>NC_000008.11:131339222-131964222 GCF_000001405.40 Homo sapiens | reverse complement strand
CCTGGCCAGAACTTCCAACACTATGTTGAATACGAGTGGTGAGAGAGGGCATCCCTGTCTTGTGCCAGTTTTCAAAGGGAATGCTTCCAGTTTTTCCCCATTCAGTATGATATTGGCTGTGGGTTTGTCATAGACAGCTCTTATTATCTTGAGATACGTCCCATCAATACCTAATTTATTGAGAGTTTTTAGCATGAAGCGTTGTTGAATTTTGTCAAAGGCCTTTTCTGCATCTATTGAGATAATCATGCGGTTTTTGTCTTTGGTTCTGTTTATATGCTGGATTACATTTATCGATTTGCGTATGTTGAACCAGCCTTGCATCCCAGGGATGAAGCCCACTTGATCATGGTGGATAAGCTTTCTGATGTGCTGCTGGATTTGGTTTGCCAGTATTTTATTGAGGATTTTTGCATCGATGTTCATCAGGGATATTGGTCTAAAATTCTCTTTTTTTGATGTGTCTCTGCCAGGCTTTGGTATCAGGATGATGCTGGCCTCATAAAATGAGTTAGGGAGGATTCCCTCTTTTTCTATTGATTGGAATAGTTTCAAAAGGCATGGTACCAGCTCCTCCTTGTACCTCTGGTAGAAATCGGCTGTGAATCCACCTGGTCCTGGACTTTTTTTGGTTGGTAAGCTATTAATTATTGCCTCGATTTCAGAGCCTGTTATTGGTCTATTCAGAGATTCAATTTATTCCTGGTTTAGTCTTGTGAGGGTGTGTGTGTCCAGGAATTTAACTATTTCTTCTAGATTTTCTAGTTTATTTGTGTAGAGGTGTTTATAGTATTCTCTGATGGTAGTTTGTATTTCTGTGGGATCGGTGGTGATATCCCCTTTATCATTTTTTATTGCATCTATTTGATTCTTCTCTCTTTTCTTCTGTATTAGTCTTGCTAGCAGTCTATCAATTTTGTTGATCTTTTCAAAAAACCAGCTCCTGGATTCACTGATTTTTTGAAGGGTTTTTTGTGTCTCTATCTCCTTCAGTTCTGCTCTGATCTTAGTTATTTCTTGCCTTCTGCTAGCTTTTGAATGTGTTTGCTCTTGCTTCTCTAGTTCTTTTAATTGTGATGTTAGGGTGTCAATTTTTAGATCTTTCCTGCTTTCTCTTGTGGGCATTTAGTGCTATAAATTTCCCTCTACACACAGCTTTAAATGTGTCCCAGAGATTCTGGTATGTTGTGTCTTTGTTCTCATTGGTTTCAAAGAACATCTTCATTTCTGCCTTCATTTCGTTATATACCCAGTAGTCATTCAGGAGCAGGTTGCTCAGTTTCCATGTAGTTGAGTGGTTTTGAGTGAGTTTCTTAATCCTGAGTTCTACTTTGATTGCATTGTGGTCTGAGAGACAGTTTGTTATAATTTCTGTTCTTTTACATTTGCTGAGGAGTGCTTTACTTCCAACTATGTGGTCAATTTTGGAATAAGTGTGGTGTGGTGCTGAGAAGAATGTATATTCTGTTGATCTGGGGTGGAGAGTTTTGTAGATGTCTATTAGGTCCACTTGGTGCAGAGCTGAGTTCAATTCCTGGATATCCTTGTATATCCTTGTTAACTTTCTGTCTCATTGATCTGTCTAATGTTGACAGTGGGGTGTTAAAGTCTCCCACTACTATTGTGTGGGAGTCTACGTCTCTTTCTAGTCTCTAACGACTTGCTTTATGAATCTGGGTGCTCCTGTATTGGGTGCATATATATTTAGGAGAGTCAGCTCTTCTTGTTGAATTGATCCCTTTACCATTATGTAATAGCCTTCTTTGTTTCTTTTGATCTTTGTTGGTTTAAAGTCTGTTTTATCAGAGACTAGGATTGCAACACCTGCCGTTTTTTGTTTTCCATTTGCTTGGTAGATCTTCCTCCATCCCTTTATTTTGAGCCTATGTGTGTCTCTGCACGTGAGATGGGTTTCCTGAATACAGCACACTGATGGGTCTTGACTCTTAATCCAATTTGCCAGTCTGTGACTTTTAATTGCAGCATTTAGCCCATTTACATTTAAGGTTAATATTGTTATGTGTGAATTTGATCCTGTCATTATGATGTTAGCTGGTGATTTTGCTCGTTAGTTGATGCAGTTTCTTCCTAGCCTCGATGGTCTTTACAATTTGGCATGTTTTTGCAGTGGCTGGTACCGGTTGTTCCTTTCCATGTTTAGTGCTTCCTTCAGGAGCTCTTGTAAGGCAGGCCTGGTGGTGACAAAATCTCTCAGCATTTGCTTGTCTGTAGAGTATTTTATTTCTCCTTCACTTATGAAGCTTAGTTTGGCTGGATATGAAATTCTGGGTTGAAAATTCTTTTCTTTAAGAATGTTGAATATTGGCCCCCACTCTCTTCTGGCTTGTAGAGTTTCTGCCAAGAGATCCGCTGTTACTCTGATGGGCTTCCCTTTGTGGGTAACCCGACCTTTCTCTCTGGCTGCCCTTAATATTTTTTCCTTCATTTCAACTTTGGTGAATCTGACAATTATGTGTCTTGGAGTTGCTCTTCTCGAGGAGTATCTTTGTGGCATTCTCTGTATTTCCTGAATCTGAATGCTGGCCTGCCTTGCTAGATTGGGGAAGTTCTCCTGGATAATATCCTGCAGTGTTTTCCAACTTGGTTCCATTCTCCCCGTCACTTTCAGGTACACCAATCAGACGTAGATTTGGTCTTTTCACGTAGTCCCATATTTCTTGGAGGCTTTGTGTGTTTCTTTTTATTCTTTTTTCTCTAAACTTCTCTTCTCGCTTCATTTCATTCATTTGATCTTCCATCACTGATAACCTTTCTTCCAGTTGATCGAATCGGCTACTGAAGCTTGTGCATTCGTCAAGTAGTTCTCGTGCCATGGTTTTCAGCTCCATCAGGTCCTTTAAGGACTTCTCTGCATTGGTTATTCTAGTTAGCCATTTGTCTAATCTTTTTTCAAGGTTTTTAACTTCTTTGCCATGGGTTCGAACTTCCCCCTTTAGCTCGGAGAAGTTTGATCGTCTGAAGCCTTCTTCTCTCAACTTGTCAAAGTCATTCTCCATCCAGCTTTGTTCCATTGCTGGTGAGGAGCTGCATTCCTTTGGAGGAGGAGAGGCGCTCTGATTTTTAGAATTTTCAGTTTTTCTGCTCTGTTTTTCCCCATCTTTGTGGTTTTATCTACCTTTGGTCTTTTATGATGGTGACGTAAAGATGGGGTTTTGGTGTGGATGTCCTTTCTGTTTGTTAGCTTTCCTTCTAACAGTCAGGACCCTCAGCTGCAGGTCTGTTGGGAGTTCGCCAGAGGTCCACTCCAGACCCTGTTTGCCTGGGTATCAGCAGCGGAGGCTGCAGAACAGTGAATACAGGTGAACAGCAAATGTTGCTGCCTGCAGAAACTCTTAAGGAAGAGCCTAATAGTGAACTCTGTCTGATCCCAGAGTACAACTCTTAATCACATCTTATTACCCTCAAGAAATAAATTTAGCACAAAAGATAGGCTTTAAGTAAAATACTTTCCCTTTACCAGAAATGCCTTACTATATTTGAAACTATGTAAACCCTTAAGGATATAAATCCTGGTCAAGACCAGTTTGTTTGTTTTATGGAGAGAGGGTGAAATATTACCTAAGAATGATACCTGCACCAATTTTATGGTAAATGGTAACTAAAACACTCAAAGCTATCCAAAGTTTTAATTGTACAATGATAATACACAGAAATTCTTATTCTAGTATATACTACCATTTCCAGAAATATTATACATGTTTTCCCAAATTGCCAAACCCTGTCATAAAACAATAGTAAAATACTAGACTATAGCTATCCCTTGATATACTTGGGGATAGGTTCCAGCCCCACCCCATACCAAAATCTGCACATATTCAAGTCCTGCAGTTGGCCCTGTGAGGAAAAAAATCAGCCCCCATATACGTGGGGTTTTGAATCCGACAAATAATAGATTTAGGATCTGCATTTTGTTGGAAAAAAAAAATCTATACTATAAGTGGACCTGCACAGTTGAAACTCATGTTATTCAAGGATCAGCTATATGTAAGACTTTCTGATATCCACATAAAATGACAAGAAAGGAAAGTCCCTTAGTCTAAACTCCACAAGAAGGTAAGCATCTGGAAAGGCAAGTGCACACTGAAGCCAGCAGCAGTCCCAGGCAAATCTTCAGCTTTCCAGTGCCCAAAGCTACTCATTTAAATGGTTGTATACATAGGAGACTAGATACAAAGCTTAGGGCCCATCCAGGAAAGGAAGGCTATGAGATTAGAAATCCCTGTGATAATTCGGAACCCCTAAAAGACAACACCCTCAATGAATCAGGGGATAGCAGGAGACTGTCAAGAAGCTTGTCTGTGTTGGCCTTGGCTCTGAGGGGAACCGTGATAGAATGATTTAGTTATTTTTATTAGATCTATCTTTTTATCTTGGCAAATAAGAAAATAAGTAGCAAATGAAAATGAATGAGACAAAAGAGCTAAATTAAGAGCAATGATTTATATCCTACAGCTTCCCACATCTGTTTGATAATGTGCTTATCCATAGAGAACCAAAATTACTTATATAAATACAGTAAATAGTTAATCAAACCTTACCTGAATGGAATACATTATAATTTTAAAGCAGTGAACTGCAAATTCATTGGGATCCCACAGTTTGTGATGATCTAAATGCCTGCAAATAACAAAAATTACTTTAAAATTCTCTATTTTACTATACTTTCTTCCTCTAGAAACCTCAACAATAGGAAAAGCTTAATAGTGAGAATATTACCTAAAAGAAAAGCAAGATTTCAATTTAATTCTTAAGTAATGAACTTCATGAAATATATGTTGCAATTAAAGCTATTTCTAAAGCAATGCTGTGGACCAGAAGTAGTTTCGTGAACATTTAATCAACAAATATTTATTGATTCCATTTTTTTAATGTTGTGATTTATTAATTTACTTCTCTCAAAGGGTAATTTTAACTAACAAGTAAATCTGAATGAAAGAGGGTGAATGAAGGACAAATACAAGGCTGGAAAACAACAGGGGAACAGCCTTAGATTATATTCACAGATTGCCAGATCTACTTCTCACCTACTGTATCAAAATTAAATTTTAAAAATTGTCCTTCCATATCGAAACCAGCTTTATTGTAACTATCATTTGTTGAAAATATACTTTATGCTAGGCATATATTATCAACCTTAATGGTTAATCTAGACCATGGGTTCAGGAATAAAATGATCAGAATTTGAATTCTGACTTCATTTTCTACCTATATGTCCTTGTCCATGAGTGAGTTACTTGACTTCTCTAAGGGTCAGTTCTCTGACCTGGAAAATGGGGATAATAACATCCATTTCATAGGGTAAAAGGATTAAGTAAGATAAAGTATATAAGGTTATTAGCATAGTCACAGGGCGCAGCCAGCACTTGATAAGTGGTAGCTTCTATTTTAATATATAAATAAACCATTTAATGCATGCATTCAAAACTCTTCAAAGGTGAAAAAATTGGAGCTCAGAGAGGTTGAATGAGTTTTTCAAGTTCATACAACTAATAAACAGCACATCCTGATATGACCTATATTAACATCTGTGCTGCTTCTTATAACTTTCATTTCCTTGAAAGTAATAATTACTTTTTGGGTCATTAAAAATGGAAATGGTACAAAAAAAAAAAAGACCTGAAATCCCTCTTGAATCATCGTAGTTATTAAGGTCTACTACGTGTTACATACTATGCTCTAGGCTCTATACATTCGAAGAAGAATTTGAACATGGCTACCTGTTCTAAAGAAGCCTGAATGAAGAGTAGAAGGCAGAAATGAAACCCACTAATTAAAATAAAGTGGACAGAAGCAGTGATAGAAACACATTCAGAGAATTTACAGAACAAAATGCAGAAAACAAATGCACAGTTAACCTGAATCTGATAAATTGGGTAGTTTGCCTTATAATTGAGGCAAATTCTTCCATCTTCACTCTCAGAAGATATAAAATAAATCTTTAATGCTAATATGACCTGCATTATCATGATCTTATGGATTCTTACCCAATAGTCAAGTTAAATATCGTCCAATACAATATTTATCTCCTAAGAGGCAGAAAAATAAACTTTATTTACCGCTTCAAGCATGCTACCAATTACTTATAGTTCGCATATGCACTTGTCAAGAATTTTATTACAGTAACCTGCTAACATACTGGCCCTGGCTCAAATGTGTCCTATATAGCTCTATCTGATTAACTTTCTCAAAGGGAAATTATAGCCACTTTATACTTTTGAGCTAAGGTCTCCACTAATTATCTATAAACTTAAATATAAAATTTTAAGATCTCTACAGTATAGCCTAAACATTTTCCCTCTTATCTCACCGTAACCCCTAAACTATATTCAACACTCCAGCCAACAATATCAGTGTCTTGTGCTCACTGTTGATTAAAAATATGATATTCAAAATTTCTTTTAAATCATCTATTATTTTCTTTACTCGATCAAATAATAATTGAAATTAAAAACCTACTTCAATGTCAAACAAAAGCATTCTTTACAAATAAAATACAATTTCCAGAGCAGTTTTTGATAACTACCTTCATCTACATTAAAAGATACTGGCCCTGGCAGGGTGCTGTGGCTCATGCCTGTAATCCCAGCACTATGGGATGCCAAGGCAGGCAGATCACCTGAGGTTGGGAGCTCGAGACCAGCCTGAACAACATGGCGAAATCTCATCTCTACTAAAAATACAAAATTGGCCAGGCATGGTGGCGCATGCCTATAATCCAAGCTACTCGGGAGGCTGAGGCAGGAGAATCACTGGAACCCAGGAGGCAGAGGTTGTGGTGAGCCAAGATCATGCCATTGCACTCCAGCCTGGGCAACAACAGCAAACTCTGTCTCAAAAAAAAAAAAAAAAAAGACCCTGGCCCTAAATCTTCAAATTAGACATGAATTATTTGTTTTGATCTGCTAGAGCACTTTTTGTTCTTTTCTCATAATCCATATATTATTTTATAAATATTATGCATGTCAATCACCCATCAAATTTGTTATTCATGCATATATTCCCCAAATATCTGGCACCTCACTTGCAGAGGGCATTTAATATTTAATTAACTAAATGGTTAATGTGTAATCACATATTTACTTAAGATTAATTTAATTAATTAACTAATACATGATCAGAAATTTTAAGTTCTATGTAGAAAAGAATATAACTGAGTTCAAGTTATTCAACTCAAGTACAACTTATTTGGTAAATTCTTTCTTCCAAGCTAGCTCTCTAGATTTTTAAGGCCTTATAGATTAGTTCTAAGAGTATTAAGATAAAAAATGGAATTCTGACGTTAAGTCAGCACATCTAGATATTAAAAAAATAAATTTGCCTTTAGTATATTTGGTGTAATTCTGATTAATTTTTAGTAGCATTTCCATAAGCTTAGGGAGCCTTTAAACAATAGATCTCAATATTTTGGAGGTGGGAGGAAACACAGATCCCTTTGAAAATCTAATGATTCTCTAATTTTTAATATAATTTTGTGATTTATAGATTCTTGTAACTAAGGCTCAACTTTGAACTCTAGGCTAAGAACATCCATCTGTCCTAAATAAAGAATTCTGGATGTTACATTTAGAATATCATACATATTCTATAAAGCCACTATTACAGTCAGAAGGAGAAAAGGACAAGGTGAATTTTAACAAAAGAAAGACTAGCAAAAATGTCCAGAAATTACACAGAATATTATATAGTAGATCTATCATCTGGTGATTGAGTCAGAAACACAAAGGCTTGACAAGGCTTGAGAGACCATATCTATGTGGAGAAACTCAAAGCTCATTAACATATTTTGCCTGGAGGAGAGCATGAAAGTACCAACAAGATATTTAATATTCTTGCTCTGATTAATCACTATGTAAAAGATGAATTCACTCAGAGATGTGAATGCGATCTAAGGCAGCCCAGCCATGGCAAAAAGAGAGCCAATAAATAGAAGCCAGGGACCAGGAAAAACTGACCATGAAAGTTAGTAGAACAAGATACATCATGCTTAGACACTGTTTGTTTAAATATTTCACTGCACATAGGCATTTCAAGGTCTGTAAGCAGATATTCAAGTTAATGCACATGATATTAACACATTATTACACTTCATACTTAAAGGGAAAAAGCTAATTAAGTAATTGAACCACTGGTCAAACACATCATGCATGACTCAGTCCTGTACTACTTTCACAATGTTACACTGGTTCCATTAATAACTCACTCATGCAAGTAAAAAAGTAGTTGTCCTCTATAAATAAGTTAACACAGAATTAATACAGCAAAATCACAAATAACCAGGAAAACACCAACTACTTACGCAAAAACTGGTCTAACAGCATTATTCATATTCCCAAAAGTTGCTCGACCCAGCAGTTCTCTGAAACAGTTTTCAGCCAGCACAGCAGGATTCTCTTCTTTGTCAGTTGCAGAAGGAGAAGAAGGAGGGCCTATGCGACTAAAAAGGAACGAGAAATAAAGAAAAACACAAGAATTTTAATATCAGTTCTAATAAACAAAATATACTTTACTTTTTAGAAATGTTAAAATGGCATTTTCTTTTTATACTCCAGAAAATATATAGCTTAATTCTAATTTCATGAATTTAACACCACCAAAATGAATCATACACTCTTTCAAATTGAAGAAATAAACTTGGCTGTGCAAATTGTTTCTAGCTAACAGAATGTCTTTTATGTATAACTAAAATACTCAGCAGCTTGCTTTCACTTTCATTCAACTTTTCTATATTTATAGCAAAATCTTAGTAAGAACACAGGGCCCAGAGACCATCTTTAGGTATCCTTAATTTAACTGTAAATGGGCAAAAATAAAGTGAAAAACTATGACCTAGCCTGTAAATAAAAAATAAAATTTAAAAGCTAACTAGAATATCTGTATACGTAGCTGTCTTCAGCAGACAATATTCTGTTCATATCCTGAAACATTATTTTAGGCTAATGAATTTATGAATAATAATTCTAAAAATGTATATGTGGCACGGGGATTATATCATGAAAAAATGTAATTTCTTAAGAACTGATAACCAATGAGCTTTGTTTCTGGTATATTACTTATGCTAATCCTGGACCTCAAGAGCCGTAATTATGGAAAATGGGTTCCCAACTAGCTAGTGATCCTTTAAATAGTAAATATTTTAGATAAGGAAACTTTCACCTCAGCTACAGTGCCAAGAACAGGAAAAATACAGATAGTGCTAAAATACATCAAGTTTCACATTTTAGGAAAGGTTCCCAAAGCTGGAGACAGTCACATCTAAGGAATTAAGCATGAATCCTTTCTGTAATTAGTGTAAGTTAACATGAACGTGTGTTACCATAGAGTTATCAATTACATCTCATTTCTAGACTACTTTTATGCTGCTATTACACATATAATCACTAAAATCATAAATAAAATTTAAATTTAGAACTATAGAATTGAATCACTTTTAAATTTGATTCCAATTTTCCTCTTCAAACTGCAAGAATCAGGAAAGTCAGGATAATAAGCCATTGGAGAATACTGCTTCTGAAATATTAATTTATTATTTATATTAAATATTTAAAATATTATTTATAATAAATATTTCACTATTTATTTATTATTAACTTATTATCTCTGTGTATGGCAACAGAAATGTGGGGGATAAGCATGCTTCTAGTATTTGAAAAAGTGGAATAAAGTACAGAATTCTAACTGCAAGTGAATGTTGTAGAGGAAAAAGAAAAAATAAGCCTATATCCTAAAACAATATTCAGTTCCAAAACATCTTAGGACAAATCAAATATGAACAGTATCTAACCATTTGTTGAAAAAATAAAATACAGTGTGGGTAGCTATTATTATCATTATCATTATTATTTTGGTTAGTTCTAACTCCCTGTGCAAAAGTATGCTGGATCTTTTATATTAACAAAAGTAGAGCTATAATTTCTGTTTCTCACATTTGCAACTTTAAGTAGTATCCATTAAAACAGCAATTTGGATATTCAATAGTTGGTGGCAAATAAACTGTAAACTTATTCTAAAAGAAAATAAAGGCTTAAGTGTATGAATAATAATCTGTAGTCTGCTAAGCCTAATGTGATCACTACAGAGTAAAAATTTTTTCAGAAAGGTACATATTTTTAAACTCACTTAACTTTACGAGACTACTGTTTACAGAGTACTAAAGACAAAACATTCTTATCCTAGGAAACACACATACATATATATAAAAGTAACACTGTCTCAACACTAATATTTTTTTAAATACCTGTCAACTTCTTCTATCTTTTGCATGTTAAACAGGAGGGATGGAACAATCTTATCCATATGCTGAGGTTCCCAAATGGTGGCCCGAAGTTCATCGTTGACTGTTTTGCGAACCACACCTTGAATACCTCTAATTCCAGCAATTCGTATCCTATAAAAAAAAAAAAAAAGGAAGAAAATGAGCCATAAAAAAATTATTTAAACAAGACTGTTTGCGTAGCTAAGAGAATGGATATCAAGTAAATACTGTTATCTTATCAATAAAATATCTTAAAATAACACACAAGTCTAAGAAAGTAAATCTCAAAAATTTAAGAGACATGGAGATGTGCTGCAAAAAGGCTTACTTCAAATATCATGTTCTTAAAATCCGCATTTAAAACGTTAAAAGGACTATAAAATACAGAAATATCTATTTTTCAATTTTAAAAAATCAACAGCATAGGTTTTCTTAAAATGATAATGATACTCCATTTCTTACCTAGAAGTCTTAAGAGCTGAGTGAAAACAGGATTTCACTGTTCTGAACACCCTTCATGCTTCTTCAGACTTCTCTCACTGTTCCTCCCTAACAGCCCTTCAACTCCCTTTGACTACCTAGATAGAAGACTAAGCTGGTTCTTTTAAAAGGTATTACAAATAAGAACTATCGAAATGGAGCAGAGATAACCTCAGCAATATATATACAAATATGTCTATAAACACATATACATTATCATATAATAATCTGATAATGTGACTTAAAATGTATCAATATAATAGTGAGAGAATGCTGCCTTATCCTCCCATCCCAGATCAGAGCACCAAACCTCCTCAAGCTCTTCCTTACACTTCTTTAAAAAAGCAAAAGAAAATAAAAATCTATAGGTTCAAGAATGAGAAGAAAAGTGACTAGAAAACAGTTTCTAAAAACTGCAAAAGAACAAAGTCTCAAGCAGAGCTAACTTGGTGGCCCAATGAGTCTCAAAACATTTTCCTTCTGGTCAAATATGATGGCTATTTACTTCCTTTCTTTCTGCTATCTAAAATACTCACCAATTAGTTGTTTATTCAGTTTACCTAGCATTGTCTTCTAAAAACTGTAAATAGGTTTAAAGAATAGAAGATATGGGGAGGGAGGTGACATTGCTTTACATCTCCATGGCAAAATAATGCAGGCATTCAGGAGTAGCAGATGGACAATGGGAGGTGGCAGTAATATGATACTGAACAGGTGAGAAAAATGAATTGGAAGACACAAAGGCAAATTTTGCCTATTTCAAAGCCGTGTCTATACATGCTGCTTTTTAAAACATAAAGAGTCTTGAGAGATTCTCGTGCAGCTATCACAGTGGGCAAGCCTAACATTCCTACACAAGGTGCCTGCTTTACATACCTGCTGCTACACCTTGGGTGATGAGAAGGCCAAGCACAAGGTGGCATGGAGCACATTAACAAACAAGATGAAACTTTTATCATGCCTTGTGAGACAGCAGCCTAAATGGTGCAGCAGCAGATAGCGGTGCCCTTGCTCAAGGTTAAAGGGCAGTGTTGGTGGTAACTACCAATAGCTACTATAGCTACACAGCTTCATCCAATTCAGATCTAACATCTAGACTAATCAGTACATTCTAGCCATGACCCCCCAAAACGAATTCTACAGTTTCCCATCAGTAAAATAGAACAACTGTCACATCTACAGCATAGAAATGTTGAACAATTTAAATGAGTTAATTCATGTAAAGTGGTTAAACAATAACTGGCACACAGAAAGCACTCAGTGTTAGCTGTTCCTGTTTGTTGCTAACCACGACGAGGATGATGACAATGATGGTGGTGGTGGTGGTGGTGGTGGTAATTTCTACCACAGCTGAAGTTTCTTCAGAAAATTAGAGTTAAAGATTGTGATGCATGACTCTACAAGTGGGAGCCAGTTCTTCAAGGAAAATAAGAAAATCCTAACATTTACCAGCCCCATCTCCTACTGTCCATGTCCCCTGGAGTTCTATTTGGTAACAGCTTGGTAAAAAAATAAAGGGACTGATGATTTCTCTAAGTTAGAACTTAAAATAGAATATAAATATACTTAAAGAGAATCAAAAGGGCTTTTATTTAAGTTAAAGCAGAAATAATCAAACTAAGTATTTTATATTAAATAGCATTTTAATTTACTCATTTGTTTTACAGGAATTCAAATAAAATGTTGGCATTATGGAACTTCAAATATGATATAATATTGGAAAGACCTAGAGTTAGCAAATTGTACTATAAGTCCTTTCATTGGTTTACAGAAAATGTCAAAGTTTCTTTTTGGAAGCAGTAATGAAGAACAGGTAAAAATATATTCAAAAGACAAGATATTTCACTAGGGGATGATAAATACTTAGAAAAACGTACTACATTCCAGATATTTTCTATATTTTGAAAGAAAGCAAAAACGTTAAAATCTTGAAAAAATTGCCATTTTCTTTAGCTAATCTTTGTATCTTTTTGCCCCATTAAAAACTTATTATCAGCCTCTGAAGACAGAGAATAGTCTCATAAACATTTAAGATATCCTTTAGAGAGAGAAAAATTAATTTTCCTGGTGATGGAGACAAATAGAAAACTAATTATTGTAAGGTAATTATAGTATTTTTTACCTCTGAGAAGGCTTTACACTTCATAATAAAGGAATAATAGCAGGACTCTAAATGGCCTATACTCTACTGAGCAAAAATCATACCAGCAGCATCACAGACAAAAACAAATCTTATACCTGAAAATAACTATTTAATCACCTTTAAGCTTTCTTTCTCCAAGTTAAAATAACATTTATACTTGTTTTTGTTTCATGTAAACCAGCACTGTAGCTTGCATACTTTAACTAAAACCTAGTTATATTTCTGTACATTCCTTTAATTATCTTAAAATAAAAGTAAAAGTTATAAAGCATGCTATATCTTATCAACTGCCCACAGTAACTCTAAATCCGGGTTGATTTCTTGTTTTTTAGGTGTAGATAGTAATGCTCCAATTACTTTCTATATTTCCTAAAGTCATTTTGACTTTCTTAACTTTAAAGTTTCTCATTTCTGTATGTCTCATTCTATCAACCTATAGTTGAGTTTATAAAATATTTGATTCCAGATTTTTAGTAGGATATATCCAGAAGAAATGTTTAAAAATGTCCAAGACAGTTGTCATGACAACCTCAGATGGATAGTGATTCAGTAATATACATTCATTCAATTTATCTACTTATTCACTCAAAAAGTACTAACTGAGAGCCTACTATGTACCAGGCACTATTCAAAGTATTCGCGATACTGCAGTCCTCAAACCAAAGTCCTCACGCTCCTGGAATTTATATTCCATAGAGGAGCAAGAAACAAGGAGATACATGATAAGAAGATAAAGATAGCTAGGGGTAGAATGAGAGAGGTGACATTTAATAAAGGGTGGCTGGGGAGGGTTCTTGTGATAAGGTGTCATTTGAGCAGAAATCTGAACAAAGTTAGGTAACGAGCCATGTGGGCATCCAGGGAATTGTTCTGTGCACAAAGACCAATGTGTCCAAAGGGCCTGAGGAGAGGTGTGACTAAAGTATTCAAGAAATGGCAAGGAGATCCACATGGCAGGATTAGAGTGAAGGTAGGAAGAAATGATAGAAGGACAGGATCTGACAGAGTAAGCAGGGCATGAAGAGACATTCTAGGCTACAGTAAAGACCGCATTTTAGTGAGCTGGAAAACCATTCTCATTTTGCTACTTCAGTCAGCAATTATAGCTTCTAACAGCAATGGAAAGCCGTATTTCAGGCATATTATTGTTTCCTCTGGTAATCATTATGTAACATATGAACACAATATTAATCTCTAAATTACTTACTATAGATCATAAAGTAAAATAATACATACTCTGTTCGTATTTCTGGATCACTATGACAGGAATGGCACATGGCACTGAATCGAGACACAAAAAAGTCATAACGTCTGTGATAGGATGGTGTGTCTTCTTCAATATTTGCAAATTTGACAAACTAAAAAACACAAATAATATAATATACTTCACCTTCTTCAGAAGTGTGAACCAAATACATTTAATTTCATACACTGTCATATTAACAAGCAATATAAAAATAAGTAACAAACAAAACATCAAATACAACATTAATACAGAAGAAACTTTCTTTCTTGAGATAGGGTCTTGCTCTGTTGCCCAGGCTGCAGTGCAGTGGTGTGATCATAGCTCACTGAGCCTTGAATTCCTAGGCTCAAGTGATCCTCCCGCCTCAGCTTCCCAAGGCGTCAGGACTACAGGCACGCACCACCAAACCTGTCTAATTTTTTGATTTAATTTTATTTTTGTAACAATGGGGGTCTTGCTATGTTGCCCAGGCTGCTCTTGAACTCCTGGCCTCAAATGATCCTCCTGCCTTGGCCTCCCAAAGCACCCAGATTATAGGCATGAACCACTGCACCAACCCAAAAGAAACTTTTTAATAATAAACTTTTAGAAAACAAGAGGAAGAAAAAAACATAATCTGTGCTTTCCCTAAATCTTAATCCATAATAATGACAGTGTATTTATCATTGTACAAAGAACACAAGCTTCGAATTAAGAAAGGCCTAAGATTGAATCCTCCTATTATATACAGCATTACTTCACTGTGTCTTTGGACAAGTTATTTAGCTGTAATTCCTCATCTATAAAATGAAAATAATATTTCTAAGCTTGAAGGGTTGAGAATCATGACATAATTAATATATGTAAAATATCTAGCATATACTGTATTATTTCTTTTAAAGAACATGAACCAATGTTGCATAGTATTAACATGTATTACCATTATGTATTATTTATAACAAAAATTATATTATCATTTATTGATATTATTTAGTATTTTTCTTTCTTGAATCAGTAGGTATATAGCTATACTATATTATGCTCCACACTTTTCTATATTTGAAACACTTTACAATAAAAAAGAGGTAAAAATAAAAAGTATCTAGCACAATTTCTGAAACAAAGGAGAACCGAAATACATTGCATCTATTACTGTCATATTGAGTTGGCATTAGCATGAAGAGGAAAATGTCAACAAATTAAACCGTACGAACACCATTAATAAATTTTAAATTAGCACTGGTCATGTTTGACAACATAAGGCACTCAGCACCACTAAGAAAATTAGACCACCAGGAAATACTAGGTAATTAATGTTGGTCAAGATAACATGGCATTTCATTTAATAAAATTCACTCAAATTAAGGTAGGTAACTGGAGAATTTTGTCTTTTGCCCAAATGACTCACTAAAACAATCTAATGGCATTGCTGGGTGAAAGTAAAGAAATTTCCGGAAATGTATACTAAAATTCTCCCCCTAGCTAGTAAGCCACTTTCCCAAAACATTCCTCACCTAATGTAAACAAAACAGGAGAAGCCTAAGTAGCTACCTTGCCTGAAACTAAGCTTGTCACATCATCTAAATGCACTTGGAAATACCCAATATATTCCTGCTGAAGTAAGTGATAAAAATCATATTAAGAGTTTTGAATGAGGGTTTATTTAACGCTCTTACTACCAGTAATAACTAACAGTGCCATGCACTCTTCCAAGAGCATCATATATATCAACTCATGTCACACAACAATCCTGTGAGATTGGTATTCTCATTCTCCTCATTTCACAGATGAAAAACCGAGGCAAGGAGAGAATAAATAACTTGCTCAAGGTATACAGCTAGAAAGCGGTACAGGCGTAGTTCAAAACTGGGGTAGTCAGACTCTGGAATCCACACTGTCAGCACCTCGTATACTTCCTCTTCCTATACCAGAAAACAATTATCCATAAACAATAGCAGGTAATATATGATTTTTTTTATTAAAACTCTGAATGGAAACATACAGTATTCATGTAGGTTGAATGCCTTAAAGCTTCTCAGAGAAGAAGTTGGAACTGAAAGACTGAAGGTGATACAATGAAACTAAAGACAAGAGAAAAAATATTATCACTATTTTCTTTTTAAAGTAGGTATGCTTTCCCAAACTTATTTTAAGGGACAATGGTTCAAGATAGAAGAAAATGAATGTGGTGAGCAGAAATAGTTCAGAAGCAGTCTAAAAAAGAATAAACATATAAACCCTTAACTTTTATGGTAAATTTATTTTTAAAAGACTGCCAAGACCATTCAAAGGGAAAGAATAGCCTTTTCAACAGATAGTAATGGCATAGTTAAATATCCACATGCAAAATGTGGATAAAGTTGAATGCTGAATTCACATCACATACAAAAGCTAACTCAAAATGGATTATTAAATACAAACTTAAACTGTAAAACTCTTAGAAGAAACTATAGGAGTAAACCTTTCTGATGTTGGATTAGGCAATAGTTTCTTAGATATGAAACTGAAAGCATACCTGTCCACCACCCCCCAAACACACATTACACACCAACAACAAAAGGAAAAAAAAAAAAGGAACTGGACTTCATCAAAATCAAAACTTTAGTGACTCAAAGCATACCATGAAGAAAGTGAAAAGACAAAACCATAGAAATGGAGAAGATATCTGCAAATCATATATCTGATAAAGTACTCTTATCAAGAATATATAAAGAACTTTTACAACTCAACAATAAAAAGACAATTGAAAAAAGGAGGGAAAGGATTTGAATAGACATTTCTCCAAAGAAAATATACCCAATAGTCAACGAGCACGTGCAGAGTTTTACCATTAATCATTAGGGAAATGAAAATCAAAACCACAATGAGATACCACTTCAGACGCTCTAGGATGCTTAAAATAAAAAAAGATAGACAATAACAAGTACTGATGAGGATGTGGAGAAACAACACTCATATATTGGTGGTGGGAATGTAAAATAATGCAACCACTTTGGAAAACAGTTAAACACAGTTACTACATGACTCAGCAATTACACTACTAAGTATATACCCAAGAGAATGAAAAACATACATCCACACAAAAACCTGTACACAAATCTTCATAGCAGCATTATTCATACTAGCCATAAAAATGGAAACAACCTTAATTAATGAAAAGGCATGAAACTCAAAAGGAATGTAGGACACAAAGTTAGTGTTGCAATAAAAGACCAAGAGAAAATAAAAATGACAAGTATGCATTCATTTACATGCAGACATTCTATTATGATTAGTTAATACCACAGATTTCACAAGAAACAGCAGAAAAACTGAGAGGCAAAGTATTCTAATTATCTTAATTTGTGTTGACTGTTCAAATGCCCTATTCAGGGAATTTGCCTTTACCAGGTAAAGTCATTCTAAGAAGTAATTAATTCTAGATATGCTAATTAAGCATACATTTAGTAACAGAATAGTTTTACTCACAGAATTTGTTCCAAGAACTTGAAGCTTTGGTTCCCCCGATTCCAGCAGCTTTGCCACCATATGAAGAAAGCTTTCTACAAATGGCTTAATGCTTTGAGAATGGCAAGCCATGAGAAGTTGGTCCAGTGCCTCCATAGCAATCAAAACATACCTACATGTAGGAGAAAAAGAATGTCAAAGCATTTCTACCTCTCTTAATTCTCCTAAGTGCTTTACATTGGAAGAACTGAAATAAGTCTATTGAAATACACCAAAGAAAGAAATGCAAATTTAGTAACTCCTAAGTAAAATCTTAATTCTCACACAGCACTAATATCTTGTAGGTTATAAAATAATCCTTTTATCGAAGTATACAGAAAATATACACTGTATTCCCCCATTTTCTCCTTAACTATGTGAGCTTAACATTAACTTTGTGTATATTTTTCTTTGTAAATATGGACATTTTCTATTTTCCAGACTTTTAACCATATTTACTTGTATCTGACCCAAAATAATTATTAATGTGACAATTTCCAATATAATCTACTTATATGTCTAAATATGAGTAGATAAAACACTATCAGCAACATAATATTATTTTAAAAATCTCATAAATATTACTTTACAATTCATCAGATTTTACATCTTGTACTTAAAATTCAGACAGATACCAGAGGATAGGAAGGGCATGTAAGTGCGGTTGCGAGGGCAGGGTGTGGAGGGATGAAGAGACGTTGGTTAATGAATACAAACTTACAAAATTAGATAAAAGAAATAAGTTCTAATGTTCAACAGCACAGTAGGGTGACTAAAGTTAGCGACAATGTACTGTATATCTCAGAGTAGCTAGAAAAGGACTTGAAATGTTCCCAACACACAGAAGTGATAAATAAATTGAGGTGATGGATAGCCCAGATACCCTGACTTGATCTTTACACATTCTGTACATGTGACAAATACTCACAGGTACTCCATAAGTATGTAAAATATTATGTATCAATTTTTAAAGGGTAAATTTAAAACAAAATTAAAATTCAGTCTTTGGATACTTTTCCTTCAACAATCAACCATAAAGCTATGTGTGCCATCACTTACTAAAATGTTCTAAGTGGTAACAACGCAAAGGTACAGAAAGCTAATATATCACTTGGAGAATAGAATACTCCAATAAACTTGGATCATAAAATGACAGAATGAAAAAGTATTTATAATCCAAATTGCAAAGTTATTATTGTTTGAGCACAGAGAATACAGTAGGATGGTAGACTTCTATTTATCAGTAAGAGTATAGCTAGCACAGTTCCAAATCAGCATGCTTGAATTTCCTGGGCCTTGATATCTAAGCCTAACACGGTTCTCTCTTATTACTCCTCCGAGAGGTAAAACTGAAGCTGTGTGAAAAAAAATGATCTGGTTAACAGGATCTTTCTGTTTGTTTTCAATTTAGAGACTGATTTTTAAATTACAGTATTGCACTGATAGACTAAGTGAGTCAATTTCTACTATTTCCCATTAGAAAAGACTCAAAAATCAATAGACACAAGCAAAAAGTAACTCAGTTAACTAACATAGTCTACTCACAAAACCTGACCACCAGGAAAGTAATAAAAGCCACAGCATCTATTGGAGTATTATATATTTCTTTGTATAATATTACAATGTTTTATCCTCTATATATTATCTTTGTCTCACTAAATGGCAAAATAATCTATAGAATGATTTAAAAGTCTAGAAAGAATTTTCCAAAGATACTATTTTAGCAGCCATTAGTTTCCTTACCCAGAACGATGTCTGACAACATCCCTGCTCAACCTTTCTGCCAGGTAAGAACCAATTCGATCCAGTTTCTCTGGAGCAGATACTGCATAAAATGTCAATTTCTCCATATCAGTTTTCACAAGGCCATCCTAAAAACAATAACAAGATAAATAGATTATCTATATTTTCATGCTTATTATATTTTTAAGTGTTGCCTGCTTTACAATTTCCCTTTCTGGATTGGGGATTAAACGATATTTATGTAGAACCCTTCTGCACATAACCTCCTTAGTGCTAACATTCACCATGATGGATACATAGAACTTTCAAAAAATTTTTTACAATGCCCCATTTATGCAAAGCACAAACAGTGAATTAGACTCTAACATCTTCCTTTATAGAGACATAGCTCAATTATCTGTAGTATATAGGGAATGGGATATAGATGTAAAAAGATTTCAAACAAAATTTGTTTCAGTTTAAAAATGTGAAATGTTATTAAGCCTGTTTTACTCATTTACTTATACGATAGTCAACATATGGCTTTTTTAATGATTCAGAAGTCAGTGATATCATTATAAGTTTTTGTTGTAATTAATAAACAAGAAAGTATTCAGAGCTGTAGAATCTATACTTATTCAACATATTTAAAAAGCAACAACAGGTCCCTGATATGGGATTATAAAACGGTCATTTGTCTCTGCCTTTTAAAAGATGATGTGCAACAGGTGCATAAATTCTCCCCAGTTACCACGTAAGTTTCTTGGCCATATATAACCCAAGTAAGTGTTGCTTAGGAATATTGGAATAGGTGAGAAGGGAGAAAGGGAAACTATGTTAGACAGTGAATCTGCAACAAAAATTGTATAGATGTGTGTTTTCACCTTCAACTGGTCCCTCAATGTTCTTTGGCTATTTTGCTGTTTCCCTAGTTGAGTCACCCCCTCATATTTTGTACCTACTCCGTTTTCCTCAAACTTGCTACTTTGGTGCCTCTCTCCTCTCTCAGACAGCAAATGAGCTCTTCTCTTTCCCAGAGAAGGTGGAAGCCATCACATTAGTATTTACTGGCAAAACATCCCTGCTTTCTCAGTGCCTGCTAGGCCAGTAGATCTTAACCAGGTGTAACTGAGCCCCTCCAGGGCAATGTCTAAAGGCATTATGGGTTGTCATAGATGGGTGAAGGTGGGTACTGGGATCTAGTAGGTAGAGGCCAGGGATGTTCCTAAATATCTCACAATGCACAAAATAGCCCCCAAAAGTAAGTAATTATCTGGACCAAAATGTCAAATGAACCTAAGTTGAGAAACCCTGCCCTAGGCAAAGTGAAGCAATCTAGTTTTCCTGTCTAGGAGGAATTGGTTTGCCTCTGCTCTGGCTGTCTTCCACACACAGTTCCATGATCTGGCTCCATCAGTTAGTTAGCCTCTCTTCTTCCTGGTTCTTTGACCTCTCCCTCTGTATCAGTTCCTCCACATCATCATTGAAATAAAATTGTGTCTCTCCTATATTTTTAATCCCTTACTAATTTTATTGAAGAATAATCTATATATAAATAACTGCATTGACTTACGGTATATAATTGGAAATGTGACAGTTGTATACATCTGTGAAGACACTGCTAAAAATAAGATACAGGTTGAGGATACCTCATCCAAAATGCCTGGGATCAGAAGTGTTTCAACTTTGGCTATTTTTTCAGATTTTGGAATATTTGCAGATACTTAACTACTTAGATATCCCTAATCCAAAAATTCAAAATCCAAAATGCTCCAGTGAGCATTTCCTTTGAGTATCATGTCAGTGCTCAAAAAGTTTTGGATTTCAGAGCATTTCAGATTTCAGGTTTTTGGATTAGGGATGTTCAACAGGAAAAGAACATTTTCATCATTTACAAAAGATTTCCCATGTCCTTTGCAGGCCATCTCTCCCTCTTCAGGCAACCACTGCTCTGCTTTTTATCACTATGAATCAGCATGCATCTGACATAAATAGAATCATACAGTTTACAAATCATATATTTTGTGCAAGACTTCTTTCACTCAACTCATCTCTTTGCCTAGGAACCCTTCTCCAGTTCACCTGGATAATTCCTACTCATCCTTTAGGTCTTAGCTTCCTCCAATACTGTGTTGCACCCTCCCAACAGCCCCCACTCCAAGTTTGGGTGAGATGTTCCAACTACATGTTCTTCTACCTCACAGTACTTATCTCCACTATTATATTTTATCAGATTATCTTTTCATTCATTAAACAAATAATGAGTGCCAACTATGTGCCAGGCACAATGATAGACATTAGGAAAGCAACAGTGAGTAAAGAGCTGCATTAACTCATTTAGTCCTCATGAGAACATTATGAGATCGGTACTACTTATTACTTCCATTACATGATGACAAAACAAGGGACTTGCCCAAGATCATCTGGCTACTAATTTTAAGAAACTGTTTATCTGTCCCCCTTACTAGATTTCTCTTTCAAGGCAGGGACTATGACATCTGCTTCTGCATTTGGGTACCTACTGTCTGACCGATTATGGACATATCACAAGATTTGTTTGTTTTAACAAGTTAAAAATAAGAAACATGGCAAATTGAGTAATGTTTGCCATATATATTCAAGGTTCATGTAGATCTTTTCCTTTTTTAAAATCTTATTTTAAAGATTGCTATTTAAACAAATCTTATATAAATCCTTGGCAAAAATAAGGATTCTTTCTCTAATTTACCTATGGTCATTTCAATGATCAAGTGTTCAAAGCTCCTTCACTGACTACAAGTTAAAGTGACTATAGTAGAGGCCTTCCTTGTCATTCACAATCCTCTAAAATCTGGCCTCCACCTTACCTTCAGTAACCATATGTCCCAGACTTCTCAGGAAAATAATTATTTGGATATTCAGTCTACTAATTGATAACATCTGAAATTTCAAATGAGAAATCATGGTCAACATGATTACCACCCTTACACTCTACAATTAGGTTATATAAACCTTCGCTTGAAGTCTGATGGATAACTTGCTCTAGGCTTCAAATATATGTCTTGCTTTCCCATGTCTTTTCTCTTTCCCCTCACTTGCAATAAAGAGACTAATCTTGTCTACCTCTCCAGATGGTATACATACTTCAAAGCTCAGCAAATCTCATTTCCTCTGTGAATGCTTCCCGGAGGTTCCCAACCCACAGTGATACCTCCCTGCTTTAGAGGCAAAAACTTTCCACCTGATTTACTTAGCATTTTACTTACTGATTTATGCACTGTAATTTCATATTTAGTATGTTTCTGCTTTATGTCAGTTACTGGATGGAAAGGTCCTTCAAGGCAGTACCATATCTTAGGGTTTTTAATATGCCACAAATTTTCCAGGATATCTGGCAGCCAATAATATTTAATTGATTAACCTCCTCTACATAACTGAATGTTTAAACAGATTTGGTTAAAAATAAGATACATCAACATTAAGTTAATATTAAGATAATCAAAAGCTTTATACAGTTTGTTACATTTTAAAATAAAGCAAATTTTGGAAGTCAAAAGCCATGTAACTTTTTTTTTGTTCCTATTCATTTAACAGGAGACTACAGAAGTCTTAGAAAGGTTGAGGCAATGTGAAACAAAATCACCCCAACCAGTTGCTTTGAAACCAGTAATCTTCACAAATAAAATAATTGTTATACAAAAATTAAATAGTATTTAAGTAAAAAGAAAAACTCTGCCTGAAACAATCTTTCTTTACCTCTCAGTTCTCTTCTAAAAACTGTGTGGTCAATCCCTATTTATTCTTTGGATCTTAGCTTAGATTTTATTTCCTCCAGGCTTTCTTCTCCTCAACCCAAATTGGGTATCACTCCTATCTTCTCCAGGAGCAGCCCATACTTCATTTGTCTAGTACAACATTTTTTTTTTACAAGAAACTGTAATTACCAATTTACTTATATATGTGCATAATGAGAGCAGAAAACCTTCTCTCTGTTCACAGTGGTATCATGAGCACTTAGTTTAAATAATCTGGCACTGGTTCATAAATTAATGAACATAAATTAATGCGACAGTGTTACTTAGACACTATATAAACTATAAAAGAACATCAACTGTCCATTTTTCTAGATTTGTGCCTAATCTACTAAAAGGATCTGAAAACTAGACAAGCAAGCATGGGTCATTTAAGAGTAAAAAAAAGAAAAGTATAAAAAAAGTAGTATAAATGATGAGATGTAAGGGTAAAAGTAGAGAAATGAAATTAGGGAAACCTTAAGGAGGTCAGCGGGGGGCAGAATGGGTCAGCAAAGAGAAGGATCAGTAGATGTAGATCAAATTACTTTTGGATCTTCAGGGAATATGTTGTCCACCAGGCGTTTGTAGCGAGGACGCAAAGCGGAACAGCAGCAGCATACTCCTGTTAAAAAAAAAAAAATCAAGAAATACAGATATTATTAATATTGTAAACAGGCCTGGAAATTCAAGTTTCTGAATATTAATGGGCTATATAAAATACAAAGTTCAAACTGTCACAAATAAAGACATACAAATGTAATCAGTGATTAAGAAAAGACAAAGTTAAATTTCTTATCCTTACTCCAAAGACACACAGCTTCTAAGAATTTTTAGGTAACATGCATACACATCCCGCCAAATTCATCTGACAAAGTGAAAACATCATCCGTGCCCCCTTTACCTCCTTTCTGATGTCATCTGCCCGCAACTCCGGCATACCCCCACCCACCTGTTGCAATCCACTCTACTCAAGCCACAGTGGTCTCCCTGCTAATTCTAACCAGCTAGACCCCCTCCTTTGGATCTTAACTCTCACTGTTCCCTCTGCCTGGGGCATGCCCAAGTATCTACTAACAGCTATAATAACTCTGTCACCTTCTTCAATTCTTCATCTACGCCTCTCTGACCACCCTTACCCTGCTCTACCTTCTTTTTCCCATAGCACTTATCACCTACCACATTAAATAAACTTTCTATTGTGTTTACTGGTCCTCATCTGTGCCCCCTCACCAGGACAAACTCAGATGAAGGCAGGGATCATTGTTTTGCTCACTGATGAATCCCAAACAACTGAAATAATCTAAAAATACTTTAGATCAACATTAATACTGACACTAAAATAAATTAAAATCAAATATGTATTAAGCACACAAGCACTGAGCCAGGTCCTGTATTGCAATGATGAAAGAAGCTTATAACCTGAAAAGAAGATTAAGTGAGTACTTAGTGAACACTAATGCAAAGCCAAATATAGTAAATTCAAATTGTTAGCATGGCACAGACTAGCCACACGTCTAAAAAACAAGTCCTAATGTTTCAAGTTTTCTGTAAGAATGGGAAATTTTGTTATTTTCAATAAGAAAGATTCTTAATAAGCTATTAAGTTTCACTTACATTAACATTTCTGATGTTATACACTATACACTGCTTTTAGTTTAAAAGAGCTTGAAATATAAATGTAACCTTGGAATGCAAACAATGTCCAGTTCCCACTTTTGGGAAGCTTAGGTTTACCAGGAGAGACAGATAAGCAAATGGTGAAGTGTCTAGTGGACAGCCATGGGTTAAAGAACATGGGCTTTGGAACAGACAGATCTGAAGTGAATCAGTCTCCCTCCGTCCAGCTGGGCTGGGTGCGTTACTTTGTCTTACTACACACAAGTTTCCCCATCAGTAAAAATAGATGTAATAATGCCTTCTTCATAATAATAAGAATTAAATAAAATTGTATATAAAGCTCTTATTAAGCAAGCACTCAATACAATGGTAGCTATTATTAGTAATGCAGTAAGAGGAGTATTACAATCAGGGTAAGCAGATGATGATCAAGGACCCTTAAGATAGGATTCCCAATAGCATAAAAATCTTTGTTGTAAGCCCATAATTTAAAAATCACAATAAATTTTACATATGGTTCACAACCATAACTATATCAATAGCAGGAGGGACAATTACCATTTTCTGAAGATGACGTGTACAGCACTGTACTAAGGATGTTACAACATTATTCACTCACTCCTATCGTAACTCTCTGAGGGTTATGATCATCTCCATTGGATAAATGAGGAAACCAGCTTAGAGAGGCCAATTTTGTCCAGTAACACCCAGCTGGGGAGGATCTGAGGAACTGCAATTCCAACCCAGACCTGATGACTTCAAAGAGTAACTGCCACACTAAACTCAAGTACCAGCAAATTTCTAAATTACTTTAAATATTTTAGCTTTCTATAAATCATGACCAATGAACATAATTGCAGAAATGTGTGTGCCTAACAGATGAGGGATGCATTGCCATATAGGGAAATAAATGATCACAGTGAGTTTCTCAGGAAGGCCCAACACAAAACAAAAATACCTTTTTGACCACTTACTAAAAATAAAAAACTACCCACTATAAAGAAGGCATATAGGTTAAAATTTTTCATTTACAATTTCAGGTTTTTATAAAATTATATCAAAGACAATGTAAGGTTGAAATAACTGGCAATAATAATCACAAAAGAAATTACTATATAGACTTTTAAATAAATATGAATATTCTACTTATAAATATCAGAACAAGTAAAATAAAATCATTGGACCTACTCAAGTATAGAAATGTAGGTGACTCCCTTGTTGAAGTAAATTCATAAGGCTTTTCGAGTTCAGCTGCAGGTACCTGAACATAGTCCTTCATGTTGTATCAGACTATTTTCTAGTCGATCTTTCTGACTCTAGATCCTTTTACCTACTGTTCAGCAAGTGCCTAGTTCACTTTACTTCTAATTAATTAGCAGAGGGCACAGAAGTACTGTAACTTACCTAACTTGTCATTGACATCAAATATAAAGCTATCAAGAACTTGATAATATCCATATCAAGTTCTGCAAGCAAAGCCAACTAGCTTAAATAAGATACTATTAAAGTACTTATATTGCTAGCTTAATAAAAGTAGGTTTTTCATACAGGTTAAATAAGAAAGCAAGCCTACTTACACCCCCTTTCCTTAAAGCATTCCTTTAGTTCCTCCTTATCCTAGCTTCTGATCCCTTCCAACAAACTCACTTGGGTCCCAAAACTAATATATTTTTGACCTCTTCCCAACTTCCTCTTTCCCAAAAGAAAGAAAAAAAAAAAAAAAAGAGGGGGATGAGCATATCACAGAAAGTCTCCAACAACTGGCAAGTCTAAGCAATATAAATTCTTCCTTTAAATTTAATTCTATATTGTAGTTCTTTTCCCCAATTGTATGTCTAGTGCCTTTGCGGTGTTTGTCACCTAGGAAATATTCAATAAATACTATTATCAGTAAAAATAAATTAATTCCAGCACATAAAAGAGAAAACTATCCACTATTCTCCTCCTACAGCATGTGGAATTCAGAACTCTGATTATGATACACTAGAAGAATATGAAATAGGAAGGCTCAAGTGGGATAACTTTGGGAAAATAGAATTCAGACACAGTGGATAAATTATAACCAAAAAAGTGCCAGGCTGAATATTATAGTAGTGTACACATAAGCTCAGAAGTAATCTATTCAATACAGCTCTCTGAGCCTTAGTCAGTGAACAGGAAAATCCTACTACCTACTTCTCACAGTTAAGGGTATTAAATTAATAATACATAAAAAGTGCCTGGAGTGTAGAAGCCACCTAAACACACTTAATAAGCTCTTTTTTTATGAGTAAATTTTACATACTCCTGAAGTAACATTTCTTTAAAGACATCTGTGATATTGTGAAATATATATTTGGTCTTCCCATTTCCTAACAAATAGCTTCTGATAGTCTTAGGTTCTCCAAAGTGCCAAGTGTCATTGTGTATACTAATAAGTTGACTGATGGCTGGGGGCTCAAGGATAGCTTCTGGTGTGGGTTAGTCACAGTAAAGACCAAGGCATGACCAGAGGATGGGGACTTTCAGCCACAACCCCTAACCTCTAAGGATGCGGGAGGGGCTGATAGTTAAGTTGGTTACAGGTGGCCAATGATTTAATCAATCGCGCCTTTATAGTGAAGCCTCTATAAAAAAACCGAAAAGGACTGGGTGTGGATGGGCTTCCAGGTGGCTGGACACATGGAAGTTTCCGGAGGGTGACTTACCTGGAGCAAATATATATGGAAGCTCCTCACTCCTTCTCCCATACTTGGACCTATGCATCTTTTCCATCCGGCTGTTCATCTGTCTCCTTCTTAATAGCCTTTATAATAAACTGGTAAATGTAAGTAAAGTATTTCCCTAAGTTCTGTGAGCCACTCTAGCAAATTAGCTGAGCCCAAGGAGGGAGTGTGGGAATCCTGATTTATAGCTGGCAGAAGCACAGGTAAAACAACCTGGGGCTTCCAACTGGCATCTTGAGAGAGAGACAGAGACAGAGAGACAGAGAGAGCATGTGTGTGTGTATGTGAGTGTGTGTGTGTGCTGGAGGGGAGGGGGGCGGAGGGAGGCAGTCCTGTGGGACAGAGCCCTCAACCTGTGGGTTGTGACACTACCTCCATGTAAATATTGCTAAGAACTGAATTACGTCAGAGGACACCCAGCTGGGGAATTGCTAGCTCGGTGCTTGGGGAAAATCTCCCACACATTTGTTCACAGAAGTGTTCAAGTATTGTGACAGTATAGTAGAAGAAGCAAGCAGTTTGTTTTATCTACTCAACACTGCAAGAAAATTCTTCTCCTTTGCTCCCCTAACATCATTCTCATATAGATTCAGCAATGCCTCTTAGTCCCTAAACAGTAGTGATGCCAATTGACCTCTAGAAGAGGAAACATCCTCCTCCTTCAATAATGAGGTATTAGAGCTAATTTCCAATCCATCCTGTCTCAAAGAGGCATTCATAGAAGGACTTGAGCAGCTGCATAGAGAAACTCAAGGTGAAACTGATAGTATGGATTAGGCACGCAGGCACTCAAAGGTACTAGGAGAATTCTGAATACTGGGAACCAATATTGTAAGTGGTTGGTTGACCACTGAGTACTTCTGGTTTGAGATAACATTTGCTTTCCTATGCAACTCTATAAATTTGGGGACTTGGATCATTAAAAAAAAAAAGACCCCTTTAAAAATAAGCAACTTCCACTTTCAAGGGACTATACTATTCAATGATAATTTAACTGGAAATATTGATGTCTCCACCACTAACTGCCACCATGCCACTGGCTACTTGGGATAAAGCTATCCTCCAAAACAAAAATACTAAGTTAGTAACACTGTCACTGGAGATGAAGAATGTTTAGATTGTATTCATATTATGGAAACTGACTGTATGGCTTTGAATTAAGTTTGTTTCATAATCTATAAAAGCATACAATAATAGTATCTACACCTTCTATGTAGCAATTCTCTCATTTAATTCTCA
The DNA here is from genome assembly GCF_000001405.40 of Homo sapiens. Lineage (NCBI taxonomy): Eukaryota > Metazoa > Chordata > Mammalia > Primates > Hominidae > Homo > Homo sapiens. Next base: position 131,935,559 of record NC_000008.11, on the reverse strand, counting down.
CATGTAACATAATAGAAATTGACTGACATATGTATGGCTCACTAGATTTCATACTTTTAAATGACAGTGCCTACGATTACTGGATTTTGGTCCTTCATGCCCTCATTATATATTTCTATCACAGCACCTGTAACAATCTACTGCTCGTTTACATATATGTGTCTGTCTTCACCACCAGAATATGAATTCCTCAAATGCAAAGCCCATGTATCTTACTCATTGTTATGCATGTCAGGCATAAAGCAGACATTTATAAAAATGCTTTTTCCTAAATAAATAAGGAAACAAAATATAAAGTGAGTTTAACATCTGCTCCTATACGCTATAAAAATCAATAAAGTACACTGTCCACCATAAAACACTAAATAAGTGCCAGAATGATATGATTTTTCCAACAAACAGATGACAATGTCAAATGAATCACTTTGAACAATTCATGCTTTATTTTTAGGTCTAGCAGAGTCCACCAGTAATCAAGGTGAAAAGAGACAGACTTTCTATTAGAAGATTTTTAAAATTAACCACTTCAAGAACTCTAGCTCTGTGGTGTCCAAAACCCTTTAAAAGAGTCTGCCTCACATATATTCCCTCCAAGGTTAAAATTAAAAGTCCAGTTACTCATTCAGTTGATGTCAGAACAAGACATTTACTTCATACAATCAAAAATATTTAGCAATATTACAGTTCCACTCACACATATCCTTTCCAGGTACCAAAACAATTTACATATAATATGTGTGTATGTGTGTGTATATACACATATATGTAATACACAGCAGTAAAGCTAAATATGTCTGTGTACTGCATATTATCATACTTATCAGAAAAAAATTAATTACTCAACAGAGCTACCCAAAGAGCAATATACACACACACACACGTATTATATATAATTCTGTATTTTTATATATATATACACACATACACATATGTATTATCTATAAAGCCTGTAATATAGGTGTTATTTTAGCAAACTATGCTTCAAATGACAACTACAAGGACTTAAAAAGGTGACTACATACTTTAAAAGACAAAGTTTAAAAATTAAGTTTTAAAACAAACCTTGGACATTTTAGGACAAAGGCTCTCCAATGTCAAATAGACTGCACAGCTGTAAGCACCACAGAGGTTCAGAGGAGAGAGAAAACAACTTGCGGCTAAAGTGAAAAGAGGTTTTACCAAGGACATGGAACTCGAACTGGATACTGAGGACTCCCGTGAAGAACAAGTAAGACTGAACTACAGGAATAAACTAGAGACAGTGAAGGACAACTGTAATCAAATGGAACAACGCAAGCAACACTAGGCAGGACGGCACATGGGAAAAACAAAATGCATATTCTAGTGTCCCAGAGCTTTGAAAGAAAAGTGGGAAAACATGAAAAGAGTTTGGTGACTAATTAGATATGGGGTCAAAAGAAAGGAACAAAATAATCTTATCTTCAGAAAAGTGTTCCTTTTAAAAGGATTTTAATCCATTAGAGGAGTATTTTATTACATGATTCTTTCCACATATAATCGTATACCTTCTCTCCTTTCATTCTCAATTTCACTACTTGTTTTTAATTCCTAGGCACATAAACCTTATGGAAAAGAGGACAACAAAGCAATAAATAGAATTAAAGCTCCAATTCTGTTTTAAAAGATGGTCTTCTCCTTACATTGCAATACTTTGCTCTATAATAGGCATAACACAGACAAAACTCTTGTACACTTCTCCAAACAATTCTGGGAAACTGTAGAAAAAAAAAAACAGCACCTTTTTTTCCTGAGGCAACTAACTGGTTTATACTTTATATCTGATTTTTTCCCACTATTACAATTTTTAATTTAAAAAGTTTTAATTTTAGACATTATCCTACTTATTAGTAATCATGTTGTAGACTTACACTTCAATTTAACTTTACTGTATATTATCATATTTATTGGAAAAAAATTAAATATTACTCAGCAGAGTTACACAAAGACAAGAGCAATAAAATACAGAATAATCCCAGCTTTTGGAAAATATTATTCTGAGAGATTTCATTCGAAAAGCTTCTAGAATCATCATTTGAAAAAAAATTAACACAAATATTAAAATCAGATATCATTCCCTTTTCATTTCATCTGATCCTGGCTTAGTTTGCAAAATAGGAAACAACCCAACGGATGAAAGAGAAACCAAAGCTGCAACCAGGAGAGAAAAGTACTCATACCTCTGCCCCACCACTGTACAACACTGCATGGTTCATTCCTATTTTCAAGACCATGTCCCTGGACCCTACATGTCACTGACCATCTTCAATGTGCTCAGGGGGAAGAGTCTTGGCAAGAAGACTATACCGCCCCGGTGTCCCAATCTACAGAGGTAAGTAATCAAATGATGCAAAAATAAAAACTGAAACAGTATGTGATTCCCTTTTTTAATATATAAAAGATTGGCTAATGTCTTCTACAATATCAGTAGTACTCTTAGAATTAAAAAAAGAACATTTTCATTGTTGTAACTGTTTTTTTAAAAAGATGTAAGCAGTGACTTTCTTCTTTAATGCAAACCATGGTACTATCACATTGAAATTTACTTTGCTAATTAATATGTTTTAGAGGAGTGTAGTAATTATGTAGTGGTCTAAGACAAATGTTAGGGATCGTGATTAAGAGGGAGAAAAACAGAGGAAAGGCATAAGGCAAATCAGACTATCCACAATTTATAATGGAACTGAGAGTGAATTTATAATAGTACTAAGCACTAACATGTTCTAAGAGTCCTGCTAAAATGCAGTCTAACAAAAGCACTTGTTGGCAAAAATAAAGTGTTTCCCTATATTTGTAGGGAAACAATTGGTAAAGTCATTATGGAGACAGTTTCCATTTATAGAGTGTATTTCAACCAATCAATCAATATCTTTGGAGCTTTCTATAGGAACTTACTTCCATGTCTTAGAGAAAATCTTGGTAAATACACAAAGTAACAAAGCTAGCTAACATGTATAGGAGTATTTTACCTTAAAAACTGAGATCTGTGTTTCTGGTAACAGCTTCCTTTAATGCCAAGAGGACAAAAGAAACTGAACTTACAGCTTCCCCTTTATTAGCCTATTTATAAGCTAAATATTTCCTGTAAAGGACTTCTAACAACCTGAATAAATATTCATGGAACACCAAGGAACATTGTTAAATGTCTTTTTGAAAACTGCTTTTGTTATATCAATGCTTGAACATAAGCTAATGGCCCAGGAACTGTCTGTCACTCATTTCTAAACCATTTTAAAAGAACAAATTATTTTGAGACAACTAAAATCTTCTGTAGTTTAAAAATACTATTAAGGTAAATTAAAAATTCCACATACAAAACAGAAAAATTCTCATAAAAAATAAAGACACCTCAAATTAGGGGGTCTCAAAAATGCTCACAATTAGAAATCAAAATACAGAAAGAACCAATAACATTAGTACAACAAAAAATGGGATTGTGGCAAGAATATGTGAAGGCAAGAACTCAACTTGCAAATCACTTATTTACATGGTTTCAAGCTTCAAAGGAATTTATATAATTTGGCATTTTGAGAGTGGCTGGGGGGTGCTATCATTAATTATGCCAGGACCAGTGGCATAAACTTTGACCATCCTAGGCAAACCAGGAGCCAGGATAATCCTACTTATTCTCCTGCGTATTGGAACATGTCTAAAGGTATCAAATAGTCAAATTTTCAGCTACAACTGCAAAATGAAGAAAAGCAGCAAGAATCCAGTCAGGGCAGAAAAAGATGAAGACAAAAAGAAACATAGAAGACCAGTAAAACAAATGAAAAACCCTAAGATGTTAGCTGGTTTTTTTTCATATATAATAACTATAATACTTACCATGTATCAAATAATGCAACAATTTTTATAGAAAGCTCATTTACTCAACATTTGTAATGAAAATGTTTTATAAAATGTCTACTACATATAAGGCATTGTGAAATTTGCAAATATTCATACAACTGGTTCCTGATATTAAGCAGTCTAATATATATTGAGATTGTAAGAAATCAACATTACAGAAAACAAAATATATAGTTCTTTTACTAAAAACAAAGCTAGATGCAAACAAAATAGTAACAATAGAAAATGACTGGATTTACCCTCAGTCTTGGGGTATAACTATATATACCTAATTATACTGATTTATCTATCAAACGTTTAACATTAACACATCTCTAAGAAACAATTACCACAACTTCTAACTCCCTAACAAAATCAACATTCATAAAAATCTTCTCTTACTGTTTGTATTTATTCTTTAATTGTACAAGGTTGCCTTGGAATAAATACAATCAAAGCGAACTATGTTTCCATAGTACAATGCTTCTCTAAGGGTGGCCTATGAGCCCTCTGAAGAAGAATCTCCTAGATTACTTTTAAAAGTGAATACTCCCTGCCCCCAACCCAGGACTTTCTGAATCAATCCCTGGGATGGCATACCAGAATTCTTCTTTCTAAAAATAAGCCTCCCCCTCCCACCATGGCCCTCATGCACACCCACGTTCATTCGGGAGCCATTGCTCTAGAGAACCACTCCCCTTGTATAATGATGTAGAGAATTTAGCATATGACTTTTTCTTATTGTGTACTTCAGGTATTCGGGAAACTGTCCTTACCTAAGTTATGCAATAGATAAGTTATAATATAGGCTGCACCTCGTAAGATCATCTTATATATTACAATAACTGAATCATAAATAGCACTATAAAGAACCAGGAGACCAAATGAGTGAGAAAAATAATGAATGCTATGACATTCAGAAAAGACTTCACAGGAGATGCTGATGTGATAAAGACCTATCACTGGCAACAGGGAGCTGGTATTTGTGGCTAAGACCACTAGAATTTCCCCATTATTTTCAAATGCTGCCACCAGACCTCATTAGGGAGTAGATTTTCTAAGTAACTTGTATAAATGAATACTTAGCAGACTCATGTCAGAAATAAATCATGACTAAATGGTCTTTAAAATCCTAAGCCAAGTATTTCAAGTATAGTAAAGGAAAAGTGAAATTATCATGATCAAATTTTCCACGTTTTTCTAAAACATGACCAGACCTTTGAAATTTCTCTTAAGATTGTGCTGATATGTTTCTCTGTATTTCATTCCACCGTGTTCTTAAAATTATCAGTCCTTGGGAATTATTTTACATGCAATGGCTAGAGAACAGGTTATACCTTTGGATAAACTATTCTATTCATCTGTTCCTATCTTCCCTAGAGAAGACTTCTGCTATAAGAGGAAAAGTGACTTATTTTACTCGTCAGTCTGGAAAAAAGGAACCTAGTAGGCTCTAAAACATAAGCACCAAATCTATATCTGCACCATCTGCACAATGTCCATCCAGCACATGGTAAGAGCTCAATATCTATTTGTTAAATGAATGAATAAACAAACTCTTAAGAGTTTCTCCTTCAGATGTGCAGTCTGCAATTCATTCTTCCTGCTTATAAGCATACCTGGGTCTGGAAGTGTGTATCTTTACATGATCTCCATGGAGTTATAGGGCAGTTTGAATCAATGTGCCTTCCTTGCAAAAGGCTTGGTCAATGTGTTTGCTCTGCTAACTTGGGGTGTCCCTCAGATACATCATTGGAAAGTTTAGATTTGGAGGAAAAGTAACAGAAAGACTGATAATGGACAAAGATCAAGATGCATTCTCCAACCCAGCTTTACTAGTAGTAAAACTGGTATTTTGACTTGCTTCAAACTGACTCTTATATTTCTGTATTTCAGTTGGTTCTCAACTCAGAGAGGGACACAGGTGAAACTGCTACCCTCTGAAAACCAAAAAACAAATGTGCCTCAGAAATATACATAAATGGGAAAAACAATACCCAATCTCATGTATTCTTTTAACAATCATTTAGTGAAGCCTACCATGCCCTAGGCACTAAACTAAATGTAGGGAATACAAATACAGGCCACAATCCCTGGCCATTTAGTAGCTCGTAGTCTGGTGGGAAAAGATAATCACATACAGAAAGAATTATCTCTGTGATAACAACTATCACAGGTTGCTATGAGATAATAGCTAATGGGATAACAAACCTTTCTGCAAGAAGTAATGACTAAATTAAGTCTTGAAGAAAAAGTAGAAATTAGGCAAAGAGGAGAGGATTATTATTCCCAGGCAAAGGGAGCCACATCTATTAAGGCTCTTAAGAGGTTTAAACAATGTGGTTTTAATTTGAAAGTAAGCATAAAGTTCTGCAACATGAGAAAAATGCCTAGGCAAACTTGCAGGAAGCTGACTTGGAAACAACTGAGTATAGAAGGTAAAGAGGAAGAGACAGGAAAGTTTGGACAACTGGTTGGATGCTAGTGTCACTGACCAACAAGGAACACAAGAGGATACACTCTGGGGTAAAAGGAGGATATCAAGAAGAGAGAATGAATTCTGTTTTGCACATATTAAATTTGAGGTAAACTTGAAGGTGGGATATCCTGTAGCAGACAATTGATCTAAACTAGAAACAAATTTAAAAACCAAAAGCATTTAAGTGATAGCAAAAGCAAATCTGCTGAGATCACTGAAGGCAAATAGGAGACTTAGAGAATCCTGAGGTAAGAAAACATTTAAGGGATGATCAGCACAATAAGAGCAGAAAGAGAAGACCTCTGAATAAACAGAAAGAAAATTACAAAAGGATTGTGTTAGAAAATGCAAAGAATAATTTTTCAAATACTGTACTTTTTACAAAGGTACCAATTATAGAGATAAGATACATGGACTTTAAAAAAACGCTCCAGTAATGAGGAAACATCAGAAAAAGAAATTAAGAATATTTTAAATGCAAGTAAAAAGGAAAACATGATTTTACAATAATGTAATTTAAAATTTCAAGATGGACTAAATATTGTGACCAAAATAAATCACAACAGTGGCAGTTTCAGAATATCCAGACTGAAAATCATTGTTCTATAGACCACATCTGACATGGAAAAAGGAGAAACTGATAACATAGTTTACAACAAGATTATAACTTATTATTTAGGTAATAAGAAATTTCCTTTATGAGGATTTACTAATTTATTGCTACTTTAATCAGCTTTTGGCAAGATAAAAGTCTGCTATCTAAAATACAGAATTTAAGATTACATTTTATAATTTCTAGTAAATGCTGTAGGATAAAATAATTGATCAGAATAACAACAAAAGGAAAATCTGATGATAAATGTCTGAAGAAAAAAATTGTATAATGTCTGCAGAAACCCCACCCTTCATTTAGCATTTAATGTCGAACGTATAAGAAAAGCAGAGATTTCTTCTAACAGGATCAAGAATTGGGCAACTATCTTATTCTTATAATACACACAGTAACAGAAGTTCCACATTTGAAGCATTCTTCCAGGAGAGACATTCAAAGAACATTTTAAGTATTTCATGACTAGTCAACCAATCAATTAGGTTTATAAGGTACTTAACTACACGCAAAGTGCCAGGAATGCAACATGTATGTCTTCAAGAAGTTCCCAAACTAGAAAGACTAAAATTCAAAAAATTATAGTTGTCAGATTTTATTTTCCATTGTCAGAAGACAATTTTAAGATTATAGCTGCAGAATTACTATCAATGCTTGCAAAATCATGATGAACAGGAAGTTCTAAAAGGATGGGAATTTGCAAGGCTTTCACAGTTCATCACATCTATATCTGTTCTTTAACTTGTTTCCGGGTAGTTTCATAAGGGAAGGGCTCTTCTCATTCATCTTTTTATACTCTCACTTTTTAACTTTTTGGTTTTTTTTCTAAAATAATAAACGATAATTCAATTTCCAGTAAGTGAAGAGACAAAAGAAGTTGTAAATTGTAAATGAATAAACTCAATGCCAAAAAATTAACAGATAGCTGGTAACTGATTGGCACACACGTTATGGTTCCTAAAAAAAGCTCTTGCTAAAAACCATTTCATTTTGTATATGAGTATATGTATGACCACCTTATAACCATGTAATACTATACCGACTTTGCTGCCCATGTTCACTTCCGTGTCTAAAATCATATTAGCACCAAATAATCACCTAAAATAATAATATTTAACTTTTCATGCAGCAATTTTTTGATGTAGGGTGTGACAACACTTTAATGGTCAGAGTTCTCAAGTTTGGGGAACAGTAACCTAGAGGAAGATTTCCAGTCACTGCCACAAAGCTCTGCATTTAGTACTTTTGCTTAATAATCTGATAGCTTGGATACTGAGCAAATAGGCAATGTTGTCTGCCACACTACAAAAAAAGGCAGTGGCAAACTAACATGTATGAAGAATAGGCCAGGCTTCTGCTCATGTTGTCCCTGTCTTCAGCTAACTTACCTCCCAGCCTCAGCCCAGCATTATTCTTCAAGTTGTCCTTAACCACGACCTAAAGCTAGGCAGGTGCTACTCTCTCTGCTGCCACAACCATTACCATTTGGGTTAATAACTTATTGATCTATTTTTCTCAGAGGTCTATAAGCTCCTCAAGGGCAGAGCTGTGGTTTATTCATTTCTGAAAGACTCACAGGGTGAAATGTTACATTGAGAAGGAATCCAGAAATGACTGCTAAGAAAGTCCACAGCTACAATGAACATCTTTCCCCTCCGTGAAAGAAAAATGCAACCTTGGAAATGTGAAGTCCTCTCTAATATATTAGACTAAAATATTAATCATTTTATAAGTTGCAATCAGTTATAGTCAAAATGCTATAATAAAAAATGAAAACTAACAGCATTTGACTCCCACACTTAAAGTACATAGAAAGTTTAAACTGATTATCATAAAAACTAGCTGGACACGGTGGCACACATTCATAGCCTCAGTTACTCGGGAGGCTAAGGAGGGAGTATCACCTGAGCCCAGGAGACTGAGGTTGCAGTGAGCTACAATCATGCCACTGCACTCCAGCCTGAGCAACAGAGCAAGATCCTTTCTCAAAAAATACCCTCCAAAATTTTTTTTTAAAAAAACAACTTACAGGTGTGTTTCCTGAGCTATAAAGTAAATAAGTTTTGGCAGTAAGCAGACATATATCTTAAAATGTAATTTTTAGTATCTAGCACCCCCATATGCCATTATAGGTCATTTTGCATCACTGTGCCACAATAAAGCTTTGACCACACGAAATAAGAAGATACAAATTTTTTTTATTTCTTCAATTTCATCATTTTTGATGTAGTTCTGGTGTTTAAAATGTGCTATTTTTACACCCAAAAAAGTAATAATTTCAGTCTGTTAATTTTAACTATATAGTACATCACAGATGTTTACAAAGAAGTTAAATTTGAAATCACAGACAATAAAAATGGTTTTTTAAAGTCACCATAATATATTCTGAAACTCTGTGACTAATATATTGCATTTCTTGATCAATGAATTAGCCTTTGAGACAGCAATTCATATTAATATTTGAAGTATATTGTTTATAATTTTTATAACATGAAGCTAGTCTTCTAGTCTTTTTTTTATCTAGTCTTACAACACAATAAAGCTAATAATCAACTATAACCCTATAATAGATTTTAACTATTTTATTCACTGACTGATCTGGCTTTAGCCTTGACAGTGTGATTACTGACCTTGTTGCATTTATTTTAAAACTCAAAAAAAAATAATAACATTAAAATAAAATAATCTAGCCACAATGAATACCAACATTAGCCTGGCATATTCATTATTGTATACACTACTGTTCTGTTTTAGGCCTTAGCAAAATTTGGGAGGGGGATAATTATTTTAACAACTGTGAAGGAAAACACAGGATCAGGGACAAAGTACAGGTAGAAGATCTTTCTACTAAAACCCAATTTAAGGCAACTTTACCTAAAAGCACTCACTATACTTAATATAGCATTAAGAGTTATCTTTTAAAAATTATAATCAGGTCTTCAGGGAGAGAAGACCTTATTAAAAAAAAAATTACTTCCCTCTGCCACAGGAAACATATTACTAAGAACTTCCTCATTCAGATTTTTGCAGAAGCCAGTATATTTGTATCATTTTTATGCTTTTGTGTTTTCATATTTAATGTCCTCAAATCAAATCAAGATAATTTCTTCATAATCATTTTTATATAATTCTCTGGATGCTCATCACATATTATTGATTGGAAATGGAGTGCAATGCATTACCTGCCTGCAAGAGCTAAGTAGGTAACTTACTGATAATTGAAGGACGTTTTGCCCCACTTCACAGATTCTGCAAAAATGAACTGCTGTTGAATTTAACTAACTGCACAGATTGTGGTGTATTTGAAGGCTACTAAGAACAATTTATAATGCATAACAAAAATCTTCATTATTTTAGTTACAAAATGCTTAGCACAGGATGTATCACATAGTAAATGTTAAAATATCAGATATTACTCAAATATTTAAAGGACATCATGTGAAAAAGGGACTAGTCTGTGATATCTTCAAAGGACCAAACCTGGATGTAAATATATTCCTGAGACTCAAACCAGAGGTTAGACTAAGGAACTAAGACTAAGAAACCAGAGGTTAGACTAAGGAACTAAGACTAAGGTTCATTCTATCAAGCACATGACATTCCAACTCAAATGCAAACAAACATTAACTAATTTTTGTTGAAAGTAGTATATAAGGTACTGTGGAAGATAAAGAAAAAAACCTTAATGGAAAATATTATCTAACAAGAACTTACATGCTTGAAAGAATAGAAGGACCCACCTATAAACAATATAAATAAAATATAAGAGAAATGAGAAAAATCGAAGTCTAGAAAAGCTTCTTAGAAGATGTAAAAGACGAGCTCAGCCAAGCATGAACACGAAATGAGTAGAACCGACTATTTCTTACAGACCAGAAGATGAAAAGACTTTTCTGAGTTGGACTGATTAGGACAAGTTTCTCCTTTCAAGAAATCTGAGCTTTGAGCTAGCCTTTGAAGAAAGGAAGAAAATGAACAGAGGGAACAGAGTATTCCAGAAAGGCTGAGGGAAACAGGATGTTCTGGAGTAATAAAATGACTAACCCAGCTGAACTGCAGATTTAGCTCTGGGGCCTTAGAGAAGAATCAGAAAGATAAGTTAGCAGTAGCTGTACAAGCATATAATGCCAATATATACTTGTCTCTCCTCAAAACTTTAGACAACCTTGTACATATATATGGATGTTAAGCCTGGACTCTGTAAGCACTGTAAACAACTCAAAATGTTAGAGTAGGGCAGTAGCATGATGAAAACACTGTAATTATATGATTAGTCTTTTCACGTGTCAAAGGATAAAAAAATTACTTGGTGAAAAAATTAATTATATTAACAACTATGAAGAAAAATGCCGAGTCAAGGACAAATAATTAGATATTTATTAATGTTATTTCTCAGTATATAAAAATGCTGAATGGGGTATGCAGAAATAATTCCTTTGGCATAAAATGCTAATAATCATACTCTGGTAATAAATGATCTCTACATTGGTCCTTAGTTCTCACAAGAAACAATCTAATAAGCATTCATTTTATGACCTAAGAAATATCTAAACAGCAGGTCTTAGCAAGATACAGCAATTACAGTAAGTATCAGGGACTTACTGATAAGTCCCTGATACTAAGTCTCTGATACTAAGTAGCACAAGCTAAACGTCAAAAATGCCAATCACAGTGCTGCGGGCTTTTAATTGCTTAAAAAAAGAAACTAAATCTACCAATGCCAATTTCAAACTGTTTCATTCATCTTCGCTTAGTTCTGTTACCACTTCTTTGTAAGCCAAAGGACACTGCTTCCTACTGAAAGCTGAAGAGACAGATGTTTTGGTAAGAAGCAGTTCTTCTGAGTGCGCACTGGCAAATAAGGTTAAGCAGGGGATTGTGACTCAGCTAATGCTGGTTCCTAACTTTTCTCATTTTATTATTTTGATACGTTCCTTCTGAATTAACTTGCCATTCAGGTGACAAGAAAGCCTACTGAAGTTCTTGGTAAATAAAACACTTTATACTAAAATGAGATGAATCTTTAAAGTTCAAACCTAGACTCAGAATAACAACATTTTATTCTTCCTAAGAAGTCATCTGAATGTGGCATTTCCAATTTGTCAAAAAAAAAAAAAAAAAACACCCTGACATTTTCCCAGATGCCTTTTTAAAGGCCGTGAAGTTTATACAGAGCAAAATGAACACATTAGAAAGAATGAGTACAAAACATTTTATTATATGTCACAAATATTGAGAATAGAAAAGATAATATAGTATCCACAATTAAACAATTTAAAAGATAGTTCCTTCAGTGCATACCCACAAAAACTCAAATCACTTATTTTAAAAAGTATACATGATCAATGGCTTATTTTAGCTTTATACACACACATGCCAACATATTTTAAACAGTAAAGCCACATAATACTTTGCCGAAATAACGATCTCCCCAATTTATTTATGCTTCATTGACAGGCCGGTCTTGGAGGTGAACCTATGCATAATCTCTACCTTTTCAGCATTACTTCCCAATAAAGCATAACATTTTTCACAGCAAAACCTGTGAATACAGCTTTCAAATCAAGTCTCAAATGTTTTCATTCCAATGCATGTGCTCATACCATTCATTCTGCGGAGAACATTGTTGTCTCAATAGAAAGTGTTATTAGTAATAAGCATTCAGTAGTAAGTCAATATGCATTCCAATTACAAAAAAGTTCCTGGAGATAAAATCTACTGTAAGTTATAAAACAGAAAGTTCAACAATTTTAAATACAACTTATGACACTGAGTTGGTAAAGACAACAAGAAACCAAAACCAATCTAAGAATTTCCAACAAACTGCTGAAACAGAAGGACAAAGAGTGAAAGCATGATTATGTAGCTGGAAAACCAAGGCAATAGGTTAACATGCAGGAAAGTGGGAGAGTTCTCAGCTGTCACACTCAAGTACATTAATGTGTGGAAACAAGGCTGTCCATTTACTAGTCAGAATAACTGGAGAATTTAAGAGAGAAATTAACAGTAAATGTGATTTTAAGAAGCAATGGACAAGTGTTGTGGGTTGAATTATGTTCCCCAAAACAATATGTTTAAGTCCTAACCCCAGTAAAGGTTGAATTAACCTTATCAAAAATGCTTGAGACCAGAAGTGTTTCAGATTTTTAATTTTTTTTTAATTTAAGGGTACTTGTAGAATACATACTAGTTGAGTATCCCTAATAAAAAAATCTGACATTCAAATTGCTCCAAAGAGCATTTCTTTTGAGTGCTCAAAAAGGAGCTCAAAAGTTTCAAATTTGGGGGCATTTTAGATTTTCGGGTTAGGAATATTCAACCTATACCTGCCATTGTGACTTTATTTCGAAATGGGGTCTTTGCAGATATAATCAAGATGAGGTCATACTGGATTAGGGTAAGCCCTAAATTCAATGACTGGTATCCTTATAAGAAAAAAGAAAGATATGGATACACACAAGAAGGCTGCATGAAGACAGCGGAAGAGATTGGAATTATTTTGCCACAAGCCAAGGAACTCCAAGGACTACAGTAAATACCAGAAGCTAAAAGAGGCAAAGAAGTATTCTTCCCTAGAGCCTTCAGAAGCATGATCCTGCCCAAACCTTGGTTTTGAATTTCTGGACTCCAGAACTGTGAGAGAAAAATATTCTGTTGTCTTAAGCCACCCAGTTTGTGCTACCTTGTTACGGTAGCCCTAGAAAACTAATACACATAAGATTTCGTACAACATGTACACCAGTAAATTCTATATTTAGTAGATATGTACCATTCTGAAACCAGTTTAAATGCCAAAATGACTTCAGGTCAGCCTCCAGAGAATTTAACTCCTCCCTTGATATTTCAGTCACTCAAACTCAAACATTCCTCCCTCATCTCAATAGTAACATACAAAATAACTAAGACAAGGAAATAAGGAATTTTTGTTCAATTTTACCAATCTTTTTCAAGTGCCACATACACTTCACTTAAGTTTAGGTAAATGAATGTCTGGGCTCAGTAAAAGAAAAAAAGATTATACCATTAATTTACATCAAAGTTTAATAAATACGCACAATTAAAAAAATGAAAATGTTGTAAGTAAAAGTCTGTTTCATTCTCATGTCTGATATACCTCTGTTATGGATTAAATTGTGTCCCTTCAAAATTCATATGTTAAAGTCATAATTTCCAGTGCCTCAGAAAGTGACCATATCTAGAGAGAGGGGGGTCTTTGCAGTAGTAATCAAGTTAGGATAGGGCCATTGGGGTAGGTCCTAATCCAATACGACTAGTATTCTTATAAAAAGGAAAAATTTAGAGACAGACACACATACAGTCAGAACTCCAGATAGATGGCTATATAAAAGCCAGGGAGATGCCTGGAACAGATCCTTCCTTCACAGCCCTCACAAAGAACCCACCCTGCCAACACCTTGATTTCAGAGGTCTACCCTCCAGAATAGTGAGACAATAAATATCTGTTGTAGAAATCATCCAGTTGGTTGCACTTTGTTACAACAGCTCAGCAAACTAATACACCAAATTCTAATCCAAGTGTTTTTCAAAAGCACAAAATCTGGCTTCATGGATATTGTGCAAATACAATGGAAAATCAGAAGACTTAACCAAATGGCAACAAGATCCAATCTACTCCAAGAATTCCCTGCTCCTATCTATCCCTCATCTACTAGTCTGATTCTTTCAAAATGTATTTACCAAATATTTGAGTGTCCACTAAATTCTAGGTTTGGTCTTATTTAATCCTCAGAATGACCCTATGAGGTAGGTATTGTTATTTACACTTTACAAATAGAGAATCAGAAAGACAATAATATCCCCAAGACCATACAACGAGAAGCATGGAGCATGGATCTCGTTAAGGGCCTCTAAGCCTGTACTCTCAACACTATACACTATACTGCCTTTCTGAGAAAGTTCTTTTTGAAAAAAAAAAAAAATCTGAACTGTCTACTTTGGAGACTAAAGCAACGTCGTCAAAACATTGTGCAGCTGCCAAAAAATTATACAATTACTGCCACTGCTCTCCAGACGTACAAAACTTAAGTCAGATGGTACAGAATGGGGAAGCGACATCCTGCTTGAGAATCTGTCATATTACAAAACTTACCACTTCTAGAAGTTATCTTCTTTTCCTATCATAGGTTACTCTGAGCTAAAAAATGTCCCTAAGAATACAAGAACATGTGAGAAAGAAAAAAGAAGCCTTTTATGCTGTTAGAGGGTCTACATAAGAAGTTCCTGGTAAACTCCCTGCATACCAAGACCACAAGCAAGAGCTACAGGGAGGACTTTGCCATCCTTGCTACATGCACATCTTAGGAAAAGGGGGAGAGAACGTTTTTACTTTACAAACTCACAGCAAAATGGCCATTGCTGCTTAGGGTCTAGAATGTCTTAAAGCTTTTCCACCCACAGTGCACTGTGCACTGAAGTTTCAGCTTACAATAACAAAGCACTCCGGCACAAGTGTCCCAAAACTGACAAGGAAAATAATGGAAATATTTTTACATAATCTTTCACAAAATTCTAGCAGCAAATCCATCCCCAAGCAAAATCCAGTTTTGAAGCTAAGGCCCCTTTTTATTTTGTAAAACTAAGGTGAGAATCCTCTGCTGTACTGTAACTTCAGCATGCAGAAAAGTCTTTACTTTTTACTCTTTCCTGCACATATTAAAATGCTTGTCACTACAGTAATCTGATACTGGAAGCTTTCAGGTTTTTAAACTTAAATATAATATATATATACATATATATAAAATCCAGAAATAAATGTATCTTCCTTACAATTAAAAAGTTAAAAAGAACTGGGATTTCAGAGTCTTTCGTTTTCACAAGTCTCCTAATACTTACTAAAGTTTGAGTCCTAATGAACCAAAATCTAGGGAGAAGAAAAGATGGAGCATCTGAAAATTCACATTTGTTAAAAGTATCTGTCCAGGTGATTTCCCAGGGATTTTGTTTAATGTAAAAATCAAGTTTCCTCATACCGTTAAAACAGGTAAATTTTTTTTTTTTTTTTTTTTTTTGAGACGGAGTCTTGCTCTGTCGCCCAGGCTGGAGTGCAGTGGCGCAATCTCAGCTCACTGCAAGCTCCGCCTCCTGAGCTCACGCCATTCTCCTGCCTCAGCCTCCTGAGTAGCTGAGTAGTGGGCGCCCGCCACCATACCCGGCTAATTTTTTGTATTTTTAGTAGAGACGGGGTTTCACTGTGTTAGCCAGGATGGTCTCTGTTTCCTGACCTTGTGATCCACCCGCCTCGACCGCCCAAAGTGCTGGGATTACAGGCATGAGCCACTGCACCCGGCCAAAACAGGTAAATTTTATGGTATGCAAATTATATCTCAATAAAGCTGCTTTAAAAATCAATCATTTCCTTCGGTATACTTACTGTGACCTTAATATGCATTAGTAATACTAAGGTCACAGTTTAAAATTCTACTAGCCTATTGTCCAAAATGAAAAGCTGAATATGGGGGGAAAAAAGATAGGTTTGGGGCTTTCTGCAGATTTTTAGCTAAGCTTTAAAAAAAAAAAAATCACTGACAAAGGACAGTGTCTGCTTAAACAAAGTAAGGCACCATAGTTTAGGAAAACCCCTAAATCAAAAAATATTAGTTTGTTACCATTATGAGCATAAAGAATCTATCACAGGCAATGACTAGGATCTTTCTTAGCTAACCAAGTTGGTTTGAGTTACTTTAATTAAAAGTCCTCTAAGTAATTCACAAATAGGATATGAGTTATCTCAGGCAAAATTTAAAACAGCTTTAAAACCCTAACTACTTAAATTTTTTAAAAAATTTTATTTCCTCATTAGTCACAGAGCAACAAAAGTGTTAAATCTGTAGGAGTGTTTGTAACTTCCAAAATTATTTTTAGAGGAAATACATTTAATATACCAACAGCATTGATTCTTCTTATAGATTCCATAACACCCACAGCATCTATGCCATATGTTAGAGATTTTCATTTGAATTGAGATGATTACATTTTCTGATTAAACAGTAACTGAAAAGACAAGTAGCAGTCTAATTACATATCTAAATAAAATATATATTTTAAGTAATTTCTCTATCCAACATTTGAAGATAGCAACATATAACACAGGATTTGCTGAGCAGGACTAGTTAAGTAAAATGTTCAATTAAAAAATTATTCTACTAATTTAAGCATTCAAAGTTCAATGCCTGATATATTCTCTCCAATCTTCCAACTAAAACCAAGAAACCTTAAACATTTTATATTCACTCTATACATGAAATTATAGTAACACAAAGTCAAAAGCCTAAGACTTCTTTAAATTTTAACCTATTCTTTGTTGTTGTTGTTGTTGTTGAGACAGAGTCTTGCTCTGTCACCCAGGCTGGAGTGCAGTGGTGCGATCTCAACTCACTGCAACCTCCACCTTCCGGGTTCATGCGATTCTCCTGCTTCAGCCTCCTGAGTAGCTGGAATTGCAGGCATGCGCCACCACGCCCAGCTAATTTTTGCATTTTTAGTAGAGATGGGGTTTCACCATGTTGGTCAGGCTTGTCTCAACCTCTTGACCTCGTGATCTGCCCGTCTCTGCCTTCCAAAGTGCTAGGATTACAGGAGTGAGCCACTGTGCCAGGCCCCTATTCTTTTAATTTATCACAAACACACACTGTGGTCACAACATTAACAAGGTATTTTTATGTTAATCATATGCCTCTAAGAAGAAAATCAAATCTTTTCTAATCAATATTCTTAAATGGCTCATAAACCAAAATCTGATGCTACCCTAAGAATTCAATGTATTACCAACTGACAAAATTACCTCAAGTTCAAAGATAAGGGTTACTACTACTGACGCATGGAAAAAAAACAAACCAACCAGTTTTTCTGTAGCATTATACACAAAGAACCTGGAATTCTGTATATATTTGTATAATTCATTTTATTACTGCAACTATAAAGATAAACTTAATCTACTCTTACAAATTAAAAGAATCAATAGAACATTATCTCACCTCTATGCAAATACTTAAAAGTGTTTAGCAGGGTTTAATTACTGTGCAATTTTAGATGAAAATATTAAGAATGGTTGAAACAACTGCCAATTTTGGCAAAAGCAAAGCATCCAAACCACAATTATACTCAACCCTCTCTAATCTTCCCTGAACCACTGTACAAAATACTTTTAAAATTGTTAATCCCTTAATCAGCAGGTTGCTGTACTCCATCAGGACAGGCTGAACAATATTTCTATGTTGCTGAAAACAGAGAATAGAGCCTGTTTACTGTGTCATACCAAGTAGATGCCGAGAAACCAATCGACGGGGAGGAAAGGAGAACAGTATTCGCTGTATAAGGGGAAAGAAATCTTACTGAAAACTCCAAGAGCTGACTGATACTCTCAGGTGACAGCTCGTCTCTAATGTCCCTCAGTTCCTTGTGTGAATAAAGCAGTTTCCCAGCAACTCTGCATAAGCATTACATCTGCTGCCTGCAAATCATTCTGTTGTTTCACAAATACACATTATGATTCTCAAGATGGCAATGGGTTGATAAATTACTAACAGTTTAGTTCTATATTATTTATTTTAGCTTATATATGTGGAGCCACCCTAATTTCTACTTGCAAACTGCACAATTTACAGTTTACATCCTCTCACCCAATTATAATTTGACAATCACCTCCCCCAGCTAGGAAGCTGTGAAAAGACAGTTTAGGCCAGACGTATAGGACAGAACTGCCACGGCTGAGACACAACAATTGTTCTTAAGTCCTAAAGCTTAAAAAAAATTGTTTCATAAATTACCTTTATTGTCATCATATCAGATCAAACTGTAAGAGACTGTCCAGTGTTTCTGCTTCTTGCTACATTGGAATATTCAAATGCTACTAAAAATAAGTGTGAGTCATTTGAGTCTTGCATAACTCTCATCCTGCAAACATTTGTTGCAATGGTATTTGTTTAAAAAATGACCCACCTGCTCCCTCTTCGGTTCCTGTGCCTCACTCCATCTTTAAATAAACATGTTCCTCAAGAGTTTGCCCTCAGCTTCTTTAGCCTCTATACAACCTATCCTTCAGTAATTTTATGCACTATTACTCCTACAAACATAACATGAATGTCTTTAAGGCACTATACTCATCATATCCTAAAATGGACTCATCTTCCATCTCAATTTCCCCAAATTCCTCCTCCTCCAAAAAGTCCCTATAGCAAACCAGAACCATTCACCCATATGATAAAGCCAGAAACCTGAGTAAATCCTTACTCCCCTTTCTCCCTCAATCCTTTGATCCAATTAATCCTATCAATTGTATTTCCTCAAAAGTGTTCACATTTGTTCACTGCAGTCCTTCCTACAACCACCATCCAAGTCCAAAGCCCACCAATTAGACTACTGTATTTTAATAACCTCTAACTGCTTTTCCTCCAGGCTCACTTACATGTTTACATAGCAACTTGTGTTTCTTTTATTATTAACATCTATTACATTTCTTTGATTCACTCTATAAACATACATTGAATGTGTGCCATGGCCCAGACACTATACCAAAACTATAAACACAGCAGTAAAGGAAAGAAACCATAGGCCCTCTAAAGCTCCCTGTCTCATCAGTTTAACTACGTGCTGAGCACCTTTCTTCCCCATCAGACCAAGATC
Organism: Homo sapiens; assembly: GCF_000001405.40. Lineage (NCBI taxonomy): Eukaryota > Metazoa > Chordata > Mammalia > Primates > Hominidae > Homo > Homo sapiens. The sequence continues at coordinate 131,915,982 of NC_000008.11, read as the reverse complement.
CATGAGGGCAGGGACGACACCCCTGTTGGTGTCCATATGTCCTGTATGAGGATAGCACCGTATCCTCAGTGTCTAGCATAATAAATGACACATAGCATTCAATAAATATGTGAATAAAAGACAAAATTACCATGCGCAGGTGTGCACACATACACAGCCTTAGATTCTTCACCTTCCCTAGCACTACTGTCTCACTTAAACTGCTTAATGGTTATTTCCACCTGCATAACTCATCTCAAACAGTTTCCCCAATCCAGCATTTCTCCTTTGACCACTGTATCTGTAGTATACTTTAAGGCACTTGGATTTAGAAAGCTGTCCTCCACTCATCTTCCCCTTGCTCTCTTCTCCCAATCAGAGGTGCAGTCTCTCCCCTGGGCCCCCAATAGCACCATTCTAATCGTGCTTGCCATTCTCTGTGTTATAGCAATTTATACCCTTCTATAAATAAGGTAAACTTTTTGAAGCTAGGGACTGCTTTATTCACCTCTGTATTCTCCAGCCAGCAGTGCTTTACAAATGTAGGCCCAAAAATATTTGCTAAGAGAAATCCAACAGGAAAACAAGAAAAATTGAAAGAACACTTGTGATTCTAGGAACATACTGACAGTACCTATGACTGAAATGACTACAAGAAGAGATTATAAAATCTCCCATCTTGGAGATCATGAGAGCAAAACAGGTGAGGCACTATCAACTAAACAGTTTTTATTTTTGCCTCTAGGTTCCCGAGCTATTGATTATAAAACAGCTTAAATTCTTGTCAGAGGGCATATTCTAATGTCTAATACTATAAACCTCAAACTTTTTACAAGTAGCCAACACTACTGAAACCAAATGCAGAATGTCACAAATAAAAGAGATAAAAATAGAGCTGCTCCACTATTCACAATAGCAAAGACATGGAATCAACCTAAATACCTATCAATGACAGACTGGATGAAGAAAATGTGGTGTATATATACCATGGAATACTATGCAGCCATAATAAAGAAGGAGATCATGTCTTTTGTGGGAACAGATGGAGCTGGAGGCTATCATCCTTAGCAAACTGACACAGGAACAGAAAACCAAACACCACGTTCTTATTTATAAGTGGGAGCCAAATGATGAGAACTCATGGACGCCAAGAAAGGAACAATGGACACTGGGGCCCACTTGAGGGTGGAGGGTGGGAAAAGAGAGAGGAGCAGAAAAAATAACTACTGGGTGCTAGGCTTAGTACCTGGGTGCAATAATATTACAACAATACAATAGTACTACAACAATCCCCTGTGACACGAGTTTACCTATTAACTAACCTGTAAATGTACCCATGAACCTAAAATAAAAGTTAAAAAAAAAACAGAGCTGCTCCAGCTGAAGCTGGTCAGATAGAGAGGGCCACCTGCACAGTCTTGTCGGAATCCTTCCCATACAACAGTCCTTATTATACTCTGTGGAAGAAATTTTGAAAACTCGGCTCTAAAAGCTCAAGCTTCCCTTGGGCCACCCTCACTGATTGTATTCATCAATGTGGGTCAAGAGCAATATGAAATCCTCAGGAATCAACAATGAGGATGCTGTGCCAGGGGAAGGAGCTTCTGTATAGGTATTAGAAATAGAACTGTCCTGGGGCAGATACCCCCATCACTGGAAGACCAAACAAAGAAGCAAGATGGAACCAAGGGAAAAGGGGTCATGACAAGTCACTTAAGTCTGCTTCCAATTTGAGTTGTGAAATGAAAAGTAATTGGACCTCTGAAATTCACATACTCCAGCCCAGCTAAGAAAACAGGAGAAGCCATAGGGACTTAGAGCCAGAATCTTAGGTGTTATACATTTGCCTGGAGTGTCCCCCCCACTGTAGATGCCCTTCTAGAGCCAGCTGCAGCAGATGGTGGGATGATAATGCAAGAACTGATAACCTGCTGATTCTAACAACATGTTCATAAAGCATTTCCACCTCTAAAGCACAGTTACGTAAATTCTATTACATCTAAATATGCGTAGGAGATAAAATCTTCTCCAGTTAGTGGGTTAAAAAGTTAGTAAATTATTTTTAACTAAGTTAATAAAATAAAACAATCCAAGTCAGATGTCATAAATGGGCCATTCCTTTAGCCTGGCACAGTACCTTCTGCAAAGTTTATGAGATTCCAGGAAATGACAACGCCAACCTTGGACACCTTACACTTCACTCGGCTCATCAGGAGTGAAATTCGTTTACAGTTAACTGTAACCACATCAAGGGAACTTGGTAGCTAATTGCCAAGACAGCTGTTCAAAAACACCAATTAAACAACAGGGATGTGAAGAACACTTAGCATTATCCAGAAAACTACTGCAGCAGAAATACCCTGGAGTTCAGGTAATAACAATAAAAAGGTACAGCTGAATAACTCACCAACTAAGAATAAAAACAAAAATAGCATTTAGAAGGACAGAATTCCTCTTAAAGACTGTAAAGCAAATGGCTTAATGCCTAATTTAAGAATACAGAAAACTCTTGATTCAGAAGTAAAATTAAAAAAAAAAACCTGACTAGTGTTTCCTTCCTCCATAAAAATTAGAATCACACTATCTAATAACACCTAAAGTCAGAGAGCAAGAAATACATATGCAAAAGGGATAATATGATACCATACATGGAAAGAAGAAAAATAGTAGTTCCTGTTTGCTTTAGAATATACTTGAGAGCTGCCTCATTTCAAGAACTGAATAAACCCGGCAAATACACATGATGAGAGAATTTTGACATGTCTGACATATTAATCATAGGAGGAACTGCCAACATTCATTTTGTGATCATACTTCCCTAGAACTGTATTCAACTCTACAACACAAGATCATTCAAAAAAAAAAAAAAAACAGAAAAATAAAAACCTGTCAGTTCCCAATAAACTGAACCCCCACATCATGACTCATCTCAACCTTTCAGGTTTTCATGATTTAAACCACCACTTAATAAGGCAGAAATTATTTCCTCCTCCTCCTCCTTTCAAAAAAAAAAAAAAAAAAATACAAGTGATAGGAAGAAAGCTCCATTCCTATTCCTGAACAACATAATCCACCAATGACTTCTCAAAGTCGTTCACAGATTTTTACATGATAGCAATCAGACAGCTGATGCGCTGTTTTCCTAAGCCAGTATGGTCAAAACTACTTGACCAGTAACTCAAAGTTCTTTTCTACAGGCTAAAGAAAAACCAGTTCAAAGCAGCATTTTAACATGTCATTTCAAGGTTTTGAAAAAAATTATAAAAATTTTTATAAAATGTTGAATTATAAAAATGTTGAAAAAATTATGTTGAGCTGTAAAAACATCTTAAGAATCTTCTTCTCTGATTGTAGAATGCTAACTGTAGAAGGAAAACACCAATTATAGAGAAGAAAAAGGATAGATCCCCAAAAGTGAAATTACTGTGTCAGTGGTTTAAGATTTGCGTATTTGATAACATATTGCTATATTGCTTTCTAAAAATGCTGTACCAATCTAAACTTCTGTCTTTTCTACTGTACTTCACTGCCTCTGCATGTTAGTGTTAAGTCTTTTGGTAATCTAAGAGACCAAAAATGTACTCTAACCACATAGGATTCATAGTATTTTGCTTTCAGATTTGTACAAATGCTGTAAATAATATCTTTTTTCCTATTTGATATTAATTTTGAATCTTTCTTCATACTGTTAGCCATGGTTTCTATCCTGCTTATCTCCCACCCCTTCCATGTGCCATGCAGGTCGTAGGAAGTATGTAGCTGTGAGCACACCCACCCAGGATTCAGATGAGCTGGGTTCTAGTACCACACCATTATCTAGCTGAATGGCACAGTTAACCTATTGTTGGGCCTCAGAAAACATACTCCAAAATGAAGGCCTCAAAAACAAAAGTTTTTCTCTGACCTTCTCCTGCCTTCCTGTCTCTCAGTCCCATTTTCCCCTAAGGCTAGCTATAGAAACCAGAATCGCTCTTCCCCAAGGTGGGTTACAAAAACCAGAACCCTTTTTCCCCAAACCCAGTCATAAAACTGAAAAATATTACTCTAACTTTCCCTCGGCCTTTCTGCGTAAAAACTGATCATAAAGAAATTACCTGACCTACCTTGTTTGACTGTGGGTCACAAGACCCCAAGCCAGACAGGGTCCTGCCCCATACCCAGAAGAAAAGAATGCATGCTCAGATAATCCAAGAAAAATCTAGATGGGCCTTGCTGAGTTTCCCCACTCAGTCTATTAACATTAGATCATTCGTATTTTGGCCAATATTTCTATATAATGTCCATACTTTGTTGAACCTAAGCATAAAAATGGGCATTTTCCCCCGTATCTTTGGGTCTTCATTCTGAAGGCTCTTGTGCATATATACGTTACATAAATTTGTATGCCTTTTCTCCAATTAATCTGCCTTTTGTCAGTTGATTTTTCAGTGAACCTTCAGAGGGCAAAGGGGAACTTTACCCTTGGCCCCAAAACTACTTTGGTTTCACTTTCCCCTTAATGATTGGATAAAACGGCCTTTTAAGTTCAAATTCTATTCAATTTCATTTTTCCCTCTCTTAAAGTTCCTTCTCTGGTGATCCTGCAATTCTTAAACTAACTCTCTTCATAGATACCAATTTTAGAAAAGCCTTACTGAATATCCATCTATATATTATATGATACCTTAAAGATTTCAGTAGGCTAACAGAGAAGGTAAGAAAAAATAAGATAATGTTAAAAGGTTAGGGGGAAAACAGACAAAAAAGCAGAAGAAAGACATACTTATATTGGCATCATATATTTGGCAAATGATATTCTTCCACAACCTCAGTTAGGGTGCTTTTCTCAGAGAACTGCCACTGTGGTGATTTACTTCATTTTTCCATCTTAGTATGCCTTTGAATTGCTTCAAATTACATGCAAAACTTTGGGTGAGAATCTGCATTTCTGGGGAAGAATAATCATGGCTTTCATCAGATTCTCAAAAGGGTTAATTTAGCAAAAAGACTGAAGGCTCCTTAACCTAGACAAACGACTCATGTCCTATCTTCCGGTCCACTCTTTCTTCTCTGAAGCAGTTGCGGGCCATATTGGGATTTTCTGTGCCCTTCTCTTTATTTCTGAGACTGTCTGGGACCCCTTTCCTTAAATGGTACCAATAAAAACCTCTCTACTCCCACTATAGGATGAAGATTCATTCACTGCAATCCATCCCACCACAACAGAAACACTGCATATGATAACTGGATCATTCCACACCAGAGTTGAGCCATGTAATGAGTAAAATGTGGTTTCATCCTAAAAATCAGTATCTTATTTGACCCATGAAAAAAAGGGCCTCTGCCCTGCGAAACACAGAGGACTGTCTCTCCTTTTACAGAGGTGTGTGTGGGTGGGAAAGTGCATGGAGTAGTGATAACTGAAAATCACTGCCCTAGAAAACCAGAGAAAGACTGGGCACAGTGGCTCACGCCTGTAATTCCAGCCCTTTGCGAGGCCGAGGCAGGCAGATTGCCTGAGCTTGGGAGTTCAAGACCATGCTGGGCAACATGGTGAAACCCCATCTCTACTCAAATACAAAACAATTAGCCAGGCGTGGTGGCGCACACCTGTAGTCCCAGCTACTCGGGAGGCCGAGGCAGGAGAATAGCTTGAGTCCAGGAGGTGGAGGTTGCAGTGAGCCGAGATCACACCACTGCACTCCAGCTTGGGCTACAGAGTGAGACTCCATCTCAAATTACCAGAGAAAGATGGCTGCAGCTGTTTTTGCTTCAAGTTCCCCATTCCATGTCACCTAGAGTCAGAGTCTAAGCAGAATGAGTTCCCCAAAAAGCTAGGCTTCCACCTTCTATCTGTCCAGCTACTCGGCTAGTATAGTTCTGGGAGATGCTTGGAACTATCTATCTAGAAATCCTGAGATGGAAAAGTACAGTATCAAAGGAGGGGAACCTGCCCACCCTGGCTCCCTGAAGGAAACTGACAGTCAATCCCAGGCCAGGGTCCTACTGACTGGATCAAGCCTGCAAGCTACTTGGACCTCTGCACTGAGACGGCAATGCCTAGGGAGCAGGCTGGGGACCCTGCATGGGAAAGCAGGCCAGGCTGCGGGCATAGTATGGTCTATAACATTTAAATATTTAGGCCAGTGGTTCTCAACCAGGGACAATTTTGTCCCCCAGAGAACATTTGGCAATATCTAGAGACACTTTTGGTTGACAGAAGCTTGGGGCAGGAGGGTTACTCCTGGCTTCCAGTTCGTAGAGGCCAAGGATGATGTTTAATGTCCTATAGTGCATAGGACAGCCCCTGTTACCCCTAAACCTGTCCCAGACATCAATAGTGTAAAGACTGAAAATCCCTGATTTAAACTATGATTTGCAGACCTCCATTTGTATTCTTGTCTCAGACCTCAAATGTGGTACAGACAGGCCTGCAAAGAACACAATCATAAACTAAATATATATATATTTTCCTTTTTAGAGATAGGTCTTACTCTGTTGCCCAGGCTGGAGTATAGTAGTGAGACCATAGCTCACTGCAGCCTCAGCCTCCTGGGCTCAAACAATCCTCCTGCCTCAGCCTCCAAGTAGCTAGGACTATAGGCATGTACCAACACACCTGGCTAATTTTTAATTTTTCTGTAGAGGCGGGGTCTATGTTGCCCAGGCTGGTCTAGAACTCTCAGCCAAAAGCGATCCTCTCTTCTTGGCCTCCCAAAGTGCTGGGGTTACAGATGTGAGCCACTGCACCTGGCCAAATTATAAAACTTTTATAACACTATCTTTATGGGAAAAAAAAGTTCCGGTTATGGTATCCAAAGAATAACTTATCTGACTCCAGTTACAATTCAATCTATTCTGCATATAGGCCAGAAGCATGTGGGGGAGCAAGGCGGATGAAGAGAGGTTGGTTAATAGGTAAATCATACAGTTAGACGGAGTAAGTTCTAATGTCTGATAACAGAGTAGGATGACTATAGTTAATAACAATGTACTGTATATTTCAAAGTAGCTAGAAGAGAGGATTTGAAATGTTCCCAACACATGGAAATGATAAACACTCAAAGTGATGGATACTCTAAATACCCTGACCTGATTGTTACACACTGTATGAATCTAACAAAATATCACATGTACCCTACTCCATAAATGTGAAAATATTATGTATCAATTTAAAAATTTTGTAAAGATTCAATTTTTAATTTATTTGGCATTTACCAAGCACCTATTATATAACCAGGCACAGTGCTAAGCAAAAGTGACAGTGTAAAACTGATGGGATCCTGTTCAACTCCTGCCTGGCTCAGAGCACTATAGTATGAAAAAAGAGCTGGGACTTAAGAGGTCAGACCCATCTAGTTGCAATAACAGCTCTATTACTTACTGTCATTAGGAATGTTACTTAACTTTTCTGAACTTCAATCTCTCTATCTTCTAAAACAGGTCAAATAGGGCCTCCCTCAAAGTGGAAGAGTTAAAGAAGATAATTCAGGTAAAGCACAAAGTATACTGCCTACCACACAATCAGTATTCAATAATTACTTCCTATTACTAATAGCAAACTGTAAGTCTTCATAAAGTAATCAGTAAGTTGGAAACTGCTACTAAGCCTATAAAAAAGCCACCGTAACTGTTGATTGCGAGAGCATATAAAACCCCTCAAATGGCCGGGAGCGGTGGCTCACACCTGTAATCCCAGCACTTTGGGAGGCCGAGACGGGTGGATCACGAGGTCAGGAGATTGAGACCATCCTGGCTAACACGGTGAAATCCCATCTCTACTAAAAATACAAAAAATTAGCCGGGCGTGGTGGCACATGCCTGTAGTCCCAGCTACTAGGGAGGCTGAGACAGGAGAACTGCTTGAACCCGGGATTTGGAGGTTGCAGTGAACAGAGATCTCACCACTGCACTCCAGCCTGGGCGACAGAGCGAGACTCCCTCTCAAAAAAAGAAAAAAAAAAAAACCTCAAATTCTGGCTTTCTCTTTCTCCAGCATTATCTCCTACCACCTACATAATCATTAATGTAGCCCCATGTCCCCACAAGTGGGGACAGACTGAAAGATGAGATCTGGGCAGCAAACAGGGCAGTGTCAAGCCAAAGGTCACTGCAAAAAAGAAAATTCATCAGCTACAACTCTGGCAGGACACATAGGTGGTGGGTAGAAGAAGGGAGGAAGGAGGGAGATGGGAGGGGAGGGGAGAAGGAAGCAAAGGGACAATGAGGAAAGGGGGGAAGAGGGGAAAAGGGGAGAGAAAGAATGAGAATATGAATGAACACAAAAGGCTAATAATCCAGTAATATGAAAGTGTAGGTCAAGTTTGCATGTAATGTGTCTCTAAAAGGAAAACACTTCAATCAGCAACCCTCTTTTATAATTCATTCTGCATTTCTTTCATAAAAATAAATTAAAAAATAAGTTAAATGTAATTAGCCTCATCAAAAGAAAAACAAACATGGAGTAACCATATTATTATTACAGCCTAAGAAATTTGCCTAGACCTCAACGTCAGTACCTAAATGAGAAAAGAAAGCATTCAACACACATAATTACTCAAAGTATAGTTTAACAGCAAACAATATTTGAGAGTTTTGGTTTTCCCTAGAAAATATAGAATAACTTTTCATATAAAATAAAAGAGCACATTTTACCGGACCTGTTTTGAGGCAAGTTATCTGTGAACTCAGGAGCCATTTTCACATAAGGAGTTTACTAAAAGTTTAAGTTTGTGTCTATATAAACAAGAATCTACTTAGCACACCAGTGATATCCACAGCTTTTCCAAAGATTTCTGTGACAGGATGGAAGCAAATGCATTCTTGTAAGTTCACAGAACGATTTAAATTTTTGACCAAGCTTACATTTGTCTTAATGTAACTCAAGGGGAAAAAAAGGCTAAACTATTATCAATTTAGTGCTAGAGAAAAATTAATGTTACTATGCTCACTGTGGTTACTGATTATAGGGGCCAGTTCTGTGTTCAAGTCATGGTTTTACTCCATGGAAACTCTCAGAAGGCTCAGCTTCCCGATACACAACATAAAATGATGAAGAAGCTTTAACAGTCGTTCCAACTCAAACTCCGATTCAGAGTTTGAAAATCTTTCAAATAAAACGCTTCTTAATGGTCCTTTGAATGGAGAATGAAATAAAGGCCTCTAGAAAAATGATGTGTCAAATTATAGGTTTACAGGTTTGCAACAGCATTCAGCAGCATAGTCTTGAAATCTGTGCCTAAGGATTGTTTCAGACTACAGGCTTGTAACACGACCACAAAATTGTTTCTGTGTCCTGGCAGTTTCCTGTCAGGCATCCTTCCAGGTGGTTGCTTTCTCAAAGAGTCTACGGATCTCCAAAATAATTCTAGTGAAGTGGCTGTTAATATTCATGAGATATATCATTGCTTAACCAGTGGGGTTACTGCATGCTTCACTGGATTCTAGTTATTAACAACAGTTTCAATGAGTACCAATATTCCAAATAAGCAACAAAATAGCAAGAGTAGAATAATTCTATGACTTACAGCAAGGGTTGCTCTCGGAATTGTAGAGTCTGAGAGACCACAGTGATCACCTCCAACCCTTTGATTTTAATTAAAACTCGTACGGATTAACTGGCTTGGGCTTATCACTAAGCCTCTCAACCATTTAACATTAAAACAACCAATCAAACAAAAACACTTAGCTTATCTGAGCACAGTTTTCCTCCTAAGAGCTGTGAACTTCCTCCTAAATTCCTACAGAGAATAACAATTTTGCCATCTCTGTGTTGGATATATATTCTACAAACAGAATTTCAAAGAAATATTGTTGTCCACTGCACTATCCCAGCAATTTCGGCAGCTGTGACTGCCAAAGGAGAGAAAAGGCAAATATGAACACTATTCACCTCACACTGGTACCCCCAATCAATCCACAGCACATTTTTATTCAGTCATAAAAAATGTACCATGACAAATATTAACAATGACAGATAAAACAAACATTTCACTTGTCTTCCAGTCAGGGTGTGAAATCTGCATTCTTAACTATGTAAACTCCACCATGGCCCATCCTAAAATCATTTTGCAGAATGAACTCAACATTTGAAAAGAAACGAGTTTACTATATCCACTCTGTGAAGCTAGATAACCCTAGAACATAACTAAAAATTTTATTTCACAGGATAATTCTGGCATGTTACCAATAAATTCTACTTGAAGCCTCAACTTTCAATAGGTGCTTACCTCCTCCCCTTTGGTTTCTCAGAAAATAAAAGATTAGCATAGTGCTAGTCTCAGATATTCACTGAATAACGTGAACATGAATTTAGAAGTACTAAACTGGCAATAACAATGAAGATGATTGTAAATGATATTCCTCCAGCCAAAAGGAATAAAACAGAAATTTAAACTGGACATATTTACTGGATGCGAAGTCCAAGAACGTGAGTTAAGGACACACAGTAGTGTGTGAAGAAAACAAAATCCACAGTACCCACACATGTATGAGGAGTTAAAAGTAATCTCTACATCAGGACTATGTAAAGATTTGCCACAGGAAAATCTTTAAATCTCAAAAAGATATTTAAATATCTTTAATATCAATTTAAATTTAATATCCTTAAATATCAGGAAAATATCAATCTTTATAATATCAAGAAATAACTCATCTTTTCCCACCACTAGACGAAACGTGCATTGGAGACTGACCTGGAAATTCAGCGTCCCAGATGGCTACAAAACAAGGACAACTAGAAGTAGTTATGAATTCTAGGAAATATATTCACAAGTGTGTAAAGATTCTATAGTATTGAACACTTAGTCAAAGGAGTCCTACTTGAATTCTCAAATCAATGACAAAGTTGCTTCCTCTCTACCCAAGATCAGGAGCTTCCCTAGTTTGCACATATCCACATTGACCAGTGGCTATAAAGTCACACTGCGATTATCTGGGTCATTTTAAAATAGGTCATTAGCAGTACTTGTAGTATCGCGTCTGTCTAAAAATCCTCCAACACCGAGTGACTTTTAAACTTTGGGGTGCCTTGGTAACCCCAGGGACGCTTATTAGACATGCAGACTCCGGGGCCCAAGCTCCAGACTAATTCCATGGGAATAGGGCGGGTCCCGAAACCGGCATTTTTAATCATCTGCCCGGGTGAATCCGAAGTGTGGTCCAAAAGCCACAGTCGAGGTGCCTCTGCCTAACAAGCTCCACAGAAAGCTCCGACTTCAGCCGCCCCGACGGCGATACGGACGCCGAGTTAGGCTGTCGGGGGTCTGTCTGGCGGCCGCGGGAAGGGACTCGGGGCCGGCGCGTCCACTAGCGACGTCCGGCCCGAGGTGAGAAGGGACTGACAATGGTACCGCAGTTATTTTCAATATTTCCATAAAGTCCCACGAAGCCGTGTGGCCGTGGGAAAAGGGCTTTAACTTTGAAATCCCACGGGTCAGGTTACCACCAGCTCTGCCGCCTCCTAACAGCGCGTCCCCGCAGTTCCCTTAACGTTCGGGCCTCAGTTTCCCGATCCGTGCAACGGGCTCACGCCATCTCCGGAAGGCTAAGCCGAAACGAAACTAACTCCGCCGCTCGCAGACACTTCCTGGCTCTGCTCAGCGCGGCCCAGCCTCCCCAGCCGCCCGGGAGGAGTACCCGGCCCAAGCGCGTCGCGCAGGCAGTCGCCTCCCAACGCCCCCGGCCCTCGGCCGGCCACTCACGGGTAGGCATGGCGATCTCGACCGCGCTCGCCGCCGCACCGAGGCTCAGCGGGGCCGCGCAGGGAGCGCCGACGGCACCATGACGGCCGTTGCTGGGCCGCGGAGGCCGGAACGAGGCGAAGGGCGAAGGGCGAAGGGTGGAGGGAGCGGACGCGGACCCCGCGGTCACGCAACCAAGCGGGCGACAGCTACCGCCGCCAGCCCACTCCTCGCCGGGCGGCGCGACGGACGACCCACGCCCGTTACGTCAGCGCGCCGCCGCCGTCCCGGCCCCGCCCCCGCGGATGGCCGGGCTCGGCCCAGGATCCCTTGTCGAGCGGGTGGAATGGGTGGCTGGGGACAGCCACGTAGAACAACTTCGGGTGCCTTCTATTTTCCAAGCCTGGTGACCTGCGTGGCATTCGTTTTCCTTGATCTCTATTTGGAGTGCATCACTTTACGTTTGTGAGGATGATGGCTTTGAGCGCACGGAGTACCTGTGGGCTTTTTCTTTTGCAATCGGTTTAACTTGCAGTGCGTTTTGCATACTCTGAAAGCATGGTTTATTTGAGATGCACTAAGGTCATTTGGGGTGATGGCTGCTCATTTTTTGAGAGGGCAGAAAATGTAATTTCCTTTTGCTCTTGTGACTTTCAGAGCGACCTTATCCCTCAGGAGTTAGTCTCCTCTGGAGAGGGCAGCTCTGTGCACTTGGCTGAGCTACTCTTCTTGACTCTGGGTGTCATTAATAATTGAGGTATCTAATAGTCACCAAGCTGAGCAGACACCGGGAGCCAGAGAGCTGAGCAACGCACCTACACTATGCTAGGCGCCGTGGGCTGCGGACAGCCCATATGGAGATATAAAAGCCAACCGCAGAGGTTTAACACAGCCTTCCTCAAAGTGGGTCAAAGTGGTCCAGGATCCTTTTGTGCTTGGATCCCCTGGGGACTTGTTGAAAAGCAGATTCCTAGGTGCTGAGCCAAATCTACGAACACATATACAGATGATTTAAATACAATGATAATACTGAGAACCTTTGTCCTAAAAAGTAGGGCTAACCTTCTGATTAAGAAATGATATTGTGCAGTACTGGGAGGAGAAGATGAAGAACATGAAGATCAGAGCTAGGAAGCGCTGAGGAGAAATTAGTCTTGGCTTGAGGTGGACTTGGAAGAAAGCAGAATTTGAATTAGCAAAGCCTAGGGGAGTCCTAAAAGAGGCTGGGGAGAGGATGAAGGGTAATTTAGAGTGAGTCATGGCAGCTGGGGAGAGGAGAGTGTGTACTGTACCTATAAAAGAGACTGTCCAGCTGGGAACGGTGGCTCACGCCTGTAATCCTAACACTTTGGGAGACCGAGGTGGGCGGTGGGCAGATCACCTGAGGTCAGGAGTTCGAGATCAGCCTGGCCAACATGGCGAAACCCTGTCTGTACTGAAAATGCAAAAATTAGGCGGGGGTGGTGGCACATGCCTATATTCTCACTCAGCTACTTGGGAAGCTGAGGAAGGAGAATCGCTTGAACCCAGGAGACGGAGTTTGCAGTGAGCCGAGATCGGGCCACTGGACTCTAGCCTGGGCTACAGAGCAAGACTCCATCTCAAAAAAAAAAAAAAAAAAAGAGAGACTGTCCCTTGCTAACAGTAAAGACCAAACTACCTAGTGCTTATTCATGTTTTAATGCCCTGTTGCATATTTTATCACCTATAAAATCTTTCATGCTTCCAGTTTTCTCCCTAAGACTTTGGCATTATCTTGATTCCTCTCTGCTACAGCACTTTTCTCACTGCATCCTAAATAAACTGTCATGAGTGCTTGTGTTTTACCATGGGCCTATTTGCTTTTCAGAAAATGGCAAAAGCCATATTCTGTTCATGTTTATGTATCCTTGGCTGGCACACAGGTGGGGGCCAGAGTATATTAATTCAATATATAAATAAAGGATTTTATTCAAGAGTATGAAAACAAAAACAGGTAAATAAAACTGATAAACAACTTTACATTCAACCTTGGAATTTGTCTTTTAAGAAACTGTTCTGTGATTTTTACAAAAAGCATAACAGTAACATTAAATTATCAGAAGCAGGGCCTTGCAGGGGGAATGGTGTGGCAGAGAAACTGTGGAGGTAGGCAGCCAAATCGGAAGGCCCCAATACAGGAGAGAGTGTTAGGTGCTCAGTCTTGGTGGTGGCTGTGGAAAAAGAAAGAACTGAATCTTACTTTGGAAAAGAATCCCTGGATTTGTTGGCTGCTGACTTGGGAGCAATAGAGAGGCATCTGTTAGTTATGTAACTCCAAGGTTGGAACAAGGAAAGTGGTGGTGCTGGAGAGCAGTAGACCAGTCAGGAAGAAATGCTGTTTTAGGGAAGGGGTGTGAAGAAAGGTGTGAGTTTCTCCTTGACATATTGAGCTTGAGGTGGTATCAGAGGGAGACATCCGAGTGAATGAATCTGAAGGCAGCTGGGCAAGCCAGGATGAAGGTGGGCTGAGGGACCTCAGGGTGGGAGATTTGGAAATCTTTGGTCCCGGGACAGGAGCTGAAGCTGGGTGTCAAAGAGAGCCCTTTTAGGGAAGATGTGGAGGCAGTGAAGGCACAGAGAGACGAGATCCACAGGATACAGTGCCCCAGGAGCCAAGGGAAGACATGACTCCAAAAGGCAGACATCTCTGCTTACATTACCTTGAAAAAGATGCAGATCCCAAAGGCCCTGAAATTGTCCTGCACATACTGGTTGTTTTTTTGTTTGTTTGTTTTTCATTTCTTTCTGTTTTTAATCCTCTTGGTCTTTTGGTTTTGTATTGTTGCCAGAAATAAAAATCAGCAGCCAAAGATTCTGAGGAAGGACAGCTGAATGTCAGGAAAAATAGTGTCATAATGTTTTGATTATATATACAGTACCTACGTGGTTTTTTTTTTTTCCCTAGTTTGTGCACATTGGTAGCAATGTTACCATACTCTTTCCCTAACCTATCCTCTGGATCCGAGTTCTGCCGGTGTATCCACCACAGCCAGCCCCCGCTTCCTTTTTGATTTTTTTTTTTTTTTTTGAGACAGAGTTTCACTCTGTCGCCTAGGCTGGAGTGCAGTGGTGCAATCTCACCTCACTGCAGCCTCCACCTCCTGGGTTCAAACAATTCTCCTAACTCAGCCTCCCAAGTAACTGGAACTACAGGTGCATGCCACCACGCCTGGCTAATTTTTGTAATTTTAGTAGAGACGGGGTTTTGTCATGTTGGCCAGGCTGGTCTCAAACTCCCAGCCTCAAGTGATCTGCCTGTCTCGGCCTCTCAAAGTGCTGGGATGACAGGTGTGAGCCACCACGCCCGGCCCCCTACCCCCTACTTCTGAGAGCAGAGAGTCTGCCGTCATCTTTGGTACTTGGTCTTACCCCTCTTGGTGTATCCCCTTTTGCAAACACCCTTCCCCTTTCTATCCCCTCTGTGTCAGTGCTCCTCTCTTGGAGCCCAGTCTGGGCTGACAGGAACGAGGATTTAGCCATCTCTCTTGGTGCCCACACTGCCCAGCTCTTGTCCTGGACACTATGTGTGGTAGACATGGAGACGAGTCACCAGATCCCTTTAAGAGAAGACACACTGCCTTGGCATTTGAGCCACTTTAGTGTTTGAGCTTGGTATTTGAGGTGATGCTTTTGTCAGGGTGCAGGGCAGGCAGAGTGCCCTTTCTAACATGCAAATCTAATGATACCTCTGATATGGTTTGGATATTTGTTCCCTCCAAATCTCATATTGAAATTTGATCCCCCACATTGGAGGTGGGGCCTAGGTGGAAGGTGTTTGGGTGATGGGGGTGGATCCCTTATGAACAATTTGGTGCCTTCCTTAAGGTAATGAATAAGTTCTCTGTTGGTTCCTGCAGTATCTGATTGCTAAAAATTGTCTGGCACCTCCTTTCCCTCTCTCATGCCATGTGATGCCTCCTCCCTTCCCCTTCCACCATGAGTAGAAACTCCCTGAAACCCTCACCAGAAGCAGACACTGGCACCATGCTTCTTATACAGTCTGCAGAACTGTGGGCCAAATAAAGTTCTTTTCTTTATAAATTACCCAGCCTCAGGTATTCCTTTATAGGAATGGAAATGGACTATGACCTCTCACCTGCTAACACTTGTCTATGGCTCAGTAGAGTGTTCAGTCTACAGTTCAAAGCCCTTAGCTTAGCACAGGAAGCCTTTCAAGGCCTGACATTGAGAGCTCTTCAGTTCCCCTACATTGCAACTTACGCTTTGCTTCCCCTGGTCCTAATGAGTGCACAGTTCTCAGAAACCACTCTGCTGTAGCACTCTTCCATTCTTTTGCCCATGCTCTTTGCCCTGCTGGAATGGGCTTTTCTGTCCCCTGCTCTAGCTAACTTCCAAAGTCCTTGTGAGTGTTTGGTGTAATTAAGTATGCCCTATGACCTGGAGATCATCCTTCTGGGAATATATCCTGGAAAATTTCTCACCAGGGTCCACAAGGAAGATGGATAAAAAGGTTAATTGACGTGTTGTTCATGGCAATGCGGAGTTGGAGGCCACCTAGGCGTTTGTCACTTGCAGAACATGGTGGATTCATACGTACTGTGGATGCACATCAGCAACATGGCTTGATCTTAAAAATGCAGAATTGGCCAGGCTCAGTGGCTCACGCCTGTAATCCCAGCACTTTGGGAAGCCAAGGCGGGTGGATCACTGGAGCTCAGGAGTTCGAAACCAGCCTGGCCAACATGGTGAAACTCCGTCTCTACTAAAATAACAAAAATTAGCCAGACATGGTGGTGGATACCTGTAATCCCGGCTACTTGGGAGGCTGAGGCAGGAGAATCGCTTGAACCCAGGAGGCAGAAGTTGCAGTGAGCCAAGACCGTGCCACTGCACTCCAGCCTGGGCAACAAGAGTAAAACTCCGTCTCGAAAAAAAAAAAAATGCAGAATTAAGAAGCATCAATATTTATAGCACAGTACTATTTATGTCATTTTTTAAAAAACATGCACGTAGAAAACATGGATCTCAACAATGATATATAAGGAGGTGAAGGGAAAGGGAGTGAGAATAGGGAAATAAAATTAGCAAAAAAAGGGCTTTGAACAGAAAGACGACAGTGTACAATGAAAAAGGAATGTGATTGCTGCAGTCTTTGCAACTGATTTTTTTAAAAAAGAAACAAATTATTTTCAAATATCACTAAGTACAAAAAGACCTTCCAAGACTTCTAAGTTGGCTTTAAGGTGTTTCTTTCAAGTTCCAGAGCTAATTTGCATACCTCCATCCTGTCTCTGAAGGGCCCTAGTGCTTCTTGCGGTACATAGCAGATATTGGGGACTCCCAGTAACTGTGGTGGATCCTAAGGAGGGCTGCTGAGGCCTGCATGTGCAGGTGGGATAAAGAACCAAGGTAATGTGGGCATTAACTTGTCCTTATTTATACATATAGGCTGGTCAGGACTGGGACATTTGTTACCTCATTACCTATATATTAATCATTACTAATAGTACCTGTTTATTTTGTTTAAACTCTTCAAAAGCCAATGTTGAGTTCAAATCAAGAAAGACATTCACTAGCACTTAAATAGAAGAGTACTTTCTTTTTTATGTTTTCTGGCACATTTTCAGAATACATGCCATTAAAAATAGAAGTTCTTTGTCCCTTCTTTTATTCCTTCTCAGAAAATAAGAGGTCAAAATAATATTAGAAAGGTCGTTGTTGATATCCTATTAGAGCATTGGCTTTTAGCTCAAATTGTCCAAAATAGCTCTGTTTCCAGTTTAGTGTAGTATTTGTTCCAATTTCTAAATCCTGCACTGAGAGAATTCACTTTTAATTAGCATGCATTTTAGTGCTTCAAAGGTAATTGCCAGCAAATTTACAGTTTATAGGAAATAATTAATAAGGCTATAGATTCACTCCTCCTAAAAGCTTATTCCAAAAAAGTCATAATGATGCAATCTGATGCTCTCATTGCTTAGTTTTTTTCTCACAATACATATCAATAATATGCCCTTTTTTTCATTTCATTCCATTTCATTTTACCATTGATTAATCATAACTTAAGGCTTTCCAGTTCTTATGAGGCATAAAAAACACAGACTTTAGACACAGAAAACCTGAGTTTGGATTCTGCTTTCCCCACAAAGGAATTGGAAACACTTATGAAAACATACAAAAAAGATAAGTCTTGCTAAAGTAAATTAAGATGCAGACCAGGTCTAAAGAACCCCTGAGCAGATAAAACCAGTTAGGCCTTGTGAGTGAACTAAGCCTTGCTTGATTTGCAAATGTAAGTAAAACTTAACTTGAGCTATTTCTTGTAAATGCTGAAATTCAAGAAAAAACAGAACTTAAGCTCAACCAATCAGAAGTTATCAACAAATTTATATAACTAGGGACTTTCTAACAGAATAAACCAAGTATGGGGACTGTATAATTATAATCAATCAAATATTTTATTTGCTTTACTTCTATGTCCATCCTATAGAAACCTTCCCCTGGTGTTCCCTCCGAAGATTCATGCATCGCTATTTGTGCAAATAAACTCTTTAAAATTTTATTATGCCTCAGTTTACATTTTCTTCTTCTTCTTTTTTTTTTTTTGAGATGGAGTTTCGCTCTTGTTGCCCAGGCTGGAGTACAATGGCATGATCTGGGCTCACTGCAACCTCTCCCGGGTCTAAGCAATTATCCTGCCTCAGCCTCCCAATTAGCTGGGATTACAGGCATGTGCCACCACACCCAGCTAATCTTGTATTTTTAGTAGAGACCGGGTTTCAGCATGTTGGTCAGTCTGGTTTCGAACTCCTGACCTCAGGTGATCTGCCCGCCTCGGCCTCCCAAAGTACTAGGATTACAGGCATGAGCCACCACACCCAGCCAGCTTACCCTTTAACAGCCTCTAATCCAGAAGGTCATTGCCCAAACTTTTCGGTGCCAACTAGGACACTGTGCAAGGCAGACACTCCCGATCATGTCATGAGCCAAATGTCTCAGTCATCTCTGCTTTATAAAGAGAATTGCAAATGGGTGGAGCAAAATCTTGAGATAATCAGGTTAAGAGTTCTTGATTAAATCAGACAAAACAGCTGGAAACCCTTCCTTAGAAACACTATCATTTTAAACAATTAGAGGAAAGCATTAACTCTCATTGTTATTTACTAAAATGTTAGCTAGCTTTAGCATTTAACACAGAGTGTAGGGGAGCTGCTGAAAGGAGAGAAAAAAATCTTCTAAATATGGTCTCATGCTAGGCAGTGAGTTTTTTACAAGACTTTTATGACAATTGGTATCAAATCTTATTTATTGCTGTATCTCCTGCACATGAAATATTTTATTTAATAAATATTTGAGGAAGTGTGGGAATTGGAGGAAGAGAGGGAGGGAGGAAGGGGAAAAACATAAAGGGCAAGCATCACAGAGAGGTCAGTTGAAGTATTGAAAGGAGATCTTTGTGGTAGATTAGAAAAATCGCTTAGATTTTTTTTACCTCTGGCTATATCTACACTCTTGCAGTTGATTTGGGGATACCTCCCCCGAAGAGATAATTTTTTCCTCATCTCTGAGTCTGCATTGTCCTTGTAACTTGCTTTGACCAAAGAGGCAGTGACAAACATTATGTGAGCAGAGACTTAAAAAGGGTGAAGAAGCCCAAACTTTCTATTTGAAGAGAGAGGCGCCAATCCTCCTAATCATCCCAGATGAGGCCACCATATATCAGTCAGCCCCTGCTGGTCACCCAGCTAAACAAGAATTCAAAAGTCAGCCTAGCCAAAAGCCACATAAGCACCACCCAGCTGAGACCAGCCCAAATTGTCAACACACAGGAGCACGAGCTGAAGAAATAGCTGTTACTTTAAGCCACTAAGTTTGGGAGTGGTTAGTTATGTATCCCCTAATCACTATTACTAGTTTTCACTATAACTGTTGCTAATAATCAATAGCGTATACAAGTAATCATGGGTGGTATAATTTATCAAGCTTTTAGTACGTGCCAAATACCATGCTAAGTACCTTAAGTACATTTTCTGACATAATCCTCACAAAACTGAATGGATACGCTTAAGTATACCTGTTGTTTTAGTATGAGGAAACTGAAGCATGGAGAGATTAAATAGTTTCCCCAAAGTCACCCAAGTCAGTCATGACCCAGGAATTTGAAATCAGGCCTGTCTGCCCCCCGCAAACCCAAGATCTTCACCACAGACAGTATGCAAAGTCATCTGAAGAGCAAATTAGAAGGCCCAATAGGAGATGCATACCTACAACGGGTGGATTTAGAGGCAATTATTGTCTTTTTTCCAATCTGTTTTGCAGAAAGAATGTCAAACCCTCCAGAGGAAGAATCATGCTTTCCATCTGTTTCTAATTCCTTAAAAAAATGCCAGTAGGTTTTGTATTGAGTCTCCTTTTAAAGGCTTGAAGCTGAATTACAATCACCATGTAATTGTTTGTTTTTCTCTCATTTGGGAAAAAGATAGAAATAAGAAATTGGGACTGTTGACTATTGGTTTCAAACTATAACTGTTGTTTCAAGCAAGTTCTAATTGTATCAACCTTCATCTTTCTCAGAAAATAAACTTTAAAATATTGCAATACTTGTACATTCAATACTTGTGCATTCCTATGAGAAATCTTTGTCCATACATTGTTCCATCTTGGTCTTTAATGTAGCTAGTAAATGATGAGTGGGTGGAGGATAGTTATTAAATTTGCCTCAAATAAGGCAATAGAGTTATGATTAGCTATTATTGCTACTAATTATATTTACCTTGAATCTTGAACTGGCAGGGGTAGTTGGGGGGTGGGAGCAGGAAGTAGTTAGAAGTAAATCCAGAACATTTTATACCTTTAAAGCAGAAACCCAGTTCAACCAAATCCTATTTATATCTAATGAAATAAGGGAGAGAGGTGGTAGACCTGCTTGGAAATATGGAAAAATACATCTCACAAGCAGATTGCTGAAACTAGTGTGGATAATTCTGGTTGTTGTATCTTATTGTTTTTATTAGAGAATCAGGGGCATTGTTATGTTATAGACCACTTTGAGTGGTCTATAAGTCTCTTTGTATCCTAGATTTTCAACAAAGTGTTTGTTTTAAAAGAGCAAGAATTAGGCCTAACACAGCAAAATAAATTCTCAATGTTTTTGACAAGTGCATGAATCGAACTGCCTTGCTAGATCCAGAAACATGCACTGAGGTAACAGGGAAGTGATGGAAGCATCCGAGAGCCAGTATCCTACTGTGGAGGTATCTAATGTGAGCACAAGAGATGCTCAGAGCTCAAGGAGTTAAGTTGCAAAATCAAAACACCAGATTTGCCCAATTCTAAGATGATTTTTTTTTCTCATTTAAATGTTTCTGGAATAAGAATACAACTGACATTTGATGTCAGCTGAAACTTGCCAGCTATGGAAGGAAAGGTATAAATTTCTGCTCCCTAGCACTGTAGCTGTTACTGTCTGACTCAACCATACCTAGATCCAGGCAATTGTCCCAACAGTTATTTTCACTAATGTCATCACACGTGATTGAATTTTAATGTAAATTTGAATTCAATCAAATCTAATTGTTCCTTAAATTGGTTCAAAAATACCACACTATAATGCAGCATTTAAACAAAAAGTTATTGTGTGTGCAGGCAATGAGCCTAAAGTCAGTAAAAAATGGCTCTCTCTAAATCACAGCTCTGTTTAGATTACAGGTAATAGAGCATAATAATAGATAATTTTCAAAGCTAGGCGAGTTGTTGTCACTGAATGATGCAGCAAGCAATCATTCATCACCCAGAGTTCTATGGCTAAATACTTCCAATTGGTATTGAGAGGCCAGGTGTGGTGACTCATGCCTGTAATTCCTGCACTTTGGGAGGCCGAGGCAGGCAGATCACTTGAGGTCCAGGAGTTTGAGAACAGCCTAGCCAATATGGCGAAACCGTGTCTCTACTAATAATACAAAAATTAGCTGGGCTTGGTGGTGTGTGCTTGTAATTTCAGCTACTCAGGAGGCTGAGGCATGAGAATCGCTTGAACCTGGGAGGCGGAGGTTTCAGTGAGTGGAGACTGCGCCACTGCACTCCAGCCTGGGCAATAGAGTGAGTCTCCATCTCAAAAAAAAAAAAAAAAAAAAAAAAGAAAAGAAAGGAAGAAAGAAAGAAAGATAGATTACTGGTAACCACAGAGTGAGCTTTTTTAACTGAGTAACTCATAATAAATAAATGAAACAGAAACAAGGTAGGAAGGAAAGAAGGCTATAGAAATAGAAGTTTAGCAGCAAAGTGGAAAGGAATGTAGTTTCCCAACAAAGGGAGTAGTTGATCCAAGGAAACCCTATGCACTCATAACATATGGCCAGTGGAATTTCCCACTTTGCTCTCAAACTTAGTTTTGAACTAATTGTCCAAAACCACAGTGAAGTTTGCACACTTTTAAATGGCACCACTACAGCCAGGCTTGGTAGGATGCAGAATTCTGAACATAAGGGATCATTAGACAACTCAGATAAACAAGCACAGCATGAAGAATGAGCTGTGGGGAAAGAGAAGAGAGAAAAATGTCATTGATTTCTGTTGATATGACTGTTCTCCCACCATGGAGGTAAAGTAACACAATTTTACATAACTAAGCAGGTGACAGAGCTTAGACATTTAATAAGTCAGTTCTAAAATTGTCTAATTTAATTGCAAATCTTTTAAGAGTAGTTTCTCTCCATGGTCATTTATTCCAATATTCAATAAAATTGTTCTTAATATAGTCTGGCCTGCTTTACTTGTTTTATAACAGTGCTAACAAGAAAATAAAGCATTTCTTCTAAATCATATTAAGACATATTACGTTAACAAATTTAGTATAATCTCACATAGACCAACTACAGTTTCCAACTGCTATTATAATGACACAGGCTAGTGAAAAGCAGTTTTTGATAGGATTAACTAAAAATCTTTGCAGGTTTCAATGATTCCAGCTGGAGAGTAAAGTCCAATCTGTCTAATGGAAATGTTTTAAGAAGACATGCATGCCAATTATAGAGAAACTGTAAAATGCAGAAAAGTATTTTAAAAAATACTAATTATGTCTAATTCACCTCTCCCCTAAGTCATGAATAACATTTTGCCTCTTTCCTTCTGATTTAAATACTCTTGCTTTAATGCCAGGAGAAAGTAATGTCATGAACTTCAAGGAACTGTAAATGTGGAAAAGACAACAGAATTAATATCAAACGTATTTTCATTATTATTCTATTAATATCTCCATCTCTAGCCTATAAGTTCCATGTAGGCAGCAACCTCATCTTCATTTGTTCAATATCGTTTCCGTAGCATCTGATAGCCCCTAGTGCCGGGCACATGATATAAGTTCAATTAATCTTCATTAAATACATGGTATGTGTTAGTCAGAGTTCTAAATTTCAATCAATAGAAAGCAAGTCTGACTGATTTAAGCCAAAAAGGAATTCAGGACATGATAACTGGGTAACTCATGGAGTAGTCAGGAAAGCCTGAGGTTTCAGCTCAGTGGCTATAGACAAGTTACACGAGACTGGCCTGTGCAGCATCACCGGGCTGCTGCTTGTAACATAGATACACGATTGTCGCGAGCCCTGTTCACTGACACTGGACATTGCTCCTATTGCCTCTGGCTACTGAGGGTGCCTGCTGCTATTGCTGCTGCCTCCCACCACAAACAGAGATTCAGAGAGGCTCTGCCCTTTTTTTCTTTTGCGCCACTACCTTCTAATTCAAAGTTTGGCTTGGTTAAACCTGGTAGGTAATGTTGAGGTCAAGTACCTAGCTGTAAGAATGGTGGGAAAGCACACAGATGGTATTTTAAGATTCTAACAGGAAAGGAGGTCTGCTTTACCAGGGTAGATTTTCTATACAAAGGAGGCTTTACACACTGGACAGCAGAAAATCATGACAAATGCACACCCATTTGACTGCTCAACATCACCATATCCACTTTGTTTTCTCCACATTTTCACTGTCAACAAAAGAAAACCACAAAATAAACTGGTCAACAAACATATCACCTAATATAATGCAAACATGCCTCATAAACTTGACAATATTCTCATCTCCTCCCATGAAAAAGCCAACACAATGCTATTTAAGTTGCTGAATTCAACTTCAAGTCTAGGGTGTCTGAAGGTTCTTTATTCTCATTCCAGTCCAGTCATAATCCCATCTCAATATTCTGCCTTCCGTGGAAGCAAATGCTGAAGTTAACGATCACTCATCCACCTTATAAAACATAGCAGGACAGAGAAGAAAGAAGAAAATTAGTCAATATATTTGTGTATATGCAAGACAATGAGGAAAAAGTGTCAGTAGATGCTGAGAACTATTTACTGTAACTCTTTATAAGGTTGTGCTTGGTGTTTATGCATTTACGACTTCTCTGCTACACATTTCCTATTGCTTTTGACTTCCCATTTCCCATTGTGGGGTAATTAGTGCCGCCTTGCTTAGCTTGACAGAATTAATCACCCCCACCAACACCTTAACTCTTATTTCCCCCTGCTCCTCCAGTGAAGGAACCTGCATAGGGAGGTGGCAGCTCAGCTTCCCATTAAAGAAAATAGTGTTACGTGTCCTAGAGGGAACATTCTTCCCTTGGACACTAAATTTCCTAAACCATTGATGTCCAGAGTTGTGGTAATGGAATGCAATATACTCTGACTATAGAAGAAACAGCCGATGTATTACTATCTGGCTCACATTCATATACTACATTTTATATGCATAACTGTAACTCAGTCTTTTAAGGTAGTCCAAGAAGGTCAGGAGAGCCCAGGAAATAGGGTATGTGACAAGATTAGTGAATCCCATGGACTTAAATGTCTTTGTTTTTTTCACTGTAAAATACGATTCTTGTTCAGAAGCAATGTGGAGTGTAATGGTTTGATGATGAATAGGCGTTTAGAAATTCTTTGGACCTGCTGGCAGAACATTTCTGGGCAGGGAAGACTTTTGTTTCAGATTCTGGAGTGGGGAGGGCCATCTTGCTCCAGGGAAGGAAGGAAAAGCAAATTTTTGGCATTTCAGATTCCAGAGTGGAAGGTGGATTCTTCTTTGTCTGTGGAGAGCTTAAATGTTGGATGGGTAAAGACCACAGATTGTCCTCTTCAGAATGAAGAGTCTAATCACTCCAAGCAGAAATAAGGTTGGAGTTGAAAGGTAATATCCAGAAACCTCACGATCTCTCCCTCGCTCCCTGCAACTCTGCCCCCAGTTCTCTGCCCCAAGAAGGTGTATGGACCATTTAACAGGGCTGCATACAGGGCAAGGAGTAATTGTGGCCATTTTAGCAAATAATCTGCCACACAGCCTTGCCCTCCTAGACACAGTTGGGGCTGGGAACCTGCAGTTTTTTTTTTGTTGTTGTTGTTTTTTTACTGAGGTAAGTCCCTTTTACCATGTGACAGAGACAAAACAAAACATATGCTTTCTGTAGGCAAATTAGCCCATAGCAGAAAAGGGGAGACAAAGGGGCTAGGCTGTGAATTTACTAGTCTTTCTTCTTAACTCACCCAAATGCACTCTTCCCCAAGAGAGTTAAGTGAAAGTTGGGAGAACCCAGGTGTGTTACTGTGATGGTGCTCCTTCCACCTGGAGGGAAACAACAGATAAAGAGCAGAAATGTTCCTGTTTTAACAATAACAGTAAGCACCACCACCCCCTTTGTTTTCTTTTGAATTAATAGGCTAAAACTATCCAGAGGATGATGTGTCATTTGTCCTACGGCTTTGTCCAGACAAATCCTTCCATACTTGAAAATGTGATTTGAGTCCTCTTCAGCAAGAGTTAATTTATTCTTCCTCCATCAGGCAACAAGAACAGCAAGAAAAAGCATAAAAGCTCTCAGAGATCTTGGGGGAAATACATTAGCATTGCTAAAATGAAGAGGCAGAAGGCAAGAAAAAGAGTAGTCAATTCAAAAGCCTGTAGGGTGGCCAGGCACGGTGGCTCACGCCTGTAATCCCAGCACTTTGGGAGGCCAAGATGAGCAGATCACTTGAGGCCAGGAGTTTGAGACCAGCCTGGCAACATGGTGAAACCCTGTCTCTACTAAAGACACAAAAATTAGCTGTGCATAGTGATGCACACCTGTACTCCCACCTGTACTTGGGAGGCTGAGGCAGGAGAATCACTTGAACCTGGAAGGCGGAGGTTGCAGTGAGCTGAGATCGCGCCAGCGTACTCCGGCCTGGGCAACAGTGACAGTCTGTCTCAAAGCAAACAAACAAACAAACACACAAACAAAAAGCCTGCAGGGCCAGACAGTAACAGATGAGAGTGAAATTAGAGCCCATTGCAAACTGAAGGTCCAAAACTGTGCCCAGAAGATCAACCGTTACTCGTTTGTAGCCGACTCTTAAATGGAGACTGTGAGAGCATTTGCCAGATTTTCCTATTTTCCATGATAAGCTGGAAATACAAATTTCATGTGAAATTTCTCAATTTTTAAGCATTATCACCTCATTTCCTTTTGAGTCACTGATTGCACATGTCAGTGCATGTCAGTTAATCTGCCCAACAGGCCACCAGGTCAAGCTCCTTGCTGGACGATGGGAAATCATTAAGCACTTTGACTTAAGATATTCAGTGTTACTTTGTCCCAGGAATATGTCTGCGAGACCCTGGACAAGTACCTGACTGATTTCTTCCTCAGTGAAATGTGGTTAGGGGCACCTTCTCCAAGCTATTATGGGTATGAAGTACTGTGGAAGAGTACCTGCACCAAGTGGGCTGTAGTCCTCTCATGAAGTGGCTGGCTGGGATTTACTGTGCCCACAGCAGAAGCTGCTATTGTCATTGGCAGGCCTCATAGCTCCCTATGTGGCTTCACGGAGTCACCCTCATCAGCCACCCTTACTCCTGCAGGGGATAGGTCACAGAAGCCACCAGATCAGATTCCATGCTTGCTGTATTAGCTTTCTCCAGAGAAGAGAACAAACAGGATTCATTCATTCATTCATTCATTCATTCATTCATACTGATGGGCTCACACATGGCTGAGAAGCTCCACAATCTGCAAAGAGTCAGCAAGCTAGAGACCCAGGAGAGTTGATGATGTCCAAGGGCAGGAGAAGACCAATATCCCAGCTCAAGCAGTCAGACAGGACATGTTCTTTCTTACTCAACCTTTTTGCTCTATTCAGGTCTTCAATTGATTGGTGAGGCCCACACAAACTGGAAAGGGCCATCTGCTTTACTTATCTACTGATTCAAATGTTAAACTCATCCAAAAACATCTTCACAGGCATACCCAGAATAGTATTTGTCCGGATGTCTGGGCACCCTGTGGCCCAGTCAAGTTGACACATAAAATTAACCATCACACTCAATTTACCAGGATGTGTCAGAGACCCATATGATAGGAAGCTAACACGGGGTCCTGGGATGCTAGAAATCTAATTATTAAACTATGTTAAATGACTGCTCCCAACATATGGCTGTTCCTGGACCCATTTCCAGACAGGAAATGTCCTGCAAGGGAGTCTGTCAAGGCATCACTAATTCTTAGTGCTCAGTATTCCTCCTTCCTATATGTTGCCAGCTGGGGGGATGTGGATGTTTGCCAGATATCTTTGGGAAGTGTGAGAATTGGTTATTATTTTCCACCTTTTTGCTTCTCTTTCCTTTTCTGCTCTAAGATGTGTGTTGGCATTTATGATTTTGCAACTAGCTCAACATGAAGTGTTCAACAAATGTTGGCTGTTACTAGGACTTAGTTATGATTTTTATTTATTTATTTGTTTTTTTGAGATGGAGTTTAATTCTTGTTGCCCAGGCTGGAGTGCAATGGTGTGATCTCAGCTCACTGCAACCTCTGCCTCTTGGGTTCAAGCGATTCTCCCACCTCAGCCTCCCAAGTAGCTGGGATTACAGGTGTGCACCGCCATGCCCAGCTAATTTTTGTATTTTTAGTAGAGATGCGGTTTCACCATGTTGGCCAGGCTGGTCTCAAACTCCAGACCTCAAGTGATCCACCCACCTCAGCCTCTCAAAGTGCTGGGAGTACAGGAGTGAGCCATCAGGCACCCGGCTGGACTTATTCATTATAGTATTATATATATATAATTATACTATTCTAACAGGATGTTTGCACCTGCCTGTAAGATCCTCTGGGCAGGGCTGGTGTCATGCCTCATGCTTCTGTGGATTTTCTGCTCCTTGGCCTCAGCCTGATCAAGAATAGAAATTCAGGAAGTATTGTCGGAGAGATGGGTGGTTTTCTAGTTAAACAGAGTAGTCAGGCTCCTCTCAGGGAAGGTGACATTTAAGCTGAGAAGCAAATGAAGTGAAGACTGAATTCAGTGGCGATTTGGGGCAAGAGTGTTAGATACACAGGGAAACACAAGTTTGAAGACTTTGTAACGGGAACTTACTTGTGCATTTGAGTAGCAGCCAAGGCCCAGGGCGATCAGAGAAGACAGGGTAAAGTAGAAAATGGGAGATAGGACTGAGACATTGGCAGGGGCAGTGTTTGGAGACCTGCTATTCTGCTTGCTCTGGTTGTAAGACCTGCTCCCCATATTAATGACTTTACAGTGAGAAAACTCCTTAATAATAAAGGAAGTAATAATTTAGAAAGGAGCAACAGTAGTCTAACAACTTCTACCTGGGAAGAAAGGCAGGCAGGAATTTGGGATAGATGTTGGCAGTGGACAAAGGATAAATCCATGAGGGAAAAGACTTAGGGTGTATGTAAAAGGGATTATTCTGAGCCTAAGAAAGCTAGAAGTTCTTGGGTATGGTACCCCTCTACCACCAGCCTCCTGGTGTAATTATCAGTGTGAATAGAGTGAAATTCAGGATCCGTGGCTTTTGGGAGCGATTTTGGTAAGCAGCTGTTATGTGCTGATTTGTGTTCTCACAAAATTCACGTGTTAAAGCTCTAACCCTCAGTACCTCAAAATGCAACTGTATTTGGGGAAGGGAAGAAGGCATTAAATTAAAATGAGGTCATTGGGGTAGCCCTAATCCAATAGGACTGGTGTTCTTATCAAAAGAGGATGTTACGACACAGGTATATGCAGAGGGAGGAAGATGTGAAGACACAGTAAGAAGGTGGTGGTCTTTTAGCCCAGGAGAGAGGTTGTAAAAGACACCAACCCTGTTGACACCTTGATCTTGGACTTCCGGCCTCCAGAACTGTGAGATAATATATGTTTGTTAAGTCATCCTATCTATGGTACTTTGTTGTGGCAGCCCTTGCAAACAAATACACCAGGAATTGTGACAGTATAGTGTCCTTAAGGCATTTTCTGTCCTTTCTTGATTGCGCTGGGGTCATTTTAACAAAGGGGTTAGAATCAGTAGGAGGAGAGACTCTACAGTGGCCCATCAGCTGAAATGGCCTTGTGCTTGGTCCTTGATTCCTGGTTCCCAGTTTTCATTCTTATTAGAAATGGCACCCTGGCATTGTTTTCTTCAGAAAGTTCATAAATCTAAATCTCCTGCCTTGGTGGCCTGATGCTGTCTCACTCCTGTAATATTGTTTGTAAGGCTGTGATGTGCTAGATACTAGGTAAGTAATCTCATTAAATCCCCACAAAAGTCTTATAATAAAGGCGTCTAATTTATTAACCCCTATTTTATATCTCAAAAAACTGAGGCTTAGAAATGTTAAATAACCTGCGCCAGGCCCTTTAGCTATTAAATATGGACTTGAGATTTGAACTCAGGTCTGTCTGACTCTAGTAACAGACCTCCGAATTACTGTTTGGGTATGAATTCACACTTGACTCATGCTAGAGGTAACTGTGCTACATTGGCATTGGTGACTGGGGCCAGTTCTTTTTTTGTTCTAGTTGGTTTCCCTATCTTATGCCTGGACACACAATGCTGCGTGGATACTCCAGAATGATCAAATGGGGCGGCCTAGAGTCCCGAATGCTCTCCAAGTCTGCCTGCATTTGTTCAGGAACAGAAACACATTCAGCTGTTTCTTAAAGATCTTTGTAGTTCACATCAATCAGCCGTCTTTAAAATTTTACTGAACACCTACTATGGGTGTTATAGATTGAATACTTCTGCCCTCTTCTCCTAAATTTATTTGTTGAAACCCTAACCCCCAAGGTTATGGTATTGGGAAGTGAGACCTTTGGGAAGTGATTAAGACATGAAGGTGGAGCCCTCACGAATAGAATGTGTGTCCTTTTAAAGGAGACCCCAGAGAGATTCCTCATCCCTTCTGTCAGGTGAAGACACAGTGAGAAGAGGACCATCCGTGAACCAGGAAGTGGGCCCTTACCAGACTCTGAATCTTCCAGTATCTTCATCTTGAACCTCCCAGCATCCAGAACTGTGAGAGAGAAATTTTGGTTGTTTATAAGCCACCTAAGTTGTGGTATTTTGTGAGGCAGCCCAGATGTATTAAGACAATGGGCTAGGCATAGTTCAACCAAGTGGAATGAATCTGGCAGCGGTGAGCACAGGGGCTCCTGGACACAGTGGAGTGAGACTTCCCCCTCAACTCTGGCTTGTGAAGGAGGCCTGCCTGTCAGGAAGAGAGTTCTGGAGAAGTTTTAAAGGGTACAAAGTAGTTGTCCAGTGACAACTATGGAAAAGACATTCCAGATAGAGAGAGGAGCATGTGGGAGGAAGCTGAGCTGGGCCAGGATTCATGGCACGGGTGAGAGAATGGCAAAGATGAGGCTGCAGGCTGGGCCTTGCCCAGGCCATGGCATGTTGTGCAGGTTGTCCCAGGAGCTGGATTTTACTTTGAAAACCATGAGAAGCCGAGAAAGCATTTTTACCAGTGAGTCAGTCATGTTCAGATGCACATTTGGGCAGTGTGGCTGATAGGGGACCGGTCAGAAGGCAGTTGGGGGAAATGTGGTGTCATGATGAGGGCTTCAGGGAACAAAGGTAGGGGCAGTGGGGATGGAGAAGATTGACTGGAGGGAGAGGCTGCTGGGGGACATGGACTTGTCCAGCTAATGGACTAGGCATGGAAAAGGTGTATGTGGTGGATGGCGGCCCCGTTCACTGGGGTGAGGACTGAGGTTAGAAGATGATAAAGGCAGAGGGTGGAATTGCCTGTTTCTCCCTGAATGGACCATCATGCAGTGAGGCACGCATGTCCGGAGCTGAAGGAAAGATTTCTGAAGCTGCAGGAGGCTGAGAACACGCAGTAGGTTATAGGAGGAAAGAGGAAAATGTGGGCGGCTCTGAAGGATGCTGACATTTGAAAGGCAGGCAGTGATTCTAAACAAATCGTTCATAACCCTGCATGCATGTTGGGCTCACCTGGATAGCCTTTCCTTTTCGGAAAGTGGGGGTAGCTTTTAAATCATACAATGGTCCAATATTTGAATTCTATTGGTCTGGGCTGAGGATTGAGTATTTGCATTTTAAAAAGCTCTCCCAAGAAATCCTAAAGCACAGCCTATGTAATAAATATAGTGTGAATTATATTTTATTTTGGGGCCAGTCTACTTACATTATTGAGCAGAAATCTGACTCTCTGCCTTATAATAATAAGATGTAATCATATATTCTCATAATAATCACACATATCTCAGAATGACAATGTTCACTTCTTTGTTTCCTCTGCTACACTGTCAACTTTCCAGGGCTGTAGGAGCTGGACCAATTCTTGCTGAACAAATGGAAGAAGAAATGAATGTTCCTATCATCTATGTTCCGGGGAACAGGTGACCATTTAGGAAAGGAGGGCTCTAGAGGAACCTGGAGTACTCTGTTTCTTCTCCCTCCCAAATGAAAATAATAGATTTACAATGTGAGTCTCTGTCCTGTGGCAGGCACTGGTCAAAACACTTTATACAGGTGTTGTATTGATTCTTCACAACACCCCTGTGAGGCAGCAGGAACTGTTATTATTCCCATTTGACAGGTGCACGTCTGATACTTAAAATGGTTAAGTAATTTCCCAGGTATTTTAGTCCTAGTGAGTGCCAGGTGGAAGCGTTTTTGGAAAACCCACACCTTCCCCTTCCCTCAAAACATTACTTAAATGCTCTGCTCCAGGACAGCCACCTGTACTTCTACTGTCCCAGTACCATAACACATGGTATAGTAGTGACCTTTTAAATTACCTGTCTCCTCTGCTGTACTCTCACTTGTGTGAAGGCAGGGACCATGTTTGTATCCTCACTGCTTCATAGCACACTGGGCACAAAGTAAGCGTTACATTTGTAACTGCTAAATGAACAAAGTCTGTTCCCTTAACCATAAGGCATTTCAAGTCTCATCATCTCTGTGTTTTATATGCTCCAGGAATGATATCTAGTTTCCTGCAGACATTCTTATTTGGCTTTATGGAAAGGTCCTTCATCCTTCTGGTTATCTTCCTCTCCCTTCTTTTCCTTTCCCTTTTCTGTCTTCTCCTTATCCTTCCTCTGCACCTCTTTTTCCTCCTCCCTCTCCTCCCCTTTTCCTCCCTCTCTTGTAGTACTACACTTTGCAATGTCCCCCTTAAAGCATAGTGCCCAGCTTCCATTCCAAGATGGCCAAATAGGAACAGCTCCGGTCTGTAGCTCCAAGCATGATTGACACAGAAGATGGGTGATTTCTGCATTTCCAACTGAGGTACCTGGTTCATCTCAATAGGACTGGTTGGACAGTGGGTGCGGCCCACAGAGGGCGAGCTGAAACAGGGTGGGGCATTGCCTCACCTGGAAAGTGCAAAAGGTCGGGGAATTTCCCTTTCCTAGACAAGGGAAGCTGTGACAGACTGCACCTGGAAAATCGGGACACTCCTGCCCAAATACTGTGCTTTTCCAATGGTCTTAGCAAACAGCACACCAGGAGATTATATCCCGTGCATGGCTTGGCAGGTCCCACGCCCATGGAGCCTTGGTCATTGCTAGCGCAGCAGTCTGAGATCGAACTGTGAGGTGGCAGCCTGGCTGGGGGAGGGCTGTCTGCCATTGCTGAGGCATAAGTAGGTAAACAAAGTGGCCAGGGAACCTCGAACTGGGCCGAGCCCACCGCAGCTCAGCAAGGCCTGTTGCCTCTGTACATTCCACCTCTGGGGGCAGGGCATAGCTGAACAAAAGGCAGCAGAAACTTCTGTAGACTTAAACTTCCCTATCTGACAGCCCTGAAGAGAGCAGTGGTTCTCTCAGTATGGTGTTTGAGCTTTGAGAATGGACAGACTGCCTACTTAAGTGGGTTCCTGACCCCTGTGTAGCCTAACTGGGAGACACCTCCCAGTAGGGGCTGATTGACACGTCATACAGGCAGGTGTCCCTCTGGGACAAAGCTTCCAGAGGAAGGATCAGGCAGCAGCAATATTTGCTGTTCTGCAATATTTGCTGTCCTGCAATATTTGCTGTCCTGCAGCATCTGCTGGTGGTACCCAGGCAAACAAGTCTGGATTGGACCTCCAGCGAACCCCAACAGACCTGCAGCTGAGAGACTTGACTGTTAAAAGGGAAACTAACAAACAGAAAGGAATAGCATCAACATCAACAAAAAGGACATCCACACCAAAACCCCATCTGGAGGTCAACAACATCAAAGAGCAAAGGTAGATAAAAACACAAAGATGGGGAGAAACCAGAGCAGAAAACCTAAAAATTCTAAAAACCAGAGTGCCTCTTTTCTTCCAAAGGATCACACTCCTCGCCAGCAATGGAACAAAGCTGGACAGACAATGACTTTGACAAGCTGACAGAAGTAGGCTTCAGAAGGTTGGTAATAACAAACTTCTCCGAGCTAAAGGAGGATGTTTGAACCCACTGCGAGGAAGCTAAAAACCTTGAAAAAAGATTACACAAATGGCTAACTAGAATAAACAGTGTAGAGAAGTTTATTCTCTTAAATTGCCTGATGGAGCTGAAAACCATGGCATGAGAACTACTTGATGCATGCACAAGCTTCAATAGCCAATTTGATCAAGTGGAAGAGAGCGTATTTGTGAATGAAGATCAAATTAATGAAATGAAGCAAGAAGATAAGTTTAGAGAAAAAAGAGTAAAAAGAATGAACAAAGCCTCCAAGAAATATGGGACTATGTGAAAAGACCAAATCTACGTTTGATTGGTGTATTCGAAAGTGACGAGGAGAATGGAACGAAGTTGGAAAACTTGGATATTATCCAGGAGATTATCCAGGAGAACTTCCCCAACCTAGCAAGCCAGGCAAACATTCAAATTTAGGAAATACAGAGAACACCACAAAGATACTCCTGGAGAAGAGCAACCCCAAGACACATAATTCTCAGATTCACCAAGGTTGAAATGAAGGAAAAAATGTTAAGAGCAGCCAGAGAGAAAGGTTGGGTTACCCACAAAGGGAAGCCCATCAGACTAACAGCGGATCTCTTGGCAGAAACTCTACAAGCCAGAAGAGAGTGGGGACCAATATTCAACATTCTTAAAGAAAAGAATTTTCAACCTATAATTTCAATTCCAGCCAAACTAAGCTTCATAGTGAAGGAGAAATAAAATCCTTTACAGACAAATAAATGCTGAGGGATTTTGTCACCACCAGGCCTGCCTTACAAGAGCTCCTGAAGGAAGCACTAAGCATGGAAAGGAACAACCGATACCAGCCACTGCAAAAACATGCCAAATTGTAAACACCATTGATGCTAGGAAGAAACTGCATCAACTAATGGGCAAAATAACCAGCTAACATCATAATGACAGGATCAAATTCACACATAACAATATTAACCTTAAATGTAAATGGGCTAAATGCCCCAATTAAAAGACACAGACTGGCAAATTTGATAAAGAGTCAAGACCCATCAGTGTACTGTATTCAGGAGATCCATCTCACATGCAGAGACACACATAGGCTCAAAATAAAGGGATGGAGGAAGATCTACCAAGCAAATGGAAAACAAAAAAAGCAGGGATTGCAATCCTGGTCTCTGATAAACAAACTTTAAACCAACAAAGATCAAAAGAGACAAAGAAGGCCATTACATAATGGTAAAGGGATCAAGTCAACAAGAAGAACTAACTATCCTAAATATATATGCACCCAATACAGGAGCACCCAGATTCATAAAGCAAGTCCTTAGAGATCTACAAAGAGACTTAGACTCCCACACAATAATAATGGGAGATTTTAACACCCCACTGTCAGTATTAGACAGATCAATGAGACAGAAGGTTAACAAGGATATCCAGGACTTGAACTCAGCTCTGCACCAAGCAGACCTAATAGACGTCTGCAGAACTCTCCACCCCCAATCAACAGAATATACATTCTTCTCATCACCACATCGCACTTATTCCAAAATTGACCACATAGTTGGAAGTAAAGCACTGCTCAGCAAATGTAAAATAATGGAAATCACAACAAACTGTTTTTTAGACCACAGTGCAATCAAATTAGAATTCAGGATTAAGAAACTCACTCAAAACTGCACTACTACGTGGAAACTGAACAAGCTGCTCCTGAACGACTACTGGGTAAATAGCAAAATGAAGGGAGAAATAAAGATGTTCTTTGAAACCAACAAGAACAAAGACACAACGTACCAGAATCTCTGGGACACATTTAAAACAGTGTATAGAGGGAAATTTATAGCACTAAATGCCCACAAGAGAAAGCAGGAAAGATCTAAAATCGACACCCTAACATCACAATTAAAAGAACTAGAGAAGCAAGAGCAAACAAATTCAAAAGGTAGCAGAAGGCAAGAAATAACTAAGATCAGAGCAGAACTGAAGGAGATAGAGACACAAAAAACCCTTCAAAAAAATCAGTGAATCCAGGAGCTGGTTTTTTGAAAAGATCAACACAATTGATAGAACACTAGCAAGACTAATAAAGAAGAATAGACAGAAGAATCAAATAGATGCAATAAAAAATGATAAAGGGGATATCACCACCAATCTCACAGAAATATAAACTACCATCAGAGAATACTATAAACACCTCTACACAAATAAACTAGAAAATCTAGAAGAAATAGATAAATTCCTGGACATGTACACCCTCCCAAGACTAAACCAGGAATAAATTGAATCTCTGAATAGACTAATAACAGGCTCTGAAATTGAGGCAATAATTAATAGCTTACCAACCAAAAAAAGTTTAGGACCAGACGGATTCACAGCTGAATTCTACAAGAGGTACAAAGAGGAGTTGGTACCATTCCTTCTGAAACTATTCCAGTCAACAGAAAAAGAGGGAATCCTCCCTAACTCATTTTATGAGGCCAGTATCATCCTAATACCAAAGCCTGGCACAGACACAACAAGGAAAGAGAATTTTAGACCAATATCCCTGATGAACATTGATGCGAAAATCCTCAATAAAATACTGGCAAACCGAATCCAGCGGCACACCAAAAAGGTTATCCACCACGATCAAGTCTGCTTTATCCCTGGAATGCAAGGCTGGTTCAACATGTGCAAATCAATAAACGTAATCCATCACAGAACTGTCGACAAAAACCACATGATTATTTCAAAAGATGCAGAAAAGGCCTTTGACAAAATTCAACAGCCCTTCATGCTAAAAACTCTCAATAAACTAGGTATTGATGGAACATATCTCAAAATAATAAGAGCTATTTATGACAAACCCACAGCCAATATCATACTGAATGGGCAAAAACTGGAAGCATTCCTTTTGAAAACTGCCACAAGACAGGGATGCCCTCTCTTACCACTCCTATTCAACATAGTGTTGGAAGTTCTGGCCACGGCAATCAGGCAAGAGAAATAAATAAAGGGTATTCAATTAGGAAAAGAAGAAGTCAAATTGTCCCTTTTTGCTGATGACATGATTGTACATTTAGAAAACCTCATCATCTCAGCCCAAAATCTCCTTAAGCTGATAAGCAACTTCAGCAAAGTCTCAGGATACAAAATCAATGTGCAAAAATCACAAGCATTCCTATACACCAATAACAGACAAACGGAGAGCCAAATCATGAGTGAATTCCCATTCACAATTCCTACAAAGAGAATAAAATACCCAGGAATCCAACTTACAAGGGAGGTGAAGGACCTCTTCAAGGAGAACTACAAACCACTGCTCAATGAAATAAAAGAGGACACAAACATATGGAAGAACATTCCATGGTCATGGATAGGAAGAATCAGTATCATGAAAATGGCCATACTGCCTAAGGTGATTTATAGATTCAACGCCATCCCCATCAAGCTACCAATGACTTTCTTCATAGAATTGGAAAAAACTACTTTAAAGTTCATATGGAACCAGAAAAGAGCCTGCATTGCCAAGTGAATCCTAAGGAAAAAGAACAAAGCTGGAGGCGTCATGCTACCTGACTTCAAACTATACTACAAGTCTACAGTAACCAAAACAGTATGGTACTGGTACCAAAACAGAGATATAGACCAATGGAACAGAACAGAGGCCTCAGAAATAACACCACACATCTACAACTATCTGATCTTTGACAAACCTGACAAAAACAAGAAATGGGGAAAGGATTCCCTATTTAATAAATGGTGCTGGGAAAACTAGCTACTCATATATAGAAAGCTGAAACTGGATCCCTTCCTTACACCTTATACAAAAATTAATTCAAGATGGATTAAAGACTTAAATGTTAGACCTAAAACCATAAAAACTCTAGAAGAAAACCTAGGCAAAACCATTCAGGACATAAGCATGGGCAAGGACTTCATGACTAAAACACCAAAAACAATGGCAACAAAAGCCAAAATAGACAAATGGGATCTAATTAAACTAAAGAGCTTCTGCACAGCAAAGACAACTACCATCAGAGTGAAAAGGCAACCTACAGAATGGGAGAAAATTTTTTCAATCTACCCATCTGTCAAAGGGCTGATATCAAGAATCTACAAAGAACTTAAACAAATTTACAAGAAAAAAAAAAAACAAAAAACCCCATCAAAAAGTGGGCAAAGGATATGAACAGACACTTCTCAAAAGAAGACATTTATGCAGCCAAAAAACACATGAAAAAATGCTCATTATCACTGGTCATCAGAAAAATGCAAATCAAAACCACAATGAGATACAATCTCACACCAGTTAGAATGGCAATTGTTAAAAAGTCAGGAAACAACTGATGCTGGAGAGGATGTGGAGAAGTAGGAACACTTTTACACTGTTGGTGGGAGTGTAAATTAGTTTAACCATTGTGGAAGACAGTGTGGCAATTCCTCAAGGATATAGAGCTAGAAATACCATTTGACCCAGCGCTCCCATTACTGGGTATACACCAAAAGGATTGTAAATCATGCTACTATAAAGACACATGCACACGTATGTTTATTGCGGCACTATTCACAATAGCAAAGACTTGGAACCAACCCAAATTTCCATCAATGATAGACTGGATTAATAAAATGTGGCACATATACACCATGGAATACTATGCAGCCATTAAAAAGGATGAGTTCATGTCCTTTGCAGGGACATGGATGAAGCTGGAAACCATAATTCTGAGCAAACTATTGCAAGCACAGAAAACAAAACACCACATGTTCTCACTCATACGTGGGAATTGAACAATTAGAACACTTGGTCACAGGGAGGGGAACATCACACACTGGGGCCTGTCCTGGTGTGGGGGGCAGGGGGAGGGATAGCACTGGGAGAAATACCTAATGTAAATGACGGGTTGATGGGTGCAGGGGCCAGCATGGCACATGTATACTTATGTAACGAGCCTGCACGTTGTGCACATGTACCCTGGAACTTAAAGTATAATTAAAAAAAAAAAGCATAGTGCACAATGCAGAATGCATTGCTCCCATTTGTTATCCTGGACATGGCAATACTGAAAGGCAAAATTGATTCAGTGCTTTACAAGGAGCCAGACACAATGCTATGGCTATTACCTAAGTGCTTATCATTTTTAGGCTTTCTGTCAACTCTGGGAGATACATACTAACATTTTGTCTTGTTTCAGATAAGGTTGCTGACACTGTGAATGAATTCTCCCTGACCTCACTTGCTCATCTTACTTTTCTAAATTGCTCAAGTACTTTTTACTCCCTGTCATGAGGTCATTTTCCGAAGCTGCATGGATAACGGAGGTAAGTCAGAGATTGCAGCAAGCCAGACATGAGGTAGTTGCCTGGAATAGACTTTGCAGTCTGGTTTTCATTCAATATATTTCCTTTACAACAATCTTTTCTCTGTAAATGGCTGGTCGGCTGATTCCTGTCACGTGCAGCTTTTAAAAATGGTCGTGAGGAAGGATGGGAAATTGATGCTTTGAGCCCATGCTTCCAGAGCATCTCAGTTGAGGAGTA
This sequence comes from Homo sapiens, assembly GCF_000001405.40. NCBI lineage: Eukaryota > Metazoa > Chordata > Mammalia > Primates > Hominidae > Homo > Homo sapiens. The sequence continues at coordinate 131,877,164 of NC_000008.11, read as the reverse complement.
ATCACATTAGGAAAGATCCAGATCAGCTAAGGAAAGCAGCTTTAAATTTCCAAAGTTCAATTTAAATCTCAACTAAAAGGCATCTGCCAATCCTGAAAAAGCATGAAGATTATGTCTGAATTGCTTTCATCTTCAAACCTTCGGAGTCAGTAATCTGTCAGGGGAATGGGAAAGTCAAACTGCAGGAGACAATATGCATCTGCAGAAACATAATCCAATGATTGTTACATGCACAAGCTGACGCTCCAGAGAAAGGGAACAATGAATCCCTCCAGATAGCATTTTTTTTTGTGCCTACTCATTTCATTTCAGTCTTTACAGTGTTCAGTGGATGCTTATGAAAAAGGTCCCTATGGTGAAGAAATAGGGAGCTTTTCATTATACCGTTAAAATGGAAGAAAGGTGGGCACAGAAGCCCAAAATCGTGTCCCCTGAAATGAGCATAAGCGTTGAAATGCCCAATGAACCAAGGGAAGAGCTTGAAAATGGTTTTGAAAATGCCTTGGCACTTTCTAAACACAATTTCCTGTGTATTGGCTTTAAACTGTAGGAAAATTATTTGCAGAGTGTGTAAACAAACAGAAGCAAATGCTTTGTAGAGGCAGTTGTTAGATAAAAATATTCTGTTCAACTGACAAGCATTGCATCCAACTTGTTTTTATTTTGTTTAAATCCCAATCTGTCCAAAAAGAGATGTAAGCAAAAAAAAAAAAAATTATTAGCAACTACTCTGTAAAGAAAATAACACCAGTTTCAATGGGGGAATTCAGAGGTGGAAAGCACTCTCATTTCTCAGGATACTTTTCACCAAGGAGAGGAAAGTTTATATGTATCAGCCAGAGTTCTTAATTGCAAGAACGAGTCATTTGTTTTGGTTATCTCTTGCTGTGTAATAAGTGACCTCAAAACATAGTGGCCTAAAACAATAATTGGTTGTTATCTTTCATGGTTCTATGATTGACTGGGTTCAGCTGGGCATTTCTGGCTTGCAGGGTCTCACATAGCTGCAGTCAGATGTGGGCTGGGGCTGCAGTCAGATGTGGGCTGGGGCTGCAGTCATCTGAGGGCTCACGGGACTGGATGTCAGGACTGCTCACTCCATGGCTGACAGTTGATACTGGCTGTCATCTGGGACCTCCACTGGGGCTGACACAGGGCATCTACTTTTGGGGAAGCATAATTTAAAACAAATTTATTTTCCCAACACAGAAAATCTGTCCACAAAAGTAGTAGATAAATAAAAGTTTTATTATTGAATAAACATTAAACCAGAATACAATGCACATCACAGGCAGTCCACTAAGACACTGCAAAGACGGAAAAAACATCTCACCCTTTTATATAGCCAAGCAAATATCACCCATTGCATGCTTGTTTTCAAGATAAACAATAACTAGCCATCAAGTAAGACGACTTGACAGTACCATATGTCATATTTAGTTCATCCTGACTTTACCTGGTAATCGGGCGACCATTTGTGGTAGCTAACTTCTTATATCTCTGTAATAGGAGGTGTTTTGCAACTTGGATCAAGATACCCACCAAAGTTAGATTACTATTCTCTCACAGAAATTGGGAGGTAGGGGTGCTGTCTCCCTTGATGTTCCATTTCAAAGAGATGGCTCCCAGTCCCTAGAGGAAGGTATTACTGGATCATACTGCTGAGAAAAGGCCTACCTAGTCTTTAAAACAATTTATCTAGAAAAAAGGACTTATCCCCTCAAAGAAGGAGAAAGTATTTAAAATGACAGGTTTTTCCAAAGGAAATGCTATGAAAAGATGGGGAGGGAAATTTATTCCCTTATTTTCAATAGGGAGAATTAAGCCTCTTACTTTTAATTTGCATTTGTCCTGACATTATACATAGTTTCTCCATGTGGCTTGTTTCTCTTTTTCATTAGTTTTATTTTATTTTAATTGATGCATAATAATTCTATGTATTTATAGAGTACAATGTGATGTTTTGATAAATGTATCAATTGTGGAATGATTACATCAAGTAAATTAGCATGCCCATCACCTCAAATATTTATCATTTCTTTGTGGTGAGAACATTTAAATCCTCTCTTTTAGCTATTTTGAATTATACATTATTACTATAGTCACCATGCTGTGTAGTGAAACACTAGAATTTATTCCTCCTTTTGATCTGAAACTTTGTACTAGTTGAGTAACTTCTCCTTTCTCCCTGTTCACCTCACTTTCCCAGCTTTTGATATCAAAAAGAGGAAAGATAACAAGTGATGTAGAGAAAAGGGAATCCTTGTAGGATGTTGATGATATTACAAATTAGTACAGCTATTTTGGAAAACAGTATGTAGGTTCCTCAAAAAACTAAAACTAAAACTACCACATGATCCAGCAATCCCATTTCTGGGTCTCTACCCAAAGGGATTGAAATCTGTGTGTTGAAAATATTTCTGCATCCATGTTCATTGCAGCATTATTCACAATAGTCAAGATATGGAAACAACGTAAGTGTCCATCAATGGACGAGTGATTTTTTAAATGTAATATGTATGCACAATAGCATACTATTCAGCCTTTAAAATGAGAAATTATGTCCTTTTTAACAACATAGATGAACCTAGAGGACATTACACTAGTGAAATAAGCCAGGCACAGAGAGACAAATATCTTTTATGATCACACTTACATATGGAATCTAAAAAATTCCAACTCCTAGGAGGAGGGAGTGGGATGGTGGCTTGAGTTTCTGACAGCATGGCAGCTGGGTTCCAAATGAGAGCTTCCAAAGAGCCGTCATTTCAAGGAGCACAGGCGGAAGCTTAAGATTACCTATGACTCAGTCACGAAAGGCACAGCATCACTGCACTACATTCAGCTGTGAGTGCATCCCAGGGCCAACCCAGATTCAAGAGGAGGGTTCAGCACAAGGTTGCGGATACTGGGAGGTAAGGCTCACAGAGGGCCATCTTTGGAGATCAGTTATCATACCCTTCTAGTATCCTTGAGCAGAAAAGAAATGTATTACAGTAACAAGTAACTTAGGAACTCCCAAGGAAATCAAAAGAATCAGGTTTGAAAGCTTCATTTTCAAGAATTATTCCCTAAAACACAATGCAAGGCTGATACAGTAGACCTCATTGATGTCAAGCCTGGACATGGACACAGGATGCTAGCCTCTGTACGCTTGAACCTCTGCTACTTCACTCCCAGACCTCTGGGAAAAGGAATTCTATGTCCTGGTGGCTGCCTCCCATTGTTCACTTTTGAATAGACATCTTGAACCAGTGCGTCTATTGGTAGAACCTATTGGTGGACTCACATAGCCAAGTATTCACTAAGAATAGTTTGCGAAAATGAGATTCTGATTTGTTCCTTGGGCTGATGGTGTTTACGTAAGGTGTTTGCCCAGTTACCCACATCAGATTCTTGGGAATCTTCAATCCCTATCTTCTGTTGCCACATCCAGTCTTATGATCAAATCATATCAACTCTATTGAAAATAAAAGCTTTGATGTAGTCATAAAAATAAAACATAAAATTAAATAAATAAAATAAAATAAATCTCTGGAAATCATCCATCTTTCTCATCCCAACTTCAAAAATCTTTATGCCTACATAGATGAAATGAAACTACTAAGACGGTAGAATTTGATTTTTAATTTTTTTCATAATTTGCTAATTTGTTCTATTTTTTCAACAACTAAAAGTAGAAAAAAGCTATTTGCCTTCTCGTGGGTCTATTTAATTTACTGAACTTTAGAAAACCCTTCTTTGCTTCAACCCCATTGGTTGAAAAAGGGATGTAGGTCACATGTCCTCTGAAATTCTTTCCCACTGTATCAATGAGAGGATTTATTTATTTTTTAATACCAAAGAAGATGGGAAAAAAAATGTCTGCATTCCTATAGACTGGAGTGATCTTGAGCTCTTGCACACAGATTTAGTGTGTTGACCAAGCACCTAATCCCTTTTCACAGAGATTGCAACTGCATGCCCTTCCACTCCACCATCTGAGACCAGGCCTTTCTTGTGCCTTGCAGTAAATCAGTATTGTCAGAATTTCTGATTATCATAACCTCCCAAAGTAGAAGCTCATTATTCTCTTCCCATTCCAGGCTTAACAAAGTTGGGTCTAATTAAAACCTTACAGGACTCTCCGTATTAGGGATTTTTAAAAAATTTTTTATTATTATTTTTTATTTTATTATTATTATACTTTAAGTTTTAGGGTACATGTGCACAATGTGCAGGTTAGTTACATATGTATACATGTGCCATGCTGGTGTGCTGCACCCATTAACTCGTCATTTAGCATTAGGTATATCTCCTAATGCTATCCCTCCCCCCTCCCCCCACCCCACAACAGTCCCCAGAATGTGATGTTCCCCTTCCTGTGTCCGTGTGTTCTCATCGTTCAATTTCCACCTATGAGTGAGAACATGCAGTGTTTGGTTTTTTTGTCCTTGTGATAGTTTGCTGAGAATGATGGTTTCCAATTTCATCCATGTCCCTACAAAGGACATGAACTCATCCTTTTTTATGGCTGCATAGTATTCCATGGTGTATATGTGCCACATTTTCTTAATCCAGTCTATCATTGTTGGACATTTGGGTTGGTTCCAAGTCTTTGCTATTGTGAATAGTGCCACAATAAACATACGTGTGCATGTGTCTTTATAGCAGCATGATTTATAGTCTTTTGGGTATATACTCAGTAATGGGATGGCTGGGTCAAATGGTATTTCTAGTTCTAGATCCCTGAGGAATCACCACACTGACTTCCACAGTGGTAGAACTAGCTTACAGTCCCACCAACAGTGTAAAAGTGTTCCTATTTCTCCACATCCTCTCCAGCACCTGTTGTTTCCTGACTTTTTAATGATTGCCATTCTAACTGGTGTGAGATGGTATCTCATTGTGGTTTTGATTTGCATTTCTCTGATGGCCAGTGATGGTGAGCATTTTTTCATGTGTTTTTTGGCTGCATAAATGTCTTCTTTTGAGAAGTGTCTGTTCATGTCCTTCGCCCACTTGTTGATGGGGTTGTTTGTTTTTTTCTTGTAAATTTGTTTGAGTTCATTGTAGATTCTGGATATTAGCCCTTTGTCAGATGAGTAGGTTGCGAAAATTTTCTCCCATTTTGTAGGTTGCCTGTTCACTCTGATGGTAGTTTCTTTTGCTGTGCAGAAGCTCTTTAGTTTAATTAGATCCCATTTGTCAATTTTGGCTTTTGTTGCCATTGCTTTTGGTGTTTTAGACGTGAAGTCCTTGCCCATGCCTATGTCCTGAATGGTAATGCCTAGGTTTTCTTCTAGGGTTTTTATGGTTTTAGGTCTAACGTTTAAGTCTTTAATCCATCTTGAATTGATTTTTGTATAAGGTGTAAGGAAGGGATCCAGTTTCAGCTTTCTACATATGGCTAGCCAGTTTTCCCAGCACCATTTATTAAATAGGGAATCCTTTCCCCATTGCTTGTTTTTCTCAGGTTTGTCAAAGATCAGATAGTTGTAGATATGTGGTGTTATTTCTGAGGGCTCTGTTCTGTTCCATTGATCTATATCTGTGTTTTGGTACCAGTAGCATGCTGTTTTGGTTACTGTAGCCTTGTAGTATAGTTTGAAGTCAGGTAGCATGATACCTCCAGCTTTGTTCTTTTGGCTTAGGATTGACTTGGCGATGCAGGCTCTTTTTTGGTTCCATATGAACTTTAAAGTAGTTTTTTCCAATTCTGTGAAGAAAGTCATTGGTAGCTTGATGGGGATGGCATTGAATCTACAAATTACCTTGGGCAGTATGGCCATTTTCACGATATTGATTCTTCCTACCCATGAGCATGGAATGTTCTTCCATTTCTTTGTATCCTCTTTTATTTCATTGAGCAGTGGTTTGTAGTTCTCCTTGAAGAGGTCCTTCATGTCCCTTGTAAGTTGGATTCCTAGGTATTTTATTCTCTTTGAAGCAATTGTGAATGGGAGTTCATAAGTAGATTTTAGCTGCTCTTGTCACACAAAAAGAACTATGTGAGATGATAGATATGTTAATCAGCTTCATTATTGTCATCATTTTACTATCTTTATGTATCCCATAACATCATTTTGGAAACCTCAAATATATACAGTAAAATTCTTTTAAAAAATCCTTACAGGAAATAAAGGAAGGCTTTAGCAATTTTTGTTTTTTCTTGCTTGTTACTGTTTTCCTTCTTGCAGTTTTTAGTACATATTACAGCTTTTTTTGTATTCTTCAAAATACAGCTTGCATATTTTATAAGATCTGGTTAGACTATTAAAAAGATGTTGAAAATCTTTTACTGCCCTAGTGTACTGCAAAAAGTTAGACAACAAAATATCTTTCAATGATTCACTGAAAGTCACTGAACTCAATGGGAGCATCTTTGTAGAGTACAAAGGCCTAAGGGCATCTTTGTCATCAACATGTTCTCTCCTATATGGGAATAATAAGGAAGAAAACAACAACAATAAGGGTAGAACTCCAGAGCATTTTTACTCTTAAGAATACCTCAAAGGATACTCTTGAAGACGCGTCTCCAAGCCATGCACAAAAATATTTTTAGGCTGTTTATATATTTGTAGATCTCATTGTAATATTATTACACTATAAAAAACACAAATGAAATTTCACCATGGTTTAACAATAAAAACCTCCAAGAATTTAGTAAAAAGAATAAAGAGGATCTGCTGAGTATATAGTTGGGATTTCAGGGATGGTTTTAAGAATGTTTCTTTCTGTTCTCCTAAGGAAGACTGGGTAGTGGGGGTAAAGTTGGCGGGAAGAAGGTGTATATCATCCAGAAGTGGTATCAGTTGCTTATAGTACAAGTTAGGATTTTAAATATTCATAATAGTTAAGTAATTTTCCAGAAAATATGTTCAGGATTTTAATATGTCAAGTAATATAACCAAGTAATCAAGTAATTTTTCAGAAAAGCATATTGCTGGGAATTCATGGATGGTTACTTCTGGTTCGGGCTGGTCAGTTCTTTTCAGCAAAATGTATTTTACATTTTCTCTTTGACAAATATGTATTCAAAACCAATTATAACTTGGTGCAAAAGCAGTTGAGGTTTTTGCCATTAAAAGTAAACTTTAATTAACCAATCTAATATGTTCTAGACACTGATCTAGGCACTGGAGTTGCAGGAGTAAAGAAAAACAGACATGGTCTCTCCCCTCAAGGAGCTCACAGTTTAGAAGAGAAAGATAATAGATACTAAAATAGAATAAGGTAATTTCAAATACTAAGTGCCATAGTAAAAAAAAAATCACATGGTGTACTCATCTGTAAATGGTTGTTTCACTACCTTCTTAAGTGAGGTAATATATATGAAACATTGAGACATAGTATATGAATAATTAATTACACACAGTGAATGTGCCATCAATGCACACACACACATACTTTGTAATAATCAAATTACCTTAGCATGAGGTTGAAGCAAAAAGTGGATGAAGTATAACATTTGTGCAATTCACTTTTTCTGACAAAATACAAATACTCTTATTTGTTAAGAATCTGCTACAAAAGAATAAATGGAAGCATCAGAAATAGCCATTGACCCCCTGCATGAAAATGCTGTCTTCATTACTTTCTTCACTCATGAGGGGACTGCAAAAAGTTAGACAACAAATGTCTTTCAATGATTCGCTAAAAGTCGTTGAACTCGATGGGAGCATCTTTGTAGAGTACAAAGGCCTAAGGGCATCTTTGACATCAATATGTTCTCACCTGTGTGTTTAGCTCCTTGACCATGGGCCCAAGAAATTCACTGTTACCCTTGTCTATCGCCACCTGAGGAAGACAGGGATCTTCTATAGCACATTTACTACTAAGTGCCAAGCACTATGCTAGGCATTTTGTGAGCATGCTTTTAGTTAATCCTAGGAAGAATCTCCTGAGGTTGGAATATTAACCTTCTTTTACAGAGGAGAATCTGGAGGCTCAGGAGAGGGAGGCAAATTGCTTCAGGCCACTCAGATAGTGCACGCTGGGTCTGGGGCTGGCGCCTGGGTATGTCTAACTGCAAAGCCAGTTGCTTTGCCAGGGCCAATGGTACAGCACTGCCAAAAAGAACATCTGGAGCAAGAGCACCGGGCTCTGGCAAGATGCCTGAATGCCCTACAAATGGAATAGATGTTTATCATCTTATTGATTTAAGCTTCTTAAACCTGGCATATGGTTATCAATATGGCTAGCAGGATTTTGAAAGGTACAATAGGCACTAGAATGATCCCAGTCCCTCCACACCTTTGGAAAACATGTTTCATTAGGGTGGTTGTAAGGCAGTTGTAGTGGAAAGAAGATTGGCCTTGAAGCCTGATGTCTGTGGATTTGCAATCTAGTTTACTGTTTCTTGCTGAGTGAAATTTTCACACTCTTAATTTGAGGTTCAGTTTGCTTTTCTGTAAATGGAATTTTGAATGCCTGCCTCCAGAAATGGCTATGAAAATGAACAGTATTGTCCATAAATCACCAATTTCTTCATTTTCTGTATATCTATTCAGAACCTAGTATATGACAGACATTTTTCAAGGGGCTGGGATACAAAAATGAAAACAAATTTCTGTCCTCAGGGAGCCAATGTTCTAGGGGGAAGGCAGCTAATAAATGAATGAATGAAATGCATAGTGAGTTAGGTGGTGGGGAGTGCTATGGAGAAAAAGTAAGAAAGGGACAAGGTCCTGAGGTCAGGGGTGGTTTCAGTTTTAATTTGAAGGATGAGGGAAAGCCTCATAAGAAGGAGACATTTAAGCAAAGCTTTGGAGCTGAGAGTGTGAGCCAAGTGAATATCTGTGGGAAAATTCCAGAGCAGAGGAAATTGCAATAGAAAACCCTCAAGGCAGAGTGTCCATGTATACTCTGGAGTGGCAGAGAGGCCGGGTAGCTGGAGAAGAGTGAGCAAAGGGAGGAGTAGGAAGAGATGCAGTTAGAGGGTGACCAAGGGCCACGAGGCACAAGGCCTGGTAGGCCACTGTGATAACAGGTTGATTATGAATGAGATTGGAGGCTAGTGTGGACATTAGGATGGAAGAGTGATGTGATCTGATCTGTTCTATCACAGTATCAGCCATATAGCAGGTGCTTGGTGAATGGTCACTCTTTTATATTAAGCTCTTTAAAAAAAAGTATTGTTTGTATTCAGTCAACCAGGTATTTTGAATCAGAGCCAAATGCTCATGACTGGAGAAGGGGTGAGCTGTAGGGAGAATTTGGAGGTCAGAGTAGAGTTCACATATAAGGCAGAATGCAAAGGCAGGAATCAGAGTTAACAGAGGCAAAAGCCCTAGCATGGTGTCAGTCAATTCAGGTTGCTATAACAAAGTACCATAGACAGGGTGGCTACAAACAACAGGAATTTATTTCAGACACTTCTGGAGTCTAGACATCCCTGATGAGGGTGCCAGCATTGTGGGGTTCTCTGAGGGCCATCTTCCAGGTTGCAGAGTACTGACTTTTTGTAGTATCCTCATAAGGTATAAAGAGAGCAAAACAGCCCTCCAGGGTCCCTTTTATACCATTCATGAGGACCCCACTCTCATGATTTAATTACCTCCAAAAGGGGTCTCCTCCTAATACCATCACACTAGAGGGTAGGATTTCAACATATGAACTTTAGAGGTACACAACCATCCAGTTCATTGCATATAGTCCCAGTTATGAGGGCTGTGGGCTTGGAGGGAGGAAGGTGGTGAGCCAGGAGGGGAGGAAAACCTGGGGAGAGACCATTATTGAGAATGTGGTAAGGGCTGTGCCACATTTCCTCTGCTTTGCCTCCCAGCCTTCCTTCCTAGTTAAAAACAATTGCTATGTACATTTCTTGTAGAAAATTTGGAAAAAGAGTAAGGCATATGGGAAAGCTAGTCTATTTCTTTCCTCCTTGAACGTAGGTATGTTGTTTAATAGAATGCTACCCCCCCATTTCTCCATTTCTGTTTTGCAATTTTAACCTTTTAAAAACTTAAACGAAAAGTAATGAATACATGCTCATAGAAAAATATAGATAAACAAAAAGAAAAATTAAATTATCTATTAGTCTATAGCCCCAAAGTAACCATTGTTAAAATTTATGTACATTCTTCCAGAATTTTCTTTATGTATGTGTGCACATGAGTATACTGACATTTTTCTCAGAGAGAATACGTTTTTCTCTATGCATACTTTTTAAAAACCTCATGTATTGTGAATAGTTTTCTATGATAATAAAATACTTAAATGTCATAATTTATATTCATAGAGATAGAATTATGGGTCAAAAGTAGTCACATTTTTATTTGCTTATTAATTGCCAAATTGCCTTTCAGGAAGCTTGTAGTAATTTATACTTTGATCAACTGTGTATGACAATCCAGTTTCCCTACATACTTACCAACACTATATTTTTTATTTCGCTTTTTGATTGGCCAAAAAATATTTAGTTATGGTTTTGATTTGCATTTACTGCTTACTTTTAAAGCTGAACATTAATTTTTTCATCCGTTTACAGGTCACCGGCATAGCCTGTGTGTATTCTTTACTTATAATCTCTTTTTGAAGAGATTGTCTTCTTCCCACAGATTTGTAAAATGATCCATTTCTTAGATCCATGATATTTCTAGCATGTTTGAGTCTTGAGCATGTGCCTAAGCCAGAGGAAGAGGTTAAACCAGAGCCTCTGGAAAATAGAACAGCATGGTAGGGCACACACATGCTGATGACAGGCTGGTGTGTGGCATGAAACGGTGTGCACTCAGCAACCACAGAGCTGTTTCCTAAACGTCAGGGATCTGGATGCCACCCTGTGTGAAAGTCCACTGCTTTCTTCACAGCATTTCTCTGGATCTGGAGTCTCTCTAATCTATTTTGTCTTTGCCCTGCTGAAGATAGATCACCTTAAGCAAAGTAAGACGATCAGGTTCACGTCTACCCAAAGTGAAAATAAAAAATTAGCCAGGTGTGGTGGCACGGGCCTGTAGTCTCAGTTACTCTGGAGGTTGAGGTGGGAAGATCATTTGAGCTCAGGAGTTTGAGGTTATACTAAGCTATAATCATGCCACTGTACTTTGTCCTGAGTGATAGAATAAAAGCCTGTCTCTAAAATAATAATAATAATAAGGTACAGAGAAAACTATGGCTAAAAGGACACACTTGAAGTTTTTAATTTGATTTATCTTGGGTGTGAGGAAAGAGAAGATGGGACAAGCCCAGAGAAAAATAAACTGAAAAGAAAAAAGCACCAAAAGAAACCCCCCAAACAAAAGAGAAAACCCACAAATCTCATAAAAACCTAAATACCTTCAAAATCTCAGCATACATATGATTATATTTATGTAAAATTATGTTTATATATATGCATTATAAAATTAGAAAACAGATATAATTAGATTGGCTTAAATTGGTTTTTACCAATTTCCATGCTTTTTGAGAAAATTGCAGAATAATGAGTATAGTGTGACTCTATTTTGACAAAAACAAGCATAGAGCTCTAATTATATGTAGCTATATTGTAGATATAGGGGAAAGCAAGGAGGAAGGGGTAGAAAAATACAAATCTGCTTAGTTTTCTAGGGCTGCCATTACAAAGTACCATGGACTGGATGGCTTAACACCTGAAATTTATTTCTCATAATTCTGGAGGCTAGAAGTCCCAGATCAGGGTGCTAGCATGCTCAAGTTCTTGGTGAGGCTCCACTTCCTGGTTTGCAGACAGCTGTCTTCAGGATGCGTCCTCACATGGTGGAGAAAGAGAGAACTCTGGGCTATTATCCCATATGAAGGGCCCTAATCCCATCATGAGGGCCCTACCTTCATGACCTCAAATAAACCTAATTATCACCCAAAGGCCCACCTCCAAATACTATCATATTGGAGATTAGGTTTCAACATACGTATTTTGGAGGATGAAAACCTTCAGTCTATAGCAGTGGTTTGAACAACAGAAGTTTATGTTCTTACAGGTTTGAGGCTCTAGCCTCCAAATCTAATCCTAGTTCAATCCTAGTGTTGGCAGGGTTGGTTTCTTCTCAGGCCTCTCTCCTTGATTTGTAATGGCCGTCTTCTCCCTGTGTCTTCACGTGGTCTTCCCTCTGTGTTTGTGCCCTAATCTCTTCTTGCAACGATACCAGTCACATGGGATTAAACACTACCCCCAATGATCTTATTTTAACCTAATTCCCTCTTTAAAGTCCCTACCTCCAAATACAATCATATCCTAAGGTATGAGGGGTTAGCACTTCAACATACGAATTTTTGTTAGGTGGTTGGGGGAATGAAATTCAGCCAGTAACAACATTCATCTGTTAGTATGAAATATTTCAGAGGGTGGGAAGGGAAGCCATATGGAAAAAAGGCTAGCTTTGTGTTGTAAGTCTTTTTATTGTCTGTCATGTTTCAACAAACATATATTGCTTTTACAGCTTGGAAGTTATAAAATGAATGTAATCCATAAAGGTAGTTGATTGCCTCATCAGATGAAAATGTCAGTGACATGGTTTGGTTCTGTGTCCCCACCCAAATTTTATCTCCAATTGTAATCCCCATGTGTCAAGGGAGAGACTTGGTGGCAGGTAATTGGATCTTCAGGACAGATTTCCCCCTTGCTGTTCTCATCATAGTGAGTGAGTTCTCATGAGATCTGATGCTTTAAAAGTGGTTGGCACTTCCCTGCTTGCCCCCTTTCTCTCCTGCTGCTTTGTGAAGAAGGTACTTGCTTCTTCTTTGCCTTCTGCAATGATTGTAAGTTTCTGGAGGCCTCCCAGCCATGTGGAACTGTGAGTCAATTAAATTTCCTTTCTTTATAAATTACCCAGACTCAAGTAGTATCTTTATAACAGTATGAAAATGGAGTAATACCGTCAGACATTGTGCTTCCACGGTTCATGATTTTCATCAGGGCAAGTCTCTGGACTCTGTCATTCTCTATATGTTGTTTTGACCTCCACATGTCACCTTATACTGTTAACCCTTTAATTTATGGTAACAATATTAGCTGCAACATTTGTAGAAGACACAGTTGTCCACAGCAGGAGAGAAGTCTTTTCTTTCACCTTCCGTGGGAAACAGACACTTCCTTCCCTTAAACTCCAACAAATGTCTCCTCCTGTCTTCCTGGTTTAACTGAGTCATAGGCTTTTCTGAAAACCAGTGTCAGTGTCCAAAGGGTCACATGCTGATTGCTTAGGACAGCTAAGGCCGGCCCCCTAGAGCTGAAGGTCAGGTCACTCATGTCCAAACTCTTGCTGAAAATGGAAGAAGGGTAATTCTTGAAACGTAAATCTGGATCCTGTGTCAGGGGTTGGAGGGAGATGATTTGGAAGCAACCAACCAAAGCCTGCAACTCACCAGGCCCCCTGAAGTGATTTCTAATTTTAGCTCCCATATGAATCTTCAGGTCCAGCAGCACCTTCAGCACAGGCTCCAACTGTTTCTCATCTTTGAGTTCATTGAATTCATACTTAACAAAAATCTCCTATTAGAATGTAGATTCCAAAAGGGCACAAATTTCCCCAGCAACTGGAATAGTGATTGGCATTTAACACATGTTTGTGGAATAGATGAATACACATTTACTGAGTATCCACTATATATTAGACTATTCTAAACACCGAAGATACAGTGATAAAAGTGTGAAGTTCCTGTTCTGGGTTTGCATTCCAGTGAGAAGGCTAGACCATGAATAAATCAATATATATTAGGCTAGACGTATGTACTATGAAGAAAATAAAGTATGGATAGGCATAGAGTGTGATGGGGAGAGCAGTGTGCTATTTTAGATAAGGTGGTCCGAGAAGGGATCAATGATGCAGAGATACTTATGCAGAGACCTAAGGGAAGAAACAAAGCAAGCCTTAAGGATACCTGGGAATGTAACAACAGACAGAGCAAGTTTAGGGGCTGTCTTCCCATTGTATCAGTTAGCATTCAGCTTCAAAATCTGTAAGAAACATGCACTAAAGATGTTTTAAAGCCTTAAGCCACAAGAGAAGAATTTCATAAAAGGATGCAGGAGTATTTCCCTGAATTCAGTGATGGGCATGTGTAGGGTTGGAAAGAGATCAAGATCAGGAGGTAGGAAGGCACTAGGGACCCACTCCATTCATTAATTAGTTAGTTAGGTAATTAATTAAAGTATCTTTCCTATATTCTAATGAGAGTGGGGGTCACAATAGGGTCTAAGACAGACAATAAGTGAAATAAATAATGAAAATATACAGTATGTTGGATAACGATAAATTCTATGGAGAAGGATACAGCAGGAATGGGGTAAGAAATGTTGTAGAGTGTTTTTATTTTTTTCTTTGAGACAAAGTTTCACTCTTGTTACCCAGGCTGGAGTGCAATGGCGCAATCTGAGCTCACCACAACCTCCGCCTCCCAGGTTCAAGCTATCCTCCCTCCTCAACCTCCGGAGTAGCTGGGATTACAGGCATGTGCCACCATGCCCAGTATTTTTAGTAGAGACGGGATTTCTCCAGGTTGGTCAGGCTGGTCTTGAACTCCCGACATCAGGTGATCTGTCCACCTTGGCCTCCCAAAGCACTGGGATTACAGGCATGAGCCACCGCGCCCGGCCGAGTGTTTTAATTTTTAATTGGGTCATCAAGAAAGACCTCACTAAAAAGTTGACATTTGAGCACGTCCTAAAGGAGGCAGTGAGTTATGTGGCTGTCTGGAGGGAGAGAGTCCAGGCCAAGGGAACAGCAAGTGCAAAGGTCCAGAGGCAGCCAGTCCAAGTCCGAGCAAAGGTCCTAGGGCAGCAAGTCCAAGTCCAAGCAAAGGTCCTGGGGCAGCAAGTCCAAGTCCCAACAAATGCAAGGGGGCCAGGGAGATGGGAGCCCAGGGCAAGACAAGGAAGATGAGTTAACAGGGGATTAGATCAGGGAAATAATGGTGATCACGAGGGGGAGCATATTGGTTTTTGTGGACTAATATAAGTGCTTTGGCTTCTACTCTGAGATCAAAAGCTAACAGATGAGGAGAGAAGTGAGTGGCCTGATCTGATTAAAGTGGGAACTGAATCACCCCGACTGCTATGTGTACTTATAAAACCGACTGAGAGGGTGAAGGGCAGAAGCCGGGGACTCCTATTAGGATGCCCTTACAATAATCCAGGAGAGAGATGCTGGTAATGAAGAGTGGTGAAAAGTAGGTAAACTATATTTTTCTCCTGCAGCATTTATTTCTCTCTGCTGCTTTATCAGATCTGCATGTCTACTGCATACAGCTCCTTAGGTTTCATGTCACTTTCTTCCCACTGAGAGACTGCCTTGTCTCAGTTCTAAATTTACCAGCTCCGGTTGGGTAAGTGTGCCCATTCAGCCGTGAGCAGGGCTTGGGGAGATGTCATACAAGCGATGCAACTGGGGAGCCATCCCATCAGTGAAGTAAGCAGCTCTTGGGTGACCCCCAGATTTGGTTGACACCCTTGTTTATATCTTCTAAGCCCCACAGCCTGAGCAATTCATCTCTTTCCTCTTTTTGCCTTTATCTGGCTAGCTGTTTAAAGATTCAACATGGGCTCCTCTGGCTCGATTCTAGACTTTCATAGGCGTGTCTTCCCCTTAGTATCCTTACGACCCTCTTTATAACTTGGTCACATACTTAATCACTCTGTATTTTAATTGCCTATTTTGAAATTAGCTCTTTGAAGGCAAAAATTGTGCCCTCTTTAGCACTACAATACCATCAAGACCTCGCAATGCTAGGCCTACAGTAGGCATTCAATTATTATTTTCATATTGAATTACATCTAATTTTCACATAGTCACAACTTTATTCCCCTGCTCTGATGTCTCTTCCTGCCCTTCTAAATAGAAGAAAAAATGCCTCTTAGGTTGGAGTGTGTCACTTTCACTTCTGTTGCCTTGTGCAATGCTGATCTCCACTTTATTGTGATTGCCAAATGCAAGGTAAAAGAGCATGAATTTTCTGAGTCCTAAAAGATCTCTCCTGCATAGGAAAGGATTTGATCCAGAACATTAGGTGGTGCTGTAAGCAAAGCATCAGGATGCACAGAAGCGTTTGCTTCCACTTAGCTATGTGTGGGGAAAGAAGCCTTTTCATTTTTACAATAGATATCTGTTTCCTCTCACCTGAAGTGTTGCTGTGATTGTTGATCAGGACTTGGAGGAATCTGTAAATTTCAGTGTTAGGGCTGAGAAATATTTAAATATGTGTTGCTCACCAACCAGGAAAACATAGGCATTTCTGGGAATTGGTATTTTCAGAATAGAATGAGCCTAATCTTCTCCAAGGACAAAGCCTTCTGAATTCATTAGAAGCTGAAAAGGAGCAGATCACCCTCATAAGTTTACAAGAATAACGTTTCTTGCCATCTTTAACAAATACCTCCCTGACCTGCAATTTTCAGTCACAGCTTATGAGCCTTCAGGGAAAGAGCCTCAGCTTTGCAGAAAAGGGTGTTCGGGAATAGGGAGTTTGTTCCATTTTCAGTCTTTCTCTACGTTGATAACTTGCACATTCTTTGGGATGTCTGGGTGATCTGTCTGTGACAGCCATCACCCACTGACCCCTTGGAATGAGTCACTTGATCTGGCTGGCTGGAGGGCTAGGCTGCCTCAGTCCTTACTGCTCTATATACATCTGTCAAAAAATCTTAGTCCCGGGGGTTTGAACTATTCCCTCAATTAAAGAGGGTAAGAATTCTTCAGTGAAGAAAACGGAAGTGCTAGTTCTTTGGGATCTAGTTCAGAAGTTACTTTTCCAATGAAACCTTTCCTGAAGTCTTTTCTTTAACGGTAAGCCACATTTGGTGAATATTTGTAGGTCCTAGGTGTTGTGTTAGGCTCTTTCAAATACATTAAGTTATATAATCTTTCTTGCAATGTGGTGTGGTCGTTATTACCAACCCCATTTTCACAGGGGAAGCCGAGATTCAGAGAGATTTAAGGTAGCTTTTCTTAAGACCTGCAGTGAGGAAATGGTAGCTGGGGTTAGGACCCCAGTGGTCCAGCATCTTAATCTTCCTCTTGTACATGGAAAATTAGTTTCACCCTTCTCTGTTCCCACAGATGGTGACATTCATTTCTACTGTGGATTTGTGGCATAGCTTCCCCCTGTGCTGTCTTTGCTTTGGCATAATCACTTTAGTGCATACCTTCTGTTTGTCCTTGCCCATCAATTGACAGCCCTCTACAAAGCAGACATCTTTGAGACCGGTTCTCTGTGTTGATTGCCTTCTCTTGCAGTTTCAGCAGGGCTGTATCCTCATGCATTATTGGGACCTCACAACAACCCCTTTTTTTTCTTCCGTAATTTATCCTCCCTCTCTCAAAGCACGAAATGAGTGACTGCAACATTTGTACTTGGGAATGAATCAACCGGCTGTACTTTAGCTCAAAGCATGTTTTAACAGAAATAAATTCTAAAATTCTTTCAGTCATGAAAAACATTAAATGTGGACAGGAGCAATCTTCAGAACACTGGGTGGCACTGTTCCTCTTCATCTATGACATCAATGACCATGTATCTGGCCCCTCTTATTCAGCACTGTGTTAAGTCCTGAGATCTACCTCCAATATCGCATCTAGTTTGTTCACTTTGTAAGTGTAAGCATTTCTGCTGGGACGAAGGTGACTCACTGACAAATGGGCATCTCCTCCTTATCTCGACACAATGAACGATGTCGGTATGGCCCTTTCCAGGGAGATCTAATGTCTATGGAACTGTCGGTTGCCCTGAGCACATAACCTCCTTGCTCTAAAAATACCTGCTAACTCCATGCTGATAATTTCCTGATTTTGTAGAAGTCAGGGCACATTTATCATTGTTTCCTTCTTATTGCCTTTTGTATTTTCCTTTATTCTTGTGAAGTTTCTTATTTTTGTCAGAGTCCTTATAATGCCCCTGGTTTAATTCCAGTTTTTACCTCTAGCCCTTGTTAGTTTTCCAGACGGAGTCTCTACTCAATGTCTTTAAACTCTGTTCTTCTCTAGAGCACATTATTGGACCTTAGTAATCAACTGCAGTAAACATATGTAGAAAGTGTAGAGGGAATCTAGAAGAGTGAATGCCAGATGCTATCTGGAGAGACGGGCAAATCTTTCATAGGGGTGATGGTGTGTAACTGATCCTTGAGACATGGGTAGAGTGGTTTCTTTCTTCTGTGACTTTTCCTTCTAAAATCCTTGTTGTGCCTTTTTACAGATGAGAATACTGAGACCCATCTGGGTTTAACACCCCACTTAAGGCTGTGAAGTTAAGAAGTAACAAAACTTTTACTGATTATAATTTTAGTGAGTTCTTTCCAATATTCACTCACTCATCGTTTATTCATTCATCAAATATTTGTTGAGAACCTACTATGTGCTGCTACTACTATGTACTGATATGTAACAGTGAACAAAAACCTAAGTCTCCTATAGGGGGTTTTGCATTTTGTGACATGAGGAGGAGGGGACAGACAGTAAACAACAGCAGCACAAATACTTAGTGTGTCAGGGGGTGATAATATCACACGATGGGTGTGCATGTGTGTGCCTGCACTATTTGGGTGGGTGGCAGGGAGGTTCAGGTAGAAAGACAAACGTGCACCAATAATTATAATATTAAAAGTTTTCTCATTATCATGATTACTTTTGTTGAATTGTTTTTCCCTCTTTCCTATCTCTTCCCCTCCAGAGAATTAGAGGAATGGGTGCAATTGCTGAGCTTCAGATGGGCGTTTGTTTTTCCTGGCCGTATGCTGGGAAGTAGAAGGGAAAGAGTGGCCAGCGCAGCCCTGCAGTAGTTAGGGAACTGTTTAACCTAAAGTGCTCTTAGAGAAGAAACTGAAAATCATTTATTAAAAGGAGTTTCCCTGATGTGAGCTCACTTACATTCCTTTACCCACCTTTTACTTCAGAATGAAGCAGAAAAAAATTCTTAGAATTAAGGTCTCTGTCAGTGGGTTCTCATAAAGATTTCAGTGTGCCTTGCCAAGAACATTCCTTCATAAATGACCACATTAGAGAATGAGGAAAGTGCAGGCAAAGGTCATTGCTGCTGAAGGTAACACATTTGTGGGAAAAAAAGGCAGTTACAAGAAAAAAGGCTACAGGCATCATAGTGATGAGGTTGGGGTGGTAACACTGGGAAGGTCTTTGTGGTATTCTAAAGTGATGAGGAGTCATTGGTTATTTTTACCTTGGCTGGTGACCTGTTTTATAGACGGATAATACAGGAGCATTTCTGGAGAGTAGGATGGAGAAGGAGAAGAAAGAAGGAAATAAGAAGGTGTAGACGGAACAGTGGAGGCACATTTAAAAGACTGTTGACAAGGGTGGCTAACGAAGTTTGATCACGGATAAGGTGAATAGCTAGAATTTATTGAGGAATTACTGTGTCCCAGACACTTCTTAAAGTGCTTTCCTCATGTTAGTTTATATAATCCTTGGAATATCCCATAAGTTAGCACTTTTATAATCTCCACTTACAGATGTGGAAGCAGAATGTTGGAGAAGTTACACAAATTTCCCAAGAATTCACAGCTAGAAAGTGGAGTTGTTGTGAATCAAAACCAGAGAGCTGGGTCCAAAGTCACTCACTTAATTACGTCTAATCTCCCGGCTTCCAGTATTAGATGTGGGGCTGAAGGAGAGAGAAGAGTTGGGAAAAAAAATCCGGATTTCAAATTCAAGACACAAGGTCAGCTGATAGATACAATTCTAGGATACTGATGCCTACAGCTGACATCCTACATTTTAGATCCTAGTTGGTAATCAACAGGCAAATTAACATGCAAAGTCCTCTACTTCCCCCCCGAGACTCAGGTTTAAGTCATCTGGTATAAGTTATCTCAAGTCTCCATCTGACAATCTGTGGTCAGTTGTCTGCTTTCCCTAGATTTTCTGGAGACCTTTTGCTCAGCCGCTTCTACCTCTGAGTTTTTGTTCCTGCCAGATGGCTGGTCTCTAAATCAGAGTTTCACTTTCTGTGTTTGCCCTTTACTGTCTGCCCTATGCTGATCTAGAGTTCCACAAACATATAACTTCATCTCGCAGGTCATATGTGTGACTTTGGAGGATGGAGATTATTATTCCAGTTATTATCACCACATTTAAAAACTCCACATGGAAATTAGTGATATAAAAAGACAATCACTTTATTAAGCACACTTTTTTTTCATTTTGTTTTTTGGTCAAGAATTCAAACAGTGCACTGAGGCCATGGCAGCTCTCCTACTAGCTATCTGGGGCCTTCACAGGAGATGACTCAGTCAGCAGAAGGCTGAATCATCTGGATGAGTCTCCACTCACATGTGTGACTCAGAGGCTTGCGCCCAGCTTGGACTGCCAACTGGACGCCTACCCATGGGCTCTCAGGGTGACTTGTGCTTCTCACAGCGTGGTGCCTGGATTCCAAGAGCCAGTGTCTCCCAAGCAAGCATTCGGGACGACCAGTGAGAAGCTGCACAATGTTTTTTGTTTTTTTTTTTTTGGTGAGACAGAGTTTTGCTCTTGTTGTCTGCACTGGAGTGCAATGGCGCAACCTCGGCTTGCTGCAACCTCTGCCTCCTGAGTTCAAGTGATTCTCCAGCCTCAGCCTCCCAAGTAGCTGGGATTATAGGCATGTGCCACTGCACCCGGCTAATACTTTGTATTTGGTAGAGACAGGGGTTTCGCCATGTTGGCCAGGCTGGTCTCGAACTCCTGACCACAGGTGATCCACCTGCCTCGGCCTCCCAAAGTGCTGGATTACGGGCATGAGCCACTGCGCCTGGCCACTGAACGATCTTTTTTCACTCAGCCTCGAAAGTCTCACAGCCTCACTTCTGCTATTTGTATTGATGGGGAGTATTTATTCAAGGAGAGGGAACATAGGCTCCCACCTCTCAATAAGAGAAGTGTTAAATAATTTGTGGATGTTTTTAAAAAACACCACCAGAGAAAGAACTACAGTGTAGTGATGCAAACCAAACCACATTTTATTTTACATACCCTTATTTTTAAAAGTCCTTTGGCTTTCCTACTCGCAGGCATTTCTCACTTGACACTTTTCTTCATAGGCTTCTGCCTCACTGCTGTTCTCATTACACATAAATTCCTATCTATTTTTCATTCATGCCCTTGTGATTTCATTCTTGCATTCAACAATACAATGCATGCACAAATCTTGCATTCAACAAATGTTTATTAAGTACCAAATGTATGCCACACACAGTTTTAAGTTCCTAGGATACATCAGTGAACAAAACATACCAAATTTATTATTTTTTTTTTGGAGCTTATGTTCCAGTGAGAGAGAAATTAAACAATAAGCATAATAAGTAAATTTTACAAAGTACAAGGTGATAGTGCTACAGAAAAGTAAGGAAATGTAGAGCACGGCGAGAGAATAGAAAATGTGAAGGGCTCAGATGTCATTTTATTTATTTATTTATTTTATTATACTTTAAGTTTTAGGGTACATGTGCACAACGTGCAGGTTTGTTACATATGTATACATGTGCCATGTTGGTGTGCTGCACCCATTAACTCATCATTTACATTAGGTATATCTCCTAATGCTATCCCTCCCCCCTCCCCCCACCCCACAACAGGCCCCGGTGTGTGATGTTCCCCTTTCTGTGTCCATGTGTTCTCATTGTTCAATTCCCACCTATGAGTGAGAACATGCGGTGTTTGGTTTTTTAGTCTCAGCAAACTATCGCAAGGACAAAAAACCAAAAAAAAAAAAAAAACATCGGGTGTCATTTTAAACAGTGGCCAGGGTAGGCCTCATTAAGAAGCTGGCATTGCAATGAGGTAGGTATCATCTCACACCAGTCGGAATGGCTATTATTAAAAAGTTAAAAAACAACAGAGGCTGGTGAGGCTGTGGAGAAATGGGAATGTTAATAGACTGTTGGTGAGCATGTAATTTAGTTCAGCCACTATTGAATGCAGTTTGGAGATTTCTCAAAGAACTTAAAATGGAGCTACCATGTGATGCAGCCATCCCATTACTGGGTATATACCCAAAGGAAACTAGATTATTATACCAAAAAGACATATCACTTGTATGTTCATTGCCACACCCTTCACAATAGCAGGCATAGATTCAACCTAGTGCCAATCAGTGGTAGATTGTATTAAAATAATGTGGTAAATATACACCATGGAATACTACACAGCCATAAAAAGAATGAAACCACAGCCTTTGCAGCAACATGGATGCAGATGGAGTCCATAATCCTAAGAAAACTAACATAATAATAGAAAACCAAATACTCTATGCTCTGACTTTTAAATAGGAGCTAAACATTGAGCACACATGCACATAAACATGGGAATAATGGACACTGTGGACTACTAGAGAGAGTGGGCTTGAAAAGCCATCTATTGGGTATTAGACTCATTACCTGGGTATAATATACTCGTGTAACTAACCAGCACAGGTACCTACTGTATCTAAGATAAAAGTTGAAATTTAAAAAAAGAAGGAGGCATTGCAGTGAAGACATCCAGGAAATGAGAATCTGAGCCACACAGTTGTATGGAGGTGAAAAATCCAGATAGAGGGAACAGCTGGTACAAAGGCCAAGGTGAGAGTAGGTCTGGCATATTTAAAGAGGGGCAAAAAGTCTGTGGGGACTGGAATAGAAAGAATAAAAATGAGAGTAAATAGGAAACAAGATCAAGAAAGTGACAGAGGCCCAGACCATGTATGACCTGTAGAATGCTATAGTAAAGAATACTAGGAGTTCTAAAATTGGGATCCAGAAGAGATTTTTGAGCATAGGAGAGATTTAATCTGAAATCTGACTTAATATGTTTTACAAAATCCCTCTGTTTCCCATGTTGAGAACAGACTCTAGGGCATCAAGTGTAGAAAAAGGGAGATGAGTTAGGAGATATATTAGTCCATTATCACGTTGCTATAAAGAAATACCTGAGACTGGATAATTTACAATGAAAAGAGGTTTATTCAGGAGGCATAATGCTGGCATCTGCTCAGCTTCTGGAGAGGCCTCGGAATGCACTGACAATCATGGTGGAAGGTGAAGCCAGGGCAGAAATGTCTTATGTGGGAGGAGCAGAAGCAAGAGAGAGAGGGTGGAGGAGCTACACACCTCCAGATCTTGGGAGATCATATGGACAATGAGAACATATGGACACAGGAAGGGGAACATCACACACTGGGGCCTGTTGTGGGGTGGGGGAAGTGGGGAGGGATAGCATTAGGAGATATACCTAATGTAAATGATGAGTTAATGGGTGCAGCACACCAACATGGCACATGTATACATATGTAACAAACCTGCACATTGTGCACATGTACCCTAAAACTTAAACAACCAGATCTTAGGAGAACTCACTCACAACTGTGAAGACAATTCTAAGGGGGATAGTGCTAAGCTATTCATGAGAAATCCTCCTCCATGATCCAATCACCCCCTACCAGGCCCCATCTCTGATAGTTCAACATGAGATTTGGGCGGGGACATATATCCAAACCATTTCGGGAGGCTATTACAGCCATCTAGATATGTGAAAATGGTGGCACAGACCAGAATGGTAGCAGTGAAGTTGGTGAGAAGTGATAAGATATTAGATATACTCTGAAGGCAGAGTTAATAGGATTTACTGACATTGGATGTCATATGAGAGCAAAAGAAAGGTGTCATGAGCAACCTCAATGTTATTTGTCTGAGAAACTGGAATAATGGAGTTGCCATTGGTTGAGATAAAAGGGGCTATATGTGGGAGCAAACTTTTTTCTTTTTTTAAAATTATACTTTAAGTTTTGGGATACTTGTGCAGAACATGCAGGTTTGTTACATAGGTATACACGTGTCATGGTGGTTTGCTCTACCCATCAACCTGTTGTCTACATCAGATATTTCTCATAATGTTATCCCTCCCCTAGTCCCTGAACCCCCGACAGGACCCAGTGTGTGATGTTCCCCTTCCTGTGTCCATGTGTTCTCATTGTTCAACTCCCACTTATGAGTGAGAACATGTGGTGTTTGTTTTTCTGTTCCTGTGTTAGTTTGCTGAGAATGATGGTTTCCAGCTTCATCCATGTCCCTGCAAAGGACATGAACTCATCCTTTTTATTGCTGCATAGTATTCCATGTGCCACATTTTCTTTATCCAGTATATCATTGATGGGCATTTCGGTTGATTCCAAGTCTTTGCTACTGTGAATAGTGCTGCAATAAGCATACGTATGCAGGTGTCTTTACAGTAGAATGATTTATAATCCTTTGGGTATATAACCAGTAATGGGATTGCTGGGTCAAATGGTATTTCTGGTTCTAGATCCTTGAGGAATCACCACACTGTCTTCCACAATGGTTGAACTAGTTTACACTATGTGGGAGCAAACTATTTAGGGAGAGTGGGAAAGATTAGGAATTGAGTTTTGGACATGTGTTTGATAAATGCATTAGACAAGTCAGTGCAAATTTGAAGTTGAATATGTAAGTCTAGTGTTTAGAAGAGAAGTCTAGGCTGGGTACATGAACTTGTGAGTTATTGGGAAACAGCTGGCATCGAAAGCCACGAGATAGGATGAGATCACCATAGGAGGGGTCTATATAGAGGAGAGAAGGATGTCAAACTCCAAGCACAAGGACACTGCAGTAAGAAGAAGTTGGGAGCGACAAGCAAAGAAGACTGTAAAGAAGTTGTTCATCAGCACAGAGTGTGATATCCTGAAAGCCAAATGAAGAAAGAAGCAAGCATCAAGATCAAGAAGAAAGAAGTAAACCAGTTGTGTCAAAAGTTGGTTCAGGCCGGGCGCAGTGGCTCACGCTTGTCATCCCAGTACTTTGGGAGGCTGAGGTGGGTGGATCACCTGAGGTCAGGAGTTCGAGACCAGCCTGACCAACATGGCAAAACCCTGTCTCTACTAACAATACAGAAATTAACTGGGCGTGGTGGTGCGTGCCTGTAGTCCCAGCTACTCGGGAGGCTGAGGTAGGAGGATTGCTTGAACTTGGGAGGCAGAGGTTTCAGCAAGCTGAGATTGCGCCACTGCACTCCAGCCTGGGTAACAGAGTGAGACTCCATCTCAAAAAAAAAAAAAAAAAAAAAAAGTTGGTTCATTTAGCTGATGAGTCAGGTAAGAAGAGGACTGAAGACTGAGCCATTACATTTAATAATGTGGGTGTCTCTGTGTAAACTTGAAAACAACACCTCTAATGGGCAGTAAATGTGAAAACTTGATGGAAGTGGATTAAAGAGACTGCAAGGAAAGAAAATGGAGGCAGCAAGTGTATAAAACTTATAAAAAAGAGAGTTTCTACAAAAGAAAACAAGCAAATAAAGCACTAGCTGTCAGGAGATATAGGATCTAGAAAAGGTTTATTTACTCTTTTTTAAGTAAATAAAAATAAAAGTGATATTAACATGTATGTATGCTGATGGGAGTCGTCTAGGACAGAGGGAGAAACTGTAGGAGACAGAAGAGAATTGTTGGAACAATGTTGTTGAATAGGTTAGAGAGATGGGATCTAGAACATAGGAAGAATTGGTGTTAGGATTGTGGAGAGTCCATCTGTGGGCACAAATAAGAAAGTGCAGATGGGTCAGAGGGGGTGGTGATTCTCATCTGACTACTTCCATTTTCTCAACATAGAAAGCAAAGTTATTAATTGAAAATGAATTTAGGAAAGGCAACATTGAAGATTTGATGAGAGAGGAGACATTTCACAATAGGGATTTAGGAACATGGAAGAGTGAATAGACTAGGGAAGTGTAAGATAATTACTGAGCTGTGTTAAGGGCCCTCTTGAGTCCCCAGTCATAGATTTAAATTGATATTAGTCAGCAGTGGTTGGGTGTTTATATCTAGACATGCTGCTCAATGCCAAGCATGGGTGGGTGGAGAGTTGATTTGAACTAAGTTGTGGATTATCTAGTGAGTAATATGAAGTAAAGGAGTTGGCAGTGGAATCAAGGACATCAAGGGTCAATGCAAATTGACCGTGACACTTAAGCTGGTTTAGGAAGGAGAGAAAGCATCAGGGGGGTGGATCAATGGAAGGATCCATGAAGTGGAGATTTTTGGTCATAGGTTACTAAGAGAGTGAGTGGAAATTAGAAGGTGGTAGCCAGAGATTAGAAGGCATGAAATGACTAGAGTTGCCATTATTGGTAATGATGAAGTCTAGGATAAGCTCGTGGGATTGAGTAACTGAGGTAGGATGAGGAACAAGATCATTGGAAGAGAGATTTTCCAAGGAACTGAGAGGCCAATGTGTTGGAAGGGTCATCTAGATGGTATACCAAAAGTATCAAGAGTTAAGTTCCTTACCCTGTAGCCATGTCTCTTACAATTATTTATCTTACAATAAATGTGGTAGATATAATCTTATTATGTTGTTTGTCTACTTATTTAGGTACTTGATGCATGTTTGTTGAGTTGACAGAAATGCACTGTGTTTTGTTTTATTAGCCCCTGCCTTTTCCAGCCCTGAACATATGTAATCATGGACACTCTCCACCATAGGGTCTGCTTTTCTTGGAACCAATTCCTCACCCATTCTCTTCTCTGGGTTCTAACCAATAAAGAGAAAATATGAGGAGCCAAACAATCTCACCATTAACCTTAATTATATAGCTGATAACTCCCTAATAAGGGGTTAGATACTGTGGCTAGAAGCTGAGATTAAAGTGAAGTTCTCCTATTATCTCCTTTCCTACAAATTGAGAAATTAAGATCTGCTTCTGGATTGCATCTGCCCTATTATGTATTCAGGTACATGGAAAATTGTTAATTTTGACTCACAACCCATTTTTAGGCAGAACAAAGAACAAAGAGGGTAAAAGAAAAAGTTGGAATATAGATAGCTATGGTCTTAAACATATCTTACTCTTTCTAATCTCACAATCTCTTATGGGGCATAGTAAAAGATAAAGACAGACCAGATTAGATGTGTTCTCTCCAACATTTCTGTAGCTGAGATGAAAGTGAAAGTCTCCTTGTCCATAGTCTGAGGCCAGAAAGTGGGCTTAGAGGTATTCAATGTCCTCTTGTCTAAGGATGGAAGACATTGAAAGTATACTTTCTATTTTCACATGGGATATGGATTGGTCTTGATGACATGCTTGGTGCCTATCCCACTTACCATGCATGCCCACAGTGTTATTACAGCACTCCCCAACCCAACCAACCACAAACACATTGGTGGTTTATGTAGTCAAATAATCTAGTCAGAATTTCTAGTTAGTTATGTGGTTAAATAGATTGTAGTCAGAATTTCAAGCTTCTTGTTTAGACACCTTCAGTCAGAGTGAGAAGTCAGAGCTTCTTTTTAATAAACCTACCACCTCAAGAGTAATCAAAGGGCAGTGGTTAAAGTTGTTGACCTAGACAGATGGCAGCATGAGGCTTATTCCAGGAATTTCAGAGGTGAAGGGAGATCAGATTTATTCTAGACTGCATTTGTGGGGAGGAGCTTTCTGGACATTAGGCCACAGTGCCTTAGTCATTTGGTGTAGGGTTGAAGTCTTGGATGAAGAATCGCAATCTCCTTCCAAAAGGCAAGTAGTGAGGAAGACAAGATGGGCAAATTCTAGAGAAAAGAGCTGTACTTTCCCAACTAACTCAAGAACCAGGAAGCTTAACTCATTATTCTCTCATCACCTTCCCCTGATAGAAATAGCTCTTAAATAACATAAAAATTTCAGGGGGAGAGTCCAGTGATATAAGTAGTAGAAACTAGAGAAACAGCTCTTGATACTTGAAGTAATAAAGAAGCCACCATGTGTTATCATAGTAAGTGGTTATCTTTACAACGAAAATGAATTTACAGATCTGTTCTCAAGTAATAGAAATGATCTATCGAGAGAGTACTCAGTATGACATATACAGACAGGTTTGTAAGAGCTTTGCAAAAAGGACCCCCAAACCGGGGTATTTTGGTGATTTTTTAAAAGTATTTCAAACCCTGATAATTATGGCATCAACAAACCTCACCAATAGAATATCAATAAAAAGAAACCATGTAGTCTGAAATGACTACTAAGCCAGGATCAAAAAGACAAATTTTCGATAAACTTGTGATAGTTTTCAATTTCCTCTGGGCTAATAAAAATGACAGGACACTGTTTTTTTCTTACATAACAGCTTTATTGAGATATAATTCACATGCCATATAATTCACCCATTTAAGGTATATAATTGAATAGTTTTTGGTCTAGTCACACAGTTATGCAACTGCCACCATCAATTTTAGAACATTTTTATCATTTCTAAAAGAAATCTTGTACCTATTAACAGTTGCTCCCCATTTCCTCCAAGCCCTAGAAAACAACTGACCCTACTTTGTGTCTCTATAGATTTGCTTATTCTTGGCATTCTTATAAATGTAATTATACCATATATGGGCCTTTGTGATTGTCTTCTTTCACTTTGCCTAATGTTTTCAAGATTCATTCATGCTGTAGCATGTCTCGGTACTTTATTCCTTTTTGTGGCACAATAATTTTCCATTGCATAGATATACCACATTTTGTGTCATTATTCATCAGTTGATGGACATTTGAATTATTCCCACTTATTACCTATTATGAGTAAAGCTTCTATAACCATTCATATACATGTTTTTATGTGGGCATATATTTTCATTTCTCTTGGGTAGGAGTGGAATTCCTGGGCCATATGGTAGGTAACACTATGTTTAACCTTTTGAAGAACTGCCAGACTGTTTTCCAATGTGGCCGCATGATTTTACATTCCCACAAGCAGTATATAAGGGTTCTAATCTCTCCACATCCTTTTCAACATTTTTTTATTATTTGTCTTTTTTATCCTAGCCATCCTAGTGGATATGAAGTGATATCTCATTGTAGTTTTGATTTGAATTTTCCTGATGGCAAATAATGCTGACCATCTTTTCATGTCTTTATTGGCCATTTGTGTATCCTTTTTGGAGAAGTTCTGTTCAGATCCTTTTCCATTTATTTTGTTACTTTTTTCCTTTTCCAATATTTAATTAGGTTATTTGCCTTTTAATTATTGGGTTGTAAGAGCACTTTATATATTCTGGATACAAGTCCTTTCACCAGATGTATAATTTGCAAATAATTTCTCTAATTCTGTGAATTGTCTTTTCACTTTCTTGATGATGTCCTTTGAAGGACAAAAGTTTTTACTTTTGATGAAATCCAGTGTATCCATTTTTTGTTTTGTTGCTTGCTCACTTAGCATCATATTTAAGAAACCACTGCCAAATCTAAGGTTATAAAGCCTTACCTTTTATTTTCTCCAAAGAGTTTTATAGTTTTAGCTCTTACATTTAGGTATTTATCCATTGAGTTAATTTTTGTATATGGTGTAAGGTAGGGGTTCAACTTAATTCCTTTGAATGTGATGTTCAGGTTTTCCAGTACCATTTGTTAAAAAGACTATTCTTTCTTCCACTGAATTGTCATCTTGGCTTCCTTGTCAAAAATCAATTGACTATAAATGTGACGATTTCTTCCTGTGCTCTCATTCCAATTCTATTAATATATATGTTTATCCTTCCCAGAATGTCTTGATTACTGTAACTTTGTAATAAGTTTTGAAATTGAGAAATGTGAGTCCTCCAACTTTTTTTTTTTTCAAAATTGTTTTACTATTCTGGGTTCCTTGAATTTCCATATGTGAAGTAACATTTTGCTTTCATATTTATTTATCTTGTGACAATTCATTTTTACCTGGTTGGCAAGGAATGAAGATGAAGAATAGATCTTAGGACTAAATTTAGCTCATGTTTTGGAAAGGGAGATGAAGGCAAGGTTACACAACAACACAATATTAATTTATAGAGCCCATGAGTCTTAAATTTATTCTGAAAGTATAATATGAGCAGACAAGTAGAAAGGTAAAAAAGAGCTTACATGTTTGGGTCTATGAGGTGAGCATTTATAGATGACTGATTGAGGGTGGTAAAGTAAGATGATAAATTTGATCATGCTAAAAGATGCCCTAAGTTCAACATATCTTTCCTGCTGGTCTCTACCTTAGTATTGAGTATGTTTGAACTGAAAACTCATTTATTTTGGGTGTTAGGTATCACATACAAATAACCCCCATTAAAATGCACATTACTGGCTAGATGAAATGGGTAAGGAGGAGGACATTATTTGAGAAGAGATTGAGATGACCATGAAGTCAACACAGCAGATAGATCATCAGGGTAGATGTGAATTGCCTGACACTACTGACGGAGACAGGGTGGTAAACAACATGAATCATGGAGGATGGTGGATGATAGTGATGGGGATACAGATGCTAGGGTATAAGGTTATAAGAAGATAGTATGAACCTCCCATTGAAAGGTATGTAGTGATGACTGCAAAATAGGAGCTTTGTATCTAAAACAGACTAGCCCACCTTAATCCATCTTTAATGGAAAGATCTGAAAATACTTCTGGGGAATACAGAGTACTATAATGTCCTAGAAGTTTGAACACTAGGAAGAGATTCAAAGGTGTAGTCCAACATTTTCTTACAGTTCTTCTCATTTCTCTTGACTCTTTCAGATGAGGAGAATAAAGCCAAGGCTCTAATTGAAGTATTCATTTGCTAATTAGGAATGAGAGTTCTTATGCTTCTATCCTTCCTATTGGGTTTTATCCTCATCAATTTCTTCTTAACTTTAATTCTGTCCAACTCATTTTCATGGTCTACCTGATATGCCTCTCTATTAGTGACCCCATTTTGCCCCTAAAGCCTGTGTTTTGTAATGCACATATTGCCCTCAACCTTTTACAGAATTGTCCATTTCCACTTAAAGGTGGACCTCCTGAAGTTGCTCTTAGTCTCCCTCTTCAAATAAGTTCACCTCAAATGAATTCAACTTGAAGATGTCATTTGTATACTAGAAGCAGAACTATTGCTTTTTGTTGTTGTTGTTGTTGTTCGAGACAGGATCTCACTCAGTCGCCCAGGCTGGAGTACAGTGGCATGATCAAGGTTCACTGCAGCCTCAACCACCTGCACTCAAATGATCCTCCCACCTCAGCCTCCTGGCCAGCTGGGACTACAGGTGCACACCACCATGCCCAGCTTTTTTTTTTTTTTTTTTTTTTTGTATTTTTTGTTGAAATGGGATTTTGCCATGTGCCCAGCCTGGTCTCAGACTCCTCAAGGGATCTGCCCACCTCAGCCCCCTAAAGTGCTGGATTGCAGGTGTGAGCCAGTGCACCTGGCCTTGGGTTTTGAGATCAAAAAGACAAACTGAACTGCTGAGATCTAATATGATTTTAAGGAATCTGCTTGTTTTCCCCCTCTTATTTATTATTCCATTGGAATTCAATGCAAATTCCATACTTTCAATTTACTTACTAAATTTGCTTTGTACTACTAAGGTAATTGAAAGGTTCTGAGATTATTATCAGGTTATGGTAATATCTAGGTTTAGTTGCTTATGTGTAATACCAACACATTTTATGCTTTACAAACTTATCTTCTTGATTAGCCATGCTAATTTGCATTTAGTCAAAAGTGAGATGGACAATTCTTCTATTCCACTAATATTTTTAAGTGTTATTATTATCTGCTCACTACTAAGTTTTGTCCAACTTGCATCTCCTCAGAAGATCACAGTCTAATATGGAATAGAATATGATACAATATCTGCCATTTTGTGTCTGCCCCTCATACCTTTTGAAA
This sequence comes from Homo sapiens, assembly GCF_000001405.40. Classification (NCBI taxonomy): domain Eukaryota; kingdom Metazoa; phylum Chordata; class Mammalia; order Primates; family Hominidae; genus Homo; species Homo sapiens. The sequence goes on along the minus strand of NC_000008.11, from coordinate 131,845,610 downwards.
ATCACCCTTTTGCCAGTCTATGTGATTCTGCTGGGGTTGTCAGTTTGGGATCCCCAACTCCACTGCTGCTGGAGTGGATGACTAAGCTGGCTAATCAACTGTTCACATTCCCCTGGGACACAGTGACTCACCCAGGAAAACCAATTAAAGTTATTATGGGGAAACCAAAAGAAACACTGATTGAGTGTGTTTCTCTCCTTCTGAAATTAGTAGCTAGAAGACCATGTAAGCTTAGACTTGATGGGCTTTCTCTTGATCAGAAATAGTCTCCCAAGCTCTTAAAGAAAACATAACTAGAGATGGAGACTGAGAAAAGGAGAGAGGGAAAGAAGGAAAAAAGTAAGGAGGGAGGGAGTGAAAGAGAGAGACCATATAATCTGAGCACCCAAATTTAGTTTTGCTTGAAGCCTAGTCTCACAGACTTTTCATTTTGAGAGCTAATACATTCAGTTTATCCTTAAGCTAACTTACACCTATCCCAGAGTCCTGACTTTATAATAAAGAATTCCAGTTTAAGGGAATAAAACTGTCATGAAGAAATGCACCCAGGGCAGGGGAGAGAGAGCCATTTCTGCCTGGACAAGACCAAGTGATAATAACAGATGCAAAATTTTATTACAAAATGATTATGTGCATATTACCTCATTTGATCCCCATACCACCACTATAAGAAGGTGACTTTCATTATCCTCATTAGGAAAATACTGATGATTACAATTACCCAAAGGGTGAAAGGAGGAGGGTAGAAAGTGAAGGAAGTTTGGAAACCCAAATATCTTACACAAAATGATAACCACTGTAAAATGAATTCTAATACCATTCCTAAACCAACATTATAAAGGTATTTCTTGAGATGTAATGCCCTTTCACAAGCTATTCTATTGCTTTATATTCATATATAACATCTAGATCTTGATAAAAAGATGTTTTGTGATATTTTGAGAGGTCTTTAGAAAAAACAACCCTACAAATACAGCTAGGCACTGAAATGATACACATAAAAAATGTAGGATTAGCTCAAAAGTCTGTGGAGCTTTGCAAGAATCTTATATAATGAGCCAAAATGACCTTCCTCATTTTCTATCATTTTTCCCAAGAAGCTAACGTTTTAGATCTATGTATAAATGTTACATGGGCTGTGTTATTAGATAGATATTTGCTCCTGGAAGATAAAAAGGTACCTTTTATCCTCTCAAATTTAATTTGATTCTATTGTAACCATGGCCAATGAGAAATGGTCTTAGGAGACAGTGTTGCCAAGTGTTCTTATGAATGTGACGTCTTGTCATATGGAAAAAATTGCTAATGGCCTTAAAAGTATAGACTCAGAGGGAAAATGTTAAGGGCTAGTTCTCAGACTACAGTATTCGTTAATAAAACTCACAGACTCTTCTTGCTTAGAAAGCTGCATACTTCATTCTCTGATTCTCTCTAGTAGCTTACAAGGCCTCATTTAAATGTTTAGCTCTCTCTCGCACATATAGATCCAGACACAGAGGCACAAAACATAGTCATCTGCCATTCTCAATGCCTAGGATGGTGTGTTGAGCCTGATTTTATTAAAAGGAAATGGCTTAGTGTTCAATACAAAGATATAATGGTGGGGTAACCCCATGTTTTTTCTATGATCCTTTGGGTCAGTGATCAACACTACAAAAGGCAGTGGTCAACTCTAGTTTTTCCTTGCTCCTAAATATGTCTGAGACAATGCCATATATTTAAACTAAATGGTTTCATTTTTTTTCTAGGGCACATGGAAAGACCATGTTTCCAAATTTCTCTTACAATTAGGTTGAGGATATGTGACTGAGTTCTAAATACCAGAATGTGTGCAAAAGTGATATGCCATTCCTAACCAAATATCTTCCTTTCCCTGGAATACTCCATGCTTTCTCTTGCTCTTTCATGGAACTTTAGAGACCAATTATTGAAGATAGTTGTGCCACAATATGGATGAATCCTGGATACATGAATGCCTGTGTGGAACAGAGCCCGCTGTCTACTGTATTGGATTCTGAGGTGAGCGAGCAAAAGTGATTATTATACTAACCCACTGAATTGTTTATTTCTTAGTTTTTCTCTGTTACAAATGTTTTACTAATAGTAATGGTTACTTGGGATTGTTAAATTTTTTTTTGGCAAAACCCATAAAGAAGATGCAAATCCTTATGGTTTGGAGTTGGGAATAAGCTAAATATAAAGACGTGGTCATAAGCCTTAGAAGCCACAAATAGATGCAATCCCCTACTGCTACCCTTCTTTAATGCTTCACCTTATGATCCCATGATCTCCAATTACTTGGAGTTCTCCCAAGAACACCAAAGCTCGGTTTGCCTCAGATCTGCATGCCTCAGAATCTTGGCTCATGATGCTCTCCTGCCCACACCATTCTCTATCCTGACCCATCTGATAAGGTCTATTTGTCCTTTAGCACTTCACTGGGGCATGCTGTCCTTCAGGAAGTTTTCTTTGATCCCTGAACTAACAAAAGTTCCTCCCTTCTGTGCTCCCATCTATATTTAACCCTATTATGAAATTCATCAATCTACAGGGTAAATACTTTTTCGTGTCTTTCCAATCAGCTAGAAAACCCTACAGTCTAGAGTTTCTGCTTTATTTATTGTTATATTGTATGGACTGGCAAATATCTGGCATATTGGAATTGCTCAATAACTTTTTACGAAATTTAATTGAGCTGACTAGGCAACAGAAGTCCCCAAAACAGAAAAATGTTAAATGTCATTTATAATCTGTGGACAGGGTAACACATAGCATGGGAGAATAGGAAGACACAACATAGAGCTGTAGCTACTAGTTTTCTATTATTTAATATGAAAAGAGTCTTAGTCTGACCCTAAGTTATGGTCACATTATGATGCAGATATATTGGGGTATGTCTAAAGGCCACTTGCACATACCCACAGGTGCTCTGTTGTCATGATGGACCATCAATCTCTTGGGGAAGACATCATTCTGAGAAGACAGTTTGGACAGAGAAAAAAATAGTTTGTACAGGAGTTTGGAGTCATTCTGGAAAATCACCTATTGTCTGCCACTCTGTTTGTTTATGGCTTAAATACCACACTTTTGTCTGATCGCACAGAGAGAGGACTGAGCGTCAAATCTGAAGGAGGTATTTCAGCAAAAGCACCACGAGATGCTAAGTCCCTAAGGCAATGCTGTTTTGTGGCTGCTGTGGAAGAGAGTGGCACAGAGGGATTGGGAGCAGGGTGAGCTAGCCTGTGTCTCTCATGAAGACGTGGTAGCAGATGTCACTTTTTGGTGGGTGTTAACAGTGCCTCAGGGACATAGGCAGCTTCATGACGCTTTTGTGGCTGGCAACAACAGAACACATCAAAGCAGAGGGGCGGGAGAGGAGGAACATGGTGGGATGGCAGCCAAGAGAATTTGTTTACAAACATCTGTGACATTTTCAGTGACCCCCAGGGATACTGTATGGGGAAGAATTTGCATCAGATGGGAATCATAGTAGTATGTAAGGAGGAAGGAGAAATATACTTTTTATTAGTGTTAAGAAAATCCTATTTTTAACCACTATACTGATTCGTCCTGAGGGAATCTTGGTTACATTTTAAGTAAGTGGAATGTGTTTTAATTGACAAAGTCGAGTTTACCCAAGGTCAAATAGGGACATGACAACCACTAGCAATGATTGTAAATGATTCATGAAGCTTGGGAGAGGTGATCAAAGTCAATGAAAGGAGCAATTTGAAGTCCATTCTCATGAAATCATAGACATGATAGTGCATTGTGATATGGATCCATCAGTGTGTCATACTGTGAAACAAACAAACAAACTGAATATCTTACCAGAAATCAATTCCTAAGCAGCCGTAAGAGCGCAGGGTTTTGGGTGAAAAATAGCAGGGCTTTGCAGAGAATCAATAACATCAAACTAGCCTGTTTTCCTTCTGTGACAGAGTGATAGACAAATTGAAACACATTATATTTTGACTTTGCTAAGGCTTTTGATTTTTCTCAGTGAGAATTTTTCAACACAGAGGGTAATTCAACAGATATCTTTGGAATGCTAAGGGCATATGCTACGTAACAGGTATACTGTGATTATCATTCTCTTTCTGTGAGAGATAGGGAATCTTGTGAGAGTGGAAAGAAATGTGGGCTGGTAAGTACAAATTAGGGCTAACCGCCTTTAACCTAATTAGGTGCAAAGTGCTAGAAGTAGCACAAACGTAGAGCCCCTAGAACTCCCTGGGGTGGTCTCAGAAACCTCCGTTAAATAAGGAAAACTTGAGTAATAGCTAGGAATCTGGCTATTACTCAAGAGAGCTGGAAATAAGGTCTTGGGAGTTAGGATAAAAGCATTTATCTCTACTACTTGCACACTCACAAAAATATGCAAGAGCTGCCACAAACTCCCCAAAGTGCATTGTCATTCTCCTCCAGGACCTAAAAAGTTGATCTTTGTATCTAGAAACATGGACATAGCTCTGAATTCAAAAAATTAAGGTGGGAATAGTAGTAGAAGATAAAACAAAGAAACACACACACCAAGATACAGTCCTAGACCTGTCTGATCATTTGATTGCCATTATAATCTTATGAGTCCACAATCAATCAGTCAACTCTGCAGATGGTAGCTGCCAATACAAGTATTTCTCTGCTGTCTAATTGACTATCCTTTCCTTGCTTGCTAGCAAATGAAAGAAAATGATATCACATGTTTCAGCTGATCAAGGAATAACTGGCCAGGGGTCACTTGGTATGACAGCCATCCAGGTTTCAGAAATGACACAAAAGATATGGATAAAGTCACTGACTGGAGATAATGGTGTCAGGAGACACAAATGCATATATTATCTGCATTTCCCTGATCTCTGCATTTTCTTTCATGCTGCAGTTTGGGGAATAAATGGTGGAAATAAATATTGACTCCTGGGTCATGACAACTGGTACATATCTTTGCTACATGTTTAATATTTTTGTTGTAACAATAATTAGTTACAACACAAAAATTATACATTGTCTTTAGTTTAAGTAGTAGGAAGTTGGAGTTCTTTTGTTTCTTGATTCACCCATAAAAGGAAAAGTAAATCCACACATTCTAAAAGGGAAAAAATAGGTTAAAACAAAGATTTGGACCTAAGTCCTTAGTAGGACTATCTTGAATGGATTCATATGCTAAAGGGTCAGAGAATGCAAGATAATTGGAGAATTTGCAGTGAACTTGCAGTGAATGCAATACAGTTGTACCCCCAAATACTTTTGTATTGCTAGAAACAGTGTATGGAACATATTGCAGAAGTGAGGGGCTAGAAAATTGGAAAACAACCAGATTATGGAAGGTCTCATGTATACTATTCTGGGTCTTTTCAAATCCTTCACCTCTATCAAAACTCGTACTATTTCCCATCACGTTTTTCTCATTTATTGATTCATTAATCTACTTTTTCTTTCTCAAACGTTTCTGTTGATACAAAACATACATGTAGAAAACTGCAAAACTCAGTAAGTTTTCACAGGTTGAATAGATCTATGTAAACAGCACCTAGATGAAGAAACAGAACATGATTGGTACCCAAAAACTCCATATAGCACCTTCCTAATTCCCCCCAAAGATAAGTACCATCCCGGCTTCTAACAACATAGGTTGATTTTACCTGTTTATAAACTTTATACAAATGAAAGTGTACAATATTTTTTCTTTTGTGACTGGTTTCTTTTGCTCAACATTACATTTGTGAGATTTATCCATATTGTTGCATGTATTTATAGTTAACGTATTGTCACTGATGTATAAGATTCCATTATGTAAATATACTGCATTTTATTTACCTCTTCAACTATACATAGATATTTGATTCACATTTAGTTTTTGGCTATTGTAAGTAGTACTGACAGAGCTTTTTTTTTTTCTGCACATATGGAAGCATTTCTGTTGCATGTGCACCTAGAAATGGAATTGCTTTGTTATTGGATACATGTATATTTAATGTCAGTAAATCCTGCTAAACTGTTTTCCAAAATAGGTGTGTACTTTACAGTTCCAAGAGCAGTGTATGAGAGAAGTCATTCTTTGGTTAATTTATTGCACATTTGTTGTGTGCGTACTCTGTGTGTGATGGTACTCCAGGAACTGTGGGAGAAAAAATGAATGAAGTGTCTACCCTCAAAAAACCTTCAGTTTAGTCAGAGGCACAGACATACAAACAGTTAGTGACCAGGACTGGGGAGGGATCCAAGAGCTCTAAAGCCAGATACGACGTGGGGAGAGCAAGGTGAAGAAACTAGAGAGACACTGCAGTGACAATGAAAATAGTAGCTAACTTTCAAAAATTGCTTTGCTGTTTACACAGCAGTTTTCTTTTTTTCTTTTTTTCAGGAGGGGTTTTTAATACATTCTTTTGAATTAAAAAAAATTTAATTAAAAAGATTTGAAATGAATAGACATTTAAACAAAGCTAAAGGGAGATCCATATTCCATACCATACATTCCAAGTGAATCAGGTATCTGAATGTACATAATGAGCCCATTTTAGTATTAAAAGAAATCATGGGTTAATTTATTTGAAACCTGAGAGTGGAAAAACCTCCTATCTAGGACTCAATATCCCGATGCAATAAAGTTAAAATGCTTTCACATGGAGCACTTTTCATAGGTGTTATTTTATTTAGTATTTACCACTCTCAACATAGACATCCCCCTGATTCATTTTTAAATGAAGGAACTGCTTCAGAGAGATCAGTGGCTTTCCATGGCTGAGCTGGTAGGTAGTAGAATCTGTATTAGCAGTAAAATCCACCCAAGACCATTCTTAGCCTCTTGTCCTATATTTTGTTGTCTCAAGAAAGCAAATTTTGAGAATAATGTGGAAGTATAATTAAGGTAGTCATATTATCATTAAGTGAAAGGAGTATAAATGATGGAATCAGAAAAGGCTCTGTTTCACACATAAGTTTTGTGACCTCTTAGGTTTCTAATTTTTCAGAGGCTCTGTTTTTTTAATTCATAAGAAGGAAACAATAACAATGGCTACTCCACAGAATAATTGTGAAGAAAAAATGAGCTAATATTTGATAAAGCATGTAGTCTATTGACTAACAGTAATTGGCTTCTCAAGCCAGAATTAGAGAAGCTGATCAAAGATAAAGTAGATGATGGGAAAGAATCTGAGTGTCTTTGTGGATTTGGAGCTAAATGTATGTTAGCCCTGAGTGTATTATTTTTTGACTTTATAATTCTGGCCCTGTTAAAAAAAAAATAGAATGTCTATCTAAGGACGCTTGGATAAATTCCCCTTCATGTTTATCCCTCAAGCCTACAGTAACCAAAACAACATGGTACTGGCACAAAAACAGACATATAGACCAGTGGAACAGGTTAGAGAACCCAGAAATAAAGCCACACACCTACAACCATCTGTTTTTTGATAGTTGACAATAACAAGCAATGGGAAGGACTCCCTCTTCAATAAATGGTGCAGGGATAACCGGCCAGCCATATTCAGGAGATTGAAACTGGACCCTTTCCTTTTACCATACACAAAAATCTACTCAACATGGATTAAAAACTTAAATTTAAAACCTAAAACTATGAAAACCCTAGATGAAAACCTAGGAAATACCATTCTGAACGTAGGCCTTGGAAAAGATTTCATGACAAAGACTCCAAAAACAATTGCAACAAAAACAAAAATAGACAAGGGAGACCTAATTAAGCTACAGAGCTTTGTTACATCAAAATAAACTACCAATGGAGTAAACAGACAACCTACAGAATGGGAGAAAATATTTGCAAACTGTGCATCCAACAAAGGTCTATAAAGAGCTTAAACAAATTCACAAGCAAAAAACAAACAACTCCAGTAAAAACAGGCAAAGGACATGAACAGATGCTTTTTAAAAGAAGACATACACATGGCCAACAATCATATGAAAACATGCTCGACATCACTAATCATTAGAGAAATGCAAATCAAAACCCCAGTGAAATACCGTTTCACACCAGTTAGAATGGCTAATGAAAAAGTAAAAAAATAACAGACGTTGGTGAGGTTGCGGAGAAAAGGGAAATCTTATACACTACTGATGGGAGTTGTTAGTTTGGCCACTATGGAAAGCAGTTTGGAGATTTCTCAAAGAACTTAAAGCAGAACTACCATTCAACGCAGCAATCCCATTACTGGGTATATACCCAGAGGAATAGAAATTGTTCTGCTATGAAGACACATGTACACGTTATGTTCATCACAGTTCTTTTCACAATATCAAAGACATGGAATCAACTAGATGCCCATCAGCAGTGGACTGGATAAAGAAAATGTGGTACATATACACCATGGAATACTATGCAGCCATAATCAGGAAAAAAAGTCATGTCCTTTGCAACAACATGGATGCAGCTGACAGTCATTATCACAAGTGGATTAAAGGAGGAACAGAAACATGTTCTCACTTATAAGTGGGAGCTAAACATTGAGTACATGGGGACACAAAGAGGGAAACAATAGACATCAGGGTTTACTTGAGGGTGGAGGTTGGGAGAAGGGTGAGGAGCAGAAACCTACCTTTCAGATACTGTGCTAATTACCTAGGGGATGAAATGATTTTTACACCAAACCCCAGAGACATGCAACCTACCTATGTAATAAACCTGCACATGTACCTCCTGAACCTAAACTAAAAGTTGGAAGGAAAAGAATAACAAAAGAAACAGACTATTGATGTTGCCACAGTGTATAGGCTCCATGGTCCATTCAACAGATCTGACATCTCTTGAGAGTAATTATAGTGAGTCAAGTATCATAGGATGCTGGGTGGATTGGCATCCAAGACCCAAATCTGAGAACAACCACCAAAAAAAAAAAAAAAAAAAAAAAAAGCAGCACACAAAGGAGCCAACAGAAATTGGGTCCAGATATCCCTCTTAGGCTTATTAAGAAATAATTTAGCTGGATTTGCCATGCTAGTCATTGTCCTTGCAACCCCGTCATCTTCCCTCTTTACAAATAAAGATGGTTACAAGAGGAAGGAGTCTTTGGGATCTTTAGGAGAAGTGTATTGAAGGTGAAACAAGTACTGCCTCTATGCCAACAGGGGAGAAGGGATTAGAATGCTTACACTCTACTACCTTGTCCCAATCTAAGGGATATGGGACTCCAGAGAATCCTTGTTGAAGCAAAGGCAGTGGCAAGAGAGGAAGAGTGTGCTCTAATTGGATGTCTGCTTAGACACTGGATCTGTGGATCTGGCACAAGCCTACCCAGGCAGGGGGAAAGAGAGCAGGAAAGAACTGCCAAGCAGAGGGTTGGTGGTGCAGTAGCCTTATCCTTCCACTGTTTAGCCAACAAAGATGTGTGAATTTTTGTCACATCATAACTGGGCTGGAGCTGCCCCATCTCAGGCTTGAGCAGTCAGGCAAGAGGACACGTGCAGCAAGAGGCTTAGAGATGCTCCATTGGTGGTGACAGCAGTGAATGGGGGAAGAAGAAGCAATGAGAGAAAAAGAAAACCCTTTCATGTCTATGCCCAAGTTGGGGCAGTCCAATACACCAATTACGTGGGGACTACAACAGAGGCTTTGGATGGAGTCAGGGATTTCCAAAATTTATACAGTACTTGACAGTTGATGAAGTACTTTCAACAATAGCAGTAACTCATTTATTAGACATGTACCCACCAAATTGTGTAAATTAGCTCTGATTTCCACAACAACCTTTTATGATATTTCGCTCATTCATTTTCTAGATGAGGAAACTGATCCGAGAGGTATTAAGAGACTTACAATATCAGAAAGCCAATAAAAGGGAAAAGCTAGGATCTAAATCTTGGTCAAGCCTGTCTGACTTTAAGGCCCATATTCTTTTTTTGTAATCCTCTCATCAATCATGTGGAGTAGGCAGTATTTTATCCTCATGTTAGTGATGAAGGAATGGAGGCTAATAAAACTATAAGTGATGGGAACAACAAGGATCAAAGCCTGAGAACCTGCTAGGCTAAAGTCCCAGAAGGCCTCCTCTTTTCTGACTGCCCAAGTTATGCCAAGAACAAGTTAATTCTTTTAAATTAATATCGAACTGGGTGCTAAATAAATGCTCAATGAATATTGACTCAGTGACTCACTGAGTGGCTGCACTATCAAGGGAGAACGAAAATTCTTTTATTTTCTGAAGGCTCGTGGAAAATAACAGATAAGGATTTTTCTAGTTTAGTGTTTGAGCTAGGAGATGACAGAGTGATCTTAGTGTCCCTTCTCCAACCCCCAGATTTGATGATTCAGAGCCATTACAGGGAAATATGATCCCACTTTAGCCAATTTCTTTAATTAATAATTCTGCAAGCCTTCTGTGTTGCTTCTCCTTCCTTCAAACTATGGTTCTATACTGGGAAACTTCAGATCATACAATTCTTCCGGAAACATTATTGATTTTTTTTAATTGAATCTTTACAGGATTTTTTTGTTCACACACATAAAAACAAGCAACGGAGTACAATTTGTCTTCTGTTTTTAATCTTCACTAAGCATTGTAAAGGAAAGAAAAATATTTTATGAAAGTAATAAGCTTTTCTGAGGCTCTTGCTAAGGGATTTATTTTTCTAACATTCCAGGGAAAAAGCCTAGTTTCCCTTAATACAACTGTCCATTTGACTGCTCGTTCCAAAGCTAGACCTTTATTGTACCTTCTTGGAGAACTTCAGAGACCCGTGTGATATTACTCTCTGCACCTCCTGCTTGCTAGAAGACCCTTATTCCCCAGGCAGAGAGGTAGCAGACATTTCTTACTGCCTAATTTTTAGACTTCACACTGATAGAAACCATAGACTGGTGCTTTGACTCAGAGTAACTGTGTCCATTCATGGGACCATGAGACATATGCTCCCTGCCAAATCCCAGGTGCCAGACTCAGAGGCAAGAAGCATTGAAACACCCTTTGGAGCTTTAATGAGGAGCTGACAAGGTCTATTTTTCTAACTCTGGTACAAGACTTTATCTGCTAACCTGTTTTCTGCCAGATCTGCATTAGTTTCTTGTGACTGCCATAACAAATTATCATCTGGGTGGCTTAAAACAACAGAAATTTGTTCTCTCATGGTTCTGGAGGCTAGAAGTTGAAAATCAAGGTGTCAGCAAGCCATCCTCCCTCTGACGGCTCTAGGAGAGAATCCTCTGTTGGCTTTTTGTGGCTCCGGGAGTTCCTTGGCTTGAGATGTAATTTGAATCTATGTCCCTGACAAATCCCCATTGTTGAAGGTGAGGACTGTTGGGAGGTATTTGGGTCATGAGGGTGGACCCTTCATGGCTTGGTGCTGTTGGTGAGTTCTCACGAGATCTGTTTAAAATTGTGGCACCTCCTCACCACACCTCTTGCTCCTTTTCCTGCTGTGTGAGACACCTGTTTCCCCTTTTGCCTTCTGCCATGAGTAAAAGCTCCCTGAGACCTCACCAGAAACTGAGCAGATGCTGGCGCCATGCTTCCTGGACAGTCTGCAGCATTGTAAGCCAATTAAACCTACTATCTTTTAAGCTAACCATTCTCAGGTATTTCTTTACAGCAATGCAGGAATGGCCTGGCACAGCTTGTGACAGCATAATTCTGATTTCTGCTTCTGTCTTTATGTGGCCTTCTCCTCTCTGTCTTCTCCTCTTTTAGCTCTTATAAGGATGCATATCTTGGTGGATTTAGGGACCACCCGGATAATCCAGGATAATCTCATTTCAAGATGCTTAATTTCATTTCAAAGGTTCTTTTTCCATATAAGGTCACACTCCCAAGTTATGCCAAGAGTAAGTTTATTCTTTTCAATTAATATCGAATGGAGTGCTAAATAAATACTCAATGAATATCGACTCAATGACTCACTGACTGATTGCACTATCAAGGGAGAACAAAAATTCTTCTATTTTCTGGAGGCTTCTGGGGCATGGACATTTCATTTTGGGGGCAACCATTAAACCCACTAGATACTCTTTGATCAGAAAAAAAGGCAAATATGATAAGGTGCAGGTTGTATAAAGTCTCTAAAGAAACATCTTGAGAATGGTGCACTGGCCAGGGAAGAAACTTTGATTGCTCTCAGGAAGCCACCTGTTATCTGGATCTGGGTCTGCCTGATGGAGGTGACCCACTCTTTGGAGATCAAGCCTCAGGTCAGGAAAACCTTGATCCAATAAAAACCACTTCAGGTGGGTTTTTCTTTTTTTCTCTCTTCTGTGATTTGAGGTTACTGTGTTTCCTAGGTGAGCCCTGAGGTTGATTAGAGTGGATTTTACGTACAAAGTTTTCATATCAGGGCAACATAAGAAAGGGCTTATTAGGACTATAAAAATAGTTTTAAAATCCTAATAAATTAATTGTATTAAAATTATACTTTAAACACACATGTACCTTTGTATTCTCCTTGGCATGTAGATGCTCACCAGCTGTCAACCTGATTAGGATCTGCCTCAGCTCTGGAGTCTAGTCTACATTCTTCTCAGGCAGCTCCAGCGAATAACCTAGCAAAGCAGGGGTACTAGGGCCTCCTGGAATGGAAAATCTTTGTTCTGAAATGTCTTTTCTAGTTGGCTGAAACTTTCTCAGATCTACATCGTGAATCTTATGTTTTTCTTGCCCAATTCTGTCTTCCCCACCCCTTTACTCTTTTATGAATATTAACATCAGAAAACTTCTTGCACTCCTAACTCTGTCTCATCCTTGCTTCTTGGAGGGTCAAACTGACACGTTCTTAAATTAGAAACTCAATTCTAATCATTTTAACTGTCGGGTTTGTGGCCATGGGCCTAAAAACATTTATTGGCTCATAAAATAATACTCTTTAAATAAATTGTACATGGTATTTTAACACTGCTTAAAATAGACCGTGTTTATATACCTATAATGGTGTTAAAATGTTGTTAAACTATATTGCTAAAGAAATGTGTGAAAGATTATTTCACCAAGAATAAGACAAATTGTATGAAGCACATTCATGAAAGTTAAATTAGAGAGAGTTAATGGAACAATATTTGGGACTAGAATTCAGAAGAAAAAAATTAAAGGATGACTAATGGAAGTTATACAACCCTAAGTATTTGGCGAGATTATGTCAAAGAGGAACCAAAGTGAAGAAATGCATAATTCCACATTCTAATCCTCACTCAGTGAACCAGACTTTAACAGAGCTCCTGCAAGGCCCCATGAGAAGAGGGTGGTTTACAAGGATTGAGGAATCTTCTGAGAAATGTGATCATTTGCTAGAGCCCCTGGGAAGCTTGTGTTGGACAATCACACACTCAGAGCAAAAGTTTGCAAAGTGAGCCTTTTCTTCTAGCACTAGAAGGTGTGTATCAGCTGGATACTACAGGGGTGGCAGGAGGCAAGAAGTCATGAAGAACTAACTTTATAACAATGAAGAAGTGTTTCAATTTAGCAGCATGTCACTACTTTGACTTAGCTCTTTGGCTTACAGCATATCCAGGTAATGGTGCTATTAATCAGGTTGTTTCAGGTATGGATAGCACCTTGACTAGACTAGCATTATCTATCCGAGGGAAATAAAAAGTAATAGGAATGCCTATAGTAATAATTACTGATCTTCCTCCCTCTGTCCCTTCCTCCCTTTCTCCCCTTCAGTCTTAATCCTTTTGGGCCGCTATAACAAAATGCCACAAACTAGGTGACTTATAGACAACAGAAATTTATTTGCCACAGTTCTGAAGACTGGAAGTCCAAGATCAAGACATTGGCAAATTTGAAGTCTGGTGAGGGCCTACTTCCTGGTAGATGGTACCTTCTTGCTGTGGCCTCACAGGGTGGAAGAGGCAAGGCAGCTCTCTGAGGTCTCTTTTTTTCTTTTTCTTGTTTTCTTTTTTTTATTTTTATTTTTTACTTAAAATATAATTTATTGGGAAACCAAAGAAAATCAATTGAAACAACATAAAACGAAGGTATAAATATGAAAAGTGAATAAAATTGAATCCATTTATATCAAGAACATGCTAACAAATAGCCAAAAATAGCTAGAAAATAAAAAGATTCTATTCTTTTTTTTATCATTATACTTTAAGTTTGGGATACATGTGCAGAATGTGCAGGTTTGTTACATAGGTATACACCTGCCATGGTGGTTTCCTGCATCCATCATCCCGTCATCTACATTAGGTATTTCTCCTAATGTTATCCCTCCTCTAGTCCCCCACCCCTCGAGATGCCCTAGTGTGTGATGTTCCTCTCCCTGTGTCCATGTGTTCTCATAGTTTAACTCCCACTTATGAGTGACAACATGCGGTGTTTGGTTTTCTGTTCCTGTGTTAGTTTGCTGAGAATGATGGTTTTCAGCTTCATCCATGTCCCTGCAAAGGACATGAACTCATCTTTTTTTTTGGGTGTATAGTATTCCATGGTGTATATGTGCCACATTTTCTTTATCCAGTCTATCATTGATGGGCATTTGGGTTGTTTCCAAGTCTCTGCTATTGTGAATAGTGCTGCAATAAACATACGTGTGCAGGTGTCTTTACAGTAGAATGATTTATAATCCTTTGGGTATATAACCAGTAATGGGACTGCTGGGCCAAATGGTATTTCTGGTTCTAGGTCCTTGAGGAATCACCACACTGTCTTCCACAATGGTTCAACTAATTTACACTCCTACCAACAGTGTAAAAGCATTCCTATTTCTTCACAACCTCTCCAGCATCTGTTGTTTCCTGACTTTTTTAATGATAGCCATTCTAACTGGAGTGAGTGGTATCTCATTGTGGTTTTGATTTGCATTTCTCTAATGACCAGTGATGATGAGCTTTTTTTCATATGTTTGTTGGCCACATAACTGTCTTCTTTTGAGAAGTGTCTGTTCATATCCTTTGCTCACTTTTTGATGGGGTTATTTGTTTTTTTCTTGTAAATTTGTTTAAGTTCCTTTTAGATTCTGGATATTAGTCCTCTGTCAGATGGGTAGATTGCAAAGATTTTCTCCCATTGTGTAGGTTGCCTGTTCAGTCTGACAATAGTTTCTTTTGCTGTGCAGAAGCTCTTTAGTTTAATTAGATCCCATTTGTCAATTTTGGCTTTTGTTGCCATTGCTTTTGGTGTTTTAGTCATGAAGTCTCTGCCTATGCCTATGTCCTGAATGGTACTGCCTAGGTTTTCTTCTCAGGTTTTTATGGTTTTAGGTCTTACATTTAAGTCTGTAATCCATCTTTAGTTAATTTTTGTATAAGATGTAAGGAAGGGGTCCAGTTTCAGTTTTCTGCCTATGGCTAGCCAGTTTTCCCAGCATCATTTATTAAATAGGGAATCCTTTCCCGGTTGCTGGCTTTTGTCAGGTTTGACAAACACCTTTGTAACCTTGAGAATATTTTATTTGAGTATGAAAAACCAAAACTATTCATCTCTTCCTCCTCCCTCTTGTTCCCCTCTCTCTTTTTTCACCCTTTCCTTCACCTTCTTTCCCCACATTCTGTCACTCATTCTGTCTTGCCATTCTACCTTAGACTCCCTCCCTCTTCTCCCTTCCTACTTCTCTCCCCCCTTCTTCTGAATTATTTACCCTTTTCTCAAAATGCTCCTGAGCTCCTGACCCCATGGAAGACCCTCAGGGTGATTTCTTGGATGAATTTGACACCCTCTCTAGCTAGGGCATGTGTGTCTGCTGGGTCCCTGCCCCCATCACCCAACACCTGGCACAGCCTGTGCTTGTTATGTTTTTACAACCTGGTGAGTTTTCTTTTTAAATTTAGGGTTGGCATTTCTCACATGTGAAGTCTAAAATCTGCAGGGTATTAATTTTAGGCCTATTCTTTTAGGAGAAGGCAAAAGCCCTGCTCTCGTTGGGCAGATTTTACAAATCCTCAGGAGTATTCAGAACACAAAGCGCTAAAAGGTAATTCCACCCTTGAGTGATTTAATAGTTTCTTGGCTCAGCAGGTACATTGTTTTGGTAAATTAGGAAGAAAAACTTTATTTTTTCTGATAACAAAAGTAATAGTTCTTTCTTGAAGAAAAAGGAAATTTAAAAAAGCACATGAAGAAAGTGAAAAAATATATGTATTATCACCTTTTGGAAACAACCAGACTTAACTCATTTGTTCCTATGCTTCTTGTCTTTTTTATGTACATGTAAGCACATATTCCTTTTTAACAAATTGAAGACATGATATACATGTTATTTAATACTATTTTGCATTAATATTTTATGACTTTTCTCTAATGTAAGTTTTAATTTCTATGTAATATTTAGGTATATGGATATACTATTGTAATTGGAATAAAATTCAGTAGATTTTTTAAATGGGTCAGAAACATTATTTTTGTAGCATGGCAAACATTAATTGCATTCTAAAAATATTTTATACTAACTCCCGATGACCATGTGACGAAGATAATACTTATGAATAAGTTCGAAAAATTCAATTTTTTTTCCTCCCTTTTGGGCCTATGGAATGCTACGCTTCCTAGTTCCCCTTGAAGTTAGGTGAAGACATGGAACTGCTTCTGGCCAGAAGTGTGAGTGGAAATGAAGTGTGTCTCTTCTGACTGGGTAGGGAAAATTACCTTTAAGAGTTTCCAGGTTTTCTTTTGTTCCATGTAGATTATAGAGGTCAGAGGTCTTGGTTGAGATGATGATGTCACAAAATGAAGCAGGCTTGATTTCTGAGTCACAGCATGAATGAGAAATAAACTTAAATGAGTTAACACCTGAAGTTTTTGAACTTTGCATTTCTCAGCATAGGGCTAGCCTATGCTCTTACAGACCACCTATGGAAGTGTTTAACATAGGTTAGAGCATTTCTTCTGGGATGTTTTCAGGATACAGCAATTAGTAAATAATCATTCAGCTCTTATTGATTGGGGATTTTATGTTCAGGTAGAGTCCCAGACCCTAAGAGAACACAAAATTGAGAGAGACACAGTCCTAATCCCCAAAGCAGTCAAGTGAGAATGGCATTCGTTATCAAAATTAAAACAATGGAAATGCTTTCATGGAGGGTGTACAACCTGCTATAGGACCACAGAGAATAGACTAACATTGGGGAAGGATCTTGAAAACTTCCAACCTTGACTAGAAAATGTCAATGTGGTGGGAGACGATCTTTCCAGACATAAGGAACAGCATGCACAGAGTCACAGAGATGTGAAATGGCATGGTATGTTTGGAAAACCAGGACATTCATATGGCAGGGAAATGGAGGAAAGTAAAACTGTATTGTTTTGAATAAGAGGAAGCTCGATACCTTTCAAGGTTAATTATCTCATTGTTAAATATCTCTAAGGAGGAGAAGTCTTTTTTTATGCAAAACGAAAATGTTTCATCTTGTAATTTTTAGTACTTGGGCCTCATTTTTCTCTCTGGATATGCTAAGATGAAAATTAAACCCTTTTTTGGTCATACCCCTTCAAATATTTAGGACACTTTTTATGTCCACTTGAATTTTGTGGGTTTTTTTTTTTTGAGTTTTAGTTCTGATCTTCTAAAGGTGGTGTGCAAAATCTTGCACAAAACATTGTGTATAGTGATTAGTCAAGGTATGTTTGATGAGTGAATGCACAGATCAATTCAGAGACCATCAGCGCTAGTTTCTATTCAGTACAAAAATATGAAGGACAGTAATTTATTATAGTTAATAGTTAGCATTTATTGAAAACCTTACTTTTTGCCAGGTATTTTGTCAGCTTCTTTACATGCATAGCAGCTTACTTAATCGCAACAACTCTACAAGATACATATTATTATTGTTGTTCCTATTTTGGAAATGAAGACTATGAGGTTTACAGAGGTGAAGTACCTTTCTCAGTTATACAGCTCTTAAGTGTTAGAGTCAGAGTGAACTCATGTCTGTTGAACTTTAGAACCTGAACTTCCTTATTTTCAAATTGTCTTATGATGTCATTGAACTCTTCTGCCCACACTGGAAAGTGGGCATTTCCTCTCATTTTACACTTGAGTGTCACGAGTGTCAGAGCAGCTGGAACACTGCTTACTCAATTCAGAGCTAGGATTTGTCTGATTTCAGAACCTGTGACTGCTCTATCCTTCCAAGTTCTTCTGAGGAGAGAGAATGATTTAGGCAGGAATTCAATCAGGATTTTCTTATAGAGAGATGAACTCCAATTCAATGTCTGCCTTACTAACTTCCCTTTTCTTTTATCATTTCACTCAGATCAATCTCAGTGAACAAGCTAAAGAAAACACAGAAGGAGCATAGCTGCTTAATGCCATTTTCAGTAGTTTACAAATATCTCTTTAAGTGGTTTACAAAAAGATGTCAATTGAGTACCACCTTTTCCTACTGCCTTGGGATTTGCTTTCTTTTATGTAGCTTTTGTCTGGCTGGGGGAGATGGGGATTCTCCCTGATGTTGGATGAGATTAGGCGCAGCAGAAATCACCCTGGTTTATTAAATGGGAGACTTGAGATCTATTCCCTAAATGATCACTCTCCGGCCTTGTGGCAAGTCACCAGCCCTCTTGAGGCTTTGGTTTCCTTATCTGAAATGTAGTCACGAGAAACTAAGTCTTAGGGCTATGTAATTGTGCTTACTGACAATGTATTGCCTGCTTTGCAATGTATTGCTTGTGCCAGACACACATTCTGCTAAACTCTTTTTATTTAAATCCTCATGACAACCTGATGAAATGGTTATTATTATTATTTATAAAACTCAATTTTATAGATTAAGAATTAGAGGATCAGAGGAGTTAAATAATCACCCCAAGACATATAGTTATCTGAATGGAATTCGCCCACTCCAACATTGTTATCACTGAGTTGTGGGATTTACAGTTGAAACCACTGAGGTCAGAATTTGGCCTCCACACATAGTCAAGTACCATAACCTCTCTAAGCCTCAGCTGTCTCACCCAGAAAATGAGGACAATAAAAGTGCCCACCTCATAGAATTATTATTATTATTATTTTTTGGCAACTTAGACACTTACTAGATAGAATGTTCTTTTTGAGCCAGGAGTAAACATCATTATAGGCCATTTAAAAAGTGTCACAGATAAATTATCACTTAGTAAAATAATTACATTTTCTTTTTTTTAGCTTTTATTTTGAGTTCAGGGGTACATGTGCAGATTTGTTACATAGGTAAACTTGTTTCATGGGGGTTTGTTGTAGGGATTATTTCATCACCAGGTATTAAGCCCAGTACTCATTAGTTATTTTTCCTGATCCTCTCTCTCCTTCCACTCTCCACTCTCTGAAAGGCCCCATGTGTGTTGTTCTCCTCTATGTGTCCATGTGTTCTCATCAATTAGCTCCCACTTATAAATGAGAACATGTGGTATTTGATTTTCTGTTCCTGTGTTAGTTGCTAAGGGTAATCAACTCCAGCTCCATCCATGTCCCTGCGAATGACATGATCTCATTCTTTTTTATGACTGCATAGCAGTCCATGGTGTGTATGTACCACATTTTCTTTATGCAGTTCATAGGGTTATTTTCACAATTAAAGGAGAATATATGCATACAATTCTTAAGTATAGTACTTGGCACGTACTAATAAAAAGCATTAATTGATAGAATTAAATGATTCAAGAGCAGTGGTTAAGTGGTTACTTTTCTTGGGAGGTCATGAATCTGTTAAGAGATGTCCAGAGGAAAACAGAAATCTGAAAAATAATCTTACATAAACTTCTGAGGCCTTATGGATTCAGACATGTGTGGGCGTCCAAGGGTTAATAAAGCCAAGGTTAATATTTCTTGTGAAGGACAGACTCTCCTAGATGGGAGATTTTAGAATTGATGATTCTCTAAATGTTTCTTTTTCTTCCTTTAAGGCAATGGCTTAAAACAAAAACAAAAACACAAAACAAAACAAAAAACCTTCTGCAATAACAAGCTCTTCCATCAGCTAACAAACTAAAAACACTTATTTTATCCCTTGGGGACCTGCAGTCTCCTTTGCTGCCTGGGGCTCAGTGGAATTCTCCAGTTATTGTGTGCTTACATGTTCAGCAGCCATTCTTGCATTTTCTGCCTCAGCTCCTTCAGTGTAATTATCTCTATATATTATTTCTACCCCACCAAAATGCATACAACTTGTCAGTGTTGAGCAAGCAGGGCTGTGCTTTGCTGCCAGAGTTTGCTGCACAGATTTCTTACCCTGCCTTGTGGAAAAACTGAGAGTTACATGAAATTTTATGTAAACATGCCAACCTACTTTTGGGGGGTAAGAGGGAGGGTGAGAGGGAAATCCGCGTCATTCCTCTGCCAAGGACAGAGGCAGGATGCAGCAAGACTCCACAATAATAATAATAATGGCTGAATGAATTATTTTAGTACAATAGGCAAAAGGAAATACCCCCAATTATTCTTCGATGACCTACTTATTCAGTCACTATATATTGAGCACCTATTACATGTCACTGCTATGCCATACTTTGGAGGTTTAACCTTGAACATTACATATAGGGTCACAGATGACATGAAGTTTATAATCTAATGTATATATCAATTATATACTATGAAGTCAATAGACTCAGTTTCCTTAGCAAAGTGTATGGCAAAAGCAAAACCCTGTCATGATGGTGACTTTCATGTGCGTCCGTGTGAAGAGACCACCAAACAGTCTTTGTGTGAGCAATAAAGCTTTTAATCACCTGGGTGCAGGCGGGCTGAATCCCAAAAGAGAGTCAGCGAAGGGAGATAGGGGTGGGGCCATTTTATAGGATTTGGGTAGGTAAAGGAAAATTATAGTCAAAGGGGGGCTGTTCTCTGGCGGGCAGGAGTGGGGGTCACAAGGTGCTCAGTAGGGGAGCTTTTGAGCCAGTATGAGCCAGGAGAAGGAATTTCACAAGATAATGTCATCAGTTAAGGCAGGAACAGGCCATTTTCACTTCTTTTGTGGTGGAATGTCATCAGTTAAGGCAGGAACCAGCCATCTGGATGTGTACATGCAGGTCACAGGGGATATGATGGCTTAGCTTGGGCTCAGAGGCCTGACATTCCTGTCTTCTTATATTAATAAGAAAAATAAAACGAAATAGTGGTAAAGTGTTGGGGTGGTGAAAATTTTTGGGGGTGGTATGGAGAGAGAATGGGCAATGTTTCTCAGGGCTGCTTCCAGCGGGATTAGGGGTGGCGTGGGAACCTAGAGTGGGAGAGATTAAGCTGAAGAAAGATTTTGTGGTAAGGGGTGATACTGTGGGGTTGTTAGAAGAAACGTTTGTCATGTAGAATTATTAGTGATGGCCTGGATACGGTTTTGTATGAATTGAAAAACTAAACGGAATAAAAGAAGGAGAAAAACCGGTATTAAAGGACTAAGAATTGGGAGGACCTAGGACATCTGATTAGAGAGTGCCTAAGGAGGTTCAGCATAGCCTTGCCCGCAAAGATTATTTATTTACTTTAAGAGTTAAGAGCGGCAGTTTGGGGATAGCACCAGGAGATATCAGCGGTGATGGCTTGGAGAAACAGTGTAAACCGGCAGTGTAAACAAGAGCAGGGCATATATGAGTAGTTGAGAACGGTGAATAGGAGTATGACTAGACAGAAGATAGTAGGGATGACAAGTTTTTTGGGGCACAGTCTAAGTTGGTCTGGTGTCTGGAATGAGACTGGGGCTTAATAAAAAGGAGTGTCCATACAGGAGCTCAAATGGGCTGTACCTTGTAGCATTCCAAGGACAGGCCTGAATTCTGAGAAGGGAAAGTGGTAAAAGTATTGTCCAGTCCTTTTTAAGTTGGTGGCTGGGCTTGGTGAGGTGTGTTTTTAAAAGACTATTAGTCCATTCTACCTTTCCTGAAGACTGAGGACCTTAAGGGATATAAAAGTTTCACTGAATATCAAGAGCCTGAAAAAATGCTTGGCTGATTTGACTAATAAAGGCTGGTCTGTTATCAGACTGTATAGAGGTGGGAAGGCCAAACCGAGGAATTATATCTGACAGAAGGGAAGAAATGACTGCGGTGGCCTTCTCAGACCCTGTAGGAAAGGCCTCTACCCATCCAGTAAAAGTGTCTACCTAGACTAGGAGATATTTTAGTTTTCTGACTCGGGGCATGTGAGTAAAGTCAATTTGCCAGTCCTGGGTGTGGGCAAATCTCCGAGCTTGATGTGTAGGGAAGGGAGGGGGCCTGAATAATCCCTGAGGAGTAGTAGAATAGCAGATGGAACACTGAGAAGTTATTTCCTTGAGGACAGATTTCCACGATGGAAAGGAAGTGAGAGGTTCTAAGAGGTGGGCTACTGGCTTGTACTATAGCATAGCCTGCCTTTGCTGGTGTGTGGCGATTAGGCCTGGTGGAACTGCCGTCAATAAACCAAGTGTGATCAGGGTGAGGAACAGGAAAGAAGGAAATATGGGGAAATGGGGTGAATGTCAGGTGGGTCAGAGAGATACAGTCATGGGGGTCAGTTGTGGTATCAGGAATAATGTGGGAGGCCAGATTGAAGTCCGGGCCAGGAACAATGGTAATTGTGGAGACTTAACAAAGAGTGAGTACAGCTGAAGGAGCCAGGAAGCAGAAAGTATATACGTCAGGTGTGAGGAATAAAATAGATTTTGGAAGTTATGAGAAATGTAGAGAGCGAGTTGAGTATAGTTTGTGATTTTAAGGGCCTCTAAAAGTATTAGGGCGGTGGCGGCCCCCGCACGCAGACTTGAGGGCTAGGCAAAACAGTAAGGTCAAGTTGTTTGGATAAAAAGGCTACAGGATGCAGTCCTGGTTCTTGTATAAGAATTCTGACTGCACAGCCCTGCACTTCGGCTGTGGGTAATGAAAAGAGTTGGGATGAGTCAGGGAGAGCTAGGATGGGGCAGTCTCTAAAGCTGTCTTCAAGGAATGGAAAGAGGAGTGGGGAAAGGATTTAGGATCCATGGGGTCAGCTAGGTTTCCTTTTGTGAGTTTATATAATGGTTTTGTTAGGATGGCAAAACCAGGTATCTAAAGGTGAAAGTATCTAACTATGCCTAGGAAGGAAAGGAGTTGTTGTTTTGTAGAAGGTGTTGGGGTTTGAGAGATCTGCTGGACATGATCGGCAGGGAGAGCACGTGTGTTTTTATGAGAATTATGCCAAGATAGGTAACAGATGAGGAAGAAATTTGGGCTTGACTGAAGTAATAGGGGCTGTCTGTGAAGCTTTGTGGCAGTACAGCCCAGGTAATTTGCTGGGCCTGATGGGTGTCAGGGTCAGTCCAAGTGAAAGCGAAGAGAGGCTGGGATGACGGGTGTAAAGGAATAGTAAAGAAAACATGTTTGAGATCTAGAACAGAATAAAGGGTTGTGGAGGGAGGTATCGAGGATAGGAGAGTATATGGGTTTGGCACCACGGTGTGGATAGGCAAAACAATTTGGTTGATAAGGTGCAGATCCTAAACTAATCTGTAAGACTTGTCCGGTTTTTGGACAGGTAAAATGGGGGAATTCGAAGGAGAGTTTATAGGTTTTAGAAGCCCATGCTCTAGGAGGCAAGTGATAACAGGCTTTAATCCTTTTAAAGCATGCTGTGGGATGGGATATTGGCATTGAGCGGGGTAAGGGTGATTAGGTTTTAATGAGATGGTAAGGGGTGCATCATTGTCACCAAGAAGGGAGTAGAGGTATCCGATACTTGTGGGTTAAGGTGGGGGGATACAAGAGGAGGATGCAAAGGAGGCTTTGGATTGGGAAGAAGGGTGGCAATGAGATGTGGCTGTAGTCCAGGAATAGTCAGGGAAGCAGATAATTTAGTTAAAGTGTCTCCGCCTAATAAGGGAACTGGGCTGATAATTAAAAAGGAGTGATAATTAAAAAGGAGTGCTTAAAAGAGTGTTGTCTAAGTTGGCACCAGAGTTGGAGAGTTTTAAGAGGTTTAGAAGCCTGGCTGTCAATACGTACAACAGTTATAGAGGCAATGGAAACAGGCCCTTGAAAGGAAGGTAATGTGGAGTGGGTAGCCTCCGTATTGATTAAGAAGAGGACAGACTTACCTTCCACTGTGAGAGTTACCCAGATCATCTGTGATGGTCCTGTAGGCTTTCGAGGTGATCAGGCAGTGTCAGTCTTCAGCTGCTAAGCCAAGAAGGTCTGGGAAGGAGTCAGTCAGAGCCTGGGGCCAGAGTTCTAGGGGCTCTGGGAGTGGCTGCCAGGTGAGTTGGACAGTCCGATTTTCAGTGGGGTCCAACGCAGTTGGGATACAGCTTAGGAGGAATCCCAGGCTGTGGGCATTCCTTGGCCCAGTGGCCAGATTTCTGGCACTTGTAGCAAGCTCCTGGGGGAGGAGGTTCTGGAGGAACCCCTGGCAGCTGTGGTTCAGGCTTTTGGAGTTCTTGTGTGCTGGAGACGTGGCTGGGGTTTGTCTCAATGGAGGCAAAGAATTGCAACTCAGAAATACATTGCTACTTGGCTGCCTCTACTCTATTATTGTACACCTTGAAGGCAAGGTTCATTAAGTCCTGTTGTGGGGTTTGAGGGCCAGAATTTAATTTTTGGAGCTTTATTTCATGTCGGGAGCAGATTGGGTAATAAAATAAAATGCATATTGAGAATAAGACGGCCTTCTGACCTTTCAGGGTCTAGGGCTGTAAAGCATCTCAGTGTTGCTGCCAAACGAGCCATGAACTGGGCTGGATTTTTGTATTTGATGAAAAAGAGCCTAAACGCTATCTGATTTAGGATAAAGAAAAAGGAGCATTAACCTTGACTATGCCTTTAGCTCCAGCCACCTTTTTAAGAGGAAATTGCTGGGCAGGTGGGGGAGGGCTAGTCAGGGAACAAAACTGTAAGCCAGACCAAGTGTGAGGAGGGGAGGTGATAAAAGGACTATAGGGTGGAGGAGCAGAGGCTGAGGAAGAATCGGGACCTAGCTCAGCCTGGCAAGGAGGGGAGAGGTCAGATGGGTCTGTAGAAAAGGAAGATTAGAAAGACTCAGCGACGCTTGGGGTTGGGACTGAGGGGACAGGCGGGAGGGAAAGATGGAAGATTTGGGACTAGTTGCATTGGGAACAGAGACTAGGGAGGGACCAATGTGTAAAAGAATGCCTGGATGTCAGGCACCTCAGACCACTTGCCCATTTTACGACAAGAATTATTTAGATCTTGTAGGATGGAAAAATTGAAAATGCCATTTTCTGGCTATTTGGAACTACTGTCGAGTTTGTATTGGGGTCAAGCGGCATTGTAGAAGAAAATAAGGCATTTAGGTTTTAGGTCAGGTGTGAGTTGAAGAGGTTTTATGTTTTTAAGAACACAAGCTAAGGGAGAAGAAGGGGGAATGGAGGTCGGAAGCTTGCCCATAGTGTAAAGGAAAATTACAGTCAAAGGGAGTTGTTCTCTGGTGGGCAGGTGTTGGGTCACAAGGTGCTCAGCAGGGGAGCTTTTGAGCCAGGATGAGCCAGGAGAAGGAATTTCACAAGATAATGTCATAAGTTAAGGCAGGAACAGGCCATTTTCATTTCTTTTGTGGTGGAATGTCATCAGTTAAGGCAGGAACTGGCCATCTGGATGTGTATGTGCAGGTCACAGGAGATATGATGGCTTAGCTTGGGCTCAGAGGCCTAACAGTAACTACTTTTGTTCATCCACTTATTCATTTATTCAATCACAAACATTTATTGACAATACTTTGTGTTCTGTTTGGAACCATGCGAGGAATAGGGGTTATTGGGTCTGATGCAGTGTGTCTCTACCTTAACACTATTGACATTTAGGCTGGATAACTCTTTGCTGTGAGGAGCTAGTCTGTGAATTGAAGGGTGTTTGGCAGCATCTCTGGTCTCTACTTACTGGGTGCTAGAAGCAGCACCTAGTCGTCTCAACCAAAAATATCTTTGACATCACTGAATATCTCCTGGGGGTCAAAATTGCCCCCAGTTGAGGATCACAGATCTAATGTATAAAACATTGCTTCTGACATCAACATTAAACAGAAGTCAGTAAAACTGATAACCACAACAACAATTAAAATGGATGAAACACCTCCATTTGGTCAGGTTTTTGCCAGGTACACAATCTTATTCAATGCTTACAACAACTGTATGCTATAAGAGTAAATATTTATTTATGGATCTCTAAAGGTTTATAATGGGTAAGTCTATATTTCCATATGTGTTAATTATAACCTTCTAAAAGCAAGAATCAATATTTAAAATGTTTGAAGGGGAATGAGGGCACCTACATTTTAAGTGATAGCACAAGCTAAAATTAAAAGCCTAGTTTTAAAGAAGTGTTAGATTATTTTATATAGTAGAAATGATAAAGCAAAAAACTCTCGTATGATAATACGTGGCTAAGGTTTTTCCTTTTTTGTGCTTTAGTTTATATTGGCTACATTTTTCACTGTATGCATTGTGTGTTTCTTTTTAATAGTTTTTTTTCTGAACACACATTTATGTTAATGTTTTTATTGAATAACACTTACATTGTACCTTTCTTATCACTGATACAATAAACATAACAGGATTTTGGGGGACTTCAGAACAGTAATTAATACTTGAGTTTCAGAGTACAAAGTCACCTTAGTAGGCATCAAATCCAAACTACCCAGTTTATGGATGAAAAATACAAAGCTAACATTGGGGAATTGAATTGCTCTAGGTTAGAGGGTTTGCAAACTATGGCCTATGAGCCAAATTTGGCTTGTCACTTGTTTTTGCAAATAAAGTTTTATTGGAATACAACAAAGCTCATTTGTTTACATATTATCCATGGCTGCTTTCAAAGTACAACAGAGTAGATTAGTTGCAACAGAAACTATATGTCCTTCAAAGCCTAAAATATTCACTATCTGTCCCTTTACAGAAAATGTTTGTCTAGGTCATATCAAAAACTAGGGCTGGTGGAGGACTTTGAGTTGATGTGTCTCTTACTGGACAGCAGCATGGTGGAGCAGAAAATCCCTGGGCTCTAGAATCAGACAAGGTTTTGAATCTTGTCTCTGTCATCCACAAGCTGTGTGGCCTTGAACATGATCCCTTTGAGTCTCATTTCCTATTGAGTAAAATTGGGATGAACACAGTCTGCAATTTTGTTATGTGGTTTATAAAAAGTTGATAATGTCTCTGATGTGTACTCAAAATAGATGATATTAAAATACAATGCCCTTTCAACTGAATAACTGCAGCTTTTACTCATTTACTCAATAAATATTTAGCAAAAGACCATTGAAGGTACCTTAATAGGGACTGAGGGTACAAGAAAGGTAATGACAGACATGGCCTCTAAATTTCATTTCAGCCAAGTAGAGAGTAGGTATGAGAGGGACCTAACCCAGACCTTACTCAGACATGGTTTACTGAAGGAGAGTACATTTAATTCAAGACCTTAAGCAAGCATAGGAATTAACAAGTAGAAGAAGATGGAAGTCGGGTAAGGAATGTTTCAGGCAAAGGAAAGGACAAGAGTAAAAGTCCTAAGATTAGTAAGTCATTGTACACTGAAAGAACTACAGAAAAAAAGGTCAGTAAAGTTTGCGTGGGAGTTCAATGTTGGGAGAAAGTGGGGAGAGATATGGTTGGGAAGGTGAACATGATGCAGATTCTAAAAGGCCAATGGAGCACGTAGCGTTAGTTGCCTACCCAACAGTCACAACCCCCTTTCTCAATAACAAAATCATGATTTTGTACACCTGGCAAAATGCCCACCTTAGGGAAGGCAGCAGATGTATCAGTGATTGGTCTGAGGTGAGCTAGTGATTGGGATATGGCCAATGGAAGAATTTTGAGGTCTTTAAAAAAAAGTTTTCCAATCCAAAAATAGGAGAGTCAGGTAAGGTGGCTCATGCCTGTAATCCCAGCACTTTGGGAGGCTGAGGCAGGTGGATCACCTGAGGTCAGGAGTTGAAGACTAGCCTGGCCAACATGGTGAAACCCCATCTCTACAAAAATTAGCCTCCCTGATGGCAGGTGCCTATAATCCCAGCTACTCGGGAGGTTGAGGAGGGAGAATCACTTGAACCCGGGAGGCGGAGGTTGCAGTGAGCCGAGATTGCACCACTGCACTTCAGCCTGGGCGATACAGCAAGACTCTGTCTCAAAAACTTAAAACAAAAAACAAAAACAAAAACAAAACCCAACAACAACGACCAAAAATAAAAATAGGAGAAAGCACTTTTCCTCCCTTTTCTCTCCGCTTTGGCTGCAGTCAAGTGAGACTGTGATGCCTGGAACTGTTGTAGCCTTTTGCCCTCATAATGAAAGTGAACAGGCTGAAGATAGAGAGAAGAAATGCATACAGATAGAATTCCAGGGATGATTTGTTGAGTTCCATGTTGTCATTCCAGGGCTAACTGTGGCTGTACACACCAGTGAACTTCCTATTACAGAAAGTAGGGCAAGATCAAAAAGGGCTCAAGTGCCAGGGTCAAGTGACATCCAAGAGGAAAAGCAAATGTAACAAAAGCTTTAGTCGCTAGTATCATCTCTCCTGCCGATGACAGAGTACCAAATGGATTAGATGATTAAATGGACTAGATGATGATTAATGGATTAACTGCAAATAACTGAGCTCCAAGTGACCCTTTGTAAGAAATAGCTAGCCTTCAGTGGAGGCCTCAATTTCCTCATCTGTAAAACAGGGGTGATAACAGAACCATCTAAATGGCTTGCTGTAACGATAAAATAGTATATAGATTTGGAGCCCCAGCATGGAGCCTAGTTCCTAGGAAGTGTTCACAATGGTAGGTGAAGATTATTATTCTTTCATCATTTTCTGTAAACTCATATGTCTTGAATGATTTTGACATTCTTAAAGAGTACCCCATGCTGGCATGAATCAGAACTTGCATGGACATTGCATAGAGGATTGAATGAGATATTCTTCAAAGCAGCTTTTTTTTTTTCAACCAAACCACATGTGGTGATTAATAGCATGTTGAGAAATTAACTTACTGTCAAGTAGTAAAGAAGAGAATGGATCAGAATAGGCAATATTGGACTGCATCCCCTGTGGTAAGGATAACAATTGTTTTATGAAAGTTTTTTGTTTATGTATTTATACATGTGTGTTAGCTTGTAATTGTAAAATGTACTTCTGATTGTGGAATGAGTTAAAAAATCTGTTTTGAAAAAGAATGCTCTAAGGTTTCTTGCAACTCCAGCTTCTGTGGTTGTTCTCAGATCGTGCGGCTCATTTCAGCATTCATGTTGCATAACAGTGCTACCTGCTGACTCATGGTCAGCAGGCAGTGGCCTGGTTGACTGGGGTTTTCTCTTCACCACCGCTCTGTGTTTTCTTTAGCAGCCCTGTTTCATTATTACAGAGAGCTAAGGAAAGTGAGTATCTTCCATAAAGGGAACTCATTACCCATTAAATTAAAATGGAAACTAAACAGGTATCTTGAGAGGTCTCGGGTGGGCTTTTCAGCCCAGTCCACAGGACAGTGGAGTCATAGCCTAGAAGGTAAATGGCCCATATCCTATGAACAGAGTTACTTTGCAGGTTTTGCAGTTATAGGATGGATTTCTCCATAGGCATAATGAGTCCCTCTCATTTCCTCTTTTAATTGCAGCCTGTACTATTGATGTTGGGGACTGTGAACTGGGAATTTGGGCAGCAGATTTTCAATGGAAAAAAAAACCAACTTTTATTTGACCTTTTCTTTTTTCTGGTCACTTAAGAAGAAAAGAGAACTGAGAAAAATATGTAAAATGTATATATATAGATACGTGGAGATATTTATGTAGCACCTGCTCTATTTTCGAACCGTCCCATTGCCTACAATAGATGATTGCCTAAGTGCTATAAGTGGTGCTGCGGAGGAAGACAGGATTAGAATCAGACACTTTGTTTTAGAGTTCCTACTCTGTTCACTACTTGTGTGAACTTGGACAAATCACTGACTTATTCTGAGCTTTGTTCAGTAATAAAAGCTGCATTTTCGGGACTACCTGCCACGTGTCAGGCACATTACAGATGTCAATTCTAAACCTGAAAGCAACCGTGAGAGGTAGTTGAATATATTAAGTGACAGTTTAGGGCTATGTGGCCAGTCAGAACCAGAATCTAGAGTTGAATGTAAATCTCCTTGGTTCTGAAGCCCACAGATTTTCCATTATATTTCTCTGTTTACCTTAAAATGGAAATTAAGATAAAAATGCGTGTCAACTCCCAAGGTTGTCTTAAGGTGAAAACTAGCTAAAGTAAATGTAAAATTTTGATCACTGTTAGTTACTGTGATTATGGCCATTATTATTTTTAGGAGCACGAATAAACCTATATATGCTTATTGTTACAGAACCTCTTATTATACGCATACTTTTATTAATGTTTATTTATGTGCTGTTTCCTGCCCTAGACTTTGAGAGTCTTGAAAGAAGGAATCCTGGCTTATTTGATTGTGTATTGTTAGTAACTTACACAATGTTTAGCATATAGTTAAGTGCTCAATATTTGGTCTACTGCAATGAAAATATGTATAATTTCCACTCTACAGAACATTTCTATATTTAGAGCCATATCTGTGTTTTCAGAATTCATCTTTCAAATTGCAAAAAGTTAAAAAGGGGTTGGGAAAATATGTATCAACATATTGATAGAGATTATAGATAAGTTATCTTCTTTCTTTTTCTTAGATTTTGTAATTTTGTTTCATAATTGTCTTTTAAAAATATTTTCTAATTTTCCTTAATATACATATTTTATTTATGTAATTAATATTTTTGGTTGTTTTAAAACAAATTCACTAGAAGGAGTAAGATATTGATTCACTGAAAATGAGATACATTAAGACCATTATTTTATCAGATAAGTTTTGAGGTCCTGAAATTTGAAAGGGATGGAATAGAAGGTAAACAAAGGAGAAGGTTTGCAACTTGTGTCTGCGTTGGGACAAGGAAGGGAAATTTCCTAGGCTGCCAGACTTCTGTATGAATCATAGAATTTCATTTGTAGGGGGTGGTTGAAGTTAACTCATGACACTACCTCAAGAAATTCTTTTCATGGTCTCTGACGGATAGTTGTATATCTTCTAAGTTAGTATTCCTAGGGATAAAAATACCAGCTACCATGCAGAAAATCCTATTTCATTGTTAGTAAGGAAAGATTGTGACAATGCTCCACAAGTAGAGTTAAACATTGCCTTTCTGAAGTCTTGACTGTTGGTCCCACATAGGCCCTTCAGTGGCAAAAAATATACAGAATATTATTTCCACTTCCCTGGGTCTTAGCTACACCCCACTGAACACATCCTGTCTGTTAACCACTCCAGATATGCTGGCTCATAGCTCTTTCACCATTTTGGTTGCCGATTTCTACACAGAGGCTTTATGGGGATGACGAAGGGATAGGCTTTGGAGGCGCACAGATCCAAGTTCTAATCTGTGCTACATTCCCTATGAGCTGTGTTAAAGCAATAGTAAAAAGTACAATAATAATAACAGATAAAGATGATGGTAATGACAACAGCTGACATTTTTGGGTGCTTTCTATGAACTAGTTACTGATCAATGAGCTTAAAAATATGTTATTTTTAACTGACAAATAATAATTGAGGTAGCCATAGTCCCATGTACACTGTAGCATTATTCACAACAGGCAAGATAGGGAAGCAACATAAGTGTCCATCAAGTGATCAACTGATAAAGAAAATGTGATATAAAAACACAATGAAACACTATACAGCCTTCAAAAAGAAGGAAATCTTATGACTTGTGACAACATGGGTGAACCTAGAGGACATTATGCTAAGTGAAATAAGCAATGGGCTTTAAATGCAAAATCTCATTTCATTCTCAAACTCTGAAAATATGGGGATAGCAGCAGTAACCCATATGGAGTTGGGATGTGGTTTAAATAATATAATGCATATGAAGTGCTTAGAATATGAGTACTAGAATATAATGAGCACTTCATAACTATATAATAATAACAATAACCATGGCACCCACAACAGGCCATTATACCCTAAATGGGGTAACTTCTGCAGAGTGCAGGGGGATGGCAGCTCTCCTATCTGTACAGCATAGTAGTATTCATTGGTGAGAATGGGAATGGAAAATAATTGACAGTAAGTGGGGCAGAGGGGGAAATAAAAGACCAGAGTTATGTTTCCAGATCAAGTTGATCTGTGTAGCCATTTTGTCTGGAGCCAAGGATCTGAAATTGACTATTTCAATTAGTGACTACATTTTAAATTGTTTTTTTTTTCAGGATCATATTCTGGGTGCTGGTGTATGTGTAGGAGGGTCCTCAAAATGTCTTCTGGTAGTATGATTAAGGATTAAGAGCATAAACTCTGTGGAATACTATACAGCCATAAAAAAGAATAAAATCATTTTGCAGCATCATGGGTGGAACCGGAGGCCATTATCCCAAGAGAAATAACTCAGAAACAGAAAATCAAATGCTACATGTTTCCACTTATAAGTGAGAGCTGAGCAATGTGTACACGTGGGCCTACAGAGGGAAATAGTAGTCACTGGGAACTCCAAAAGGGGGAAGGTTGGGAAAAAAGAATATATAGAATATTATTTCTGTACATTATAATATTTCTGTATACTGTAATATTATTATTTCTGTATACTGAGCTTGGGTACAATGCTCACTATTCAGATGGTGGGTACACTAGAAGACCAAACCTCACCATTATGCAATATAGCCATGTAGCAACCATGCACATGTAACTCATAAATCTAGTAAACAGTGAAAAGGAGTATAAGCTCTAGGGTCAAATTACCTCTGTTCAAAACCTGCCTCCAGAGTGTACCACCAGTTCGTCCATCTGGCCAGCTTTCTTAACCTCTCTGTGCCTTAGTTTCCTCATCTATAAAATGGTGATAATAATCCTATGGGCCTTACTCAGTTATTTTGAAGCTTTAATGAGTATTAATAGGTATAAAAATCCCAGAACACAGCATGAAAAATGTTGGGTATTTTTACTTTCTTGTGGAATAAGGAAGAGATAAGATCAGAATTATTCTTCCTTCCTGGACCAGCTAGCTCTTTGAAGGAAGCCTCAGCATCTCACACACACACACACACACACACACACACACACACACACACACCCTCCAGTCTCTAAGCTCTAGAACAGAGATTTCCTTTGAAGGTGTCATGTCCAAACTATCCTTGGCCTTGCTGCGCGGCAGGACCGTTCATTATGAAATCGCCTCTCACTGCAGGAAATCTGAATGCGGCAATATTGAAATGCCTGTGTGAGAAAGAACATAAAGTGGAGGTGCGAGGCAGAGCCCCAGTGAAAATCCACAGGCTGGCGCATAAGCAGAATGCAGCCCTTTCGTCTATCTTATTAAGAAATGTTTCACAGACAGCCTGGATTAGATTAGTGGAAATGTTAATTTATCTTCTAATGCTATAGTCTGATTCTCTCTGTGTGTGAAAGATATGTTTTGCTTAAATCTATTTTTTAATAAATCCTTACGATATTGTTCAAGGTAATTGATGGTGGAGGTATAGGACATTTCTCAGTAATACACAAACAAAGCCAAACTCAAATCATGTAAATTGCTTCATTCGTAGGGATAAAACTAAATTGCTTGGCAAGGCAGGGAGTCAGAGAAAACAGAAAAGATCCAGAGGGAGCAGTGGAGGAATGATGACTGCGTTTTTCTTATTATTTCTGCATCTGTCAAAATGGAATGTGCCCCCCTCCTATTTTATATTCTTAACTCTATATACAAGACAATCAATGGTGTTATAAATAAGTCTGTTTTTGTTATGGGTATGAGACTGCCCAGGAAATGGAATAGAAAATTACTTTCTAGTCTAGCCTCAAAATCAATTTTTTCCAAATTATTTTTCTTACAACACTTCTATTTGTCTCTTGGAATTTTTTTTTTCATTTGCTCTCACCCCTCCCTCTGTTAAGGTGCTCCGCTTTGTCCTTTTGTGCTTATAATCTGTATTATAAAATCAAGCCTATAAGTATGCATTGTTATTTTTCTCATCTAGACTGTAAGATTCTAGAAGGCAGGGCCATTTCTTATACTTCTCTCTGCCCTCTGGAATGTAGTACAATGTCAGCAACCTGATAGTCATGTAGGAGAATAAGGATCTCACACTTTGCAAAACGCTATCACACAGCAACGCTGCACTGAGGCCCTATTATGTGTCTGACAGTGAGCTAAGTGCTTTCTGTCATTCATTCTTCACCCATAGTGATTGCCCTCGTTGTCATGCGGGGAGGTTCCTTTTACTCTTCTCATCCCAACCCAACTGTCCTTGAGCCAAGGCTGACCCGTTTAGGGAAAGAGAGTGCCTTAATCCATTTGGAGTGCTAGAACAGAATACTATAGACTGGGTGGCTTACAAACAACAGAGATTTGTTCCTTGCAGTCTTGAAGGCTGGAAGTCCAAGATCAAGGTGCAGGCAGATTTGGGTTATCTGGTGAGGGCCTGATTCCTGATTTATAGGCAACTGTTTTTTTTTTTTTTTTTTTTTTTTTTTTTTCTGTGTCCTCACATGGTAGAAGGAGCAAAGGCATTCTCTGGGAACTCTTTTATCAGGGCACTAATGCTGTTGATGAGGACTCTACCGTCATGACCCAGTCACCTCCCAAAGGCCCTGTGTCCAAATACCATTACAATGGGGATTCGATTTCAGCAGATGAATTTGGGGTGGGGACATAAACATTCAGTCTATTGCATACAGTAATCAAAGCTGAGCCAGTCGGATGCTTCCTTGTAGAAATGTGAAACTGGAGTGGAACAAATGTCCCGTGGTATTGCCCTAGAAAGAAAGTTTCACAGGCTTCACCAGCCAAAGTTCCCTTTCCAACCTGGACAGGAGATTGCCTTAGACTATGTGAGTTGCTTCAATTTTCCAAAAACCTCAACTCCAATTATCGGGAATTGTTTGATATACAGTGTTAAATGATTTGCCTCCAATCCTCTGGCTAATGAGTAGAAGAAGTTTCATAGACCCCAAAGCTCTTAATCTTTACTATCACACACAGGGAACTTCTTATTTCAATCTCACAATAGTCTCATAAAGTAGAAATGCTACTCATCTTCACTTTGCATTGTGAAATACAGAAGCTCAGAGAGCTCACCAAGTTTAACATCCCAGGTGATAGGTGATGGAACTGATCTTGAACTGACTTCTAGCTTCTCACAGAGTCAGCTTTGGAAGGGATTTATTGAATCTCCACTATGTTCCAGGCTCTTTCAAAAGAATTTTTACAAACGAGTTCAGAATTACTTTCTACAGAAACTATTTGTTCCGTGGAGATCAATTCCATACTCAAACCCTTCCAAGGGAAGCTGAACCATCGTCTTCCCCCACCCTGCTTTCTTGGAGGTCAGATCAAGGTAGCTAGGACTCAGTGATGTGACTTTGAATAGAAAAGTTAACTGGGTCAATGTCGTTCCTGCCACCAGGAATTTGAAACTGGAAGCTAGAAACAGAAGCTGAGACGTATGGGTGAGGATATGAAGAAGGGGCAGTGAGGTCATGTTAGTTCTGTGCAGGCTTAGGTGATAAGGGAAGAGAAACCAGGGATAGGCACGTGAAGCCTTATGTCAGAGAGAGGAGAATGGAATCCTTGTGCAGAAAGAAGCAGAGAAAGAGAGGCACGGAGATACACACAGACATAGTCACATATGCATACACACACACAAGCCTGTCTAAAGTAGCCAACAGCCAGCTTAGCAAGGGTATGATGAACTAGAACAGAGCTCCTAAATGGGAGGACTGGTACCTGAGCAGGACCTCAGTACCTGCGCCACCTGACATTACTCCAGCTGTTATGTAGGAAAATCTGAAAGTCAATGAAGACCCCAGCAGAAAGATAGAGCAGTTGGGGCTAAGAACCTGAGGTGGGATGGAACTTATTTATCAACTAGTTTGAGAGTTTTTCAATATTTAACAGCTTGTATGTTTTCACTGGCAGAATATCAGGTCCATAAACATCTTCCCCTCCCTGCATACTACTTCACAGTGTGGCCCTCGAGAGAGAGTGTAAAAAAGTAGTTGATCTCTAGAGCTGTTTCCATCCCTGATAATGTTTTACTTCAAAGTCCCAGTTGTGTCCCATGCAAATTCTTATATTTATATATATCAAATGCTGCTTATTCCCTGTGTTTAAAGTCTGGCCACCTTAAAAAGTAAAATAAATAAATAAATAACCTGAAATGATAAGAGCTTATAAGGGGGATTTAATCATGGGTCTTGGGACTCCAGGATTCTTTCTGTAAAACCATGGTTATCTCAATGTGGAGCAAAGTCTGGAACAAGAGAATTAAGTGGTACCATTTGTAATAAGAATCACAATCAGTGCACTGAACTGAAGCCCTCTGTTTTACTCCTCAAATTCTCTCTCAGAGACCTGATTGGTTCTTAACAGTTTGTAGGGAGCTCAGCTACTGCATCCACAAATTGTGTCAGCAAGCATAATGAAATATTTTGAATTGCATTATAAACATTTCATGTGTGTAACCTTTAGTTCTCTGGAACATTTAGAATTTGGTTCAACCTGGACCCATATGCATTTGTTGTTTTTTTTGAGAATCACTATATGGAGACTGTTCTAAACTCTGGAGAGACTTAGGCTCTGGAGAGACTAAGCAGGCAGGTACCCATCCTGGAGATGTTCACAGCCCAGGAAAGGAAGTCAAGGAGGTGGAGGAAGAAAAACAACAACAAAAAAATTGACTAAGTATATTATCATTTAATCCATTCATGAAACACATATATGCAAAATGATGTGTTTTAAGAATTTTATTTCATTTTTCAGATGAAGTCTCACTCTGTCACCCTGGCCAGAGTGCAGTGGCATGATCCTGGCTCATTGTAGCCTCTACTTCCTGGGCTCAAGCAATTCTTGTGCCTGAGCCTCCCGACTGGCTGGGACTACAGGCGTGCGCCACCATGCCTGGCTACTTTTTGTGTTTGTAGTAAAGACAGGGTTTCACCATGTTGGCCAGGCTGGTCTTGAACTCCCAACTTGGGGTGATTCACCTGCCTCCACCTCCCAAAGTGCTGGGAGTACAGATGTGAGCCACCGTGCCCGGCCTGTGCTTTAAGAATTTTAGAATAGTTGCCCATTGGGAAGGTGGTCTGAGGAATATGAGTAGGTATGGAAATAAAGGGAATAATTAAATATATTAAGCAATTTTTAGAAAACGAGAAAAAGAAATATATATATTAATGAAAAACAAGCTATTTCACTCAAATTGCAGTTTATGAGCAAAAGCAACAGAATAGCATTTAGTCTTCCAATTGCACAAAGCTTGTAACTTTCAGGACTAAATCTGAGGGAGCTAAATTCAGCACTGATGCCCGGACATGGAAGCAGGGAAAGAGGGCCAGGGCAGCAGCAGAAATGAATGGGAACATGGACCCAGCTGTGCCCTGCTCCTACTGGCTAAGGAGATAGGTTGATCAACCCATGAGGGCAGACCAGCAGCCAGTTGATACCACATTCACATGGCATTGATGTCTGTAAGTTATTTGCAATTTATTGAGCATATTCAGTACGTTCAGGCTTACGGTTACAACTCGCCCTATAAGCAAATTAGTTTATAGTGGTTTCTTTATGTGACCATGAGCTTAAACTTCTTTGGTGTCAACTGATGCTGAGATCAATTCCATACAGCATATCAGGGGACCCTGT
Organism: Homo sapiens; assembly: GCF_000001405.40. Lineage (NCBI taxonomy): Eukaryota > Metazoa > Chordata > Mammalia > Primates > Hominidae > Homo > Homo sapiens. The sequence goes on along the minus strand of NC_000008.11, from coordinate 131,808,148 downwards.
TCAGATATCTCATGATGAGCCGGGACTCAAAATGAGTGGCAGAAAGGAATGAATATATGTTGAGTGTGTACTCCACACCATCTCATTTATTCGTTAGAGTATAGCAAAGTATTACTGTTCTCATTTTCACACAGGAGACTTAAGACTTGCAAAGATGAGTTCACTTGCCCAAACCATAAAGTTCATTAGCAATGATTCCAGGATGTGAACAGAATCATATCTAACTTCACAACTCATGCCCTTCAACTAAACCCCACAGGAGATCTACCAGTGCCCACCTTGTACAACTTATATTCCCAGAATATTTGTTCACCAGTATTATGATCTCTTCATTAATTTCAGTGCATCCTGGACTATAGCTATACTTCAGATATAGCTATGGAGAATTTTTATATATTTCTTTGAGTCACTGCTTCTCAAACACAGCTCCCTCACTCTTGCAGCTGTGGCTTTGTTTAGGTAACGAGCCTGGTCACCATTTCCTCATCACTTATTTCTCTCTACTCATTTAAATCTTCAAAACTCAAATCATGGTCTCATGTGCTTTCCTTATGACTGCCCCATGACCTCAAGCCTTCCTGCATCCTTTGCACCGGTTGGTAGTCCCAAGCATATATTTTTGCAACTAATTATGTCCTGCTTCAAAATATCCCCTAATTATTTACACTTGTAAGTTTCATCTGTTCAACTACATACATATGGATTCTGTGATATCCTTGTTGATTGCTCTTTAACAAATCCTAAGATAGTCCGGGATGTGGTTAAGAACATCATCTTTCTCTACCCTGCTTCTGCTTCTCTTTATCTCAGTGCATGGCACTCCCAAACTCTGGTTGCCAAAGTAACAGCCAGAAGTCACCCTGGAGCCCTCCCGTTTCCACGTGGGCCCACATTTAATCAGTTGCCAAGCCCCATCAGTTCTACCATCCTAGTACCTTTTATCCTTACTGCTGTTACTTAGATTTAGGTCACCATCATCGCTCACTGGACTGATGCAACAGCCTTCTAACTGGTTTTCCAGTTAGAAGAGAGCTATCTTGCTCTCTCCAATGTGTGGTTCATACTGCAGACAAATTGATATGTTTTATTTTTATAAAATGGAGATTTGATAATGTGTCTCCACCATTGGCTCCCATTGCCTTGGGATCACTGTCCTTAGAAGATCATTACCTTAAGGGATTTTCAGTGATGAAGATCACGAAGACCAGAAGGGAAGAGGCGGGAAACTTGCTGCCCAGGCTCCTAGGTCAAATGAGAATAGGCAAAGAAGACCTGCAGGTAACTGATTTTTAGTTCAGCTGGCATGTAGGAAGACCTCAGATACTGAAGGCAGAAGCTGCTTTCAGATGCAGTGGGTACATTTGGTAGGAGCTTCTGGGGTCCTCCCCTGGGGAAGTGAATGCAAGAGAAAAAGCATAAAAATACAAGGGTTTCCCTCAGACACCCTCACCTGGGCTGGCTTCATACTTTGCACTTGCTGTCCTTTCTGCCTTGGATTCCTTTTCCTCAACTAATTGCAGTATTGCATTCTCATTTCCTTATGAGAGACTATTTCTGACCATCTTATGTGACATAACCAACCTCTCCAACATGAAACTCCCCATGCCTTTTGCCCTGCTTTGCTTTCTTGCCCTACATTTATTCACTGTTTGTCATTCCATATATTTATTTGTCATATCCCTTATTCTAGAATGGTCTGGAAGCTCCTACTCTGTGCTTTCAAATTTATCCTGTATTGTAAATGCTTGTTAATTTTCTGTCCCTCCCCATCACTCTAGACTATGAGCTCTTAAGGGCAGGAACTTTACTTCTATAAAGGATATATTTCACTGCTATATCCTTTGGAGTATCTGTCATTACAATTGACCCTAGAACAATGCAGGAGTTAGGAGTGCTGACCCTCCCCACAGTCGAAAATTTGTATATAAATTTTTACTGTCCCCAAACTTAACTTCTACAAGCCTACTGTTGACTGGAAGCCTCACCACTAACATAAAGTTGTTTAACACACATTTTATATGTTATATGTATTGTATATTGCGTTCTTACAATAGAGTAAGCTAGAGAAAAGACAATGTTATTAAGAAAATCATAAGGAAGAGAAAATCTGTTTCCTATTCCTTAAGTGGAAGTGGATCATAATAAAGGTCTTCATCCTCATCATCTTCACATGAAGTGGGCTGAGGGGGAGGAGAAAGAGAAGGGGTTCATCCTGCTGTCTCAGGAGTGGCAGAGGTAAAGGAGGTAGAGTAGACAGAAGGGGAAGCAGGACAGGCAGGCACGCTTGCTGTAACTTTTATTGAAAAAAATCTCTGTGTATAAGTGGACTTGTGCGATTCAGCCTGTATTGTTCAAGGATCAACTGTACTTTAATTTCACAGGTGAGAAACGAAGGCAAGAGATAGAAAGATATAGCACTGGCCAAAGTTGTGCATTAGTAAGTGGCAGAAACATGATTAGTGCAGGCATTCCACTCACTCATTGATTTGCTGAACATTTAATTATTGATTACTCTTCCTATTATTTCAACAAATATTAATTGAAGGGCTTCTGTGCTCTGTGACAAAGAATGAATGATACAGAGTCCCCATGACACACAACTCACAGTCTAATGGAAGGTAAATATGCATAAATAATTCCAGAACAGAGTGATGCTGGAAGCAGAGTAGGGACAGTACACCTCACCCTGTCAGCTGGGGGCAGGGTGGCCCATAAGGAAGGCTTTTCAGAAGATGTGACATCTACAAAGAACCCCCCAAAATTAGTGAGACTGAGTCAACAAATGAGTGAGGATGGGGGCCTTGGGCAGCATCAAGTGCAAAGTTCTCCTAGGCCCTGTGGGTCATATTAAGACATTGAGGCTGAGTGTGTGGCCCACTCCTGTAATCCAAGCACTTTGGGTGGCCGAGGTGGGCAGATCGCTTGAGGCCAAGAGTTTGAGACCAGTCTGGCCAACATGGTGAAACCCCGTCTCTACTAAAAATACAAAAAATAGCCGGGTATGGTGGCATGAGTTACTCCTGTAATCCCAGCTACTCAGGAGGCTGAGGCAGGAGAATCGCTTGAACCCAGGAGGTGGAGGTTGCGGTGAGCCGAGATCATGCCATTGCAATCCAGCCTGGGCGACAGAGCTAGACTCCGTCTCAAAAACAAAACAAAACAAAACAAAACAAAACAAAACAAAACAAAAGACATTGAGCACTGTCATAACAGCAAGGGGAAGCCAGTGAGAGCTGCAGAGATGAGTAGGCTGCCAACAGGAAAAGATAGGGGAAAACAGTGAGGGAGTGAGGCAGTGCATTCCTGGGAGAACAGTGCAGGAATCCCCCCAACGCCAGAGAGCGTTGGTGGATTACCGTGACTGTGGGTTAGTAAACAAACATGAAACTGGACACCTAGCTCAGGCACGCCATTGGGTATGGCTTCTGTCCTTTCCCTAGCCCTCTTCTTGTATGCATTGATCTGAAAAGTGGGATTCTGCTGAGATAACCAAATTTATGCGACAATTGTCAGCTTCACTTATGTTTTAGGGATAGAGAAGAGGGAGTGAGAGAGGGAAACGGCAGAATATTCCCAAGGTGATGTTTTGTTTGGCACCTTCCCATCCTCAACTGACTCCACCCCTGCTCTTGAGTCTGTTGTTCCTTCTGCTGCCCCACAGATAAAGACAGGTAAGTCAGGCCAGTTTGATAAAAGAGGCAAGGCTTGTTTAGAGATGACCCTTTGAGGAGCTGGGAAAATGCCTCTGCTGTACAGTAGGTGGCGCCCTTGCCTCTGTCTCAGAATTTGTGAGGTTGACAAACCCTTTGACAAATTTGTTTCTTTTCTGCTCTGGGGACCTCAGTCTCAGAAGTGAAGAATCGTAACCTATGGAAGGATGAAGAAGGGGAAAGATGACTAGCAGGTGTTGAGATGCTTGTATGTGCCAGGCGTGTGCAAGGCACTTCAGTATACAAAATCTTATTCAGTCCTCCCAACTCTGCAGTCCCCCTCCACCTCCAACCCTGCCCCTCTCCCTCCATCTTTTCCTAGTCCCTCCTCCTGCCATCTTGATTTTCCTCATTACCATTGAAGCCACCATCGACTGAGGACTTACTATGAGCCTGGCACCAGCCCGAGCCCCTCTCATACACGATTTCATTTCATCTTTCCACTAAGCTTCTTTGTTGGGTTCTATCGTTGTCCTCCTTTTGCAAATGAGGAAATTGAGCCTTGGAGGGATAATGCAATTTTTCAAGAGTAATAAATGGTAGAATAAAAACTTGAGACTAATTCAGTCTTCCTCAACCATAAAGTACTGCACTTTTCTGTTACATTGTGTTGTTTGATTTTTAAGGTTCATAGTTACAAACATAATCCCTCCTCCTCCATATTCAGCTAAGAACTTCTGACCTTTTTTCCACATCACAGTCTGAGCACTGAGACACAGGATGTCAAAATGATCCCTCCCTACAGCACCACAAGTGTTCAAATCTGGATTCTTGAGACTGAGGAGATGGTGCCTCCGCTTTTACCCCCACTTCTGCTGCTCCACTCATTCCCAGTATTAGTGTGCATGTCTGTCTTTAGGTAGATTGTACGCTCATCTGTTATCCATTTATTTATTCAGCCCTTCATTCATTAATCACATCAGCTAACATTTAATGAACATATGCTATGTGCCAAGCTCTGTTCTAGAGAGGCACAGTTTAATAAAATAGAATCCCTGATCTCAAGGAGCTCACAGTCCAGTGGAAGAGACAGACCATTCAATCTGCCACTTATCACAGTGTGATAAGTGGTATGATATAGGGGATCATGTGGCGCTGCGGGGCCCCCAGGAAGGGCAGCTCTTTTGTGCTCAACACAGTATATGGCCCTTGGCCGGGTGTAGTGGCTCACACCTGTAATCCCAGCACTTTGGGAAGCTGAGGTGGGTGGACTGTTTGAGCCCAGGAGTCCAAGACTAGCCTGGGCAACATGGCAAAATACCATCTCTGCAAAAAGTACAAAAATTAGCTGGGGATGATGGCATGCTCTTGTAGTTTCAGCTACTTGGGAAACTGAGGTGGGAGGATCACTTGAGCCCAGGAGGTTGAGGCTACAGTGAATCCTGATTGCACCACTGTGCTCCAGCCTGGGGGACAGGTGAGACCCTGTCTCAAAAACAAAAAGCAAAGAACACAGTATATAGTACTAAGTATATGTACAATTACAGTACATAGTACTAAGTACTTGTACAATAAAAGTACATGTACTAAGGGGTACAATGAAACTACATTAAATAATCGAGTGAGTAAACCCAGCCTGGGAGTCAGATAAAGCTTTCTGGAGGAAAATAAGCCACATCTAAGAGCAAAGAAGGAAGGGAGGAGAATTAGCCAGGTGAAAGGAGTGGGAAAGGGGTGGGACTAAGGGTGCATTTTCCCTATGAGTGTAGCAGTAGCAGGTGCCCAGAAGTTGCGCAGGTTCTGGAACAGGTGCCTAGCTTATAGTACTGTGCAGAGTGGGTGGTCAGTGAAACCCAGGGATTCTGTAGGGATTCTATTTAGGCCTCTGTTGCACAACTATGGAGAATGGTTCCGCTATTTCCTTTATGCACATCGCATTCACAAGAGTGTTGCTTCTCTTTGAATCCAAATGTCTCTGTCTGCCCTTTTTGATGTTGCCTGTCATTTGGTACCACCCCATCTATCCCTTTCTTTCTTGGATCTTTCCCAGCCCACACCTTTGTTCCTACAGGGTTCAGATCTTCTCTGCCTTCTGCATACACTTCTTCACTCTCCATGGCTTTCCTTATGCAGTTATCTCCATGTAGAACATCCTTTCTCTATTCTGCATAGCAAAGTCCTTTCAGTCCTGCAAATGCCACCACCTCCAGGAAGTGATAACCTCTGCCCCAAATTATCTCTACCTTCTTTAAATCCTTGTACTGATTTTATAGTCATGACCAGACAGCTTATCAGTTTACCATGAGTCTCATTCCGTCTCCTTAATTCACTTGGAACGGTCACTGCATCTTACAGAAGTGAAGGCACATCCCCAAGGTCACACACAGTGAATTAGGACCAGAGATGAGCTTAGAATCCAGAATCCCCATTGGCCCCAGATTTCAGCAATTTTCTGTTGCCCCCAGATATTGGTAATTACCCTTGTCACCGCCTACTCAACTTTCTCTTCACTGAATTTTGCCCTCACCTGTCTCCTTCTCACCCTTTTCCAAATCTGCACCTCTTCTCAGCTTCTTCTGGGAACACTGGAGTTTCTATCCTCAAGGGGAAACAAACAGCTCAGATGCATCTGCCCTTAGTCATGTCTCTGAGTTTCAAAGTCTCCTCCGCATGTATGCTGGAATGTGTGCCTCCAGGTGCCATTCACTTTGCCAGGGTGTGTTGGGGATGTAGCTAATGTTCAAACACAAAGCAACATAGAAACACACGTGCTCGTGCACACACACACTCTAGTAACTGAAAATGCATCACCACACTTTTATCCTTTTTGGCATTTTTAGCTACCTCTGTTGAGAGTGAATTGAAGACTAAATCACCAGATCTAAATCTATTAGGTGCAAATATAATTTTCATTAGGAATAGTTAGAACAGTTGATGGCCTTTGTGGGCTAAGTGAGGATGGACATGGGATTTGGGGTCAGGCAGACCTGGCACCTGTGAAGTCTATGAGTCCTTCCCTGGGCAGGTCACTGAATTTTGTAACTTTATTTCCTCACCTGTAGATCGGAGCCAGAAAGGGACAACTCCATCTCAAAGAGTTTGTGCAGTTGGGTTCCCTGACTCCCTTTCTCCCACCCCTGATTCATACTTCAAATGAGCAGAGGGGTCATTTCTTTTACTCCTTCTCCACTGTTTAATGGCTTCTTGTTGACCTCAAGATAGAGTCTAAACCTCCTGTATCATGCACATGACATACAGCCTCATTCATTTTGTAGGCATTGATTAAGTACTCTTGCCAGGATTGTGTTGAGTAATGGAAAGACTAGAAGAAAGAACTACAATCCCTTTTCTAAAGAGACCCACTCTTTCTGCCCCTTCCTTATAATACTGCCATGCTGAATTGCTGAGGATCTCAGAACTCACTATTATGATCCAACTCCTGTATCTTTGAAGACGCTCTTCCCCCTGCTTGAATTTTTTTTCCCAGTTGTCTCCCTAGAAGACTATACTTAATTTTCCCATCCCTAACCAGGTGGCATGTTTTCTACAAAGCCCACCCAGAATGCCCCAGGCAGAGTCACCCTTCTCTTTCCTCCGTCCCACCTCCATACACCCACTTACTGCTGTCTCAGCTCTCTCCCTACTACGAGCATTTATTTGCATACATTGTCTGCCTCCAGAGAATAGGGACTACAATCTATTCAGTCACTCAGCTCCTCCTCCTTATCATCAGCCACTGAGTGCTTACCACAGACCAGACATCAGGTCAAGTTTGTGTATCTTATCTCATCTAATCTTCACAGCAATTATATAACTCTCATTAGTGTATTCATTTTACAGATGTAGAAACTGAGCCTGAGAGCAGGTAAAGACCTCGTTCAAGGTTGCCTGGTAAGTGTCAGAGCCAGGATTTGAACTCATGCCGTCTGACTCCTGAGTCAGTGCCCTTACCATCCTGCATACCCTCCATTGTAATGGCTAATAGGCTTATGCTGAGTGACTGGATTGAGCATTACAAAAATTCTTCCATCATATTATAGTTGTGCATGCATATCATCTACTCAGTGCTTTTTAAACTACTTGTAGTGAAGGACTTGGGTGTTGTTAAGCTTCCATCTTTTGTGGACAAATACTTTTGTACAATACAATGAAAACTGAATTACTAGAAAAACAATCATGCACTCAGATACTGTGACTATATTGAATTGCTTTCAATGTTTCCAAATATTTACTCTCAGTTTCTGTCCTTAATGCATTGTGGACCATCTTTGTACAGCATTGCTCTGCCAGCTCGGAATAGACATGTGTTGAAGATGAATTGCAGAATGGATCTGGATTATTTGACTGAGGGTTTTTAATGAAGAAGAATGGAAAGCTGCAAACCTTATGAATTTTTACCATGGGGTAGATCCCTGTTTGGCCTTCTGTGCGAAAGGAAGAATTTCATCCACCAGAGGGTGGTTCTGTACACAGGACTGAAGTAGAGAGCGTGGGGTGAGATGGGGCGGGGGGTGGGGGAGCAAAATTTGCATCATTGATGCCATTTGAAGATGTCTTCCTGCAGTTGGAGAGGAAAATTAGGCCAGGACTTAAAATAGTTAAAACTACTATTTAAAAAGAATATATTGCTCTTTCATGCTCAAATTGGCTTTTGGAAAGAAATGATGAACTGTTTGACTTATTCACCAAGACAGTGGCATTTTTGACAAGTTCTCCGGTAGAACATTATATTTTGAAAAATCTTATTTTGAGTTCTTTTTTGGTTGCACTTTAACATACTGGTCATTTTCTGATGACAAATAGCAGGAACTTATAAAGAAGCAGTGTTGGGGAAATACGCTGGATGTGAAAACATAAATAGCATCAGACATTGTCCTTGAAAAGGCCCATAGATGTCTAGATCAAGGTTCTCATTTTAAAGTGAGGAAACTGAGCTCCTGGGAGGGTTAGTGTCTAGACCGTGGTCATGCACCAACAATAAATAGGCTAGGATAAAAATCCTGATGCCTGGCCATGTCAGCCAAACATTTGCTGAATATTAGAGCCCCTCCAAAAAGCACCAAGGGTGAGAATGGAGAAGAAAAAGCTTCCAGGTCTGTGAATGTTGCTGAGCTGGTCAAGCATCCATCCACTGGTGTTCTCTGATGTTCAAGACAATTTGCTTTTATATTCTTCATAAAAATTTCCCAAGGAACTATGAGATGGTGCCCCATGATGGATTCCTCCCAGCCCTGAGTTGTTAGTCAATTCCCATATGCATGGAGTCTCAATTATGGCCCAAATAAGTAATGTTTCTGACTTAAGTGCATAATTTACTGCTTTTGAGGACAAGTAGAAGCTGTTGTAATTATTCACTTATAGTATAATAAACTGTGTGTTGTTAGAACAGCTCTTTTTCATTTATTTTCTTGGTCACTTATATTTAAAAAAACAAGTATAGTCATATAGGCAGATGCAAAAGATTTTGATTTTAAAAAAGAGTTATCTTATTTGCAAGACTGGAAACCACATGGATAGATGATGTGTTGAAAACTGCTGTGAACTTAGGAAAACACAAGTGCTAAATTGTTTGTAATGCCCAGGATGAGTTAGAAGCACATTGTAGTAGACAGAGAAAGGGAATATAGGCTTCTGGGGGCTGCTTAAGTTGAGTTTAAACATAATGGTTAAGAGCACTGGTTTTGAGGTCGGTCACTCTTGGGTTTAAATTTCTCCTTTCCCACTTACTATCTGTGTGCTCTTAAGCAAATTACGTAATCTTTCTTAGTATGTTGTCTCATTTGTAATATAGGGCTTCTAATACCTATTTCATAGCATTCTTGCAAGGATTAATTAAAATAATCGTCTAGTACAATGCTGAATCATAGTAAGCATTTGATAAATGGTGACTGTCAGTCCATTACCACCACCACCACCTCCACCACCATCATTGCTACTACTACTGGCACAGTCACCATCATTATTACAATCAGTACCACCATCACCATCATAACCACCACTGCTACAATAACCACCGTCATCATCATTATCAACATCACCACCATATCTTGCTAATTTACCTGAAGGCGATCTCAGCTTTCCATTAAAATCTCACTTGTCACTTCCTGTTACCACTATGTCATTTATGGCTGGCAGGGGGTGTTGAGGGTATGTTGGTCCTAAAGTCACCTTTTGTTCCTTCCTTACTTGTGTTGTTTGGCTGTCTCAGTGCCAGCATCCATCTCCTTCTGCCTCTGTCTTTCCACCATGAGGCTTGTGGTTGAGCACCATCTGCCATCTTAGGTTGCTTGAGTTCTTGAGCCAAACCCAACAGGGGGAGAAGGTATATCAACTGCCTCAGTCCAACTATCTGTTGAAATAAGTCTTTCTGCTATTGAACACAGTACACCTATGGAAAGACTAAACTTTGGGATGCAGTGTTCGCTGCCTTTAGCATGTGGTACCGTCTACAAGCCCTGGTATCTGCCTCTCTCTTAAAGTCTGGCAATCCAGTTTCTGGCTCAAACTGGATACCTTCTGGAAACTTATGTCCCGCACAGCCAGTCCCCTATTCCAGAGGTCTAGACCCTTCTTTTCATGACATAAGTTACCACCTAGAAGCCAAAGTAAATGTACAAAATAACACCAGATTATGGTACCAGTGCAGTGTATTGGTCAGGACTCTTTTTGTCATATGCAGTAAAAACTGAGTTCAGATCCACTTAAAGAAAATAAATTATACTATAAGCTCACACAACTTAAGGAAGTCTAGGGGTTACTGGCTTTGAGCTTGGCTGCATCCAGGTGTTCATACTTTCATCACTGGAATATCTCTCCATCTCTTGGCTAATTCTCTTCTGTGTTGCCTTCTCTGTGAGCCCTAATGGTGGACCCTGCTCTACCAGCCTTATTCCCTGTCTTCTCAGCAGCTCCAGGTGAGAGAGAAAGATTTCCCAATCATTCCCACACATGTTTCGTGATCGACATCCATCGTGCTGGTGTGAATTGCATGTCTATTCTTGAATCAGTCGCTGTGACCAAGGAGATGGAGCACAGGATGATGGAGCAGGCCTGTGGGATATGATTATCTCTGGAGCCAGAGGCAGAGGTCAGCCCCAGGTAAATCACATGGCCAGAGATGAGGAGATGGAATCTCCCATTGGAAAATCAGGGCTTATATAAGAAAAGGAAATTCTGCATCTGAGGATACTAAAAGAATATCTGTGTATTGCATGACCTGCTTTTGACTGGTCCCTCCTACTTAAATTTAACCCTAAACTTACCCCAGTGGAAAACAGTGAAAGGAATACGGCTTTGTAGTTAGCAAACCTGTTTGAATCTTTGCTTTCCCAGTTCCTGGCTGAGTGATCTTGGGTAAGTTGCTTAACATCCATGAGCCTTAAACTTCTCTTCTTAAAGTGGGAATGATAATGCTTTCTTCCCAGTATTTGTTTTGAGATTTAAATTGTACCATCTATGGGTCCTGGCACATAGCAGTTATTCAGTTTATGTCAGTTCTCTCTTCCTTTCTGACCCATACTTGAGCTTGTTACACCATGTATGTACTTGGGCTACCCCAGAGAAACTATTTTCATCAATTTTGCCCATGCTTTCTCTTTGTTATCACATTAGTGATATCAGAAGATCCATCCATCTATCCATGCATCCATCTATCCATGCATCCATCTATCCATGCATCCATCTATTATAACGAATAATAATTATAAAAAGGGCAATAATTCTGCCCTTTCTTCTGCCTGGCCTGTCTCTTCCCAAGCCTTTTGATTTTTTTCTTTAATATAGGAAAAGTTGAGGATTTGATTAGGTAGGTTAGGGTTCTTCATGACACTGATGGTCTATAGTTCTACTGGGCTGAGTCACTCTTTGGAACAGCCTCTCAGCTCCAGGCCTTGCCTCAGTTGCAGGCTTAGCCAAGCCCCCTTATGGTTCCATCCATCTCACTGGTAGCTGTATGAGTAGTGGAACACAGAGTCTAATTGTTTAGGTCATAGACTCACTTGCATTATCATCCCTGAGTGAGTGGTTCTAAGGCTTACTTTCTGAGGTAAGAAAATGGTGGTGGTAGTGGCAGTGGTGGTGTTAAGGGAAGAATAACTAGAGTAATAAGTCCTGTAGGAATGTAAGTCATGTGTCTCTGCTACAGAGAGCCCTGAAATGGGCTTCAGGCACTTGTGCAGCCCACAATGAAATAGTACTTAAATTCACACTTCCTCTTACTTGGGTGTGTATTTATGGCCTTCAGAACTCTAAGGGGAGGTCAAAATGATAGGAAGGGCAGTATATATATCATTCCTAATGCCTTGACCTTAATGCCATCAACCCTTACCTAGAATGCCCGACAGTAGCTATTATCATTAAGTATCTTCTGCATGTTAGGCATGTACTAAGTGCTTTACATATATTATTTTATTTATTCATCTATCAAAGTAAACATAGATGCATCATCCATCTATCTGTGTCCATCCATCCATCCTTCCATCCATCCATCCGACCTTCCAGTCCATCCATCTGACCTTCTTATCTATCTATTATCTATCAACTATCAACTATCTATCTATCTATCTATCTATCTATCTATCTATCTATCTATCTTCTATCACCTATCTATCCATCCAACCATTCATCATTACTTGAATGTGTCTTCTGTGTCAAGCCCTGGTCTAGGTAGACCACAGTCTAGGAAATTTTGGACTTTTTTGCTCCTTACCCCTAAGAAACCTTCATCTTCTTCCATGCCAACTAAGTTATGAGGTCACTGCTGGTTTGAAGACTTAGCAAGTTCTCCCACTGACACTCAGGCTTGTTATGGGGATAAAATGAGATAAAAGATGTGGAAAATCTTCAGTACCATAAGGCTCTAAGCAAACCCAGAAGGTTGTTCTTTGCTCAACTTTCAGAACTGTGAAAGGAGAGAATGGAGCAGGCACTGTATTAGTTTCTTATTGTTTCTACAATAAATTACCACAAATTTAGTTGCTTAAAAAGACCACAACTTTATTATCCTGCAATTGGAGGTAAAAAGTACAAAATAGCTCTGACAAGACTAACATCAAGGTGTTGGCAGGGCTATGTTCCTTGGGAAGACATCTGAGAAATATCGATTTCCTTGTGTTTCTAGCTTCTAGAGTCTGCCCATAGAGCTTCTGTTGTGGCCTCTTCCTCCACCTCTGAAGTCAACAATTGCATTCCTTTGACCTCTGCGTTTATTGTCACATTTTCTTTTCTGACTCATCTACTTTGTCTATTTCCTCTTTCCTTTTTAAGGCCCCTTGAGGTACATCAAGTCTACCTTGGTAATCCAGGATAATCTTCCTATTTTAAGATTCTTAATCACATCTGTAAAGTATTTTTTGCCCTATAAATTAATATATTCTCAGTTGATGCATTCACAGGTTCTGAGGATTATGACGTGGGTATCTTTGGAGAGCTACTACTCTGCCTCCCACAGGCATTATCACCATCTGTGCTCTCTTGCAGAAGTTACTAAGCCCAAGTTTTCCCATTTGCAAAACGGGCCTTATAATAGCATCACAATCATAGAATTGTTGTGAAGATTAAATGTGGAAACACTTATGAAGTATTTAGCACAATTGGTGGGACATAGTAAGTGCTCATTAAATTATAGATAGGATGATGATGATGATGAGTTCCTGTGTAGTAATCCCCTCTTTAGCTTACATGGGGATAGAGGCCAAATAGAGAGTTAAAGAATGGCTTTCCATTCTACTGGTTTTATTCTTCTAATAAAAGTCTAGACACTGTCTTTGGGATGAATTGGCCTACTATGACTCTTTTTTCAATTTAAAAAACTTGGACCAATTTTTCAAGAAAAAAATAATTGTTTGCCATTATCAGAAACATAACTTTAAGTTCACAAAAAGATGTTTGTGTGTCAGCATGTGTGGGGAATAAGAGTGTGGAGAAGGTGTGGGAAGAACGATAAAATGTCTTTGCCCAGGGCCATAATGGTTATGACATCCAGAGCTTGAATCTTGTTTCATTTTCCTTCGTTTTTTTGCCTGCAAAGGAAATATCTGAATCTGCCAAAGCAATTTCATTTTTCATATACAAGGAATACAGTTATCCATTCCAAATAGTGTTCAGAATAAAACTTAATTGAAAACGTAATCAAACTGAGAAATTGCTTGACCAGCTGGGGTCACATTCATAAAGAGCTGTCTGTTTATCCCTCAACCACGACAGGGTCTGGTGCCATTGTCCCATCATTCAATGTCCCTGCTCTGAGGGAGCCCCCTCAATCTAGCTGCTCTGTATTGCTGAAAGGTCACCAGTCAGAGAAACAGAGAGCAAGCTCTAACTGGGAAAGCAACAAAATAGGTCCCTTTTGATTTCATTGCAGATTTCCTGCTTTCAGAGTTTGAATTGTTTGTTAGACAATTGAGGTTTCACTGCTTTCGAAGAGGGCTCGTGCTGTGTCACTGGTTATGTAAGAACTTCTTGATTTTGGTTGAGAGACTCTGGCCCTGGTAGCCCAGACTCTTCCCTCCCATCTCCTTCTTGAAGCTAATCTATGTAAATAGGTCATAGCATTTCCTCCAGCAGAAACCCAGAACCCTGGGATAATAACATTGGGAAGGCTCATGTTAGTTGGTGGTGTTTGCAGAGGAATAATTGTGCCATTCTGTGAGATGGATAGAGACAAAAAGGAACATAAGTCTAGAATCTTAAATATTCTTATGGGCTGCATTGTGTCCTCTTGTTCTCCCAAATTCATATGTTAAAGTCTTAACCCTCAGTAACTCAGGAAGTGACTATATTTGGAGATAGAATCTTCAAGGAGGTAATTAAGTTAAAAATGAGGTTATTAGGGCGGCCCTAACCCAATATGACTGGCGTGCTCATAAAAAGAGGAAATTGGGACACAGATGTACAGAGGGAATAATACCACGTGAAGATATAGGGAGAAGACAGCCATCTGCAAACCAAGGAGGAAGGCCTTAGAATAAATCAAACCTGCCAACACCTTGATCTTGGACTTCCAGCCTCCAGAATTGTGAGAAAATAAATTTCTGTTGTTTAAGCCACCCAGTTTGTGGTATGTTGCTATGGCAGCCCTAGCAAACTAAGACACGGACCTAGGATTTACATCCTGCCTCCTTGCATAACATTAAGCAAATCACTAGATTTCTCTGAGTTTCAGTTTTTCCCTTCTGAAAAACGTGTTAGTAATAGTCATTTTTCTGCAAATTACACAAGGTTGCTGGTGAGAGTGAAACTGGATCAAGTCTGTGAAGAGTTCTGTTATATGCCTCTCACCCAGGCTAAGTGGCCAAAAAATAAATGGTCTTATGACTTTTCAGCTAGCCACCATGTAAACCAGGATGGTGATTTGATTTCACTTCTTGTGCCATGTTGGAATAATCTGTCATGATATTTTGGAATGTTGAGATGAGGTAGGTTGTAAGAATATGTGAAAATTCAGTGGGAAGAGCACCTTGATTGAGTTGAAGCAGTTGTACTATGGATTTAGGAGGAGAGGGAGGTAGCAAGTGTGCCCTTCCTTTGTCAACTAAAGTCAGAGGTCATCTACTCTACATCTTCTATAATATCACTAAATCAGTTGAGATTTTTCCTGCTTTTTAAAAATTCTCTTTAGGTAATGTTATCTCAAACACATTATAGCATTTGTCTTTTAATTTTTAAATCTTATTCTTTGTATTAGTTTCCTATGGCTACTGTAACAAATTACTATAACCTTGGTGGCTTAAAGCAATACAAATTTATTTACTAACAATTCTGGAGGCCAGAAGTGCAATATTAGCCCCACTAGGCCAAAATCAAGGTGGTGGCAGGGCTGATTCCTTCTGGTGGCTCTTGGAGAGGATCTGTTGTTTTTTTTTTTCTAGCTTCAGAAGGCTGCCTGCCTTCCTTGTCTCATGCCGCCTTCCTTGTCTCATGCCGCCTTCCTTAAATCACTCCTGTTGTCACATCTCCTATTTCCTCCTTTGACATTCTTACCTTGCAGGACCTCTGTAATGACTTAGGGTTTACCTGGATAATACAGGATAGTAGCTCCAACTCCAAATCCTTAACTTAATCACATCTTCAAGTCCACTTTGCCATATATGGTAGTGTTTTCAAGTTTTGGGGTACAATATGGATATTTGGGGTAGGGGGCGTTTTTCAGCCTACCATATAGCATCCAAAAGGAAAGTGGAAAATGTCAAGAACAGAATCTTTCCCTAATTGTCTTAATTGTTAGCTTTGTGGCCTTGGGAAAGTCACTTAACCTCTCTGAGCCTGTTTCCTCAAATGCCCAATGAGCGTGACATTACCCACCTCATTGGGTTGCTTTGAGAATTCGGTTACATGAAATATATGGGAAACAGTTAATATAGTTCCAAGAACACAGCAGGCTCTTAGTAAATGGTAGCTATTTTGTTTCATTTGCTCTAGTTTTGTCGTTCCAAATTTATATACACTCTCTAACTTATTTTTTTCTTTTTGTTTTTCACAGAAAGAGCCATCTCAGACCCAATTCTCTCTTGCCCTTAGTTAGTCTAGCACAGAGGCGCTAAGTCCTACAGGGGCATTGGCTGGTTACCTGCAGGCATGCAGGCAGGCGAATATTTTTAACCTCAAGGAGATCAAGACGGGCTTAGCCCTTCTCCACACATCAGAGGTCAAGTTCTCTTTCCAGTAACAGAGAACGTGATACCTTCGGCTCCAACTCTAGTTCCCAGGACTAGAAATCATGAGATATTTAACCAGCCCAAGGCCTCCTGCGTCCACCCACTGTCCAGCCTGAGATCCCTTGCTGCTTGGCCTGTGGCAGCGTGGGCCCCATCATACCCCAGCCTTCTGCCTTGTTCTGAGATTGCCCTTTGTTTCTGCTTCTTTCCAAGTCTGACAAACTACGCGATGCCTCAGTCTTATATGTAATCACTTGCCACACTCTTGCCAGCTTTATCCCCAGAAATTAGGATCTTGTCTTAAAACCCAGTTCAGGAGGGAGGAGTGATTCCTCACTGATAATGCTCCCTGATACCAGCTCAAGCCTCAGATTCGCCTGTAGTTGTGTTTGGTCTTTCTGTTGGGACAAAACATTCATCCATCTATCCATCCACTGTTTATTGAGCCCCTATCATAGCCCCGGCTGACAGAGATGAATAAAATATAGTCCTGGCTCTCATGAAACTCACACTCCAATGAATAACACAAATAAGTAAACAGATAGTTATACAATACAGTGTGAAACATAATTCAATTAATATTTAAAAGAAGGCCAATGGGACCTCAGAAGAGGAGGTGGTTAATTTTGAGGTGAGAAGCTAGAGGAGCCTTCACAGAGGGGATGATGCTGGGGCTGGAGTTAGAGACTAAGTAGGAGATTGGCAAGTGGATAAGGAAGGGCATTACTCCTGCCAGCTGCTTGTCAAGCCTGAAACCGGGTGTCTTCCAATTCCAGAGTGGTTCCTTCCAATTCTCAACTCTCCCAGAGAGTAGCTGCTATCTACTGGATTGAGTTCTTCTCTAAATTCAGATGTTGGCATCCTAACCTCCACTGTGACTGCATTTGGACAGTGTGCTTATAAGGAGATAATTAAGGTTAAATGAGGTCCTGAGGGTAGGCCCCTAATCTGATAGGGTTGGTGCTCTTATAAGAAGAGGAAGAGGCACCAGAAATCTCTTTCTTCACCATGCGAAGACACATCAAGAAGGTGGCAGTTTACACGCCAGGAAGAGATTCTTCATCAGAAAATAAGTTGGCCAACTCCTTAATCTTGGACCTCCCAGAGCTGTGAGAAAATAACCTTTTGTTGTTTAAGCCACCAGTGTGTGGTATTTTATTTATTATGACAGCCCTAGCTGACAAAGCTGGCAGCTGAAGTAAATTTGTGCTTTTGGCTCCCCAGCAGACACACTGTAGGTGAAGAACAGATATTTACTGAATGAAAACAGACTGAGTGCCTTAAATACGTCTTCCCACTTCATCATGACACTACAAAAAAAAGAAATTTTTATCCCCATTTTAAAGATGAACAATTATTGAGGCTCAGATGGCGCCAATGAGTTGCCTGAAGTCATTTAGTAGAGCTGGAATTTAAACTTAGATCTGTTGGGTGCAAAGTTTGAGCATTTGCTCTCTAGGTAAGGATTGATTCTAAAAGGAGTAAAGCCTTATTTGCCCATCCTTTGGTGTCATTTAGTAGAGCTGGACTTTAAACTTAGATCTGTTGGGTGCAAAGTTTGACCATTTGCTCTCTAGGTAAGGATTGTTTCTAAAAGGAGTAAAGCCCCATTTGCCTATCCTTTGGTTCCATTCAGGCAATCCCGTTCAGCCAGGCCCTGCACCTGCTCTGGGTTCATCCTAGGGACTCTAAGGATGTGTCAGCAGGGCTTTGGGTTTCAGGAATGGGCTCCATTAACTTCTAACTTTGACTGTGTCGCCCCCCACCCATTTCCCCAATCAGCCACAGAACAGTTTAACAGGGCTGTATCCTTCTGCTGTGTGCATTTATGAGTGCACCCCATAAATCTCCAGAATTGATACACACACTGAGCAGAATAACTCACCCCACCTGAGCCTGCTGTTTAGGAACTGAGCTGACCCACGTGATGAATGGCTGGTCTCTTTTGGATGCAATGTTATGCTGCAGGAAGGGTGAATATCTGATACAGTAATCTTCTGAGATGTTATAAATGAAACTGGTTTGTTATTTCTGTCTCTGCCTTAAGGAAGTTGTAAGAGTATCTTTAGAGAAGTGTGCCTGATTTCATTATCAGTGCACATGTATTGAGCACCTGCTGTGTGCCATGATAGGCTCTGGGGGTTCAGGGAAGACTCAGATACAGTCTCTGCCAAGAGTGAGCTGCTGCCTAAATAGACATGTGCGCCCCTGTGTGTAGCTCGAGCTACACAGCTGTAGGGAAGGCCCTTAAGCTGTTGAGGCCTCACTGTGCTGATCTGAAACTTGGACCAAAGGACTCATTTTTTTTGTTGTTACCAAACAGCCTCTGGCAATATACCCAGCCCTGTGCCTGGCACATGGGAGGTGCCCATGCATCTGTGTGTCCTAGAAAGGTGTAAAAGCCAGCAGCGTGGGTGATGAGCGTGCAGGGGTGACTCTTCTTTAAAGAAACTGGAGCAGTAGCTCAGCCCTGAAAAGAGCACTTAATAAAACATTCACTGCTCATCACAACTTGACCCTTGTCTGCCAAGGTAGATGGGCCTGTTCTGAGACCAAGCCAGATAGAGAATGATAATTCAACCACTTCTAGGTCAGGGGGTTTTGTGAACTCTCTTGGTGGAATTATGTGTTCATTGATTTTTTATAAGTAAAAGTCATTTCTGGATATGCAGGCTGTGGGAAGTGATCTAAATCACTTAATATAAGATTATTGCCTCGTTGTTTTCAAATATATAGGATTAGGAATCAGAAAAAAAGGTGTGATTAAAAACATTCTTTGGAGTCAGTGTGTAAATTCCAGATGTGTCCTTCGCTAGCTGCGTGACCCTGGGGCTATATCTCCCCTTCTCTGAGCTTCTTTTTCATGATCAATCACCAATAAGTGAACAAAAAATGATTATAATATCCATTTAATGATTATAATATCCATTTATAGTTGTCATAAGGAAAGCATTGACATTTTCTATGTAAAGTGCATACAACATGTAACCAGCTCTTTATCAGTAATAGCAGTTATTACTAGGAAGAAAAAGATGAAACAAGAGCCAGAATGAATAAAAGAAATGCTAAAGGGCCAGGTACAATGGCTTACACCCGTAATCCCAGCACTTTGGGAGGCCAAGGTGGGCAGATCACTTGAGGCCAGGAGTTCGAGACTGGCCTGATCAACATGGTGAAACCCCATCTCTACTAAAAATACCAAAATTAGCTGGGCATGGTGGCACACGCCTGTAATCCCAGCTACTTGGGAGGCTGAGGCAGGAGAATCACTTGAACCTGGGAGGCGGAGGTTGCAGTGAGCTAAGATCGCACCACTGTACCCAGCCTGGTGACAGAGAAAGACTCCGTCAAAAAATAAAATAAAATAAAAATAAATAAATAAATAAATAAAAATAAAGAGAAAAGAAAAGGAAAATGAAAGGATAACAATAAGGATGGGTGGAGAAAGATGATAAAATGGAAGGACAAATGAGGCAAAGGTGCTGTCTTCTCATGTTTGAAGAGTTTTTGATAAATAAAGTGTCACAAACTCTTGGTTTCCTCAAAGACATTTTTTGATTAGGATCGATGTTTACAAGTGGTAGAGAAGCAGGTATTGTTTAATATGAAGAACAGTAACTAAAGAAGACATTTATATAGGGGTAAGATGAAGAGATGATAGGGGTATTGAGTGAACGATTTCTGTAGAATACATAATCTTTTTAATAATTTTGCAGTTTCTTACACATAATGCATCTTCCTAAATATATATTGAGTAAATCCTTTGGTCCTGTGAATAATACCAACAAACACTCTCTAAAGCCCGGACTGCGTGCCAAGCCTTGGGTTAAATACTTCTTTGTTACATCTAGCAGCCCTGTGGCAACTCTCAGAGGGAGGTGCTATTATTACCTCTTTTTAGGGATGAGGAGGCTCAATAACTGGCCCGAGAACCAAGGGGCAGGTTTGGATTTTAAAATTATGAAAGAAGGCATTCAAAACCTCATGGCCTTTATTATCTATTACCCACGTGCTCTATGATTTATTTGTTGACATTACCTATCAGTTTCTCACTCTGGACTGTGAGCTCCTCAGATACATGAATGTATTTATTATGGTACCTTTTGTGCACAGTGGCTCCAGGCAGAAAAAGGGTTATTTCAAAATAATATGTATTTTGAATTTCGAAAGAATGAATTTGTGTATTTTGAAAGAATCAATTTGTGAATTAGGATTCAAGCATTTTGAAAGAATGAATTTGTGAATTAGGGCTCAAGAGAAAAGAGAATACAAAAAAAATGAAGGGAAAGGGTGGAGAATATGTTATTGAGTGCCTAATGTGTGTTGAAGTTTGAGGCATTTTATTTACAGCATAGAGCCTCATTCTAGGAGACCTTCCTCTCCTGCGGAGACTAAAAAGCTGAAAGCTTCCATTTCAGACATACCCGGTGCTAACATAGGTTCGTTCAACCAGATGCACTTCAGTGAGACTTGGGAAGTGGGGCAGGGTTTACCAGTCCCTTTATCATGGGGCCTTTACTTCCTCTTCTAGCCTCATCTAATAATCCTCTTTTGCCTTTTAGGCTTCACTCCAGTTATCCTGATTTTTTTTCCATTGTCCTATTGTGTCCAGAATCGGTTCCTTCCGGTGGGTTCTTGGTCTTGCTGACTTCAAGAATGAAGCCGTAGACCCTCGCAGTGAGTGTCACAGTTCTTAAAGATGGTGTGTCCAGCGTTTCTTCCTTCTGGTGGGTTCGTGGTCTTGCTGACTTCAGGAGTGAAGCCGCAGACCTTTGCAGTGAGTGTTACAGCTCTTAAAGGTGGCGCGTCCGGAGTTGTTCATTCCTCCCAGTGTGTTCGTGGTCTCACTGGCTTCACAGGAGTGAAGCTGCAGACCTTCACGGTGAGTGTTACAGCTCATAAAGGTAGTGTGGACCCAAAGAGTGACCAGCAGCAAGATTTATTGCGAATAGCAAAAGAACAAAGCCACCGCACGGTGAAAGGGGACCCCAGCAGGTTGCTGCTGCTGGTGCAGAGTGGCCAGCTTTTATTCCCTTATTTGGCCCCACCCACGTCCTGGTGACTGGTCTATTTTACAGAGTGCTGATTGGTCTACTTTACAGAGTGCTGATTGGTGCATTTTTACAGACAGCTGATTGGTGTGTTTACAATCCTTTAGCTAGACACAGAGCACTGATTGGGGCATTTACAATCCTTTAGCTAGACCAAAAGTTCTCCAAGTCCCCACCTGACCCAGAAGCCAGGCTGGTTTCACCTCTTACTATTTGCCTAGAACTCCCTTGATCCTATGCTAAGATCTTTGTTCACTCTATAATTTCCTGGCTAACTCCTACTACTTCTTTATAACTTAGCTTACAGACCACTTCCTACAGGCAGCCTTCTGTGATTCCCACAGTCTAGCTTAGTAGAATTCAAAACATGCTGCTAGGGTTCCATTTCCTGGTTATTCAATCAAATACTAATACAGATACTGCTGTGAAGAGATATTGCAGATATGATTAAAATCCCAAGTGAGGTGGTTATAAAAAGAGGACGTTATCTGGGTTGACCTAAACTAATCACACTTGCCCTTAAAAGCGTAGAATTTTCTTTGGCTAGTGGCAGAAGAGGAAGGCAAAAGGAAAGTCAGAGAGAGTCAAAGATTCAGAGTGCTATTTCTGGTTTGAAGATGTGTAGAGCCATCTGAGAAAGAACTGGAGAGACTAGCAGTCACTAGAAGGAGCAAAGAGTCCCCCACAAGAAAACGGGAAACTCAGTCTTACCTTCCCATGGAACTGAATTCTGCCCATGGTCTGAATAATCTTTGAAGTAAATTCTTTCTGCAAGCCTCCAGGTAAGAGCCTTGCCTGGCTAACACCTTAATTTTGGCCTTGTGAGGCCATGAACAAATAATCTAGCTGAAATACCCAGACTTCTGACCTACAGAATGGGGAAATTATGCCTGGTTGTTGTTTAAGCTGGAGGTCCCCAACCCCTGACTGCAGACGGTACTGGTCCTGCCCGTGGCCTGTAAGGAACTGGGCCGCACAGCAGGAGGTGAGTGACAGGCAAGCGAGTATTACTGCCTGAACTCCACCTCCTGTCAGATCGGTGGCTGCATTAGATTCTTACAGGAGCACAAATCCTATTGTGAACTGAGCGTGTCAGGGCTCTAGGTTGTGTGCTCCTTATGAAAATCAAATGCCTGATGATCTGAGGTGGAATAGTTACATCCTGAAACCATCCCCCCTCCCCTGTCCGTGTTAAAATTGTCTCCATGAAGCAGGTCCCTGGTGTCCAAAAGGTTGAGGACCGCTGGTTTAAGCCACTAAACTTGTGGTAATTTGGTTCATAGTATTAGAAAACTAGTATCTTTGCTCTGTGATCCCTTGTCATTCTGTGATCTTCCTGTTCTCGCAGTTACATTGTAAGGGCTTATTACATTACCTCTCCCACTAGATTGAGAGTTCTCTTAGAGTAGCCACAGTGCTGGGGTTGCTCGTGGTTGCATTTCCCAATGCCAAGCACACTGCCTGAACACAGAAGGCACGAATGAATGTTCGTTAAATAAGGAAGCAGAGTTCCACAGAGAGGGGCTGTGATGATGCTCCAGACCTCAGTAGGACACTGTCAATGTTGCCATTTTGTAGAATACTTTGTTTCTTTCTATCAACCCAAAAAATACGGCTGTCATATCAACTTGGGATCTGAATAACTGTGGTAAGATACTGCTCACCTTTTTAGGAGTCCCTGACGCTTGGCTAAGTTTCCCATCTTTGGCTTAAAATGTTTCTTTCTGACAGACTACTCAACGATTCTCACTGGGTAATTGCAAAGTTCAAACTTTTAAACCCCAGTATAGTACCTTCAAGGAACCATCTTGACCTTGACATTGTGCAACAAATTCTGCACTAATTATGTATCAGTTGTTTGTGGACATAGCTCCTGGACATTTCAAAGTCTGATCTTTCTCTCAATTCATGGATTAGTCAGGACTCATCGTTGCATCAGGGCTTGGATAAAATAAAAATTTATAGTTGTCTATACATGGAATGTCTAGGGACTGGGGATTCAGTAATAGTTGGATCTAGGGGCTCAAATGAAATCATCTTGTATTTGTCTCTCCTATCATATCTTAGCTCAAATTTTCTCCATGTGTTGACTTCATTCTTTAGGTGATTTTTTTTTTTCTTTTTTTAGCATGGCAGGAAAAACAAATCACCGACAATTGGTTTTAGACTATGTGGTCATTTTAGCCCAGTATTCCTGAGAAATACTTATTATCCTATTATTCCTGAGAATTAGCCCATTATTCCTGAGAAATACTTATTACTTGCAAATACTTAATACTTATAAATAAGTATTTAGCCCAATATTCCTGTGGAGTACTTATTTGTAATTTTTTTCAGTGGTCCTAATGAAATCTCAGTAAAGTCTCCTGCGTCATTTGGCTGATGGAGCCCATTTCTGCCTGGTCAGCTTGGATCACCTGGTCACTTAGATGGGGGGACCCCAGAGGAAGTTGCCAGGTAAAAATGGAGGTGACGCTAGATGGGCACAAACAATGATGACCACCACAATCCCTGGTCTACTTTCATGACCACCCTGGTGACCAGTCATGCTCTTCCATCTACCAAGTCATTCTCTTCCCGTTATTTTGAGTCATGACACATCCGTAACCTCTTGGCTCATGACCTAAGCTATTCTCATCCCCCTCTTCTCTCCATTTCAGAACAGTGACCATGTAGAAAACCCTAACTTGTTTTCTAATATCCAAACTCTCTGGAAAATCCCTCCTAGGCCATCCTCACCTCCTGGGCAAGGCCCAGGTTAAGGTAGGTTTCATTAACAACCAGGATTGCACATGTAACTAATTAGGAAGATCTGGGTAAAGGATGCAAATCTAGGGGAGTAAATGTTACTAATTTACCTTGAGAATAAAAAATCATAAACTGTGCTCTTTCTACAACTCTAGGTGCACTAACTAGCAATCCAAAGCTAATTCTCCAATGTCTGTTTTATTTTCCTGGAAAGAATAAGCTGAGTTGATAAGGAGGCTGAAACGAGCAGGTATGTTCCATGCAGAGGAACTGATCAATGAGTGGAATGTGGCCTGAGGAAATGTAAGGGTAAGAGTTAGAGGTCTTCAGAGAGCTGAAGGAATATTACCAATATTACCAACCTGGAGGAGGAAGCAGGCCTGCCCTATGATTTTTCAGGGAGAGAAATCACAGCTCTATGCCAGGAGGTGATTTCTAATCATCTGAATGTTGTAATGGGCATATAAGGTTGGGGCATACAGAATGGGGAAATTATGCCTGGGTGTTGTTTAAGCCGGAGGTCTCAAGAAGTAGTAAACTCTTCATTTTTAAAGACATCCAAGCAGAGGCTGGATATGTACCTGTTAGGGATGCTGTGGAGGAAAACCTTACTGTGTATAAAAAATGACCAGTTTCAAAGTTTCTTGGAAACTAGAAAATCATGGGATTTGACATTCATCCTGTCTCCTTCCAAAGTAGAGGGCAATCAAAACTCATGACTTATTTCTGAGATGAGCTTAGAGGATCATGGAACAATGAATCTAACATCATGTCCTCATGAGAGCAGAGAGTTGCAATTTCCATGACTAGCAAGAACAATGTAAATGCTTTATTTTGTGACATATGTTCAGAAGCTTTCAGAAGTTACCTGTTCTTGTGAAATTTCTACCATTAAAAATCCACCCCATTGAAGACCCAGGTCCATTATGCAGCTGGGCACTCATAAATGGTAGACCTTGGGAAGGTAACTCTACCTGACTTGACTTCAACTTCCTTATCTGCACATGAGGAAGATGAATGAGTGTCCCTAAGGTCTGTTCTAGCTCTGAACTTCATATAGCTTAATAATTCCATCAACACACAGAAGTTGTTTAGATAAATAGAGTTTGCCATGGGACATTGCCTGAGTCAGCAGGTCTGGTGTGGACAACTCAGGTTGAGGGATCCTGCACAGATGGGGACAGGCAGCGCTGAAACAATGAGTTCCAAGGTTTTGCTGCTGGAGCAAGAAGTACAAATAGGAGAATGCAATAAATTTATGCTTCTTTACAACAGGACATCCAGGTTCTCTGATAGACTTATTGCTGGCCTAGTAACTAATTAAGTATCTGATCCATAGTGGCTATGCAATGAATGTTTGTTAAACTGAATACTACTGAACCTATCCATCACTTTAGCCAAACCAAATGACTCATGATTCCCAGAGCACAGTATTTATATGATTTTTGTGCTCCATTCCCTGTGATTCTGGTTGGTGTTCTTGGCAACCAAAAATCTTTAAAGCTATCCTAAGTCAAGGGTCGGGGGATATTAGGAGGATAGCAAGCTCATGAATGTCAAAGGCAGAAAGCAACATACATTTGACCACATGGTCTTGGGAACTGAAAAGGTAGACACAGATATTTCTGCCTCTCTCCAGGATCACATGTTTCCACATTTTTGTATCTCTGCATTCCGCCCCCACCCCCAACCCCAGCATTCTCCAACTTCTCTTTTTGTGCATCTTTCTCTGCCAACTCATTAGTATGCCAGTGGCTAACTGTCCAGTGCCAAGCGTATGTTACCTGTTAGTTTTTGCATTTTCCACATTCTGATTCAATTTCAGAGTCTTTTAGTCAAAATTTTCAAGAGGATATCAATTGATTGCACTCAGCCTATTGGGTTAGGCATGGGTCTATGGATTTCAGACACTTTTGCTCATAGGGCCAGATTTACGCAGTCATATGATTTCCCCTTCTAGGGGCTATGAGGATGAGACCACAAGCTAGAAGGAAAAATTGAGTGCAGCAGGCAGATTGACCCATAATGTTCTTGGCAGATAACTTTGCTCATTTTATTCCTTCTGTCTGGAAGTTCCATCCTCTCATCTCTGATCAGTGAGCTCTTATTCGCCCTTCAAAGTCCATTGCAAATAATATGCCCCTTTAAAGTTTTACCTGATCTCTGTAGATAAAATTATTCATTATTTCCTGGCTAATCCCATACTTTCGTCATGCTCTAGTGAAATATTTATCCATTTATTCATTAATGCATCACATGCATGTGTATTGAACACTATACACAGAGCACTGTGCTAGATAAGGAGGTTATATGTTGGCCTCAGTCTTAGTGATGGAAAATGAATGAATCAATAGAAGTAACACACTTAGAGCAGTGCCTCTTCCGAATAGAAAACCCTCAATAGTTTTTTTTGTATTTTTGATACCTTATAGCATAGCAGTTAAAATCATAGGCTCTGAGGCCAGAATGCCTGTTTCTGCTACTTGTATGTAACTTTGAACAAGTGAATTCTCCTTTAATGCCTCAATTTACTCATTTGTAAAATGGTCAAAAAGAATAAGTGAATTTAATAGCCAAGATAGGAAAACAATCCAAATGTTCACTAATGGATGAATGGATAAAGAAAATGTGGTATATGTTGAAAGAAATCATAGATAACACAAACAAATGGAAAAGCATCCCATATTAATACATTGGAAGAGTCAATATCATTAAAATGACCATACTGCCTAAAGGAATCTACACATTCAATCCAATTTCTATCAAAATTCCAATGTCATTTGTCACAGAATTAGAAAATAGAATCCAAAACCTTGGATGGAACAAAAAAAGAGCCTGAATGTCCAAAGCAACCCTAAGCAAAGAGACCAAAGCTCTAAGCATCCCATCACCTGACTTCAAATTATACCACAAGGCTATAGTAATCAAAACAGCAGGGTACTTTTATAAAAATAGATACATAGATCAATGGAACAGAATAGAGAAACCAGAAATACACCTACATACCTACAGCCAACTGATCTTTGACAAATTTGACAAAAACAAACACTGGCAAAAGGACACCCCATTCAATAAATGGTGCTGAGAAAATTGGATTGCCATATGCAGAAGAATAAAGCTGGACTCCTATCTCTTGCCATATACAAAAATTAACTCAAGATGGATTTAAGACTTAATCCATACATTTGTATGACCTGAAACTATAAAAATAGTGGAAGGAACTCTAGGAAAAATTCTTTTGGATACATTGGCCTAGGCAAAGAATTCATTACTAAGACCTCAAAGGCAAATGCAACAAAACAAAAATAGACAAATGGGACTTAACTAAACTAAAAAGCTTCTGCATAGCAAATGGACAACTTGCAGGATAGGTGAAAATATTTGAAACTATGCATCTGACAAGGGACTTACATCTAGCATCTACAAGAAATTCAGAGATCTCAACAACAATACAAATAACCGCATCAAAAGTGGGCAAAGAACATGAACAAAACTTTTTCAAAAGAAGACATACAAATGGTGAACAAGCATATTTAAAAAATGGTCAACATCATTAATCATCAGAGAAATGCAAATTAAAATCACAGTGGGAAAATATCATCTTATAGCAGTCAGGATGGCTGTTACTAAAAAGTGAAAAAAATTACAGATATTGGCAAGGATACATGGTTGGTGGGAAGGTAAGTTAGTATGCCTCTATGGCACAACCTCTATGGAAAACAATATGGGGATTTCTCAAAAAAACAAAAATAGAATTCCCGTTCAATCCAGCAATCTCACTACTGGGTATCTTCCCAAAGGGGAAGAAATCATTATAGCAAAATATACCCGCACTTGTATGTTTATAGCAACACTATTCACAATAGTAAAGATATGGAATCAATCTGTGTCCATCAAGAGATGATTAGATAAATGGAGTATGATACACACACAATGGAGTACAACTCAGCCATGGAATGAATGAAATTATGTCTTTTACAGCAACGTGGATGAAACCGAAGCCATTAACTTACGTGAAATAAGTCAAACAGAAAGCCAAATACCTCATATTCTCACTTATAAGTGGCAGCTAAATAGTGTGCACACATAGAAATAGAGTGTGGACTGACAGACATTGAGGACTCAAAAGGGAAGGCAGGTGGGAGGAGGGTGAGGAATGAGCAGTTACTTAAAGGGTACAATGTGCAGGTGATAGTTACACTAAGAGCCCACATTTCACCACCACGATTATATCCAGGTAACAAAATTGCACTTGTAACCGCTAAATTTATGCAAATAAAAAAGTTAGAAAAAGAAAATATGGTTTATACCTATAATGGAATACGATGCAGGCTTTGAAAAGAAGGCAATCCTGCCACATGCTAACAACAGGGATGAACCTTAAGGACATTACGCAAAGTAAAATAAACTAGTCACAAAAGAACAGATACCATAGGATCCCACTCATATGGAGTACCCAAAGTAGTCAAAATAATAGCAACAGAAGTAGAGAGGTGTTTGTCAAGGACTGAGAGGGAGGAATAGAAATTAGTGCTTAATGAATATAGAGTTCAGTTTTGCAAGATGAAAAGTGCCAGAGATCTGTTGTACAACGATGAGAATATACTTAAATACTATTGAACTGTACATTAAACATTGTTAAGATGATAAATGTAATGTTATGTGTTTTTACCATAATAAGTGTTTAAAGAAAAAAAAAGATAATTGCTACAAAAAGCCTGAGCTACTGAAGCTATTTGGCAATAAACTTCCAAATGCTTCTTCCCCCCAAAAAAAGAAAAAAAGGGGAAGAGAGAATTGATTTGTGCCATGTTGTTTAGGACAACTTCTGACATATGGCAAACATTGAAAAACTAGTGACAGCTATACATATAATTAAATATATAATGTGATGCATGATAGTATGGAGGTGAGGTCAGAGATGGCATGGTGGAAAACCATAGTGGCACAGTGAGCTAATTCCAGGACGACCCTGGCTCTGTGGGTGTAGATGATTTAAACAGTTAAAAAGTGTAACTACTCTGCTTTGAGAACCTGCTATGGGTGAGGTGGACGTGTTTCCTGATCCTCTCAGCCAGCATTCAAAGGAGGCATTTCCTGTCAGACTGTACAGTTCTTGAGGAAGGGATCTCTATGTTGTTCAGCATTTTGCATTTAATGTTGTTCCCAATAAGAATAAAATCTGTTAAATGAGTAAATTTTATAAATGGAGTAACTGTGGTTCAGAAAGGCTAAAGGCTTCCTCCCTGCTGAATGCAGAGTCAGAGTCAAAACTAGCTCTGTCCAGCTGCAAACTCCATAATGTTCTAATCCACTGTGTGGCCTCCAGGGGAGCCTGACAAACCTCTACAATGACTGGGTGAGTGGGCAATTCTTCCATTCCAGAAATAAACTGCATTTGAATGGGGCATTCCTAAACTAAGTTCTCTGCATTATGACAGCTGAGAGGGGAAAAAAGCTTGGATGGGTTAATTAATTGGAATTTGGAAAAGGGAGAAGATTAAATAATGATGACACAATAATACAGTGACATAATAAAATATCTGGCACTTACTAAGTACTTAAGTCAAGTAAAATAAAGCTGAGTAAAACAGCTGGCACTTACTATAGTACTATAAGTACTATATGGCAGGCACTGTGTTGAGCCATTCATATGCACTATCTTATTTAATCTGCATTTTATCTTGGTGAAGTTGGGTTTTTGAATTGGAGGAAAATGAAGCTTAGAGAGTTTAAGAAGCTCACTAAGTTTGCCCAGCTTGTATGTAGCAGAATCAGGAAGTGAATCCAGGCAGTATGACTCCAGTTCCATGCTTTGAACAATGCCAGAAAACCCAGTGAATGATCCTAAGGCATGGGTCCCATGACTGGGTCAACTACTATAGGCAGGAATTTAGCATAATGGTTACTAGAGTATGGAACTGACAGTCCTTGGTTCAAGCCTGGCTGCACTACCTAGTGGCTCTGAACCCTGGCATGTTGCTTCGCATCTCTAGGCTCCTATATCTTGACTTGCAAATTGAAGTTAATGCCAATGACAGAGTGTTGCAAAGAAAAGCACGACTGTGAGTTCAGCATATGGTCAGTAGTAGGACCATGGTTTCTGGAGCAGGTGGGTTTCTACTGTGGGAGAGGAAACAAAGACAGCAGGAGTGAGAAAGGGCAAGCAATGGACCCCTAAAACGACCTGGCACGGAGTTATTGGACTTAGGGAATTTCAAGATTGAGGGGATCTTAGCGGTCAGATGAGGGAATATTGAAGTCTTGGCACATTCCTTTCATCCTCTGCAAGAGAGCTTTTCTTTTTGTCACATAAATGATGAAATAGCAGCGCCTGCACCTCAAGAAGATATGTAGGAGTTTTGTTTTTAAACACCCCTCGCTGCAGGGGTGAGAGCTTGTCACATTTTTATTACTGCCAGGTTTAGCCCCCTTGCTAGTGCTGACACATGAATCACTGTGCTGGTCCTGGGAACACCACGGTACTCCGACTGCCAAAGCAGATTAATGGAGGCAACGCGACAATCCTGCCTTGTTTTTTTTCCTAAGGAAGCCACAACATTGCCAGCAAATGGGGACAGCTGGGATGCTGGAGGGTGTTTCCATTTATGTGGGAAGCTGAGGAAAGACCTGCACCTTCTGAGTCTAATAACAAGCCCGGTGCTCCCTTCTGAGATGAGATTAATGCTTGCACATGTGTGTGGCTTGCCTCTACCAGCAAGAGCAAATGTTCACAGAGCACCTCTATGAACCAGGTGCAGGGCTAGGTATTACATTGTGCCCTGACAGTGATGCTGTGAATTACGCACTAATGTTCCCATTTTATAGACAAAATAAGCAGTGCCTCAGAGATATTAAACGCACTTACTGAGGTCACACTGCTGTCAGTGAGCAGCAGGAATTAAAACCAAGTCTACTTGTCTTCAAAGAACTAGACCTTCACCTACCGCAGGCTGCCCTTCGAATTGCTAATTAATCCTTTCCACGTACATTTCTGCATGTAACCTTCATCACAGCAGTGTGAGGTAGCTATTGTAAAGGAAAATGAGGCTCATAAAGGTTAACCACATTATTCAAAGCTTTATTTGACTCTTTATCTCTTTATCTTAGATTTATTAACTCTTTTTTTTTTATACTTTAAGTTTTAGGGTACATGTGCACATTGTGCAGGTTAGTTACATATGTATACATGTGCCATGCTGGTGCGCTGCACCCACTAACTCGTCATCTAGCATTAGGTATATCTCCCAATGCTATCCCTCCCCCCTCCCCCCACCCCACCACAGTCCCCAGAGTGTGATATTCCCCTTCCTGTGTCCATGTGATCTCATTGTTCAATTCCCACCTATGAGTGAGAATATGCGGTGTTTGGTTTTTCGTTCTTGCGATAGTTTACTGAGAATGATGATTTCCAATTTCATCCATGTCCCTACAAAGGACATGAACTCATCATTTTTTATGGCTGCATAGTATTCCATGGTGTATATGTGCCACATTTTCTTAATCCAGTCTATCATTGTTGGACATTTGGGTTGGTTCCAAGTCTTTGCTATTGTGAATAATGCTGCAATAAACATAAGTGTGCATGTGTCTTTATAGCAGCATGATTTATAGTCCTTTGGGTATATACCCAGTAATGGGATGGCTGGGTCAAATGGTATTTCTAGTTCCAGATCCCTGAGGAATCGCCACACTGACTTCCACAATGGTTGAACTAGTTTACAGTCCCACCAACAGTGTAAAAGTGTTCCTATTTCTCCACATCCTCTCCAGCACCTGTTGTTTCCTGACTTTTTAATGATTGCCATTCTAACTGGTGTGAGATGGTATCTCATAGTGGTTTTGATTTGCATTTCTCTGATGGCCAGTGATGATGAGCATTTTTTCACGTGTTTTTTGGCTGCATAAATGTCTTCTTTTGAGAAGTGTCTGTTCATGTCCTTCGCCCACTTGTTGATGGGGTTGTTTGTTTTTTTCTTGTAAATTTGTTGGAGTTCATTGTAGATTCTGGATATTAGCCCTTTGTCAGATGAGTAGGTTGCGAAAATTGTCTCCCATTTTGTAGGTTGCCTGTTCACTCTGATGGTAGTTTCTTTTGCTGTGCAGAAGCTCTTTAGTTTAATTAGATCCCATTTGTCAATTTTGTCTTTTGTTGCCATTGCTTTTGGTGTTTTGGACATGAAGTCCTTGCCCATGCCTATGTCCTGAATGGTAATGCCTAGGTTTTCTTCTAGGGTTTTTATGGTTTTAGGTCTAATGTTTAAATCTTTAATCCATCTTGAATTGATTTTTGTATAAGGTGTAAGGAAGGGATCCAGTTTCAGCTTTCTACATATGGCTAGCCAGTTTTCCCAGCACCATTTAGTAAATAGGGAATCCTTTCCCCATTGCTTGTTTTTCTCAGGTTTTCCAAAGATCAGAGAGTTGTAGATATGCGGCATTATTTCTGAGGGCTCTGTTCTGTTCCATTGATCTATATCTCTGTTTTGGTACCAGTACCATGCTGTTTTGGTTACTGTAGCCTTGTAGTATAGTTTGAAGTCAGGTAGCATGATGCCTCCAGCTTTGTTCTTTTGGCTTAGGATTGACTTGGCGATGCAGGCTCTTTTTTGGTTCCATATGAACTTTAAAGTAGTTTTTTCCAATTCTGTGAAGAAAGTCATTGGTAGCTTGATGGGGATGGCATTGAATCTGTAAATTACCTTGGGCAGTATGGCCATTTTCACGATATTGATTCTTCCTACCCATGAGCATGGAATGTTCTTCCATTTGTTTGTATCCTCTTTTATTTCATTGAGCAGTGGTTTGTAGTTCTCCTTGAAGAGGTCCTTCATGTCCCTTGTAAGTTGGATTCCTAGGTATTTTATTCTCTTTGAAGCAATTGTGAATGGGAGTTCACTCATGATTTGGCTCTCTGTTTGTCTGTTGTTGGTGTATAAGAATGCTTGTGATTTTTGTACATTGATTTTGTATCCTGAGACTTTGCTGAAGTTGCTTATCAGCTTAAGGAGATTTTGGGCTGAGAAAATGGGGTTTTCTAGATATACAATCATGTCATCTGCAAACAGGGACAATTTGACTTCCTCTTTTCCTAATTGAATACCCTTTATTTCCTTCTCCTGCCTAATTGCCCTGGCCAGAACTTCCAACACTATGTTGAATAGGAGTGGTGAGAGAGGGCATCCCTGTTTTGTGCCAGTTTTCAAAGGGAATGCTTCCAGTTTTTGCCCATTCAGTATGATATTGGCTGTGGGTTTGTCATAGATAGCTCTTATTATTTTGAAATACGTCCCATCAATACCTAATTTATTGAGAGTTTTTAGCATGAAGGGTTGTTGAATTTTGTCAAAGGCTTTTTCTGCATCTATTGAGATAATCATGTGGTTTTTGTCGTTGGTTCTGTTTATATGCTGGATTACATTTATTGATTTGCATATATTGAACCAGCCTTGCATCCCAGGGATGAAGGCCACTTGATCATGGTGGATAAGCTTTTTGATGTGCTGCTGGATTTGGTTTGCCAGTATTTTATTGAGGATTTTTGCATCAATGTTCATCAAGGATATTGGTCTAAAATTCTCTTTTTTGGTTGTGTCTCTGCCCGGCTTTGGTATCAGAATGATGCTGGCCTCATAAAATGAGTTAGGGAGGATTCCCTCTTTTTCTACTGATTGGAATACTTTCAGAAGGAATGGTACCAGTTCCTCCTTGTACCTCTTGTAGAATTCGGCTATGAATCCATCTGGTCCTGGACTCTTTTTGGTTGGTAAGCTATTGATTATTGCCACAATTTCAGCTCCTGTTATTGGTCTATTAAGAGATTCAACTTCTTCCTGGTTTAGTCTTGGGAGAGTGTATGTGTCGAGGAATTTATCCATTTCTTCTAGATTTTCTAATTTATTTGCGTAGAGGTGTTTGTAGTATTCTCCGATGGTAGTTTGTATTTCTGTGGGATCGGTGGTGATATCCCCTTTATCATTTTTTATTGTGTCTATTTGATTCTTCTCTCTTTTTTTCTTTATTAGTCTTGCTAGCAGTCTATCAATTTTGTTGATCCTTTCAAAAAACCAGCTCCTGGATTCATTGATTTTTTGAAGGGTTTTTTGTGTCTCTATTTCCTTGAGTTCTGCTCTGATTTTAGTTATTTCTTGCCTTCTGCTAGCTTTTGAATGTGTTTGCTCTTGCTTTTCTAGTTCTTTTAATTGTGATGTTAGGGTGTCAATTTTGGATCTTTCCTGCTTTCTCTTGTGGGCATTTAGTGCTATAAATTTCCCTCTACACACTGCTTTGAATGCGTCCCAGAGATTCTGGTATGTTGTGTCTTTGTTCTCGTTGGTTTCAAAGAACATCTTTATTTCTGCCTTCATTTCGTTATGTACCCAGTAGTCATTCAGGAGCAGGTTGTTCAGCTTCCATGTAGTTGAGCGGCTTTGAGTGAGATTCTTAATCCTGAGTTCTAGTTTGATTGCACTGTGGTCTGAGAGATAGTTTGTTATAATTTCTGTTCTTTTACATTTGCTGAGGAGAGCTTTACTTCCAAGTATGTGGTCAATTTTGGAATAGGTGTGGTGTGGTGCTGAAAAAAATGTATATTCTGTTGATTTGGGGTGGAGAGTTCTGTAGATGTCTATTAGGTCCGCTTGGTGCAGAGCTGAGTTCAATTCCTGGGTATCCTTGTTGATTTTCTGTCTCGTTGATCTGTCTAATGTTGACAGTGGGGTGTTAAAGTCTCCCATTATTATTGTGTGGGAGTCTAAGTCTCTTTGTAGGTCACTCAGGACTTGCTTTATGAATCTGGGTGCTCCTGTATTGGGTGCATATATATTTAGGATAGTTAGCTCTTCTTGTTGAATTGATCCCTTTACCATTATGTAATGGCCTTTGTCTCTTTTGATCTTTGTTGGTTTAAAGTCTGTTTTATCAGAGACTAGGATTGCAACACCTGCCGTTTTTTGTTTTCCATTTGCTTGGTAGATCTTCCTCCATCCTTTTATTTTGAGCCTATGTGTGTCTCTGCACGTGAGATGGGTTTCCTGGATACAGCACACTGATGGGTCTTGACTCTTTATCCAATTTGCCAGTCTGTGTCTTTTAATTGGAGAATTTAGTCCATTTACATTTAAAGTTAATATTGTTATGTGTGAATTTGATCCTGTCATTATGATGTTAGCTGGTGATTTTGCTCGTTAGTTAATGCAGTTTCTTCCTAGTCTCGATGGTCTTTACATTTTGGCATGATTTTGCAGCGGCTGCTACTGGTTGTTCCTTTCCATGTTTAGCGCTTCCTTCAGGAGCTCTTTTAGGGGAGGTCTGGTGTTGACAAAATCTCTCAGCATTTGCTTGTCTGTAAAGTATTTTATTTCTCCTTCACTTATGAAGCTTAGCTTGGCTGGATATGAAATTCTGGGTTGAAAATTCTTTTCTTTAAGAATGTTGAATATTGGCCCCCACTCTCTTCTGGCTTGTAGGGTTTCTGCCGAGAGATCTGCTGTTAGTCTGATGGGCTTCCCTTTGAGGGTAACCCGACCTTTCTCTCTGGCTGCCCTTAACATTTTTTCCTTCATTTCAACTTTGGTGAATCTGACAATTATGTGTCTTGGAGTTGCTCTTCTCGAGGAGTATCTTTGTGGCGTTCTCTGTATTTCCTGAATCTGAACGTTGGCCTGCCTTGCTAGATTGGGGAAGTTCTCCTGGATAATATCCTGCAGAGTGTTTTCCAACTTGGTTCCATTCTCCCCATCACTTTCAGGTACACCAATCAGACGTAGATTTGGTCTTTTCACATAGTCCCATATTTCTTGGAGGCTTTGCTCATTTCTTCTTATTCTTTTTTCTCTAAACTTCCCTTCTCGCTTCATTTCATTCATTTCATCTTCCATTGCTGATACCCTTTCTTCCAGCTGATCACATCGGCTCCTGAGGCTTCTGCATTCTTCACGTAGTTCTCGAGCCTTGGTTTTCAGCTCCATCAGCTCCTTTAAGCACTTCTCTGTATTGGTTATTCTAGTTATACATTCTTCTAAATTTTTTTCAAAGTTTTCAACTTCTTTGCCTTTGGTTTGAATGTCCTCCCATAGCTCAGAGTAATTTGATTGTCTGAAGCCTTCTTCTCTCAGCTCGTCAAAGTCATTCTCCATCCAGCTTTGTTCTGTTGCTGGTGAGGAGCTGCATTCCTTTGGAGGAGGAGAGGCGCTCTGATTTTTAGAGCTTCCAGTTTTTCTGTTCTGTTTTTTCCCCATCTTTGTGGTTTTATCTACTTTTGGTCTTTGATGATGGTGATGTACAGATGGGTTTTTGGTGAGGATGTCCTTTCTGTTTGTTAGTTTTCCTTCTAACAGACAGGACCCTCAGCTGCTGGTCTGTTGGAATACCCTGCCGTGTGAGGTGTCAGTGTACCCCTGCTGGGGGGTGCCTCCCAGTTAGGCTGCTCGGGGGTCAGGGATCAGGGACCCACTTGAGGAGGCAGTCTGCCCGTTCTCAGATCTCCAGCTGCATGCTGGGAGAACCACTACTCCCTTCAAAGCTGTCAGACAGGGACATTTAAGTCTGCAGAGGTTACTGCTGTCTTTTTGTTTGTCTGTGCCCTGCCCCCAGAGGTGGAGGCTACAGAGGCAGGCAGGCCTCCTTGAGCTGTGGTGGGCTCCACCCAGTTCGAGCTTCCTGGCTGCTTTGTTTACATAAGCAAGCCTGGGCAATGGCGGGCGCCCCTCCCCCAGCCTCGCTGCCGCCTTGCAGTTTGATCTCAGACTGCTGTGCTAGCAATCAGCGAGATTCCGTGGGCGTAGGACCCTCCGAGCCAGGTGTGGGATATAGTCTCGTGGTGCGCCGTTTTTTAAGGTGGTCTGAAAAGCGCAATACTCGGGTGGGAGTGACCCGATTTTCCAGGTGCGTCCGTCACCCCTTTCTTTGACTCGGAAAGGGAACTCCCTGACCCCTTGTGCTTCCCAGGTGAGGCAATGCCTCGCCCTGCTTCGGCTCGCTCACCGTGTGCACACCCACTGGCCTGCGCCCACTGTCTGGCACTCCCTAGTGAGATGAACCCGGTACCTCAGATGGAAATGCAGAAATCACCCGTCTTCTGCGTCGGTCACGCTGGGCTATTAACTCTTTATCTTAGATTTAATAAACACCACTGTGCCCCATTGTATCGGGTTCTGGGTGACAATCTTCATGAGATGTACATGCTCTTGCCTTCATGGAGCTTACGTCCTGTTGAGGGAGCTACATAAATACTATCACCCAGGAAACAGTTATGTTGTAAGAAATAACATAAGGAAAATACAAGGGTTTTGAGATTAGAATGAAGGAGATGTTCTAGAAAGACTCCTTGAAGAAGTGACATGTAAACTGAGGCACAGTTAGGAGGAGAGAAGCAAGTGCCATGGACCCATTGTTTGCATCACCTCCCAAATTCACATGAAGCTCTAATCCCCAAAGCAGTGGTATTTAGAGGCGAGGCCTTTGGGAGGTAACTAGATTTAGATGAGGTCGTGATTGTGGGGGCCTCACGATGGGCTTGGTATTCTTACAGGAAGAGGACAAGAGACCTGGGCTCCCTCTCTTTCCACCGTATCGAGGACACAGCAAGAAGGCAACCATCTGTAAGCCAGGAAGTGGACCCTCACCAGGAACCAAAGCTGCCTATACCTTGATCTTGAACTTTGAAGACTCCAACACTGTGAGAAATAAGTATCTGCTGTTTAAGGCTCCCAGTCTTTGATATTTTTTTATGGCAGCCTGAGGTGACTACGATAGCAGGACTTGAATCTAGTCCAGGAAAGCCACAGGGCTCTGTTTCCTCTCTCATGCTGCATTCTTCCTGCAATGAAAGTAAGTTATTAGCAATGCAGTTTTCCACAGTTACTCCGATGTTTTGCCTGGGCCTGTTCAGACCTTTCAGGACTCAGTTAAGAACAAATCCAGGGATCGTTATTTGCTTTCGCTGGAGAGCAAGCAATAGACATGTAGCCATTAACTGAAATGGTTTTGGACATTAGGTCAATTTCTGGGGGAAATGGAATCGGGATGAACTGGCACCTTTGAGTGTATGTGATGTTCACTTCTTTTTCACGGTTCTCGATACAATTTCACCAGTAAAAATTGTTCCTCAGTGTGGAACCTGCTATTGCCAGATAAATGAAACCCCTTTGGCCTTGGGATGTTAGGAGAGAGAGACAGAGAGAGAGAGAGGCATGAAGACACTTTTCTAGTGTGAATGGTGTTTTATAGGCTCAAAGCATGTGAGAGCTGGAAAGGACTTCAGATTCAGCTAAGTCCACCCCCTCATCTAATATGTGAGGAAACTGAGGCCCAGAGGGAGGAAATGCCCAGCTCCAGGGCAGAGCTAGGAACACAGAAAGCAAGGGTCATGGACCGAATGTTTGTGTCATCTCTCAAATTCATATGTTGAAGCCCTGATCCCCATTGCAGTGGTAAGTCTGGTGATAAACCTGGGAAGATAACACTGATCCATCCTTCATGAAAACAGAGATGTCTCCAGGTATTTCACATGTAAAGTAGCTTAAAACAGAGAATTAGTCACATATAAAGTGACTGAAAGTACTGGAGGAGCAAAGGTCAGGAAAAGCTGCTGACACTCAGTTTTAATCACAGCTATCAAATAATTTGAAACTGTAGGAAACTGTCACCAATGATTATATCTGCTTGCAGCAATAAAGCAAGTGATCTGTAGGAGAAAGGAGATTTCTGTAAAATCTCTCATGTGCTAACATCTGTGCATATATTTGACTGACAAAGAGAAACAATAATATGGCTCCTGTCTCTCACCTTTTCCAGCATCTACTGGCAAAATCTATAGCATAACTCTGGTGACAAAGAATTCTGGGAAATGTAGCTCCCAGGCTTCCAGCCCCTTGTGAAATAGAGAATAAAAAGGAGTAGAAATGGTGCTAAACTGGTAACAGAATTTCTAACACAACAGTTCTACTAAATTCTTTCCACCCTTTCTTCCATCACTCTGTATTTCGTTTCCTCTTTTCTTCCTTTCCAGAATATTTGGTGAGGGACTCAGGGGACTGTTGTCTGTTTGTGCTGAGGCCTGGCTGGTGTAGAATGATAGAGATTTGCCTTGAACAACAGCATGCATTTGATGGGGGGAAAGGCCTTTCCAGATATTTGCAAACAAGCAAAATCTTTTTTAAAAGAAATCTGGACATGTTTGTGTGTCACTAGAAAGAGCCAAACACCTAGCAGTGGATCAAGACCCAGACTGCAGGTGCGGACAGATCTGAAATCTAGGTCTGGTTTTGCTCTTCACTACCTAGCAGACCCTGAGCATCTGACATAATCTACGTCTTACTAATAGGAATAACAAGAGTTATTAATCTCATAGGATTCTTCTGAGAATTGCACGAAATAATATATATTGCATTATATTTAGCACATAGTGAAAATTTTGTAGTGGTCCTGATATTATTATGCTTATTTTAAATCATTATTGATAATAACTAATGTTGAGAGTTCAAAAATTAGGGCTCAGTTTTGCAGATATCAGAATTCAGTCTAGGTTCTCTAAGCAGATATGAATCAAATGCTATTTACTAAATGGCTTTTGGGATCAATAGAGAGGCTGAGGAAGCTGCCTCTTGGTTGAACTCTCAGGACTACCTCAGAGAACTTGGTCACCCAGGAGCCACTGCCTCATTTTTGACCTGAAAACCTCCTGATGAATTGAGAAGCTGGTGCTCCACCTGCAGGGTCTGCACTTGCTCTTCCATAAATAGGAAGCCAGAAAGACAAGGAAGGCATCTATTAAATCAGGAAACTGTCCGTACGGATACGGGCTTGAGGCCTATGCCACCCATGTATGGTCAAGAAGCAACTGGAAAAAAAAATCAGACCTGCCCAGAATGGTGCCCACAGAAAGAGAAGCAGCAGCAGAAATGGGCTCCACTCCATTGCCACCTTCCACATTGCAGACAAGTGCATCTAACCCAAATCATATCCAGGGCCCCAGCTGTACAATTGTTTGTACCATGTAGTATTTAGATATCTACATCCTGCACCCCAGGAAGACACTCCAAAGGAAGTGGAGTGCCAATCCACTATTTTAATCACTGGGAAACCATGTTTTTCTCAACACTCATGTTTTCTTGGGGAGCTACTTTCCCAGGGAAACACTCCTGGCCACTGTTTCCATTCTTTACTTATGGTTGTCCATGAGAAAAGGTGTGTGATATTTAATAATGAGCTTGGCTCAGCTCCTTAGGGTTTCTTCCTTGAGTTATGCTCAACACCAGTGAGGGTGCATTCTCCTGTTCTCTGGGGCCAGGCAGTTATCTTAGTCTAAAGGCCCTGCCCCTGTCCAGGGTGGCCAGCAATGGCCCAGCTATGAAGGAACTCGGTGAATAAATATCTGTCTCCTGTATAGGCAAAGTTTTAGCAAGCCCACCTGCCTACATAGCTAAGCCATGTGCTCTAAACAGCTTTGTCACTAATGAAGCTCACATTTTGACCCCAGAATACTTGACTCTTGTTCAATGCAATTGATTCCAAACTCAGGCAGGTGATAGTGGGTGTTATATGTTAATCCATTAAATTTCCATTATGAAATTAGAGCTTGAGCAGATAATTAACAAAAGAAATACAAATGACAAATAGTGAATGATCAAACTCAAAGGCAATTAAACTTCAGTTTAAAAAATTCAAAGACGCCGGGCGCAGTGGCTCACGCCTGTAATCCCAGCACTTTGGGAGACAGAGGCGGGTGAATCACCTGAGGTCAGGTTGCTGTGAGCTGAGATCACACCACCACACTCCAGCCTGGGTGACGGAGTAAGACTCCATCTAAAAAAAAAAAAAAAAATCAAAGAAAATTTTAACCTAAGACATAAAAAAAAAAAAAAAGTGAATACTCAGTGTGTGTGATGAGTTAAAAATACTGCCATATACTGCTAGTGGGTATACAAATTCATATATTTGGGGAGATAAATTTTGTGATATATATCAAAGCCATATGGTTTAACCCAGAAATCTTATATCTAAGCACTTCTTTCAAGGGGACAAATGAGTTATCCATTTCAGTATTACTTATGATAGTGAAAAGTTATGACTTCCTCCAGGTTCCAAAACAGGAGATTTATGAAATAGTTGCAGTACACAGAATGTTATGTTTCCATTAAAAAATGCCTTAGCATCTGAATATTTGATTTCATCTGGAAATAATCATGGCATAGTATTAAGTGAAAAAGATTATAAAACAGTGTATATAGCATTCTCTTAGTTTTATAAACACATATGTGTGCATCTATATCTATATACACATATTTATACATATGCATGCATCTATCTATACATATATATCTATGGTTACATATGTATTTATATATGCATGTATGTGTACGCATAGATGTATATTTGTGAAAAATGCAGTTATGACATATGTGCTTTCTAAGCTTCTGTAAAAGGAGGGCTGGAGCAAAAGGGATGGGAGAATAAAACTAATCTGTGTTTTTGAGTTTGGGCAGCTGCCTCTTTCTACCACTTTCCATTCTCTTTCTGGTTTCTGATACAATTGCAGTCTGTGACAAGAGATTCTGCTATCTCAGTGTTCTCTTGATGACTCTTTTATAACTAGAAATCATGATTATTTTATTATTTATTATACAAACAACGTTAGGGGCACATTAACAAAAATGAAAACCTTCTCTGACAATCTGCCACCCTAGTAAGTCAGCTTCCTTTTATCCCTGTTCCCTGCCTGTTCTAATCCATATGCATGCAGTATTTGTTCCTATAGCAATGTTCTTATAACATGAACACAATTTTCTGTTTTCTTTTAGCCACCTGTATAGTCAAAGCTTTTTCCCTGTTGCTTCACAGTGCATCCTCTGTCTCTGCATGAGAAAGTAAAGTGACTTGAGAACACGTGGATGTGTCTGGGTCCCTTGTGCCCTTCCTTGTAACCATTGAGGTACTGGCAGGTGTGGATGTACCAGGCTGTCCCTGGCCACAGCTGCCAAGGACTGGGGCCTGGTGTTGATGCCTACTCAAGAGAGCTCTTGGTTAAGGTGGTACTAATCCCATACTGGGTTAGTCACCTCTTCTGTGTTGTTCTCTTGCTGATGGTCCTGTACCTGTTTTTGTTAGGGTCTAATGCTTTCTGGAGTATGGCTTGGACATTAAGCACGGACCAAGGGTATGACTTGGTGTTGCCTTGCCTTAATAAGCTCTAAGGAGTGGAAAGGGAACCGTAAGTATTCACGTTCTCCTGTGTTCCTGGCCCTGTGCTCAGAACTTAAGGGATGTCATCTCCTGAGGCTTTCCTAATGACCCAGGGCAGTGGAGAATAAGGGTTAAGAATGGAGATTTGGGCGCCAGGCCATCTTGTGTCCCAGTGCCATC
Source organism: Homo sapiens (assembly GCF_000001405.40). NCBI lineage: Eukaryota > Metazoa > Chordata > Mammalia > Primates > Hominidae > Homo > Homo sapiens. Next base: position 131,765,683 of record NC_000008.11, on the reverse strand, counting down.
TCTATCACATACTTGCTGTGAAATACTTAGACTGTGATTCCTGCTCTAGCTGCAATTTATCTTCCTTACCTGCAAAATGGGGATAACAATGATGCCTACTCCTTAGGGTTGTAGTGAAGATCAAATGAGATAAAATGCATAGAGAACTCAGACTTGTGGCTGAAACAAATATTGAGCCTGACTCTTTAGTTACTCTATTGCTGTTAGTGACAACAACTTGAGGACATGAGTACTGCTAACCTCAATTTACAGATAAAGAAGGCACAACTCAGAGAACTTGAGTAACTTAAGCTTACAAAGATGGCACATTGAGTGCTTCTCACTGAGAATATTCAGATCTTTCTTTAGACCAAGAAAAAAAGCCCCAATTTTCCAATGGTTGACATTGGCCAGGCAACAGACTGGTCAATTAACAGAGAATATAGACTATTGACCTTGCCAACCCCCTGCTCAGTGGTTCCCAAATGTGGCTGCATATTTGTATCACCTGGGGAGGGTCTTAGAACCTCCCAATGTTCAGATCTACCACTAACCAATTAAATTAGCATTTCTGGGGGGTGACATCCAGGCCATGGTTGTTTGTTTGTTTGTTTTTGAGATGGAGTCTCACGCTGTTGGACAGGCCGGAGTGCAGTGGCATGAGCTCTGCTCACTGCAACCTCCATCTCCCGGGTTCAATCAATTCTCCTGCCTCACCTCCTGAGTAGCTGGGACTACAGCCATGTGCCATCACACCTGGCTAATTTTTTTATTTTTAGTAGAGACAGGGTTTCGCCACCAGTGAAACCTCAGCCTCTGGAGTAGCTGGGGCTACAGGCACATGCCACCACACCTGGCTAATTTTAGTAGAGACAGAGACCACCAGTTTGGCCAGGCTAGTCTCAAACTCCTGACCTCAAGTGATCCACCTGCCTCAGCCTCCCAAAGCCATGGTATTTTAAAGTTCCTCCAGAAAATTCACTATGAAGACAAGTTTGAGGACTTGCACTCTGGCTGCCCAGGCCAGCCTGTTAGATGGTGGCCAATGGTAGGGAAAGAGAAAGGAAAGCAAACCGTTAGTCAGTTACATTGCTCAACTACCATGCTTGCAAATGTTAGTGAAGGAAGCATTTGTTATCAGTGGGAGAAGTTATATCTTAAGTGATTGATCAGTTTCTTTTTATGTAGTTTTATGCACTGATGTGAATATCATACATTGACTGTACATGTTGACCTTGCTCAAAAAAGTAGATCAATTTCTATACTGGGCCAAGTAAGTAATATTTTATATTTTACACTAGTTTCCAACTACACTCTGTTATAAACATTGGAGTTACATAGTTGCATCAACAAGTCAAACACAATTTAAAATGATATGAAAGACCAACATTTGTTGGAGGTTACTTTGTTCAATATGGTATTGATTATGTGTGAATCCCTTTACATATGCCAATTATATTAGTCAGCTTTGGCCGCCATAACAAAATACTACAAGGAGGGTGGTTTAAACAACAGAAATTTATTTTCTTACAGTTCTAGAGGCTAGAAGTCCAAATTTCAGACCAGTTTGGTTTCTGGTGAGGCCTTTCTTCCTGGCTTGTACATGGCAATCTTCTTGCTATGGCCATTCACAGGTAAGTGTAGCTGGAGAGAGAGAGCTCTGCTCTTCTTTCCTCTTCTTGTAAGGCCACCAGTCATATTGGATTAGGACTCTGTGTCCCCATCCAAATCTCATCTTGTGGCTCTTATAATTCCCACATGTTGTGGGAGGGACCCAGTGGGAGATGACTGAATCATTGGGGCAGGACTTTCCTGTGCTGTTCTTGTGATAGTGAATGGGTCTCCTGAGATTTGATAGTTTTAAAAACAGGAGTTTCTCTGCACAAGCTCTCTCTATTTGCCTGCTGCCATCCATGTAAAATGTGACTTGCTCCTCCTTGCCTTCTACCATGATTGTGAGGCTTCCCCAGCCATGTGGAACTTTAAGTCCAATTAAACCTCTTTCTTTTGTAAATTGCCCAGTCTTGGGTATGTCTTTATCAGCAGCATGAAAACTGACTAATACAGATGCCCACCCTATGACCTCATTTTACCCCCAAAAGCTCTATCTTCAAATACAGTTACATCACGGGTTAGAACTTCAATATATGAAATTTTGAGGCAAATAATTCAGCCCATAGCACCAATTTTATTTATTTTTACTCACTCTGAGAGTTATGCACTCATTTTGATGAGAAAACAGGCCTAGAGAAGTTAAGTAACATGACCAAGGTCATGCAGCCCAAGTGACACAGCCAGATATAGAATCCAGAGCTGACCTCAAAGCCCTGTATACTTATCAACCTATCCACAATTCTCACCCATATTTACACCAAAATGCAATCCCCCTTTGTCAATGTGAATTCTACCTGTATGGCATTTAATTTTCCTTTAAATCCTTTTTTGAGAAATTAGCAAAAGAGACAAGTGGCTGATCCTGCTAATTCCTGTTTACTCACTAGTCACATCTTGCTTGGATGTCTACTTTGTTCAAAATTAGATAGGCAATAATACTAGGTTTATACTTGAGGATGCTCACAGTCTAGAGGAAGAGACAAACCAGCAAACAGACAAAGATCATCCAGTGTGGAAATGCTCTGATGGTGTTCTGGGACTTTGATGGGGCTCAAAGCAGAGCATCCGCTCTGGATAGGGATGGGGTGATGGGAGGTTAATGAGATGGTGACCCCTACATTTTATTTTGAACAAAGAGAACATAGGTGAATCCTGGAAAGGGAAGAAGGCATTCCAGGCAGAAGTAATAAAATACAAAGAGAAGCTGCAGCATGAAGTGTGTGTCAGGAAGGAGCTGCACCTTAGGTACCCAAACTTACTTCCCTGATATATCTCACTGATACTGTGGGCCTTGTATGTCCTTTTATCACATGGGCAGTGATATGAATAACAACAATAACAGGTCATATTTATAGAGTCTTTATTTATACATCTATATATTTTATATGTTTCTCCCTTAATTCTCATAACAATATTTGTAGGGTAGATTCTGTTACTATCTTCTTTTTACAACTGACTTTACTGAGCCAAGGCTGCAATAGTATGTGTTCCAGGAAGACTTTCCCAGCTGAAAATGCTAAATACAGATGTGGCTTTGTTTGTGTGTTTTATGGGAGCCATCACTTCTGGGATACTTATGTCAAAATTCGGAGTTACCAAACACTCACATTTCAATGCTGTGAAATGATTGACATGTGTACCCAGCAAATGTGCGTGTGTAGGCATGCCATGTACTTATTCATAGACTGTTTCCTTTTCACAAGGGTCTGAGGGAGAGATGATTGTATGAGGCTAGACTGACCAGCAAATTTGTTTGAGCTGTGAGTGCTGGCAGGGATGAAGGCCTTTGTCACATAGCTGCAGGAACATCTTCTTTCCCTTTCTTGCTTTTGCATCGTAGTCCTTTGCAAAAAAGACAAAGATTCAACCTTAAAAGCAGAAGAATCAACAGATGTCAGAGATATTTTTAAACCAATTACTGAGGCATCCCTGCAGAGGCAGGCATATGAAATATAGATGTGGCTTCCTGCACCAAATTTGATTTATTTCTGAGATCACTCCTTCATCAGAGCTTGAGCTGCATTCCAATGTATTCTGAACAAGCCAATGAGCAATCAGGGCATTCCTAGTTGTTAGCAACCTTGTAGATAATTTACAAGGCACATCATTGCCTCGGGCTTTAATAGCAATTACCACAGAGCACTGTTTTCCCACCTAGGGCTGGAAGAAGAAAGGACTGCTCAGATCCTCCTCCCTGACTGGTTAAGCAAGTAAACATTTTCTGTCCCTCTGCCCCTCTCCCAGTTTTCACCCAGGGCAGGTCTTAATGAAAATAAACACACTGGGACAATAGTGCCCATGAGAACAGGTTGCGACTCTGAGGAGAGGGCACTCTAAGTTTTACAACCTGTAGCCTCTGCACCTCACAGTAAAATACCATGTAATAACACCTCACTGCCATGTGGCAGGGTCAGTATTCTGTGTAAAAGATTGTCTTATTAGTAAGGACAGGTGTTCTAGCTCATTAGTACATAATCATTGAGCTCCTACTTTGCTCTTGGCACTGGGGACAAAATTGTGAGTAATATAGACAAGATCACTGCCCTCCTGGAACGTAGGAGGAATATACCATTCAACAAAAAATTATAAGTATGGTGACTCTTAATGAAAGTTATTGCCATTCCTTTTTCCCTTTTCTGTGTTTAATCCAATGGTTCTCAAAATGTGTTCTCTGGACCAGCAGCATCAGCCTCACCTAGGGACTTGTTAGAAATATACATTCTCAGACTCCCACCTGCAACATCCTAATTCAGAAACTGTCAGAGTGGGGCTAAGCAATCAGTGTTTTGATAAGCCCTCCAGATGATGATCTTGATGCATGCTCAAGTTTGAGAACCACTATTTTAACCTAATCAAGTAGAAATCCATGGTGGCTGAATCAGGATCAAAGGAAAACAATAATAAGAAGATAAGAAAATGTTATTCAGCCTCATACTACTGGCTTCATAGTAAACCGTGCTGGAGAATGTGGTCTTGAGGCCAAAGTAGGGTATCTACTTTTTCTCCACATCCATACCTTGGAGCCTGCCTATGCAGAGAGGTGGGTCTTCTAATTCAGGAAACTCCCAGCCTGCTACATGCAGTAATGCTGAACTACTTTATAAACTCAGCAGTACAGGAAATTTCAGGCCTTTACTGTCCATCCAAAGGAAGACTTGAGCAGATCAGCTTACCCCAGGAGACTGGAAGTAAAGGAGGTCCCCTTCTTACATCCTTTATTAGTCTATACACATTACACACTGCTATAAAGAACTACCTGAGACTGCATAATTTATGAAGAAAAGAAGTTTAATTGATTCACAGTTCCACAGGCTATATAGGAAGCTTGTGTAGGAGGTCTCAGGAAACTTACAATCATGGCAGAAAGGTGAAAGGGAAGCAAGCACATCTTACCATGGTGGAACAGGAGAGAGTGAAAAGGGGGAAATTCTACACATTTTCAAACAACCAGATCTCAGGAGAACTCATAATCATGAGGAGAGCAAGGGGGATATTCACCCTCATGATCTAATCACCTCCCACCATGTCCCTCTCCCAACACTGAGGATTACAGTTCAACCTGAGATTTGGGTGGGGACACAGAGCCAAACTGTATCATTCCAACGCTGGCCCCTCCAAAATCTCATGTCCTTCTCACATTTCAAAACACAATCGTGCTTTTCCAAAAGTTCCCCAAGTCTTTGCTCATTTCAGCATTAACTCAAAAGTCGAAGTCCAAAGTCTCATCTGAAACAAGGTGTGTCCCTTCCTCCTATGAGCCTGTAAAATCAAAAGCAAGTTAGTGACTTCCAAGATACAATGGGGGTACAGGCACTGGGTAAATACTCCCATTCCAAAAGGGAGAAATTGGCCCAAACCAGGGGCTACAGGCCCCATGCAAGTCTGAAACCCAGCAGGGTCGTCATTAAATCTTATAGCTCCAAAATAATCTCCTTTGACTCCCTGTCTCACATCCAGGCCACACTGATGGAAGGGGTGGGTTACCAAAGCCTTGGGGCACCCCAGCCCTGTGGCTCTGCAGGGTACAGCCCCCTAGGCTGCTTTCATGAACTGGTTTTGAGTGCCTGCAGCTTTTCCAGGTGTATGGTGCAAGCTGTCAGTGGATCTACCATTCTGGGGTCTGGAGGACGGTGGCTCTCTTCTCACAGCACCACTAGGAAGTGCCCCAATGGGGACTCTGTGTGAGAGCTCCAACCTGACATTTCCCCTTCAACTGACCTAGAAGAGGTTTTCCATGAGGGCTTCACCCCTGGAGCAGACCTCTGCCTGAACATCCAGGCATTTCCATACATCATCTAATATCTAGGCAGAGGACTCCGAAACTCAACTCTTGATTTCTGTGCACCCACAGGCCCAACACCACATGGAAGCTGCCAAAGTTTGGAACCTGTGCCCTCTGAAGCAATGGCCTGAGCTGTATGTTGGCTTCTTTTGACCATGGCTGGAGCTGGAGTGGCTGGGGAGCAGCGTGCCATGTCCTGAGGCTGCACAGAGCAGCAGGGCCCTGGGTCTGGCTCATGAAGCCATTTTTTTGCTCCTAGGCCTCAGGGCCTGTGATGGGAGGTGCTGCCATAAAGGTCTCTGAAATGCCCTGGAGGCATTTTCCCCATTGTCTAGGCTATTAACATTCAGCTCTTCTCTACTTATGCAAATTTCTCTGCTTATGCAAATTTCTCTGCTACCTTGAATTCCTCCCCAGAAATGTTTTCTTCTTTTCTATTTCATGGTTGGGCTGCAAATTTTCTAAACTTTTATGCTCTGCTTCCCTTTTAAATATAAATTCTAGTTACAGGTCATTTCTTTGTTTATAAAATGAGTGCAGGCTTTTAGAAGCAGCCAGGCCAGATCTTGAACACTTTGCTGCTTAGAAATTTCTTCTGCCAGATACCCTAAATCATCTCTCTCAAGTTAAAAGTTCCAGAGATCTCTAAGGCAGGGGCACAATGCCACCAGTCTCTTTGTTAAAGCATAGAAAGAGTAACCTTTACTCCAATTCCCAATAAGTTTCTAATCTCCATCTGAGACCACCGCAAACTAGACTTCATTGTCCATATTACTGTCAGTATTTTGGTTACAACCATTCAACAATTCTAGGAAGTTCCAAACTTTTCCTCATCTTCTGGTCTTTTTCTGTTCCTTCCAAACTGTTCCAACTTCTGCCTATTACCCAGATCCAAAGTCACTTCCAGATTTTCAGATATTTTCATAGCAATGTCCCACTTCTCTGATAATAATTTTCTGTATTAGTCCATTCTCACACTGCTATGAAGAACTACCTGACTCACTCCTGTAATCCCAGCACTTTGGGAGGCTGAGACAGGCAGATCACTTGAGGTGAGGAGTTTGAGACTAGCCTGGCCAACATGGTGAAACTTCATCTCTACTAAAATACAAAAGTTAGCTGGATGTGATGGTGGTCACCTCTAATTCCAGCTACTAGGGGGTCTGAGGCAGGAGAATTGCTTGAACCCAGGAGGCAGAGGTTGCCTTTTTCCCCATCCCCATTTTACGGTAATGTTTTCTGGGTTGGAGTAGTGTCAGGAACATTCTGAGGTCACAAAGAAGACATTCAATTTTGGTTGACTTGAGTTTTAAACCTGTGTTATTCCCCACCAATTTCATCCTTTCAGTTTATTTTCTCTATATCTCTACCAAAGTTCTCTGACTTCCTTTCCCATAATTTCTTCTTCCTAAACCATTGTCCATATGCCAGCCTACTATTACTGACTGAGGCTTACGTAACTTTGAAAAATACAATTATACCACTGGTACTGTTGTAGGAACATAAGCTTTTGGGTATGTCTCTGATTGGGAGGAGGGAGTGGCATGGGGAGATGGCTCTTGTATGCACAGGCTGGCAAGAGCCTTGAAAATTAATCAGTGACTTGCAGGAGGTTTGCAGAAATGTCCTGGATGTGGCCTTGAATCTCATTGGGGTTTATCACAGAAAGAGATGAGGAAGGAGCATGGGGAAAATGTGTCTTCCGTGACAGTACAGAGCAGCAGGCTCATCACCTATAGGATTCTGAAGCAAGGTCAGTATTATGAAAAGTCACGGAAAAACGGCAGCCACCCCAGGAAGCCAGGTTGAAACCTTGAGGCTCTCAGAACTGGAGGAAAGGTCTGGGATATCTTTTGTGTGGGGAATGCCATTTCCTCCTCATGGCTTTCACTATCACCCGTGCACCAATGTCTCAATGTCTCCTATGTCCACAGCACCAACCTATCCCACAAGCTCTAGATCTGCTTATGCAGGCACATCCTGTTCCAAACTGGTTCATCATTTTTACTCCTAGTCACCCTTTCTTCTTTGTTCCCTGTAACAGGCAGATAAAGCAGAATGGAGTAAATGCTAGATCGAGAAACAAAGCAGAAACCTCTGCTAAGGCAATTCACACACCAGGTACCCCCAATAGCTCTATGCAATTGTCAGATTTCCTTCAGGCACTCCAAAATATAGCATTCCTCATTCCCCACTTGAATTCTTAACCAATTGAGAAATGAGACAAAACAGGCAGCAGATGGAGAAACAAAACACCCCTTTATTCATGATGAACATCAGGTTGGAGGATATTGCCTAGTTTAAGAGCCAAAATGAGCTTACTAGTTCCTCCAGCCTCAGCGTTGGGAGAATTCATACAACAAGGGAAAATTTGAGTGTTCAGAGGAAGCACTTACTGAGGTTTCTGCTTCCCACTCATCCAAGCAGTGATGGAAAGAGAGACCAAATCATTGAAGTTCATGGCTCTTGATAGACTACCTCCAGCTTTTTTAGATATGTTAGCTGAAGGGCATTCTTTCAACTGCCCTTCTTTTCTATAAATTGAATAGTGTAAAGTGAGGATGAAAATTCAAATAAGGGAACAAATAGTTGTGAGGGCCCAGGGTAGGAAGAGTTAATTTGACCTGAGAGTTTGGAGAAAGGTTTGACATAAGAGGTGATGGATGGATGAGGTGGATCTTGAAAAAGAAGTTGGTGTTTACTAGGAAGAGAAAGAATGCATTATCTGTAGAAAGATGGTAGGTGCAAACTGTGGTGGTGGAGGAGGGAGGAGTTCACCTTTTTTGGGAGAATGTCCACTGTGTCTTGAATATAGAATATGTGGGTAAGTTGGGGAGTGGGAATCTTCTAATTAGATAAAGGGCAAGGAAAAGTGTATATTTGGGACAAAGGATGGCCAAGGATGAGGGCATCTCCCAGGCATTATCCTGGCAGGGACAAGAAGTTGGGTCTTTGGAGAAAGTTCTCTTGCTGATGAAGGAAATTGACCCTCTGATGGTCCCGCTGCTCTCAGGTGAGCTACCAGAGCTGGGGTCCTGGCTTCTTCAACATGGGACAGACGTGGCTTACTCTTTTACAAAGCATCATGTCAATTCACAGGGTGGTTGAGTGAGAGTTGTTACTTGAAACTCTTCATAGACACTTACATTTTCTAAAGAGATAGGCAAAATGTCAGAGTAGAAATGGGAATCTTTTGAACCTGTAAAACACAGTTAAGTTTCATCTTTCAGGGTCAAAGGAGTGAGTGACTTCATTTTTTCCAGAAATTGTTCACAAAAGCCACTTTGCAAGGTCTGGCATGCTGGATGTGTCACACCAAGGGCAATTGTGTTTTTTCTTTGGAAGAGAAAGTGCTGCCCCCACCCCCCTTTTGTTTTAAGAAACAAGTACTTCTGATGTTGTGAGTGCAGTGCTGGGTCATTTTCTCCTGGGAAGCATTTCTTTTTCCCACAGAGGTTGTGGAAAATAGGAATTTCTACAAAAGGATCAGGAAGATGTGAGGAGTGGGACGTGCATATCCCTGTTCTTCCCCAAAGAGCTGACAACACTGGCTTGGAGGAAAATACATAAAGAGTATCCAGAATGTGCCAGACAGTTTAGTCACTTTTTAAAGGATCATAAAAAATAGGATATTTCCGTTCTTATTATACAGGTGAGGAAATTGAGCACCAGGACCATTTAGTTTATGATGCCACGACTCGTACTCTTTCTAAGGCACCACGTGTTTCCTCTGGAGTATTGCACCAGCAATTAGGTACAATCCTCATTTTTCCTTCTTCTCTACCTAAACCATATTTCTGCATCTATTCTGTCACCCTGAGCCAGTGGCCCACCATTTCCTTGTTCTTGGTAGACCTGGGGAAAAGTCTTCAAGGTATGACTTTAAAGAAACGGACTAATGTTTGTTTAACATCCAGAGGACTAGTGTCCCATGGATAGGTACTAACTCACACAATCAATGGTGCTGTTATAACATTTCCAAGACTTTCCTTAGACATTGCTTTCTAGGTGTGAGCATCATCAGAAGCATCACTGCATTATAACTAAAACTTCTCTTTAATGTTCATATTTTAAAAATTTTAAATTAAGATATGCTCCTTAAAGATAATTTGGCTTTTTTAAAATTTAAAGATGAAATTGTCCACATTCCTATTAACCACCACAGTAATACCAGGTGTTTTCTTTTCTAATGTTTATAGTTAAACCATTTTTGAACCAGGACATCTGAATTCTGACTTGTTCATCTATAATTTGTACCCATAGACAAGTTATGTAATTTATTTTATTTTATTTTATTTTATTTTATTTTATTTTATTTTATTTTATTTTATTTTATTCTTTTGTGAGACAGAATCTCGCTCTGTCACCCAGGCTGGAGTGCAGTGACATGACTTTGGCTCACAGCAACCTCCGCCTCCTGAGTTCAAGCGATTCTCCTGCTTCAGCCTCCCTGAGTAGCTGGGATTGTAGGTGCATGCCACCAAACCTGGCTAATTTTTGTAGTTTTAGTAGAGATAGCGTTTCACCATGTTGGCCAGGCTGGTCTCTAACTCCTGAGGTCTGGTGATCTGCCTACTTCGGCCTCCCAAAGTGCTCAGATTACAGGCTTGAGCCACTGTGCCTGGCCAAGTTATGCAATTTATCTGAGACTCAGTCTCCTGCTTTGCTCATGGCTGGCATGAGGATGAAATAAAGGACTGCATGGAAATTGCCTGCCACAGAATTGCTCTTTAGTAGCCACCTTCATTGCCATCCAAGCTTAAGAATCTGCACCTAGTTGATGGTGAACATTGTTAGTTGAATGGAATTGGAAGTGAGTGGCTCATTCACAAAACTGACAGGCTATGAAACCAGTTTGGACAAGCTTTGCTTTTCTTAAGAAGGTCGAAGACAGCTGTTGCATTTGCTGGAGTCATAAACTGATGCCACATGTTATATGCTCTGTCTTCTAAGCAACATACTGACTTTTCATTTTGAGATTTTGACATTAAAGAAAAATTACAGTTGACCAGAATGTAAGTCCTATTGGGCAGGAGTCTTCTCTCTTTTATTTATTTCTTGTATTACTAGTCCCTGGAGCAATAGCTGGTGCATGATAAGTTTTCAGTATCTACTAGTTGAACAAATGAATAGTTAAATAGGCACTCAACAATTTTCTAAAGGAATACACATTGTGCTTCCCATCCACTCACTCATTCATTCAAAAACATGCATGCTGTGTTTACCATGTTCTTGGCATTATGCCATGTCTCCGTGGAGGGGACAGACATGAACTGGGCATGGACCCTGACCTCCAGGAGCTTGTAGGGCAATAAGGGAGCTAAACCATGTTATAAATGCCTCTATTCCAAGAGTGAAATAATAAATGAGGAGAAAGGTACTTAGACAATATTATGGGAGTTTTCTTGGGGAAGACATCACTGGTAGCTTGTTGAACAGGGGTGTCAATAACATTTGAACAGAATTTTAAAGGTTGTGTATATTATTTGTTTATTTGGTCAATGAAGAAAAAAATCAGCTATTTGTAGAAAAATGAGTTAGATTCTCTCACTCTCTCTCTCTCTCACACACACATACACACACACACCTGTTAACTGAATTGACCAGCCTTCTAACTTAACCAACCATTTGATTCATTCAAAGTAATGCATCTTTTTTGAGTATCAGTGCTCCTGCATATATTTCTGTGGCAAATGAGAAATTAGCCTGGCTAATTCTTACTTCAACAATTCATTAAAACTATGCATCAGTGCCAACATCTCCTTTGCTTCCTTCCCCTTCTCTTCTTCATTAAAACGCAGCAATTATGCAATCCTATTCCTCTGCCCAGGGCTCATTCTAAAAGTGTACTTCTGCAAATGCTGCTGGTGCTGCTACTGATGATGATGATGATGATGATGATGATGGTGATGGTGATGATTGGCACCATGGACAACAGGGGACATGGGCAGCCAGCAGGAGCTCCTCTCCTAAGTCCAGTTTGGAAAAATGCTTTGTCTGGGATGGGCCATGAATCACTGCCAGTCCCAGCTGCGTGGAAGAGCAGGAGTCAAAGGGGGAAGAGAAAAGGAAGCAGCAAGAGGAAAGCAGAGTGGTAAGTTGAATGGATGAACCAGTACATCACGGACTATTAGAGCTCTCGAGAAGATTTGCTCTCATGTAATCTGATGTTCACTAATGTTCACTAATATTCACGTATCACAGGTAAAGGAACTGGGGTCAGCACAGTGGCCTGACATGCTCAGGAGCATGCAGCTGGAGGTGAGAACACCATAGTTAGCACCATGCTTACTTTTCTGTAGCTGCTGTGTCCTGACTCCCAAGTGGAGCAGTGGGAGGTGAGTAGTCACAAAGTGAGGCTCTGGACCAGTCCATTCACAGTGAGATTTCTTTCTGCCTGGCTGCCTTCTGAGTGACCAAATGGACACATAGTCTCTGGATCCCAGAAACGAACAAGGTTTTTGCCTTTGAGAAACTAGCCCATGAAGAAGGAAGGCTGTGCACAAAGGGGTGGGCGAGCCTGAATGAAGCAGCTGTTGAGCAGCAAGAAGAAAAATATAGAGAAGCACAGTTCCACCAGCAACAGGCGTTACCACCTTGATATCTCTTATGCCTAAACTCAATGCTTTCCAAACTAGGCATTGAACTACAGCAAACGAAAGCAAACAGAACAGCCCCTCAAACTCCAACCTCCCCCCAGTCTCCCTCAAACACTCTAAATCTCTCAATTCTCCAAACTCCCCCAACCCTCATTCAAACCCCCAACCTCCCAGAGACCCACAACTCACACACAAAACAACTTTGTGGAGTTGCCAACAGCCTGATTATGGCCAACTTTATTTTCTTTGCCTTTAGTGTGAGGCATGTTCAGGTCAGAGGGCTCTCTCCTCCCTCCTCACTGTGCCCTTCTTGGACTCCTGGGCAAGATTAGGACTGGATGCTCCCTCCACTTCTCAGGGGCTACAGGAAACCAGTGGGGGGTCTCTCAGGCCCTTTCCCAGCCTACTCCTTCCCCACTCTGGCTCAGTGAGGAGTTCACTTTGGGGATGCACTTTGTTTCTGGGGTGCTCACTTGGGGAGTGAACACAGTGCCTGGAAGGGAGCAAAAGTGTCTCTGATACCTTTCCCCTGTTTTCTATTTCTGTGTCTATTGTAGATCCCCTTATACATTCTTGGTGCTAACTCCAGATGTGGGATGGTGGTGCTCACTTGAGAGGTAGGAGGGAGACAGGGTGATGGAGCTGTTCTTAAAGATTCCGCCAGCATCAAACTCTGTTACAACCTTTCTAATACTTTTGTTCTTTTTCAGTCTTTTTTTTTTTAACAAAGTCATGACAGTACAAACAAACAAACAAACAAAACAAAACAAAAAAAAACCCTTTTATCTCAGCGGTCCCCAACCTTTTTGGCACCAGAGATGGGTTTTGTGAAAGACAGTTTTTCCACGGACAGTTTGGGGGATGGTTTTGGGATGAAACTAGTCCAGCTCAGATCATCAGGCATTAGTTATATTCTGACAAGGAGCATGCAACCTAGATCTCTCGCATGTGCAGTTCACAATAGGATTTGCACTCCTGTGAAAATCTAGTGTTGCTATTGATCTGACAGGTGGTTGAGCTTAGGCCGTAATGCTAGCTTGCCTTCTACTCACCTCCTGCTATGCGGCCAGGTTCCTAAGGGCCATGGACTGGTGCCAGTCCATGACTTGAGGGTCAAGGTCCCCTGTTTTGTGCAGTGTTCTTTCCCACCATCACAGCAGACAACATTCATGGTATACTTACTGTGTACTAGGCACTATTCCAAGTGTTTTACATGTTTTGTATGATCCTTCTGAGGGAAGTACTCTTATTATTACACATCCGACATATGAGAAGATTGAGGTACAGAGAGGTTAAGTAACCTGCCTATGTGCCAGGTGAGGGGTGGAGGCAGCATTGGAAGTCAGGCAGTCTAACTGCAAAGTGTGTGCTCTTAATGAGCTCTCTATCTTTTTGTTTCAGTCTTACACTGTGGCTCCTTAAATCTTAGAAGCTAAGAATTTGATATCCCGAGTTCTTCCTGTAATAATTTTGCCATGTACTTTTTATTTTTTTATTTTTATTTTTTGAGAAAGAGTCTCACTCTGTTGCCCAGGCTGGAGTGCAGTGGTGTAATCTCGGCTCGCTGCAACTTTTGCCTCCCGGATTCAAGCGATTCTCCTGTCTCAGCCCCACAAGTAGCTGGGATTATAGGTATGGGCACCACATCCAGCTAATTTTTGTATTTTTAGTAGATACAGGGTTTCATCATGTTGACCATGCTGGTGTTGAACTCTGGACTCAGGTGATCCACCAACATCAGCCTCCCAACATACTGGGATTACAGGCATGAGCCAGCGTGCCTGACCTCCCCATGTATTTTTGTTTGAATGGTGCAGATCATGGAATACAAGGTACATGTGGAAGCTGAGGTGGAGAAAAGCCGTCAATGACTCAATATATCTAGTGACTTTATACATCATAAATATTTTGAGAATTTATACATCATAAATATTTTGAGAAGATTAATTTGAAAAGCATGGTAAGATAAGACCATTATTTTATGGAGACAGGTCCCTATCGTTTTGTTGGGTCCTGTGGGTTATTTATGTCTGGCTACTCCTTTGCTTCTGATGAGGCATCTGAGTCAAGTCAGAACTGAAACAGGAATGGACAGATCAAGGGAGTACAAGGCCTGTGGGCCCACGTGTCTCCACTCTCCAATCTTTAATATGTGGCAGATGAAGCTCATCAATCATGGCCACATTTTCTGGTGAATCCAGATGCTGCCTCAGGCTTCTCAGTCTTCTGCTAATAAAGCAGCTTTTACTGCAGAGTAAAATTTGCATAGAAGACAAAATCCACTTACTATGACTAACTTAAAAATAATGAGAGCGATATGAGCATAGATCAGCACAAAGCTAGGTAACCTGAATTACAAAATGTGGCATGCTCTCTGAGATTTGGAGGCCCCAACTCCTTCTTGCCCCACATCTATTTTTTGTGGCAGGTACCAGCTAAGCCAGGGGTGTCCAATCTTTTGACCTCCCTGAACCAGTTTGGAAGAAGAAGAGTTGCCTTGGGCCACACATAAAATACACTAACAATAGCTGATGAGCAAAAACAAAAAAACAACACACACACACACACAGACCTCACAATGTTTTAAGAAAGTTTAAGAATTTGTGTTGGGCTGCATTCAAAGCCATCCTGGGCTGCATGCAGCCTGTGGGCTGGGAGCTGGACAAGCTTGAGCTAAGCACAGAATCTATGAGCACAGCTGAGACTTCTGGAAGCCTTGAAATCGACGTTCAAGAAAGCCCAAGGCATTCCTTCTTCTATCTTTTGAAGGGTTGACTTTCAATTCTAGAGATGTCTTTTGCATCATTAAACCCCACCCCTGGGGAGAACTTACCTCACCCCAAGTGTGTACTGATATCCCTGGGCTGTGGAAGGATAGTTACCTTCTCAGTAAAAGACAGAAAACACGAACAGGGGAGAGCATTTCAGCAAAGCAGACTTTCATGGAGCAAAGGTGTCCCATATCTTAACTCACTCATGTATGGGTCTTACTACGTTCTGGGCACCATTCTAAGCCTCTTGCACATAACTCATTGGGTTCCTCACAATAATTGTATGTCGATGGTTGTATCATTATTACTGATGGGCTGACTGAGGTACAGAGAGGTTATGTAACTTGTCACAGGTTATATAGCAAATAAATGCCAAAATGAACCTAGAATCCAAGCAGTCTGGTTTCTGAACTATATGGTTCTCACGTTACTAATTAATATCCATAGATAAGAAATGACAGTAAGTCCCAACCACAATGATAGTAAGGATGTCTTAGGAATGGAAGAGCTGTTCTATTATACCTGACCACGTATCTGGTGGGCTTATGCTTGGGTTTTGAAAGGAGGACTTGATACTGGGACTGGAGGTGAAGGAAGGCACATTAATAAAGTACATGCTATGTGCCAGGGACTATGTTGAGTGCCTTTACAAGTGGTTTCTCCTATTTCTTCCTTTATGTCCTACCATTATCATTCTCTCACAAATGATCCCTGGGAAGGAAATTAACTCTTTCAAGCCCACTCAGCTAGACAGGGGTGGAGTTAGAATTCAAAGCCCACTCTATCTGCCCTTGGACTTAGTATTTCATTCCACTCTAGGGAGTTAAAGGTGAACATCCATCTCCAAAGGGAAAAAAGGAAGTTAACTTGGTAATTTAGAACTCTGGTGCTTTGCCATTTGAAGGACTCCTTTAATATCCAATCCTGAAGATCTAGCAACTTCTCCTAGCTTCTCTGGGACTTGGGGAGAGATAGTGAGAGGCTAGGTAGGGGTGGGGAGAGCTTGTGAAATCTTTGCTAGATTTATCAGAAGCCAGTAATTACTGAGCCCGTATTAGTGATCCTGGACTACTCTCTGTGGTCTATGACCTAAGCCAAGGTTTTTCTAGAAGGCAGTTAAATGTTCCAACTTAAAATAAGTTAGACTTAAGAAAAGAGAAAGAAATAATAAAGTGTAGAAGCTCAAACTCAAGATAATTCTTCATTTTGAGCTGCTTTCTGCAACTGACAATGAGAATGAGATCAGCATTTTCTACTTGTTTTATTGGGAAGTAAGAAGTGGCTTCTTAGAAGTGCTGAAGCTCTTGTCATTGTCAAGGTTGCAGCCTAATAGTTTATTAAGGGGGAATAGAAGTGCTGTTT
The DNA here is from genome assembly GCF_000001405.40 of Homo sapiens. Taxonomy (NCBI): domain Eukaryota; kingdom Metazoa; phylum Chordata; class Mammalia; order Primates; family Hominidae; genus Homo; species Homo sapiens. Next base: position 131,749,076 of record NC_000008.11, on the reverse strand, counting down.
GGGGACAGCATCTGTGTCCCTGAGTCCATCTCGACCTACCTAAACTTTAACATTCTTTCGAATAGTCTCTGATTTTTCCTTTGGAAGATCTCAGTATTTTCCCCCAAACTACCAGGCCTAGTTGAGGGGCTGCCTGACATCTAGACTCTCATTCTCAGCATTATTAAAAATTGGATTTCTCGAACAGAAAACCAAACACTGCATGTTCTCACTTATAAGTGGGAGCTGAACAATGAGAACACGTGGACACAGGGAGGGGAACAACACTTACTGGGGCCTGTCAGAGGAGGGTGCGGGGGAGAGCATTAGGGAAAAGAGCTAATGCATGTTGGGCTTAATACTTAGGTGATGGGTTGATAAGTGCAGCAAACCACCAGTGGCACACGTTTCCCTATGTAACAAACCTGCATATTCTGCACATGTACCCTGGAACATAAAACAAATAAAAGAATTATAAAAAATAATAAATTAATTTAAAAAATAGGATTTCTCAATCCTCTGACTTCCCTTGACTTTATTGATCCAATTTCCTAAAAACTCCCCATCCACAGAAAGTGGTATTTCTGAAAAGAAAATCTTAGAGGTTATAGGAGCCACTTTATTTTCTGTCTGTTCATCCACACACCCATCCATCCATCCATCCATCCATCCATCCATCCAACCATCCAACCATCCACCCATCCATCCATAATGAACACTCACTGAGTGCCCATCCTATGAAAGCTGGAGCAATGAAAAGTGTAGAGTATAAAGGCATGAGGTTGTTACAAGCTTGGTCTGTTTGAGGACCAGAAAGGAGACCAATGTAGTTAGACGGTAGGGAAATAGAGGGATACCAGAGAGGGAGGCAGGGGCCACCATAGCAAATGTTGTGGACTTCAATCTAATTACAATAGAATGTTATTGCAGTGTTCTACGCAGAAGGCAGCTCTGAGCTGATTTTGTTTTAAGACTACTCTCTAGCTTCTTTTGGAGAACAGAATACAAACTACAAACACAGAGGCTAGTTAAGAGGCATTGCAACAACCCAAGCAAGATGATAACTTGGCTGGTGGTAGGGGACAACAATGAGTCTGAAATAAGCAATTGTATTAAGAGGCAATTTGTAGGTAATGCCAACAGAATTTGCCAATGGGCAAGAGGTAGACAGGTAAGGAAAGAGACAGGAATGTCAGATTTTCAGCTTCAGTAACTGAATAACTGCTGAGAAAGGGCACGCTGAGGTTTGGGCAAGATCAGAGAATCTAAGGTCTTTTCAAATTTAACTGTCCTTGACCCTTAGTTGAGGCAGAAAGCAGATGCAAAGCTGCCCCCCTGCTTAGCCTAGACTGTATTTTAAGATGTTCTTTGGGGAGCAGCTGCAGCAGTCACAGGACCAAAGTCTGAGTGTGCATGAAGCTCCAATGAGGGCTGAGAGGCAAGAATCTTGGAATCTGGGCCAAGTCCTGGAGCTGATTTGCTGAGCTGGCACAGGCAGCAGTGGAGACTCTCTCTGAGACTAGGCTGCCTGGTCTGGAGCCACATCCCACATCTTGTATTGTGTCCTTTGCTGCCTAAAGGGCACACGGGGACTAATTTGGGGATGTGAAGAGCCACCTTTAGGGCCTTGGAAAAATCTGGACTAGAGAAATTATCACCATTTCAATCACTTTCATCTATGCAGTGGTGTTAGGGTTTACTATGTATGTTCACATACATTATATCATTTGCTTCTTGTTATAATCTAGAAGAAGTAGATTCACTTGTCTGTATTTTATAAATGGAGAAACTTTTTTTATTCTACATTCATTTTTGGTTGAGGAGGTACATGTGAAAGTTTGTTACATGGGTAAATTGTGTGCTGCTGAGGCTTGGTGTATGAATGATTTCATCACCCAGGTGGTGAGCATAGTATTTAATAGGTAGCCTTCCAACCCATGCTCCCCTCCCACCCTCCCTGCTCAAGCAGTCCCCAGTGTCTGTGGTTCCTATCTTTGTGTCCATGTGTAGTCAACGTTTAGCTCCCATGTGAGAATATTCACTATTTGTTTTTTTTCTTCCTGTGTTAGTTTCCTTAGGATTATGGCCTCGATCTGCATCCCTGTTTCTGCAAAGGACACAATCTCATTCTTTTTTATGACCACGTAGTATTCCATGGTGAATATGTACATCGTTTACTTATACACCATGGAATATGTATATGTAAATGAGAGAGATGTAGCCTCTCTCTCATCAATCCCAGCATTGATTGTCTGACTGATTGACTCTGTATAGGTCACATAATTATTTCTAGACTGATGACTGAGGCAGGTGCATCTAATGTTCTGACTGGCCAGGCCTAAGTCATATCCCCACCATGGGTACCAAAGACAGAAACTGAGGTTTGGGAAGGGGATAGTTCTTTATAGGAAAATAAGGATATCACTGCCAAGAGAACCAAGAGAAAGGCAACTGAGCACTTACACAACATAACTTTCATGAGCGTCCGTGTGAAGAGACTACTAAACAGGCTTTGTGTGAGCAATAAAGCTTTTAATCACTTGGGTGCAGGCGGGCTGAGTCCGAAAAGAGTCAGCGAAGGGAGATAAGGGTGGGGCCGTTTTATAGGATTTGGGTAGGTAAAGGAAAAAGGGGGGTTGTTCTCTGGCGAGCAGGAGTCAGGGTCACAAGGTACTCAGTGGGGGAGCTTTTGAGCCAGGATGAGCCAGGAGAAGGAATTTCACAAGACAATGTCATCAGTTAAGGCAGGAACAGGCCATTTTCACTTCTTTTGTGGTGGAATGTCATCAGTAAAGGCAGGAACCAGCCATCTGGATGTGTACATGCAGGTCACAGGGGATATGATGGCTTAGCTTGGGCTCAGAGGCCTGACATTCCTGTCTTCTTATATTAATAAGAAAAATAAAACAAAATAGTGGTAAAGTGTTTGGAAGGCGAAAATTTTGGGGGATGGTATGGAAAGATAATGGGCGATGTTTCTCAGGGCTGCTTTGAGCGGGATTGGGGCGGTGTGGGAACCTAGAGTGGGAGAGATTAAGCTGAAGGAAGATTTTGTGGTAAGGGGTGATATTGTGGGGTTGTTAGAAGAAACATTTGTCATGTAGAATTATTGGTGATGGCCTGGATACAGTTTTGTATGAATTGAAAAACTAAACGGAATAAAAGAAGGAGAAAAACAGGTATTAAAGGACTAAGAATTGGGAGGCCCTAGGTCATCTAATTAGAGAGTGCCTAAGGAGGTTCAGCATAGCCTTGCCAGCAAAGATTATTTATTTACTTTAAGAGTTAAGAGTGGCAGTTTGGGGATAGCACCAGGAGATATCAGCTGTGCTGGCTTGGAGAAACAGTGTAAACTGGCAGTGTAAACAAGAGCAGGGCATGTATGAGTAGTTGAGAATGGTGAATAGGAGTATGACTAGACAGAAGACAGTAGGGATGACAAGTTTTTTGGGGCACACTCCAAGTTGGTCTGGTGTCTGGAATGAGACTGGGGCCTAATAAAAAGGAGCATCTATACGGGAGCTTAAATGGGCTGTACTTTGTAGCATTCTGAGGACAGGCCTGAATTCTGAGAAGGGAAAGTGGTGAAAGTATTGTCTATTCTTTTTTAAGTTGGTGGCTGAGCTTGGTGAGGGGTGTTTTTAAAAGACCTTTAGTCTGTTCTACTTTTCCTGAAGACTGAGGACTATAAGGGATACAAAGGTTTCACTGAATACTAAGAGCCTGAAAAACTGCTTGGCTGATTTGACTAATAAAGGCTGGTCTGTTATCAGACTGTATAGAGGTGGGAAGGCTGAACTGAGGAATTATGTCTGATAGAAGGGAAGAAATGACTGCGGTGGCCTTCTCAGACCTTGTAGGAAAGGCCTCTACTTATCTAGTGAAAGTGTCTACTTAGACTAAGAGGTATTTTAGTTTTTGTGACTCGGGGCATGTTGAGTAAAGCTAATTTGCCAGTCCTGGGCAGGGGCAAATCCTGGAGCTTGATGTGTAGGGAAGGGAGGGGGCCTGAATAATCCTTGAGGAGTAGTAGAATAGCAGATGGAACACTAAGAAGTTATTTCCTTGAGGATAGATTTCTACAATGGAAAGGAAATGAGAGGTTTTAAGAGGTGGGCTAGTGGCTTGTACTATAGCATAACCTGCCTTTGCTGGTGTGTGGCAATTGGGCCTGGTGGAACTGCCATCAATAAACTAAGTGTGATCAGGGTGAGAAACAGGGAAGAAGGAAATGTGGGGAAGTGGGATGAATGTCAGGTGGATCAGAGAGATGCAGTCATGAGGCTCAGGTGTGGTATCAGGAATAATGTGGGAAGCCAGATTGAAGTCCGGGCCAGGATCAATGTGGGAGAATTAACAAAGAGTGAGTACAGCTAAAGGAGCTGGGGAGCAGAAAGTATATGCATCAGGTGTGAGGAAGAAAATATATTTTGGAAATTATGAGAACTGTAGAGAGTGAGTTGAGCCTAGTTTGTGATTTTAAGGGCCTCTAAAAGTATTAGGGTGGCAGCAGCCACTGCACAGAGACATAATGGCCAGCTTAAAACAGTAAGGTCAAGTTGTTTGGACAAAAAGGCTATAGGATGGGATCCTGGTCCTTGTGTAAGAATTCTGACTGCACAGCCCTGCACTTTGGCTGTGTGTAATGAAAAGGGTTGGGATGAGTCAGGGAGAGCTACAGTGGGAGCAGTCTCTAAAGCTGTCTTCAAGAAATGGAAAGAGGAGTGGGGAAAGGATTTAGGATCCATGGGGTCAGCTAGGTTTCCTTTTGTGAGTTTATATAATGGTTTTGTTAGGATGACAAAACCAGGTATCTAAAGGCGAAAGTATCTACCCATGCCTAGGAAGGAAAGGAGTTGTTGTTTTGTAGAAAGTGTTGGGGTTTGAGAGATCAGCTGCACATGATCGGCAGGGAGAGCACGTGTGTTTTTATGAGAATTACGCCAAGATAGGTAACAGATGAGGAAGAAATTTGGGCTTGACTGAAGTAATGGGGGCTGTCTGTCAAGCTTTGTGGTAGTACAGCCCAGGTAATTTGCTGAGCCTGATGGGTGTAAGGGTCAGTCCAAGTGAAAGCGAAGAGAGGCTGGGATGAAGGGTGTAAAGGAATAGTAAAGAAAGCATGTTTGAGATCTAGAACAGAATAACGGGTTGTGGAGGGAGGTATTGAGGATAGGAGAGTATATGGGTTTGGCACCACGGTGTGGATAGGCAAAACAATTTGGTTGATAAGGCGCAGATCCTGAACTAATCTGTAAGACTTGTCTGGTTTTTGGACAGGTAAAATGGGGGAATTCGAAGGAGAGTTTATAGGTTTTAGAAGCCCATGATGTAGCAGGTGAGTGATAACAGGCTTTAATCCTTTTAAAGCGTGCTGTGGGAAGGGATACTGGCATTGAGCGGGGTAAGGGTGATTAGGTTTTAATGGGATGGTAAGGGGTGCATGATCGGTCACCAAGGAGGGAGTAGATGTGTCTTATACTTGTGGGTTAAGGTGGGGGAATACAAGAGGAGGACGCAAAGGAGGCTTCGGACTGGGAAGAAGGGTGGCAATGAGATGTAGCTGTAATCTAGGAATAGTCAGGGAAGCAGATAATTTAGTTAAAGTGTCTCGGCCTAATAAGGGAACTGGGCAGGTGGGAATAATTAAAAGGAGTGCTTAAAAGAGTATTGTCTAAGTTGGCAACAGAGTTGGGGAGTTTTAGGAGCTTTAGAAACCTGGCTGTTAATACCTACAACAGTTATGGAGGCAAGGGAAACAGGCCCTTGAAAAGAAGGTAATGTGAGTGGGTAGCCTCCGTATTGATTAAGAAGGGGACGGACTTACTTTCCACTGTGAGAGTTACCTAAAGCTCGGCATCCGTGATGGTCTACGGGGCTTCTGAGGTGATCGGGGCAGCATCAGTCTTCAGCCGCTAAGCTGAGAAGATCTGGAAAGGAGTCAGTCAGAGAGCCTTGGGCCAGAGTTCCAGGGGCTCTGGGAGTGGCTGCCAGGTGAGTTGAACAGTCTGATTTCTAGTGGGGTCCTACACAGATAGGACACAGCTTAGGAGGAATCCAGGACTGCGGGCATTCCTTGGCCTGGTGGCCAGATTTCTGGCACTTGTAGCAAGCTCCTGGGGAAGGTGCTTCTGGGGGAACCCCTGGCCACTGCGGTTTAGGTGTTTGGAAGTTCTTGTGTGCTGGAGATGTGGCTGGGGTTTGTCTCACAGTGGAGACAAGGAATTGCAACTCAGAAATATGTTGCTGCTTGGCTGCCTCTATTATTGTACACCTTGAAGGCGAGGTTAATTAAGTCCTGTTGTGGGGTTTGAGGGCTGGAATTTAATTTTTGGAGTTTTATTTAATGTCGGGAGCAGATTGGGTAATAAAATGTATATTGAGAATGAGATGGACTTTTGACCTTTTAGGGTCTAGGGCTGTAAAGCGTCTCAGGGTTGCTGCCAAATGAGCCATGAACTGGGCTGGATTTTTATATTTGATGAAAAAGAGCCTAAATGCTATCTGATTTGGGATAAAGAAAAAGGAGCATTAACCTTGACTATGCCTTTAGCTCCAGCCACATTTTTAAGAGTAAATTGCTGGGCAGGTGGGGGAGGGCTGGTCATGGAAAGAAACTGTAAGTCAGACCGGGTGTGAGGAGGGGAGGTGATAAAAGGATTATAGGGTGGAGGAGTGGAGGCTGAGGAAGAATTGGGACCTAGCTCAGCCTGGTGAGGAGGTGAGAGCTCAGATGGGTCTGTAGAAAAGGAAGATTAGAAAGACTCAGCAATGCTTGGGGTTGGGACAGAAAGGACAGGCAGCAGGGAAAGAAGGAAGATTTGGGACTAGTTGCATTGGGAACAGAGACTAGAGAGGGGCTGCTGTGTAAAAGAGTGCCTGAATATCAGGCACCTCAGACTATTTGCCTATTTTACGACAAGAATTATTTAGACCTTGTAGGATGGAAAAAATGGAAGTGCCATTTTCTGGCTATTTGGAACTACTGTCGAGTTTGTATTGGCATCAAGCAGCATTGTAGAAGAAAATAAGGCATTTAGGTTTTAGGTCACGTGTGAGTTGAAGAGGTTTTAAGTTCCTGAGAACACAGGCTAAGGGAGAAGGAGGAGGAATGGAGGGTGGAAGGTTGCCTGTAGTGAAGGAAGCAAGCCCAGAGAAAAGAGAGAGTAGAGATGTGGAGGGAAGGGGTTTGGGGGTTCTTACCCTCCAGAAAAGCAGGAAAGGGGTCAGGGTGTGGAAATAAGGGGTTGGGGCACAGAGATAAGATGTCAGGGCACAGAAATAGAGGGTCAGGGTGCAGAGATAAGAGGTCGGGGCATGGAAATAAGGGATTGGGTGTTCTTGCCCCCTAGAAAAGTGGGACTTGCCAGTAAGGTTATAGGTGAAGGAGTTGAGGGGTTCTTGCCCTTCCGCCAGAAAAGCAGAGAAGGGGTAGAGACACGGAGAGAAGGGGTTGGGGTACTTGCCCCTCCCCCAGAAAAGCGGGACTTGCCACTAAGGGGTGAAGGACCAAGGCAGGCGTCCCTGCGTGGTCTGACACCACTGGAACCTGGGTGAATAATCAGAGGCATCCCTGTGATGATTAAACACCAAGGGAAGGCTGCCTTCCCTAGTTCATGACCAGTGCCGGAGTTTTGGGTCCATGGATAAAACGTGTCTCCTTTGTCTCTACCAGAAAATGAAAGGAACTGAAATTAAGAGAAGGGGGAGATTGAAGTGTGGCGCCAAGATTGAAAGGAGAAAGAGGTTGAGGGATAGTGAGGGAGGTTGGAGAAGAGAGTAAAAAGAGGCCGCTTACCAGATTTGAAATTGGTGAGATGTTTCTTGGGCTGGTCGGTCTGAGGACCTGAGGTCATAGGTGGACCTTTTTCATGGAGCAAAGAGCCAGAGGACAGGGGATTGATCTCCCAAGGGAGGTCCCCTGATCTGAGTCACAGCACCAAATTTCATGTGTGTCCGTGTGAAGAGACCACTAAACAGGCTTTGTGTGAGTAATAAAGCTTTTAATCAACTGGGTGCAGGCAGGCTGAGTCTGAAAAGAGTCAGCGAAGGGAGATAGGGGTGGGGCCGTTTTATAGGATTTGGGTAGGTAAAGGAGAAAGGGGGGTTGTTCTCTGGCGGGCAGGAGTGGGGGGTCACAAGGTACTCAGTGGGGGAGCTTTTGAGCCAGGATGAGCCAGGAGAAGGAATTTCACGACAATGTCATCAGTAAAGGCAGGAACAGGCCATTTTCACTTCTTTTGTGGTGGAATGTCATCAGTTAAGGCAGGAACCGGCCATGTGGATGTGTATGTGCAGGTCACAGGGGATATGATGTCTTAGCTTGGGCTCAGAGGCCTGACAATAACCACTACATAACCCACTAAAATATCCTACCCTTTGCAACATATTTGCATTCATATTTAAATAGAAGTGGTAATCCTTGTCTTGATTGAGGATACCATTGTTTTTCATATGACTTGATTCTGTAGTTTTATAGCTTTATGCAAAAATGGAAAAAAAACCCTAAATGTTCAATAATATAAAAGAATGGAAAATAGCTCTTTGTCCCTCAATTTATATCAATATTATATGCAATAGTGAAATTGGAAAGGTTCCCTTGTCCCCCTCTCAGGGCGTGCGATGGGTATGTGGCTCACTTCTTCAGTATCCTGCTGCTCAAACCTCTAGGAGAACACACAGATGGGCAGGCTGTGGGGCTTCGATCCCATGGCAATGTCTAGGGGTGAATGTTTACAGCTGAAGCCCCAGTGGGCGTGTGTTACAGGGTGCTATTTTAGTTAAGCCGTGTGTAGGCAGCTTGTGTTAGTCAGCTTAATTAGACCCCTGCCTTATTGCAAAGACAGAGGACTTTCTGTATCCCAAGTTCTCGTCTTGATGTACTGGAAGAATCAGATCACACGTTGGCTTGGAGAATGAGTGCAAGGTTTTACTGAGTGGAAGTAGCTCTCAGCAGATGGGAGAGCCAGAAGGGAGATGGTTTTCCCCTGGAGTTGGACCCCTCAGCCTCCTGGGCTCTCCTCTGACTTTCCAGGTGAAACTCTACATCGTTCCCCCAGTTGATGGCCTGCTGGCCTACCGGCATCTGCCAGTGTGCTCTCCACATCCTCTCGATGTCCAGCAGCTTGTGTGTTCCTCGGTTGATGTGTTTCTTTTGACGTCCAGCTGCTTGTGTGTCTGCCTGCTGGGGTCTTGGGGTTTTTACAGGCACAGGATGGGGGTGTGGTAGGCCAGGGTGGTCTTGGGAAATGCAACATTTGGGTGCCAAGGCAGGAGTGCCTGTCCTCATCTGGGTCCCTGTGCACAGACCAGTGGTGGAGTCCTCACCAGGGACTGCACCCTTCCCTTCTGAGCACTTACTTGCCTACCTTCTGTATCAATAAAAAATTTGGGATGCATAATAGCATGCGCATGTGTTGTGGACTGCAAGCTGAGATGTGTACAATACTCATTCTTCACAAGAGCTCTCTCAACTACTATCATTTCCCTGATACAGATGAGTAGCTGACTTCATTTGTTTCAGATTACAAATCTGGAAAACGGAGGTGCTGGCAGTCAAAGAACATTATTTACATACAACAGAACCTCAGCTCCAACTAGCTTAAGTAGATGAGAAGTCAGTGTTTTTTGTGTCACCTATCCTGGAATCTTGGTAGTCCATTTAAGTCACACAGGTGTGATGCTATAAGGCCTTGAATTATTAGCATCAAGTCAAATTCTACCAAAAGGGTATTTTCACTGTCACTCACAGGTGGTCTGCTTTCTTCGGGATGCCTTAAGAAAGAGCGGTATGGTAAGGATTAATGCATATTGGAATGCTGCTGACCTGAGACACTGCCAGGAGCACCCTGGATGCAGGGATGGCTATTGTCTGTCTTTCTCATTAATTAGATAGTCTCCAGGCACCTCTATTTCTTTCTGTGTCTCTGCCCAATTCTTTCACTTGCTAGCCAGTATTCTCAGTCACCTCCATAGCAAATTGCAGAGGAGACTTGTATAAGTGGCTTTGCTGATTACTCCTTCCCTCCTTCAGGTTTTTGCTCCAGGCTACTTCAGGGATCACTGACCAGGCTATTGATGGGACATTTTGGGTCAGATTTCCTTCTTGGTTCAATTACTCTCCTCTGAGCAAAGACTGGTAGTGCTCCTTCCCTGAGGAGTGAATTGCACATGGGCCCGTAGTTTGAGGCAGAAGGGATGAGTACCGTGAGTGGTACATTTAGTATACTGAGCATTTAGTATGTTGAGAAAACATAGGGTTTTGGGGACAGCCCCTGCAGATCAGATATCTGCATAGCTCAAAGAGGGAGTGTAAAGTCTCTGACTCCTTTGTAACTACTTAGATTTCTTTGTAAGAATGGGGGAATACATATTTTTTCTTGTAACTTTACTTTCCCTGATTTTTTTCATTTTTTCTTGGCTTTTTAATCCTATGGAAAAGCACTATAAATGTTGATGGATAGGCAACAGATATCAAAATTACATGAAAACAAAATTGGCCAAATCCCTTTACAACAACCTAGCAATTAAAGCAACTCTAGAAATAGATGATGAGTTTGCGCTTCTCCCTTTATAGATGAAAACATGATGACCCAGAGAGGGGAAGTGACCTACCCAAGGTCATAGTCAATTAGTGGCAAAGCTGTGAATCAAACTCACATCTGTTGACTCTTTGGGGACCTTTGAATCTCATACTGTGGACATATATGGAGGGTTGGATGACACAAGTGAGGAAAGAATATTGGCCTGAGCTATTTGCATTTGGCAGACTTTCCTGGTCTTCTATGTTGACTCAGATCTGGGACAAGTCTCCTCCTGCTTTCCCCAGCATTGGCCTAGGCCAGCTGCAGGTTCCCACTGTGAGGTGATCATGTGGAGCAGGTGGGCTGAGCATTTTCATTTCATAGGCCATTAGCTTTTGGCACAGTAACTTTTCCAGTATCCCTGCCCTCGCAGGTCTTATGTTGCCTGCTAGTTAGGAGGAAAAGACTATGGTCTGGGAATCTGGATGGATACAGCAAATTAATAGGGCTGAATTTGGTTGGCAGAAAACTTGCCATTGGCTGCTGAGAATTTCAGCCAGAGATGACCTGTCCTGATTTTGATTTTTTCCCTCCCTCAAACTTTTGTTTATTCACTGTTCTCCAAGGTGAGAGAGACACAGGGAGACAGAAAGGGAGACAGAGAGATATAAGGAGACAAAAAAACCAAAACCATACTGAATCTATGAAACATAAACAACATGCAAGAGGGAATAGACAGAGGGATCAGAAAGACCGGGAAGAAAACAGAATGATTTAATGACAAGGGGAAAAGAAGAAAGAGCTCTAGATGGAAGAGATGCATGGTGCCATAGAATGGAATTTAGAGATTCTAATGAGACCCTCTGATGATGTTAATGAGATAAATTTCCCCAAGGTCATCTAGAGCTAAGGCACAGAGCGAGTACTGGAAATCAGAGTGTCTAATTCTTTCTCTGGAAAGTATTTGGTTTCCTGCAATCAAAGATATCTGATAAATATTTATTGGGTAAATACATGGAGGCTGAACTCATCAAGGGACTCCAACCATGTCAAATAAGCCATGCTTGAAGTTGGTAACAGCCTGGAAAAGAGAAGCCTCCAGAGAATATGACCAGTGCCTTCAAATATTTGCAGGGCTACCATTTGGAATAATGCTTAGATTTAATATATTTATGGTTTAGGATTAAACCAGGACCGGTAGGTAGGAGCAAGAGTTAGATGGCTTTAGGGCCAATATAAATGGTCTACACAATCAGGGAAGCACATTGCTCATACCTGAAGGTTTGTAAGAAACATCTGAACTACCAGTTTGCAGGAATGTTATAGCTGGAATTGAAGCATTCATATGCAACGAAGGCAATGGCTCTCTCCATGCCTTGTCTCTATATTTGGAATGTTTTCTTTTGTATGGCAATTTCTACCTAATGTTGAAGATTCCTAATCAGTGATCATCCGTGAATGGGTGCAGACCACCCAAATGTCCCCTGAAAGTGGATATGGAGGTGTTTGTGTGCGTGTGTGGGAAGGGATTGGATTATCTGTAGTCAATGCACCACCCCAGCTGTTTTTCTTGGGTTGTTCTGGGTAGACTTTGTCAATGAGATGAACTTGGGCAAGATTTGGAAGATGGCATAATTAAAGACGAGGCCATTGAAAGTTGTGGTGACCAGACGGTGGCTTTGCAGACCTCTTTATGAGTTCCCACATCATAGCTGAGGCCAAACTGCAGATTTCTGAGTCCCACTCAACTCCTATTATATCAGAATCTTAAGATTTGAGAAATCGCTTGGAAGGGGCCAGTTAGTATCCAGAGTAGAAGTTGTCTTGTTAGGAACTTCAGTATATGGAGTGAGGGAGAAAAGGCAACTCAGGGATAACATGGAGACTATGAATGAGCACTGACTACCCAAATTTTGGTACTGACTAATAGTAATACCCCAGACAGTGTGCCTTGCTATGAGGCCTGGGTTTGAATCCTGGGGTCCTCCATTTTCTATTTTTATAAATTTGAACAAGTTTCTAAACCTCTTTTGATCCTGTTTTCCTTTGTAAAGTGGGCATAGTAGTGTCAATCTCACAGGATTGGATGTTTTGTTCCATTTGTGTATGCATCCATGAAACATCTGTTGAGCACCTACAATGTGCCAGGCCATTATTGCCTTTTCCTTTAACCTACTGCAGGGTGATTTTAGAGGTTAGATGTAACAATAATTGCATATTTCTGAATCCACTATTCAAAATGGTGAGCATTGCAGATTCTTCAGCAAATTTTCATATCTCTTTTCTTCTAGAGATAGTCCCTGCTCATCCGTATTCAGGAATGGGTGCCGATCCGGGCATAGCCAACCACTAGGTCCTATTCTCTTGGATGTAGTAATTGTAGTAGGGATTGGCAGGTGGCCCATGCAAGCTCAATCAGATCAATTTTGTGGGATTGTTATAAGGACATTGAGATAAAGATGTTTTCATTGTTCTGGAGGTGCAAAGGTATGAGGAAAGAAGTCTAAAGCTGCTGGTACCATACTTTCACCACATACAGAAAGTGGGACTGTAGATGTGATAGAGGGGAAGGTTCTTGTCTCTACCCCTATGGTTACCATGAGGAAGGAATTTCCCATAAACACTTTTGGCCTTTTACCCTCATGCACTCAGACTCAGGGAAGCTGAACTACATCTGACCTGGTAGGTGTGGGAAGACAACCTAGGTAAATGAAACCCTACATTGAGCTTTGCTCCTCCAGGGGCAGGACAGAAAGGCAAGCTGCTTTCTCCTTTTCTGCTCTTCGTCCTCTTGGAAACCAGCTGCATGCCATGCAGAAGACAAAATAGCCCACCCAGCGTTGTCTGGGTGAGTAAATCTACCTAATTCTGAAATTCACAGTCCCATTTGCCTTCCACTTGAAGCAACATCCTCTCGCCTAGCCTTTCTCAATAACAAAAATGGTATTTGGGTCAACCTTAGGGCATTTTTTTGTTTGTTCGTTTTGATTCTTTGTTTGTTCAGATTCTTAGGAAGAAAGTTGCCGTTATTTGGGAGTACTCATCAGAGACTTCAGAAGTAAAAGGTTATGCTGGGGCAAATAGAAATAAGACAATGAAGGAAGAAAAAGAATGTCTTCAAAATAAGGCTCTTGTTTCTGAGAATCACTCTTGTACTTCACCAGCTACCTAGGTATTCTTTCCAGCTATTTCAACCAGTATATTTTAATTGCACTTTACCTGTCTGAAATGGGTTTCTGTCAATAGAGACTAAATAGTCCTAATATAGGTAGTTTCTTTCCTCTTTTGCAATAATGTCTGGTATAGTTTCAAATTGGGCCATTCTGTTAGGTTTGCAGCGGTATCTTATTGTTGTTTTAATTTGTAATTCCCTAATGGCACATGACAGTGAGCATCTTTTCATATGCTTATTCGCCATTAGTATTTCATTTGGTGAGGTGTCTGTTCAGATCTTTTGCCCGTATTTCTATTGGGTTTTCTTACTGTTGACATTTAGGAGTTGTTTATTTTGGATATCAGTCCTTTATCAGATATGTGTCTTGCAAACATATTTTACCAGCATATGATTTGTCTTTGCATCGACAATGTCTGCCTCACAAGCAAAATTATTTAATTTCAATGAGGCCCCACTTATCAATTATTTCTTTCAGAAATCATGCCTTTAGGGGCTTCATCTAAAAAGTCATTGCCAAATTGAAGGTCACATACGTTTCACCTGTTTTCTTCAAGGAATTTTATAGTATCATATTTTACATTTAGAATTATGAGCCATTTGGAATTAATTTTTGTGAAAGGTATAAGGTCAGTGTCTAGACTTAATATTTTTTACATGTACATGTGCATTTGTTTCAGCAGCATTTTGTGAAAAGACTTGCCTTTCTCCATTGAATCACCTTTGTTTCTTTGGCGAGATCAGTTAATTATATTTCTTTGGGTCTATTTTTGAGATCTCTATTCTGTTCCACTGATCTACTTGTTTGTTCTTTTGCCAATAGCACACTCTTTTGATTGCTCTAGCTTTATAGTACGTTTTGAAGTTGAGCAGTATCTATCCTCTGACTTAGTTTATCTCCTTCAATATGATGCTGGCTATTTGGGATTGTTTATATTTCCATATAAACATGAGAGTCGGTTTGTCAATATTCACAAAATAACTGGCTGAGATTTTAATTGAGATTGCATTACATTTATAAATCAACCTGGGAGAAACAGACATCTTAACAGTATTGAATCTTCCTATCCATTAACATGAAATAACTCTCCATTTATTTAGATCATTGGTTTCTTTTGTCAGAGGCTTGTGGTTTTCCTGATAATGTTCTCGTATGTATTTTGTTAGATTTGTACCTAAGTATTTTATTTTTTAATGCTAACATAAATGATATTGGTTTTTAATTTTAAACTTCTACTGTTCTTTGCTGGCATATAGGAAAAAATTGACTTTGGTATATTAACCTTATATCCTGGAACCACTTTATAGTTGCTTATTAGTTCCAGACATTTTTTATTGTTATTGATTCTTTGAGATTTCCTAAATAAGCCATCATGTCATAAATACACGAAGACAATTTTATGTCTTCTTTCCTAATCTGTATACTTTAAAATCTCATTTTCTTATTTTACTATGCTATCTATTACTTCCAATATGATATTGAATACCAGTGATGAGAAGGAACATCTTTACCTTCTTACCGATCTTAGTGGAAAGCATCTAGTTTCTCACCCTTAAGTATAATGTTAGATGTAGGTTTTTTGTAGATGCTCTTTATCAAGTTGAGGAAATTCCCCTTTATTTCTCATTTGCCAACAGTTTTTCTTATGGATGGGTGTCAGATTTTGTCAAATGCTTTTTCTGCATCTCTTGGTAGGATCCTGTGAATTTTCTTCTTTAATCTATTGATATGATGGATTACATTAATTGATTTTTTGATGTTTAAATCAGTCTTGTGTATCTGGAATAAATTTTACTTAGCCATAGTGTATAATTCTTAAATATAGATAGAAGATAGATAAATGCATAGATAGATAGATAGTTGGATTTTATTTGCCAACGTATTGTTGAGGACTTTTACATCTATGCTCATGAGTCTGTAGTTTTCTTTTCTTGTAATGTCTTTATCTGGATTCGGTATTAGAGTAATGCTGGCCTCACAAAATGAGTTAGGAAGTGTTCTCTCTGCTTCTATCTTCTGGAAGAGATTGCAAAAATTGGCCCAATTTCTTCCTTATAGGTTTGATAAAATTTGGCAGTGAACCCATTTGGACCTGGTGCTTTCTCTTATGAAAGATTATTAATTATTGACTCAATTTCTTTAATAGATATAGGCCTATTCAGATTCTCTATTTCTCTTTGAGTTTTGGTAGATTTTGTCTTTCAAAGAATAGGTCCATTTTATGTAAGTTATCAAATTTGGGTATGGAGTTTTTTTATAATTTCCTTATTATTTGTTTAATTTCTGCAATGTCATAGAGAGATCCCTCTTTCATTTCTGATATTAATAATTTGTATCTTCTTTTATTTCCTTAGCTTGCTTGCTAGTGGTTTATCAATTTTATTGATCTTTTCAGAGAATCAGCTCTTGGTTTTTAAAATTTTCTCATTTGATTTCCTGTTTTCAATTTTATTGATTTCTGCTATAATTTTTAATATTTATTTTATCCCTTTTTATTTTTAATTTTTTTTGTAGAGATAGCGTCTCACCCAGGTTGGTCTTGAACTCTGGGGCCTCAAGCAATCTTCCTTCCACAACCTCCCAAATTGCTAGGATTACAGGCATGAGCCACCAGGCCTGGCCCCTTCTTTATACTTTGGATTTAATTTGCTCTTTTTTTTTTTTTTTTTTTTTTTTTTTCTGATTTCTTAGGTGGATGCTTAGGTTATTGATTTTAGGTCTCTCTTCTTTTTAAATACATGCATTCAATGCTATATATTTCCCTCTGGGCACTGTTCTCACTGCATCCCACATATTACAAGAAATTGCATTTTCGTTTGCATTAGATCAAAATACTTTAAAATTAATCTGAAGACTTATTTTTGACTCTTATGTCATATAGAAGTGTGTTTTATCTTCAAGTATTTGGGGGAGTTTTTAGCTATCTTTCTGTTACTGATGTCTGTTAATTCCATTTTTGTCTGAGGCAGAAATTGTGTGATTTCTATTCTTTTAAATTGTTAATCTGTATTTTGTGGCTCTGAATGTAGCCGATCTGGTGAATGCTCTGTGTGAGCTTGAGAAGAATGTGTATTCTGCTGTTGTTTCATGAAGCATTTTGTAAATGTCGATAAGATCCTGTTGATTGATGTTGCTGTTCAGTTAAACTATGGCCTTTCTGATTTTTTTGGCTGCTGTATCTGTCCATTAATGGTAGAAGGCTGTTAAAGTCTCCAGCTATAATAGTGGATTTATCTATTTCTCCTTGAAGTTCTTTCAGTTTTGCCTCATGTATTTTGATGATCTGTAGCTAGACACACGTTAAGGATTGTTGTCTTCTTGAAGACTGACTCCTTTATCATGTAATGCTCCTCTTTATCTATGGCAATTTTCCTTGCTCTGATGTCAGGTTTGTCCGAAATTAATATAGCTTCTTTAGTTTTCTTTTTATTAGTGTTAGCATAATATATCTTACTCCATCTCTGTCTTTGTATTTAAATTGGGTTTCTTCTAGACAACACATAGTTGGGTCTTATTTTTCAATCCTCTCTGACAGTCTGTATTTTAATGGCATATTTAGATCATTAACACATAAAGTGAGTACTGATACAGTTGGAATAATATCTACTTGGATCTGTTACTGTTATCTATTTGCTTTGGTTTCTTTCTTTCTTTCTTTCTTTCTTTCTTTCTTTCTTTCTTTCTTTCCTTCTTTCTTTCTTTCTTTCTTTCTTTCTTTCTTTCTTTCTTTCTTTCTTTCTCTTTCTTTCTTTCACTATTTTGCTGCCTTCTTTGGTTTTACTTGAGCATTTTATATGATTCAATTTTCTCTTCTTTCTTAGAATATCAATTATGCTTCTTTCAAGCTTCTTTTTAGTGCTTGCCCTAGAGTTTGCAATAATAACATTTACAGCAAATGCAAGTCTACTTTCAAATAACACTATACTGCTTCATGGGTAGTACAAGTGCCTCATAACAGCATATTCTCAATGTCTTCTCCCTGTTCCTTATAACATTGGTGTCATTCATTTTACTTATTCATAAAGTATAAACTCTGAAAACATTGCTGCTGTTATTATTCTGAACAAACTTTATCTGTTAGATCTACTAAGAGTATGAAAATTAAGTTTTTATTTTACCTTCACTTATTCCTTCTCTAATACTCTCCCTTTCTTTATGTAGATCTGAATTTCTGACCTATGTAATTTTCCTTCTTCCTGAAGATCTTTCGACATTTCTAGCAAGTTGTGTCTACTGGCAACACATTCGACTGTTGTCCGAGAGAGTATTTCTATTTTACTTTTGAAGGATAATTTACTGGATACAGAATTTCTATGTTGGTAGGTTTTTTTCTTTCACCACTTTAATATTTCACTATATTCTCTTTATACTTAAATGGCTTCTGATGAGAATTCCAATGCAATTTTTATCATTGTTCTCAAGTGAGGTATTTAGCCACCTGTTTCTTTCAGAATTTCCTCTTTGTATTTGATTCTTAGCAGTCTGAATATTTTATGTCTAAGTGTAGTTTTTTTTGGAGGGGATATTTATCTTTCTTGGTGTTCTCTGAGCTTCTTGAATCTGTGGTTTGATATCTGTCATTAACTTTGAAAAATTCTCATATTTGAATAATTCAAATATTTCTTCTATTTCTTTCTGTGTTTTATCTACTCTTGGCATTCCCATTATACATATATTAGTTACATCTTTTTTAATTGTCCCACAGTTCTTGAAGGTTCTGATATGTTTAAAAAATTCTTTTCCCCTTGCTTTTCAGATTGGAAAGTTTGTCCTGACATTTTTCAAGCCCACTGATTCTTTTATTGCTTCTGTCCTATTTATTGATAAATCCATTAAGAGTATTCTTCATTTATGTTTTTGAGTTTCTGATTTGTGGAATTCAGTTGTTATTTTTTTCTTAGAGTTTCCATCTCTCTCCTTACATTACTCATCTCTTATTGCATGGTGTCCACTTTTTCTGTTATATCTCTTAGTGTATTAATCATAGTTATTTTAAATTTCTGGTCTAATAATTCCACCCCCTCTGCTATATTTGATCCTATTTCTGATTCTTTCTCTGTCTCTTCAAACTGTGTACTTTGCCTTTCAGTATGCCTTGAATGTTTGGTCAAAAGTTGGACATGATATACTAGGTAAAAGACACTGAGGTAAATAGGCCTTTAGTCTAAAGTTATACTTATCTGGCTAGGAATTAGGCTGTGTTTACCATTTGCTATAGCTACAAGTGTCAGGCAATAAAGTCTCTGCTGGCCTCATTTTCTCTCTCCTATGATATTTGGCTTTCCCTAAAGGCTTCTTAAATAAGATCTGAGACTTGTGGTTCTTTCAGTTAGAATTCCCTGTTACATAGGAGCCCTGTTGATGGGAGGTAGAGTGAAGGGGAGAGGAAGCATTGTATAGTCCTATTATCAGATCTTTCGAGCTTTGCCCCCTGGGCTATGACCTTCACAAGCGCTTCTCCGTCCCCCTCCTTCTATGTGATACAGGAAGCCTGGAGGAAGCTAAAATTGGATATTTTCCTTCTCTCATGTCAGTTAGGCTCTGGTAAAATCCAAGGTTCTCAGACTCTGCTGAAATAGTTTCTCTTAAGGAGTTTTTTTTGTTGTTGTTGTTTGTTTTGTTTTCTTTTGGAGAACAGAATGTTCTAGATATATTTCAAAATGGTTACTTTTTCCCCCTCCCTATGCAAGAAGTATAGGGCATTTTTCTCTGGGAGTGAAAACTCAGGAAACTGTGGGGGGTCATCCTGATACTGGCCCCACTTAATGTTTTAATTCTCAAGCTTGCCCACTTTGAGCCTCCAGCAATTGATCACTTACAGTTTATGTTTTCCTACCATGATCCTGCTCTAGCAGAGGGCTTCTGCTCCTGGCTTTCAGCTCTAGTACTTTGTGATTCTCTGTATCTGTCTGTCTCTTGAATTTTGGGTGCTATAGTTTGCCATGAGATCTCAATTTTCTGGTGGATCTAAGAATAGTTGTTGATTTTCAGTTTTATTTTTCACTTATTTTCCATTGCGTGGACTAAATGACAACTTATTAGCCCATTACATTTCAGACCAGAAAGCAGAAGTCTCTATTATTTTCCATAGAATGTCTCCATAGCAAACAGCTTTAGAAGATGGAGATGGTGTCTCCTTCGGAAGCCAAGAGACGGTTTGATTACAGCTTTGGGAAAAAATGATTATCTTTTTCCAGAGCAAAAGTTAGGCATGCTTAGTACCGATTAATAAAGACTCGGGTCCTTTAGTTCAGGGCTCCTCCCCCAACTCACCACAGGTACAAGTGTCACTTGGACTCTACTTTTGCCACGCAGTGGGAATTGGGACTTAAGGAATTTGACCCAAGGAAATTCTTACAGTTTGGGTATTGCTATTACCGTGAGTAATAAAGTCCTTGGTCTTTGACCCAAGGGACTCATGTCTTTTGTCAGCATCAATGAAGCTGTGCCAGGCTGACTTGTTCCCTTGTAAATAGAATAAATCTTAGATCCTTCATAGTTATTTGCAACTGGTCTTATATTTTTACCAGAGGATAGTGGAAAAGTGGAGAAATATAATTAAATTTCCAGAAATTTTCTTGCTATTAATAACAATTATTTCAGATACCTTCACCTCTGTCCAAAATTTCTTTTCACGTGGTAATTGTAAAGAGGAGGAGGGACCTTCTCCTTCTTCTTCTGTTTTTTTTTTTTTTGTTTGTTTGTTTTTGTTTCTCTCCTCCCACCCCCATTCCATCTCCTTATTAGTTGAAGATTGATGTGCTGGAATTCTGCTTTGGGTTCTCTTCTTCTTTACTGAGTGAGCTTCTTCTTATTGTTGACTCCTAAGTTCGTGTCTCCAGGTATATCCACCCCCTGGCTACCAGATGTGTGTCTCCAAGTGCTGACTACACATCTCCAAATGCTGTTCCACAAGCCTCTAAAACAAAGCATGTGCACACTGAGCATAGTTATCAAGCATGAAGATCCTGGAAGCTTCACGTTGCACAGAGTTGAACTCCAGCTCCCTCCCTTGCTGCTTGACCACAGGCTAAGTGACCAGCAGCATAATGACAAAACCTGAAGCTAAATTGCCAAGGTTAAAATCTCATAACCACTCATTTATCATGATTTACTGGATTAAAGCACTTGCCATTCTTTCTTGTAATTCCATATTTAATTAATTTTCTAGGTACTTCATTAGAAACAAAGATCTTTAGGGTAGGGACCATGTCTTATTTACCATCGCATTCCCAATGTCAAGCATCGTACCTGTCATGTAGTAAGCATTAAAAAAAACCTGGATGATGGAAAGGCTAAACGAATAAATGCATGAATTGGGCTGGCAGCAGTGGAAACACTTTGGAGAATTTAGAGAGTTAGCTATGTTGCAGGCGACTTGGCTATTAATGAACATGTAGCCACATTGATATATTATTGCTAGACATTTGAATTGTTTCCAAGTTCCTACTCATATCGCACAGAGAAATAGGGGAATCTTTGTACTGCATTCAAATATTTTTCTTTTTCACTTCCTCTTTGGTATAAATCTCTAGGGTGAAATACTCCAGCTGGTAATTCCAGAACAATTTCCATCTCTTGCTACACAAACTACAGCTTTTATCATAAGAGATTGGCCCATTTTTCCACAGACATTTGGATCTTTGTCTCTAAGCAAGGGCTGGCCCACAGGGGCCACAGTCACTGACTTCAAAGACATGAAGATTTATATGCAGAACCCTGAGAATCTGCTTGCCCTTGCTGGATTTAAGAATTTTCTTAAAGGCTTTAAATTAAAGCATTAGGCATCTCTTTTTAGAAAAGAGAAATATGGGTTTAAATCTATAGAAAATAAAATACTAGATTTATAACTAGAGATCCCTAGAGAGGTAAAATAATGAAATATGGGATCATCAATCATTCTTATGTATGAAAAAGGGAGGTGAATCAGATGCAGTTTTAGAGTCTCTGAGAGATTGCCTGGTAAAATAATGATGACTATAACTTATTGTCACTTACATGTTTCAGGCACTGTGTTAAGTGGTTTTTATAATAAAGACTATTCCTATTTAATTTAACTCTCACAAAATGCATATAAAGCAGAGAGTATTATTATTTCCATTTTTTTAATTGATGAGTAAACAGTAGCACAAAGAGGTTGAGTAGCTTTCCCTGTAAGGAAATTTGGATTAGAATTCAAATCTGATTAAGTCTAAAGCCATAGCTCGAGTGCCCACAAGCTCATCAAAAAACAGATTACTGCTGTAATCAGATAAAGCCTACAATCAAGTTAACTTGCCTTAAACTACATGTAATGATATGAATATTCATTATTTTGTCACAAGGAACCAAGCTGTTCCTGTACAGGAGAGCCAGGAAGTAAGGTCCAAACTTCCTCTCCCTTAAGTAAAGAATGTTGGAAGAAACCTGGGGTCCTTATGTCACCCTCTTACCAACCCTCAATTTGTTTCTTCCAATGGTAGGGCATCTGGCTTATCTGCATGGTCAGTGTCTGCCAATCATTGAGATGCATTTCACTAATGAGTGAAGTCACTGTCCATCTGTCCACAATCCACTGGGGGACATTATTCAGTCATCTTTACCTAACATTTGGCCAAGTAAGTTCATATAGGCTCTGCAGACCTTGCTATCTCCATCTTCCTCTCCTGAAGGCACAAATGAGCACATGGGACCCAAAATTTGGACTATGAAGAAGGAGTAGGAATTCCTTCTTCTGCCATAGGTTTGCATTTGTCTCCAATTCAGCTTTTGCCAAAACCTTGTGTTAGAGTTCTGGGCATTCACATGACCAGTAATAATATGTATGGAATACTTACTTTTCCATTTGACTCTAGATGGTTGTATGTGTACTCCCACAAAACAGAACCCTGGAGAAAGGAAGTGAGTGGTAGGTCTTAGGCATCCAAATCACAACCTGTCCCCCTAATACTCTTGGAAAATTGGTTGGTGTACTTTGGTGCTTATACAGTTTGGTTTTCTGTTGCCAGTTTTCAAATCATATAACTCCAGTGTTGGAAGCAAGCTTGAATATAGCTCATTAAATCTTTCCAATTTTATCAGACATGGATATGTGCTTAGGACCATACCAGTATGTTCTTGGCAAAGCAGGAATCAGGTTACAGGCCTTCCAACTCAAATTTGGTGCTCTTTCTCTCAAGTTATCTGGCCCACTCAAGATGCCTGACCTCAGCAGTCTCCATGCCCTGTCGCCTCCCTTCTCCTCCCCTTGTATTTTCTCTGAAGCCAACTTTGAGTGTGGAAGCAGAAAAGAATCATCGGAGTGCCTCTTGCTCAACACCTTTGTTTCATCAAACAAGCATATACAGTACTTGCACTATGCTAGGAACTGTTCTCAGCACATCAAAATGCTAACTTTTGTTCTTTAATAACCTCATGGACTAGGTTTTATTATTGGTCTCATGATACAGATTTAAAAACTGAGGCATGGAGAGGCTGAGTGATTTTCTTAACCTCATGGAGTTGATAAACACTGTAGTCAGGACTTGGAATCAAAGACATTGTGGCTCCAGAGCCTGGGTGAGAGACCACTACACTGTGCTGCTCTTGTTGTATTGATTAGGAAGTAGGGCCCTGGGTTGGGGAAATGGCTTCCAGAACACTTTAGTGAGTTGGAGGCAGAGCACAGTTTCTGGTGCCCTGGGCCATAGCTCTCTCCTTGACATCATGCAGGTTGGCTCAGGTTATTTTCCTTATTTTCTCAAATTGCTCAGGTTTTATTCTTTTAATTCTAAATAGGATTCAACCACCAAAAAACTCAAGATCATTTTTCAATGTCTCACCTTTATTTATGTTTTCAGGGAAGGAGAGTTAGAAAGAAAGTCAGCAGTCTGGAAAATGAAACATTCTGCCCTTGTCTCCTGAACACAGCCAGGCCAAGTTGTAACTCAAATCACTCTTTGTACTGCTTGGTCGTAAATCCCTTCAAACTGAGTTGGCGTTAAAATTAATGGGAGAGCAGGGTCTGGTCTTAAATCATAGTGAACCAACCAATGAGACTACTGAAAAAGCCTCCCACCTTTTATCTCTGACACTGACTTGGGCAGATGACTTATCACTATTACAAAGGCCCCACACCTCATGACCCTTCAGCAAGCTCCTTTGCTCTAGTTAACTTAACAGGTTGTTTTTCTCTCTTCATTCTTTGTATCTTCCTGATGTTGTGGGCCAGACAGAAACAAGCATCCTGCATTCAGTGGAGAAGGCCCAGACTTGGGAGGCCAGCTCTCCTCTGGCTCTGCCACTAACTTACTGTGTAACCAGAGCTGAGGAATTTCATCCCTTCAGTCTTTATTCTCTTATCCGTGACACTGAGAGGATGGCATTGCAACCACATTTTCTGTGCACTACAGAGCACATTCTTCTTTTGGCTGTTCCTAAGGCATGTCTCCAGCCCTACTGTACTATTTCCAAAACCCATGAACTCAAGGCTAATCCATGTTCTATCTCATCTCTGGAGCACAGTATGCATACCTGGGCCTGATGAAGTGATTTGGCCAAAACTATTAAGTGATACGGTAGTGGGGCTAGGATGAAGAATTAGTTTCCTAGGGCAAATGTCATAAATGACCACAAACTGGGTGGCTTAACACAACAGAAATTTATTCTTTCACAGTTCTGGAAGCTGGAAATTTAAAATCAAAATGTTGAGAGAACTTTATTCTCTCTGAAGGCTCCAGGTTTCCTTCCTTGTCTTTTCTTAGCTTTGGATGTTGCTGGAAATTCTTGCCACTCCTCAGCTTGTAGATGCATCACTCCAGTCTCTGCCTCTGTTACCATATGGCATTGTTTTTGTGTGTCTTTTCTAAGTCTCCGTTTCCAAATTTCCTTCTCCTATAAGAACACCAGCCATTGGATTTAGGACACACCCTAATCCAGTATGACCTTATCTTAACTGGATTACATCTGCGAAGACCCTATTTCCAAATAAGGCTACATTCACAGGTACCAGAGGTTAGGACTTACACATATCTGTTTTGGACAACACAATTTGAGGCACAGAAGAAAAGAACCAACCCAACACTTCTGGTCCAGTATTTATGTCTGACGAAAATGAAAATGTTAGGAGTTATATTTGGCTGAAAGGCAGTCACAATTAATATAATAAGATGCCTGATATTTACATGATGTTTTTTATGAGTGATTTTAGGCTTTTTTTGACCTTTACAAAAACACAATGAGACCAATAAGGCAGATATTACTATGTCCGTTTTACAGATGAAGAAGTTTAGATAGAGATTTATTATAGACACCTACCAAGCACATTTATGTGTGCAGCTGTTGGTAGACAATGTGAGAATGAGAGAGGAGATAAAATCGGAGGTAACAATTATAAAATGACATAGACAGGGTCCCTGTATGAACTAACAAGAGTGGGGCAAGACCCAAAGACTATGATTACCTCAACTCTGTGGTCTTTGGATTCACTCCCCGAATAAACCAAACAACATTCTGAGACTCAGAGTGGCTTATTTAAGTTGACTAAGTAATAAGTAGTGAGATTAGATTTTGCTCTAAAACTTTTATACCAGTCTTATTTTGTCACAGAAAGTGCTGGAATTCAAATACAAATCAATGACAAACCCAGATTTGATTTGCAGATATTTCTTTCATGAGATGCAATTTTCAGGTAATTACATTGGTTTTTGCTGGAGGCCTCATCACTTTGTAGCCACCCTGATAAACAAAGATTTTGCAGCACATCTGCTTGTGATGCAGCTGGACTTTTCTTAATCAGTGGAAGCAGATCCCCAAGGCTATATAATTATCCACTAACTTAAGGAGGTCAAGGACAGTGCTGCTGCAACTGCACTTTTGCTTGAAAAAGCACTGTGAAGTTTTCTACTTAAGTATTCTATGTCTGGGGAATACTTGTTCTCAGTCAGGGCTCTCAGCATCTCTCCTGCATGGAGGCCTGTGCAGAGAAGATGAGCCTACTATCCTTAGAAAGACCTGCTTGCAAAGTTGGCCCTTGGTTGACATCTTGGAACTTGGATAGTAAACAGTTCCCTTTCCTACATTGATATAAAACTTTCCATAATGATAAGAATGGGTCTTTTGTTTGTACCAACAGTGTAGTTTAGCTGAACACCTGCTTCCTTTCAGGGAGTCTGGAATTTTGGTACATGCTACGCAGAGTGCCTACATGACTATCTCTCAATAAAAACCTTGGGTGCTGAGTCTAATGAGCTTCTCTGGTATACAATATTTAATATGTGTTATCACAACCTGTTCCTGGAGAAATTAAGCATGTTCTGTGTGATTCCACTGGGAGAAGACTCTTGGACCTTTGCTGCTGATTTCCTCTGAACTTTACCCATGCACATTTTCTTTTTGCCAATTTTGCTTTGTATCCTTTTGCTACAATAAATCTTAGTTATGAGAACAACTGTATGCTAAGTCTTGTGAGTCCTTCTAGCTAATTTCTAAATTTGGAGGTAGCCTTGGGACCCAATACAAGGTCCTTCTATCCCCAGACCCTCTCCTGACATCAGAGAGAGTCCTCTTATTCCTGTCCCTCTCCAATGCTCTTTCTAGAAGATCTTTGAGGAGGAGGCTCAGGCTGGAATTCCATTACTACAGGTAGTGTCTGACAATCACTGGTTTGTTATTTTTTCTAGCAAATGGTGTATCCAGGACTTGGTTATTTCATTATTTTTTTTCTGATCTAATGCAAGGAATGTTTATTTTTGAGGAAAGATAAGCTTCTGTTTGTTTCTGGCTTTAGTCTGGCTGAGAGGACAAATCTGAAAACATTTTGGTGAACAAAATTATTTAAGAAATATTATGTAACCATCAACCCTTTGTTTATCTATTATCTATTTCTCTATCATCTATCTACTTGTCTTCTATCTATCTATTCATCTATCTATTTTCTATCATCTCCCAACTACTCTGCTCACCGCGCCTCTACATTTGCCATCATCACCTTCACCAGCAAACTAGCTCCATCATCAACATTTGGGTCTCATTGTCACCACCATCATATCCACCTTCCTCACACAGTCTCTTTGACAACTATTCCCACCTCCATTATCACAATTGATACTGTTACCATTACCACAGCCATTATCGACTCCATCTCCACCACTAGCCCCACCATCACCACCAGTGTCAACATCTCTATCAAGTTCCATCATTTCTTATGTCCTCTGACTGTTATCCTTAACTCACCACCTCGCCACTAGGCTAGGTCAGCATTCACTCTCTAGCACAGTTCATGCCACATTGGTGCTGTCCAGCGAATCAACCAAGTAATCATTATTTAATAATTGATTCATTACCACCATTTTTATTAGCAAAATCATCAGCACGATAACCATTAAAAAAACCCAGAAAATAACAAGTTCTTTTAAGTTCTCCAAAGAAATCAGAATGCTTTATGGTGATCTGAACTAGGTAAATTCTTCCGTGTAACAGGAACCGCAGGCTGGTCTCCAGTATGATGAAGCAATGGAAAAGTACTGGAAGAAACAAAGGAAGAAATGAGCAGTTACTTTCAGAGTAGACCATAGTCCCCCAAATCAGCACAGTGCCTCTGTGCTCAGACATGGAAGATGTTGGTCAGGAGTGTGGTGAAAATCTTACAGCAGCCAACAGAGAATTTAAATTAACACCCCTTTTATTTCCCACTCCCTATTTGGCTTTCATAAAAACCTATATTTGTGAAGAAAACTTTAGCACTATTGATATTAGAAGGCATTTAAGCCAGCAGATGGGGAAGTGGAAGCCTTGCTAGGAATGGCTGGGGTGAGGGAATATCTGAAATGCATGTTTTATCAGCCAAATGAGATGTCCTGGCTCTGGCATTCCTCACTGGACGTGGCCTTCTTTAGAATGTGTGGCCTTTTGTTGCTGTGAGCTAAAGTAGAGCACTTCTGATTGACAGAATCTAGGAAATTTTCATTATCTCTTTACCAGACTATGGTTTGGATATAGTTTGCTTGTCTCTACCAAATCTCTTTCACTTTACCAGGCAGCCCATAATAACTCCTTAAGTTCCCTCTGAGTATCTACCTCAAGCCTCCAGACACTAATGATTAAAGCCATGATGCAAAAAGAGGAGGGAAACAGCCATAGGTGAGTGTGTCCTTATCTACTTTCCTTGTTCTCCCTCCCTCTCTCTCTCAAGTAGCTGAGTCTATTTGGCTTCTATCTGTAGTCTAAGGGATTCACAGGTGGGGAAGCTCAAGGCCAAATTATGGGGCTCAGGATCATATGCCTCTGGCTTTGCATCTTGCTTTGACCTTAGGTATTGCTATGGCTTGGATATGGTTTGCTTCTTCCCACCAAATCTTATACTGAAATTTGATCCTCAATGTGCCTGTGTTGGGAGGTATTTGGGTCATAGGGGCAGATCCATCATGAATGGCTTGGTGCCATTTTTGTGGTAGTGAGTTCTCATTCTCATGAGACTGGATTGGTTCTTGGGGAAATTGATTAGTTCCCCCAAGAGGGGGTTGTTATAAAGCCGGGATGCCCTTCCTGTTTGGCCCCTCTTTTCACTATCCACTTCCCTTTCGACCTCTGCCATGCTTTGACACAACACAAAAGCTCTCATCAGAAGCCAAACAGATGCCAGTGCCATGCTTCTTGTGCAGCCTGCAGAACTGTAAGCCAAAGAAGGCTTTTTTTCTTTAAAAACTACCCAGACTCAGGTATTCCTTTATAGCAACATAAAGTGGACTAAGACAGGTATCGTTTCTGATTTCTGGAGCTTCTCATCCCCATTCAAGACTCATCCCCATTCAGTGATAATTCAGGTGTGCCTGAATTATCACCTTGAATAGTCACCCTAAACTCACCCCTCTGGAACTGGGGCTTGTCCTGCTCTTGCTTCTGTGCTGAGAGACTGTGGTCCATTCACCACGCATTTATTCAATTTCCATTCTGTATTGGGCATTCTTCGTGATAATGTGATAAAACAAATGGTAAAACACAGCCTCTGCCTTCATAGAGCACTCACACTATTGAGGGAGACTGACGCTTACACAGATGATTGCTGTAGTATGAGAGAGTTATGTGTAGAATGTGGGAGTGAAGATAAGTTGAGGGAAGGCTTTCTGGAAGACATGATGTCAAATCGTGTTTTGGAGCTTAGATAAAATTTAACCAGCCACACTAAAAGTGAAAAGTGCATTTGAGGCAGAGGAAAGAGAATGGGCAAAGACACAGAGCATGAAAGAATGTGGGTATGTGCAGGACTAGAAGCTGTTTAGTAGTATTTGAAGATAATTTCATACAATTCACTTCATAACATGCCCTTTGTTTTCTCTCTCCCTCTGCTTGTCATAGAGTCTGAAACTTCACCATTCGAGACTTACCTTTTGGTTCTGGAGGTTTCTTATTCTCAAACTATTAAGGACACAAGTATGGGAATTTTTAAGGTTGACACCCTTGGGAAAGGTGGTATCTTGAGAGTTTATTGGCTGACCCATATGTCATGCTCCCCACAGAGAACATGCACCTGGCAGTGAGGTTGGTATTATCACAGGGGAAGGGGTCCCCAGGGAGATGAAATAATGCCAGAGACCAATTAAGTTTACAGCTGTGCCAGGGCTGGCTCTTCCTGGCCATATCCCAGCCCTGGAGTAATATCTCTGACTCCAGCCTTTTTCTCCTGAAATAAATCTTTGAAGTGCTGTATTGGAAATGCAAACCTGCATCACTATCCCCTAAAAATCTTTCTGTGGCTTTCCTTCGCTGAACTTTTCCAAAGCATGGCACCAAAGTGCTCAGCATCATGGCCCCTGCCTCACCCTCCAGCTATATTTCTCCTCACGAATTCCCCAGCATCCTACTTCATTTCACAATTCATAGTTCTGCTCATAATCTTGATGTTCTATATTCTAATCAAGGCCTATTCATGATTTAAGAAAAAAGTATAAAGAAACAAGAAAACAAGTAGATTAATGAACAAACAAGTAACTGGTGATGAACAGTTGGTAGACACAAAAAGTATTCTTTGCATTTTCATCTCTGTAGTGGGATGGAAGAATGTGGAGAAACAGCCTCAGCTGATACTCATGATAGAAACAAATCCCACTATGAGAGTTATTTCTCCTTATTATCAGTCTACTCTTCTTGCTTTCCAAATTACTCCCATGAATCCCCATAATGATTCTGCTATAAGTGGTCACTGCCACAGGAATGGGCCCACAGCTAGTAAGTACTACAGTCAGTATTCAGAACAAACCGGTAATACCTAGTGCTCAGGTGTGTGCACTTTCTTCCCCTCCCCATTGCCTCACAGAACCATCTCATGCTCTGGAAATGTGCGTTTAGTGTTGAGGTAAATACCTGGTTTTGTGCCAGAGACCTGTATCCTCCTACCGTAAAGAAAACCTGAACACCTCCAGAAAAAGAGGAATGAGAATTCTCTGATTTATCCAGCTGTAAAGTGAGAGGGGTATGGGCTGAGAGCCAGAAGATCTGGGTCATATCTTTTTTCTGTCTAGTGTTTTATTCTCACTGGGATTATAGTTTTCTCAGTTAGCTTCCTACTGCCTGTCCTCTCAAAAATTACTAAAATTCTCCAGGTTCTCAAAATAGCTGAGTCTTTTAGCTTTACTCTTCTTTCCATATAGGAAGTTAAATGAAATTCTCCAGCAGCAGGTCTTGGTGCATCTAGGAACACTGGCAGGGCTTCTGCAGAGACAGTCTTCATTCACCAAGTTTCCAGCGGGGGATATTGAACTTTGGGTCCTCTCTTACCTTAGGGCATCACCACCTCTTGCCATTTTGTGGCATCCCTACCTTTGCCTAGCATATTGGTTGGTCTTTGTCTCTCTTAATTTGGTGCCTGCAATGACTGTGTTTCAAAGACCTGATCTGCTGCTCCAGGGCCTTCATTGTCATTTGAAGCAGGATATAGGCACCCCTTGCTAACAGGTATCTCCTATTCTGAAATTCCTATTCCTATTCTTGAATTCTGAAACCCCAGAATTCAAGTCAACCATGTATATTAAGAATACTCTTTGTTACCCAGAATTCTGCCACTCCCACTCAGGCTGCAGCAGGATGGGGCCAAGCATCCACACTTCCCCATCCAGAGAAGTCTCCTACTGAGAGTCAGAGCCAGGAGTGTTTAGATGGCTGTGAGGAATGTTCATCTTACAGTGTCCTTGAGAGGTAACCTCTGGGCTCTCACATCCCATTATGTGCATGTTACAGAACCAACCTGAAGGAGTCAACCTAGAATTCACCTGGGGATAGAAAACAGAATGATTACAGGACTGAGAAAAGAGTAAAACAACAAATGATGCAAAGGTTGACTGAGCAGTCACAGTGGTTGAGGTGGTCATGGAGAGTTGTCAGTAAACTCAGAATGATGAAAACTCTGAGAGAGAGTGTGTGATACAAAGTGAGATTGACAGCAGCTGCGAGGCTGGACTTAAGACAGGGAAAGCTCAGTGGGACAATAGGAAAAACTTCCCAAAACAGAGGACATGGGTTATCAGTATTAAAATTTATTGGGTTTCTAACATTTGCCACACACTTTATTTACATAATCTCACTCTGTTTTAAAGTAACTCTGCAAAATATGTTTCTTAAAATAAACATATTTAGTAACATAAAAAGTTGAAATGTTGAAAAATTAAGCCTCTTGGGGGAGGAGGGAGAATATTAGGAAGAATAACTAATAAATACTGGGCTTACTACCTAGGTGATGGGACAGGCTATGCAGCAAACCACCATGGCACACGCTTACCTATGTAACAAACCTGCACATCCTGCACATGTACCCCTGAACTTAAAATTTTGAAAAAAGAGAAAGTGCAGGGAAATTTACCCGAGTTCATATACCCAAGATTTTGTAGTCTCTTTCTGACACCTTCTCTCCCTCCCTCCCATCTTCTTTCTGCTCTTCTTTCTTCCCTTCTTTTCCCCATTTCACGATGCTACCCTTACTCTAGTGTTTTATTATTAAGAGAAGTCTTTTTAGAAGTTCTTAGAGCACTCTTTGGTTCCAAGGTGCTCAAGGAACTAAGCTGAAGGTCCCAGGTTTGACAGACAATTGTCCTTAACACTTAGCCCTAGACCAGGACTGGTGCTTCATCTCATACCCTCATGGGGACATATGCTTGTGAGTCTCAATGTGGCTACCAAACTAAATTTCTTTTATGATTCTCTAAACAGACTTGGCTTATGTCTTCCTGATTCCAGGCCTTCCTATATATTTTCCCCCTTCTGGGATTCATTAGTTGAGTGACATGTTATGCAACTTAAAAAATAATTTAAAAATAAATTTATTTAAATAATGCATGATATGGTTTGGCTGTGTCCCCCACCCAAATCTCATCTTGAATTGTAGCTCCTATAATTCCCATGTGTTGATGGGAAGGGCACAGTGGGAGGTAATAGAATCATGGGCACACGTCTTTCCTGTGCTGTTCTTCTGATAGTGAATAAGGCTCATGAGATATGATAGTTTTATAAAGGATAGTTCACCTACACATGCTCTCTTTCTGCTGCCATGTAAGATGTGACTTTTCTCCTCATTCATCTTCTGCCATGATTGTGAGTCCTCCCCAGCCATATGGAACTGTGAGTTAATTAAATCTCTTCCCTTTACAAATTACCTAGTCTCAGGTATGTCTTTATTAGCAGTGTGAAAACAGACTAATATGAGGTAGAAATTTATTTTTCAGTTATGAAACAGACATAAGTGGTTCTGAGCTAGAGGGGCAACTGTCTTTCACAAGGACATCAGATCCTAGAGTTGTTCCATCTTCTTGCTCTGCCATTTCCAAGCTGTTGTCCTTGCTGAAGGTTGATGCTGGCTCCTCTATACCCACATTCCAACTCAGTTGGTTTGTTAAGGGGATAAATAGGACATTGGGCTAATTGCTTGAGCTCACATCTCATTATCATATGGTCACACCTAGTTGCAAAGAGGTGGGAAATATGGATTCTGCTGGGCAGCCACATTTCCAGCTAAAACCAGGGGGTTCTACCACTAAAAGGAAGAAAAAGAGATTGGACACTGGAGGATATTTGGGAGAATGTCCCACAGAAAAATTGTCTCCTTCCATCTTTTTTACGTGTTATCCATCCCACTGAGATGTCACTTAAAAAATATTAAGTTCCAGGATACATGTGCAGGATGTGTAGGTTTGTTACATAGGGAAATGTGTGCCATGGTGGTTTGCTGCACCTATCAACCCATCACCTTAGGTATTAAGTTCTACATGCATTAGGGATTTATCCTGATGCTCTCCCTCCCCCCACCCCCAACAGATCCTAGTGTCTATTGTTCCCTTTCTCGTGTCCACGTGTTTTCATTGTTCAGCTCTCACTCATGAGTGACATCATGCGTTGTTTGGTTTTCTGTTCCTGTGTTAGTTAGATGAGAATAATGGCTTCCAGTTGCATCCAAGTCTCTGCAAAGGACATGATCTTGTTCCTTTATATGGCCACATAGTATTCCATGGCGTATATGTACCTTTTCCATGAATCTTTCTGTAACCACGCAGACCTACCTGCCCCATTTGTTTCTACCCCAAATGTATCGTTTTCCAAATTGCCTCAGAATGTGCCTGTTTACTGTCCACTTCTCCCTATATACTGTGAAAATTTTGAGAATAGAAACCTTGCCTTATTCATCTTTATGTTCCTATTCCTCTCACGAACCTTGGCCACTGTAGGCAGTCAATAGGCTTATATGAGAGAGAATGAATAATTTAAAGTTCACTGAGAAACATCATTAAACAGAATACTGCTGCAGGATTTCAAAAGATAAAATGTTAGTTCTAATGGATTTTTGATAACTCATTTTCATATGAAGCTTAAACGGTTCCCAGGCAATGTTCCTCATGTAGTATTTTATTTTGATTCTGACTCTCCTACCAAACAGTGAGGCTCATAGACAGTAATATTCCTGCCAACCTGCAGCTCAAGAAACTAGGGCTTGGAACCTTTGAGATTTGGGTAAGCCATGCAATCAGGAAGTAGTGAGGCCTGCTTGGACTGGAAGTCAGATTCTTTCATTGTAAATCAAATGTCTTCTGTCATCGAAGGGGACCATTTCTGGGTATATAAAGGAACACAGA
The DNA here is from genome assembly GCF_000001405.40 of Homo sapiens. NCBI lineage: Eukaryota > Metazoa > Chordata > Mammalia > Primates > Hominidae > Homo > Homo sapiens. Next base: position 131,715,332 of record NC_000008.11, on the reverse strand, counting down.
GTTTAAGTGACTTAGGCAAGGCCAAAGGGATGGAACCTAAGTTCCCAACCAGGACAGTGTCTCTCATTTCTTCCAGGCAGATTCATAGATGTGGGCCCTTTAATCAAATGCTCTGGGTTCAAGATTATTAGCTGTGTGTCCTTAAGTGGGTTATATAAATCATCTAAACCTGAATTTCCTTTTCTATAAAATAAGGATAGTAATATTTTCAAGTTATTGTGAAAATGAAATGAGACCCGAGTAAAGAACTGTGGCATACAATGTGGACTCAATTACATGTTAGCTACCAATTACATTATTATTCATTTTTTTGTGAGTTGGAATTCATTTTTGAGTCCCCTCAAAACAGTACAATTTACTTTTTATAGATCACCTACTATGATCCATGCATTTTATGTGCTCCATTATAACAGCCTATCCACTGGTATACTCAGAAGACAGATCATGATTCCTGCAACATTCACACTTCTTGATAAAGAAATTGATGCTTATTTGTTCCTTGAGCAAGAGGGACTGTCTTCTGAACCATCTTTCCTTTTTCCATGACTACAGTGGAGATCATAGTATCTAGGTAAGCTGATCAGGTTCTCAGGAGTTTGTGCTTGAAAATTCAGAGAATAACCTGCTTGTGTGAAAGGGCAGATGTGATATCCAGGCAAGTAGAGACCAAAATAATTTCACTTTCTTTATCTGTACAAAGTAGCAATTCAAAGAGGTTGGTCCTTATCCTTAGGCCACAAAGTCAGCTAGTAGTGGAGCTGGGACTCAACTCAAGTTTTGCCTGGCATCATGGCAATTCTCTTCTAATAGTCCTATTAATCCAAGTGCCTGTGAGTATCCCTGGACTGCACGTAACCTCTTTTATATTTTGGTGAATTATTTAAATGATATGCTTCATTTTTTCCCATTAACCAGAAGGAATATAAAATCAGATATGCTTGAGATAGCTTTTATTTAAGATAAGAACAGGGGTGTGTCCCATATGTTTAGGAGCTGGATTTGTCTTTTCCATATAGAAGCTGATAAAGTATTATCAACTTTAGCAAACCTTGTTTGAAGACTTGTGGAGCATAAAGATACCTTGAAAGGGTTGCTGAAAACTGATTTCTGCAGGAATAATGGGGACGTGGATGGTTACACATGAAATCCCTTTAACTGGTCAGGGAAGAATGTGATCAATTTTTATTGTTTTTATTTATTGAAGAAATTGCTTAATAACTTATTTGGGGAAAATGTTTTTGTACAACCAAGATAAAAATAAAGGAAAATCAGGGTTTAGTCAGAGAGTAATGATACCAGTAAAAGTATAGCATCACTGGGGGAAAGAGGAAGGCGTCCTCTCACACTAGTTGGAGCTGATGGGGGGATGGTATAACTTCTATCATGGTAAGAGAGAAAGTTTGGAATAAGACTCCTTAGGTCTGAACCTTAACTTTGCCTCTTAACTTCATAACCTATGGAAAAATTATTTAAGTTCTCTAAGCCTCAGTTTTCTCATAAAGAAAATGGCAATAAGTGGGAGTAAGTACCTTATAGGTGATTGTACCTCCCCTTCCCTCCCCTCCCCTCCTTTTCCCTTCTTTTCTCTTTCTCTCTCTCTCTCTTTTTGTCCTTTTTTTTCCTTCCCCTTGACTTTACTTTCTATTCAATTGTTCCAATTTTCCTGGGAGTCTTTTACATCTTAGTGTGAAAAATAGGAACATGGCCAGCAGCACTATGCTCTTGCCTCTTGTTTCAGTCTTCCATGATCCCACGGTCAATCCTAAAGTAGCTTTGGGTCCCCATGATCTGGAAAAAGAAACCTAAGATTGCCTCTGAGAGTTTAACTGGGAAATCAATATGTAATTAATGAGAGAAAACAATGCAATGCTCTTTTACATGGACACGATGTCTATTAGGCCAAAAGATCTTGACTCTAACCTAATTTAAAGCATTAATATAACATTAAAGAGATAATATGTCTCAGAAACATAGTTGTTCAGCTACCCAAAGCATAGCAAAGGAAAAACTAAGGAAGGAGCTATAGGAATTTCCCAGCCAAACCCTGATCAGAGGAGACGGAGACTTGGTCCCAGAATTATTTCTTCTTGTATAAGGATATGAGGATATTATGAATAGGAATACATAAGGGTTTTATTCAATGCAATTCAACATTCCACTGCATAAAAAGTTTCTTGATGTGATTGCTTGTTCCCCAGAATGTGTTATTTGACTTTGCATCTGGCTAGCTTATGGAAATTAAATGTATTATCTCTGAAGTACATGTAATTTTCATAGTAAGCTAGTAGCTTAATATATTGATTTTAGAGTTTAAGGGGGGAGGGGGAAGCATACATTGCCCATATTGTTGCAGAGCTGATTTTTAGTGAAAGGGATTTGTAATACAACTGATCAGTGTTTGGAGAAAGTTTCCTGAAGTCCTGCATAATTTATTTTAAAACTTATAAAGTTGGATTGTTGTTCAAAGAGAACCATGTTTATAGATTTACGTCCTAGTGTCTTCTGACTTATGCAACTTAATATTCTTGTTTAGAGAGTTGGGATTCTTTATTTTAGGTCCAGCCAAGATCATTTTAAACTCTCTATCACAGTTTTCTATCACTTGGGAAATTTGTGATGGTTTTAAGAACAAAAATATCCCAAATATTTGCTTTTTTGGTGGCTTTGTTTTCTAGCAGTACTGTGTAGGACTTCAATATTATGGAAAATGTTCTTGTACATTCTTCCTCTTCAATATCTCAGTGATCATCAAAGGATCTAGACTGTTCTATAAAAGCCTTGGCAGATTTGGCATCACTGGGGCTGAGACACTGGCCATTTCCTCCATGGTCTGAAAGAACCTTTGGCTGTGAGAGACCTTGAAAAAAGCAAGGTCCTTAGACACCTTTCTATATTGCCCCATACCAGGCACCAATTCTGAGTCTTTCTGCAAGGTAGAATCACCTCCCTATGGTGGGATTGCTGAAGTTATTGAGCAGTTGCTCTGGACTGTCCATTCCCAGGTGGAATCCACTGTCACCTCTGCAATTTGCAGCTTCCTCCATGAACATGGACACTTCTATCGTGGGACTCAATTCCTTGGTTCTTCTTTGATTGTACTTGACTCAGTTTTATCATTTACCAAGAGGCAAAAAGCTTTCAGACAACAGCCAGAAATCATGTTCCTTTCTCAAATTGTCATCAAATGACTTTTTGACTAAAATGTGGAGGGGTTGTGTTTGTCTAATTACATCACCCAGAATTAACCAGCAAGTGTAAACATTCACAGCTAGTGACTTCTATGCTATGCCTATCAGAGACAGTAAGACTGCCAAGTTCATATGAATGAGCAATGGGCCATGAATGTACACCTAGTTCTGATTTCAATGCACATTTCCTTTTCATTATTCTAAACCATCTCCTGCTGTTAAAAGGCCTTTGGAAGACACTAGTAGTAGGCACTGTATATGTCTGGAGTAGGGAAGAGTTGATATTTTGTTCGTTTGTTTGTTTTGGCTGAGAGAATTGGAAAGACTTTCCTATGATGCTAACTGGGTGTAGAAGGCAAAGGAAAAATTTTAGCCTTTGGCCATTTTCCAGTTAGGTGGAAACCCAGGGATCCCTAGGCTGTCTTGCCAAAATGACACACACCTCTTACTCTGAAACCCCAGCAGCTGACAGCACACTCATTTCTGCTCATAATTCCACAAATTCCAATTTGGCAAAGGCACATTTAAAACTATGTTCTGATGATGGTGGAATTAATGTGGGAGGTGGGAAACGGCTTCTCCACTGTTTTGATGACAGTCCTGAGAGGGAGCCAGAAAATACATTACTTGATATACTTTGTTCTCTGTGCAATTTTAGATGTCTTAATACATGTCTAATATTTTGATCTAGATGACATTTTTATTTGGAGTCATTTGACTCTGTCGAGGGAGTAAGGAAGGAGGAAAACAATCTAGTACTTTGCAATATGTTTCCATACATTGGCTCTCAGTAAGGAACCTGAGAGAGGAGGCAGGTCCTTTGCAATTCAATCTAGTTTCACTGCTCATTAACCGGGAAAGACCTCGAGTGAGCCTCTTCACCTCTTTACCCCTTACCCTTTTGCCTCCCACATGAGGAATTGGATTCTTGCTTGTGGTTTTGGTATGCTGTTTTTAGGGAAAGAAATATCTGCATGTTTGTTGGTATACTACATGATTTCAGTATTTAAAGAAAAGAAAACCAGCAATTTGAATTATCTATATCTTGAGACACACTCAGAGAGAGCTACCTATATTCGACATTAAAACTGTAAACAAACAAATGTTTATTTGTTTAGAAAGCATTTTGGCCACCTCCCTCCCCACTTTAAGCTCTCTTGAGATATCTTATTGTTTAAATTCCCATTTCCCAGGTTCCTAGGAATATTGAAATTGCTTTTAATGCTTTTCAGTCATTTGTATTTCCCTAGGAGCCAGTTCTGCTCCATCTGGCAGATATTCTTGATGGAGTTGTTTTAAGTGGAAGAAGCGTGGGGCAATGTTTAGGAAAACAGGAGGAGGGCAGTATCAGTATAGGAGGGATTAGAGGAGGAAAGTGGAGGGAACGAGAGAGGGGTGCTTTGAACAGGCTTAATTTCCAGCCATTTCTGTTGAGCCTGACCACCTCCTTCTTCCAGGTCTGTGTTCACGGTGTGCTCATCCCTTATTTCCATCAAGGCTGATTCTCCATCCTCCCATAGGATGATTTATTTTGATCAGTATCAACTTCCAGCCATCCAACCTGGAGATCCTCAGTCTGGAGCCTGACCCTCTTTCAGCCTCTAAGGACAAGTTCAGCAGATGATAGCAGCTACATCTCCCTTTTTTCATGGAACACTGGTAAAAGCAATCAGTACCTACTGGGCTTTTTATCTATGATCTCAGGCAATCTTTGCAATACCTGTCTGTAAGCCTCGTCTTATGACCCACCCTTTCACAGATGTGACAAGTGACACCAAGAAAAGTGATAAGCGGCTTAGGTAGGGGACCCACAGCTAGCAAGAATCAGGACTAGGATCTGAACTCAGTCTTGCCCTTTCTAAAAGCATATGCTCTTTCCACTATGCTGTAGGAAATACATTTATCTTCACCAGGTGACAAGTGGGCAGGGTGGGCAGAACTCTTCTCCTTTTCCTCAATGTTCCTACTCCTATTGCATGAGTAGGACCTTCTCTCAACACTCTGCCTTCTCAGGAAAGGGCTGGTAGAGGGTGTTTCTACCCTTCTCAACATTCCTTAAAGAGTATGAAACTCTCAGAGAGTAAAATCTTGAGGAGATTGAGTCCACAAAATTTGTCTCAGGTGGGAGAGAGTTGGACTGGAGGGAAGGAAATTTCCTGAGCAAACTTTTACATACGGGTCTTGGCCAGGTGCTGCCAGACCACAACACGACTCCTCCTGTTAATTCTTACAGAAACAACAGCAAGTATGTTTCTAAGAACCAGAAGCTCTGGAGTAAATAAATCAAGAGTTTTTTCTTTGTTTGGGACAAAGCCTAATAAGAATTTACAAGTGAGAAAGCGACATTAATCTTGATAGATGTCCTTTCCCAAGTAACTGCACATCTCTGTGTCTTAATTCCTTGATCTGCAAAATAGATACAATTATTCTTATCTTCATAAAGTACACCAGGCTTTGGGGAAGACAGATGGGGAATATATATGAGAAAGAATCTCATAACCATAGGAAGGAAAGCAGCTTATAACTCCAAGGTATTTATGTTATTAATTTTACTCAAAAACTAAAAATGGATTAGAAAGGCCACAAAGGCATTTTAGTTCTCTAAGCTCTTAGGAGGTTCCAGCTGAATAGACTCATCCAAAGTTTTCTTCAAATGAGCAGGATTAAGCTTTTATTTTTGTCAAACTGGATGGTTTATTTGCTCTGCACAATTCTTACAGCCTCATTGTCATCCATTTCAACTCGCAAAATTTAGGCTGAACATATACTGCAGTGAGGTAGACTGGATTGACATTTAGTTAAACATTTGATGAGACTGGTTTACAACACATGCAGGAAACAAGGGCAGCAGCTAATTTTGTCCACGTTCGATGCCTATTGCAGGAAGGTCAAGGGTTTGCCTCCTTTGGTAAACAACCTCTTCCTACAAAATAAGAAAATTGTAAGCTGAAATCTTGCTTGTTTTAAACATATATAAACAAACATTTAGATGTATGTTTCTTTTCCTCGTTTTCATTGATACATAATAGTTGTACATATTCTGGGGGTACATGTGATATTTTGATACAAGGATGTAATATATAATGATTAGATCAGGGTAGTTGGGATATCATTACCTCAAACATTTATCTTTTCTCTATGTTGCAAAAATGGCAATTCTTCTCTTCTAACTACTTTAACTATATAATAGATTCTTGTTAACTATAGTCACCCTACTGTACTATCAAAACTAGATTTTATTCTTTCTATATAACAATTTTTGTACCCATTAATTAACTTTTTCCCTCTCCCTTCCCTACTCCCCTTCCCAGCCTCTGATATCCACCAATCAACCCTCTGTATCGATGAGATCCACTTTTTTAGCTCCCGCGTGTAAGTGAGAACATGCATTATTTACCTTTCCATGCCTGGCTTATTTCACTTAACATAATGTCCTCCAATTCCATCCATGTTGCTGCAAATGACAATATTTTATTATTTTTTAATGGCTGAATAATATTCCATTGTGTGTTTATACCACATTTCCTTTTTAGTTTTTCTATTAATGGTGCTTAGGTTGATTCCATAGCTTGGCTATTGTGAATAGTGCTGTAATAAACATGGGAATGCAGGTATATCACTTTAATATATTGATTTACTTTCTTTTGGACATATATTCAGCAGTGGGATTGCTGGATTATGCCGTAGTACTATTTTTTTTTAAAGGGATCTCTCTACTGTTTTCCATAGTGGATGTACTAATTTACATTCCCAACAAAAATGTATGAGGGTTCCCCTTTCTTGGCATCCTTACCAGCATCCATTATTTTTTGTCTTTTTGATAAAAGCCATTTTAGGTGGAGTGAGATTTTAATTTGCATTTCCCTTCTAGTTAGTTAAGCATCTTTTTTTTCCATATACATGTTGGCCTGTATGTCTTCTTTTGAGAAATGTCCATTTTGAGTGTGGCTTACAACAAAGACCGTGAATTCTGGGTCGATGAACCTAGTCCTGAATGGCAGCTTTCCATGAACTTGCTACTTGAAGTGCATATGTTGATATACTCCTCCACTTTGGTTTCTGCATTTGGGAAATTGAGGCAATAATGCCAATTCCATTAGGTTTTCATGAAGTGTGGCAGACACTCTTAAGACTTCCTAATATCCATTCTGCTTTTTTTCCAATTGAGAAATTTGCCTATTTGTTCGGAGCAACAATGCATCCAACTAAATACTCATGCTTCCTCAGCCTCCTATGCAGTAGGGGTGGCAGATGGGAAATAGATAGTGTTCTATTGTGAGTCCCTAGGGGTAACTTTTTATTTCCTAGGGGGAAAAAGGGGTGCTGAAAGGAATGGTGCATTATCTTTTTGCTTTGAATGTGGAAGTGTTGTCTGGAGCTAGTAGCCATCTTACAATCTTGGGGACAAAGCCAAGGCTAGCAGACCAGAAAGATAGCACACTACTCCTTGTAGAAGTAAAGCCAGCAATTTCTCACCTATAAAATAGAAGAACAATAAATTCTATTTGTGTAAGCCATTCTCAGTTGGCATATACATGTACCAAATGCATTCAATCCTTACTGAAAAAGAGAATGAACAACATAACAGTCATAACTTGCAGACCACAATGCCTGGCACACTATGGAAATTCATTAGGTGTTGCTTTTGCTTCCTTGTGTTAGTTACTGTATTAAACAAGAGATGGATTAATTAATATTCATTCTTTTTAATTAGCTTTCCAAATATTAAATACCAATGACATACTAGACATTCTGTGAAACATGATAATACAAAGATGAATGAGACTGAGCCCTTGCCCTTGAGTTGTTCAGAATCTTAATGGGAAGATAATTAACTGCAATTCAAGGTAATGAGTACTAGTGTGGAAACAGGTATATATAATGCTTTAGGAGTATGGGATATAAAACTGAATATCAATAGCTGTGAGACAAACATAAAAAAGAAAGAAAAATCTTCCAACCCAGAGAAAGAGTGGCCAAGCCCAGCATGTGGCTATTGAAAATTTTGCAGAGAAAAGTAGATTTATCTGTCTATGTAATAGCATTGAGTCACACAAAAATTTGAACCTAGAACCCTGAAATATAACAATAATAATAACTAGCTTACATTTACAAGAAATTTCCTTAGAATCTGGTGCTCAAAAAGCATCATTTTATTTAATATTCATAACTCTTTGGGCTAAGAGCTAATGTTATTCACATTTTACAGATGAGTGGCTGCTTTCTGATCTGCCATCCATAACTCCCACCTGTGCAAGGTATAGTAAGTGAAGGCCAGTAACATTTTTATTTCAATTTGTTCTATTTTTGCCTGTTTATATATTTTCAAGATAGTAGCCACCTCAGTGAGTGCTGGAATCCTAGGTCCCCTAGATCAGGCCATACCTGAAGACATCCTAACTCTGGACTTTCATTACATGAGTGTAAAACATCCTCTTTTGTTTCCCCTAATCCAGTTGGAGTTGTGTTTCTTTTCTTTTGACCCAAGGAATCCTAACTAAAACACTATGCATCCTCCCAAAAGTAGAACCCCTTAGTATATAGTTAAGGAGCTTGGAATTTGTGGAAACTCAGTATTTAATGATGCATTGTTTATCATTGTATCTCCAGCACCAAATCCTTTGCCTAACACTTTGTAAATCCTCTTTAAGTATTCAGTGTCAGAAAGCCTATCTCTCTCTTTTTTATTTTAAATGTAAATCTACTTTGTTTCTCATGATTAATGAGCATTTTAGTTCCTGAATCTGATCAGTCTCATATTCTTTTTTGCCTAGGACCTTATGTTGGCAGATTAAATTTTCTAAAAAAGCCCCTTGCAATTCCCGAGACAATATCAGGTCAAACATGTCCTGTGCCTTGGTCATGGGTAGCACACAGGATGGAGCTCCTTTCAATCCACACTGAATTCATCGGTTCCAGTACTTCCAATTTGCTCCTACCTGAAGCTCTCATTTCTCCAGGAGCCTTCTGGAGCCAACAGGGATTATTTTTGGTTCAGACCCTTCTTGTCAAGCTCACTGCCATCTCCAATTCACAGGCTGGCAGTCATGGGGCAGCCACTGAAGTCTCATGCCCAGTGGGCAGCTATTCTGGGATGTTTGTGCTTGACATTGACAATGGCTTCCTGACTGACTCACTCCTCAATCCAGCCCCCATCGTGCTGGGCTAGGGTGGCTCAGCAGCCTGTTTTGATTCTCCTAATCAAAGAGCAGCATCTTAAAATCTCGCAGTCAGCCTTGCACACTAGACTGGGAAGCAATTGTCAGCTGCTAAATTTAACCACAGCCACTTTAGAAATGAGCTGCTGGGAGATTCTGAGAATGTAAACTGGGGAGATTCTTTCTTCTTCTCTTTCTTTAATTTTTCTTCTAATGTTTGAATCAACTGGCTGAGTTAAATCCTGGATGAACTATTTCTTACTACTCTTGGAGAAGTTATATCACTACTCTGAGCCCTAGTCATCACCCCATTGTTGAAAGTAATTTCTCTCAACAAATGGTAACAATAGAGCCCAAACAGTAGGATTGTTTATGGAACTAGGAATAATTAGCTTGTCTAACAGGCCTGATACAGTGCCAGGCCTCTTGTTGATTACCATGTTGTTCTTGTTTCTCATTAATTTTCCAGCCACCTTGGGCCAACCACCTAGTAGGTGCTCATTAAATGTCAAGAGAATAAGTGAATAAAATAATAAATGAATGAATAAATGTTGGCATCACAGCCCTTGTTCTTCCTCTTTTATCCTACTTTAATCTTTTAAATAGACTAGATGATCCACATAATGCATACTGCAGGCATTGGACAATTGCCCATCTCAGAAAACATGCAGAGTGCACCCTGACACCTCTCATGTCAACTCGTAACTTCCCCATCTGCCTTCTCTACTGACATTCAGCCCTGCCTAAAGCATTCCTGGGCTCTGACACTTTTCCCATGGGCCCACTGCTCTGGGGCCTGTTTTGCAGATGCCACTCTGGCTGTCTCTGACACTCTCCTAAGACGATTCTGATGTACTTTCTACCTCACTTCCTCCTGTTTAAAGACATCCCCATTACCTTGCTGGGATAGCCCCAGGGGCTAAGCTGTCTCTCCCCTTCAGGTGAGGAGGGGGCACTGCCTCTGAACCACACACTTTGCAACTTTAAGTTCAGAGTTCCTTGCTGGGAATCAATGTTTTCTATAATGAGTTTCCACCTTCTTGCTTAGATCTCCTTCACAATAAACTTTTTATTCCAGACACCCAACTCTAATCACTGTCTCCTAAATATACATTGCTAGACACATAGTGAATGCATAGAAGTGTTTGCTGTTATCATAACATTAGCGTTATTAATCATATCAACCTTTTTAAAAATGCACCGTCTTTATGTTCTTCCAAGTTGCATTTTGCTATTTCCTAATGGTACAGCTCAAAGCCCACTCCAGTCATTGACAAAAACAAACTACAATAGTGATGACAACAACATAACGACAAGAATGCTAATAGCTGACTTCAAAGGAGCACCAACAGCGGGCCAGGCTTGCTATTAAGCACTTCTCACTCACTAACTCAGGTTACTCTAACAGCAACTTAATGGCTTCTGTCTCCCCACTGAACAGATCAGTAAATAGAATCTTAGGCTAAGAAATGCTCGCAGTGTAAAAAAAGATGCAAACAAATTTTGACTCCAGAGCCTTAAAACGTAACCTTCAGAACCTCAACTTCTTATCTTTGAGATGAGTTAACCATAACCTTTTTTTACATTTAGGGAGAAGATTAAATAGAAGAATACCTGTAAAGCACTTAGAGTATCTGGCATTTAGTAGCATGCAATAGCTTTTAGTGAAGTTGGTGCTACTGCTGCTGATGCTGATGAACAGTCATCTGAAGTCCACGTTTGTTCTTTGAATTATTCACTAGCCTATAGAGACCCAGAACCTTTATGATGTTGCTCCCTAATTTTCTCTGTATATATCCTTTGTCTCCCCGAAGGACTATAAGCTCCTTCGCCGCAGAAACCAGCCTAGGTACAAAATTCTGCTCCTCGGGGGTCTCGGTTTTCTTCTCTGGAATAGGAGTTTTGATGCTTCCCAAAGCCCCTTCCAAATATGACATTCTCTGCTTCCATAAATGTTATTTATTCTGGCCTCTCCCACAGCCTGTAACACTCCACTTTGCATGCAATACTCAATAAATATGTACAGAATTATTAACATCTAGAGGTGAAATCTCAGGTACTAGGGAGGTTCTTTAATTTTGACTTTGGTGAAAGAGGGAGAAAAAGATGTAACTGAGTTATAAGGTGCATTACAATTGACATCTAAAGATTTCAACTGAGGGAACTGGAAACTGGGGCATTTATAGGTGGTGGAAATGATGTGAGCTTTGAAAAGTGAGGAAATTCCTTTCCCAAAGGGATATTGGGCTTTCACTGTCCTCTATTTCAGTCAGTTCTGAAAATGTACATGCCATTGGGTTTTGCCAGTCCTGTTGGCTGGCTTCTGCTGAGAGGGAAGGAAAAGAATGAGACAGTGAAGGAAAGTGAGCTAAACTTAGTGGGAAGGCCCAAGGCTCCAGGCAGTGGCTGAAGGCAGTTTCCTAATTACTTAGCCTCCCTGGGAGATAGGAATAAAGTTTTCCCGAAAACAGGATAAGAGAACTGGGAGGAGCGATGTATTGCAACGTGTGCAAGCTTCCTCTATTCACTCCTTCTCCTAGTTGAGATCTGCAGAAAGCTTAATCGGTGGCATTTAATAGCATTTATTGAGCACCAACTGTGAGCCATGCTCCACATTAGACCCTGGGATACAGAAAGTTGTAGGACATAGCCCCTGCTCTCAAGAATCACCATTTATTGGGGGGAAAACCTACACATAAGCAATTATCAAAATATGTTGTCATATGTCATGTGATGGACTTATATGAACTAGTGTTGGCATCTTTGAACACCACAAGCTCCATCAGAGGCAGAGATTAAGGTGAGGGTCTCACAAGGAACCCCTGAACCACAGACTGTCACATAAAAAATATGTGCTGTTTCAATCACCTAGTTTGTGGCAATTTCTTATGAATCGTTGAAAACTAATACAGGACTATTATAAATGATAGAGATTTAATATGTTTTTCTAAATTATTAATCATGATGCGTGTGGTTAAGATCTAAACTTCTCCCACTCTGTACCTCTTATCATGTTGGTCATTGTCACTCCTGTGATGTTCTGGGATAACATACACATGAAGCAGATCTAGGAGAATGTCAACTCCATTTTATAAGTATTTTCTTAACATTTAAAAAAAATTTCAAATAATTGTAGATTCACACATCATGTTTCTTACAACTCCTTGTAAGAAATAATATAGAGAGATCCTGTGTACCCTTCATTTAGTTTCCCCCATAAGGTAACATCTTGCTTAACTATGGTATGATATCACAACCAGGAAATTGACATTCTTGTAATTCACTGACCCTATTCAGATTTCACTAGTTTTATGTACTTTTGCATATTTGTGTGTTGATTTGGTTCTATGCAATTTTATCACAAGTGCATGTTTATGCAACCACTGCAATAGTTAAGATCCATACCAGTTTTATGCAAGAATCCTTCGTGGGAGCTGGTTCTTTCTTTTTTTACCCTAAATTTGTGCATGGCTTTCATCCCTTGTGGTCTGGGCCAGATGAGTCAATATTCATTTCCCTGATCTGAATTACAGACCATCTTTTGTAGAAGGGACACTGATAGTTTTATCACTTGAGGTTCCTGGCTCCAAATGTCAGAATGCTTAAACATTTTGTGTTCTTTAAAATGAGTATTTTCAGAAACACATAAATTACTGAGGTAGTTCTTTCTGGCTTCAGGCGTGGCTGGATCCAGGGTACCAAATCATGACTTTAGTTTTAGTATCCAAAGATCTCTGTTCTGTTTTCCTTCATGGATACTTTTTATCAAGCATCTCTTTCCTTGCAGTAGCTTCAGGCAGGCCATCACTCATACCCCACAGTTTAACAATCCCAGAGAAGTCTTGGGATTCAGCTTCATTGCCATAGAGTTCATTTCTGAGCATGTCTTTTTGGCCAGTGGGATGGATATATTCTGATTTAGCAGGACTGGGCAGAGGAATATGATTAACCTCACTCTAACCATGTTGGATTCAGAGAGGAGAAGGTGGAGTGGGTGCTGGGGTGCAAACTCATGGTAGTCCTTGACCTCACCTACTCTCATTCCCTTCTCTCATGCCTGAGGAGACCCCAGACCCTATGCTCCATACCTACTTCTTGGTAGTTGAACACTAAGAGGAAAAAAAAAAAAAAAAGGAAGACTGAAGTGAAGAATAGAGTAAGAGAAAGAATGAGATTTCCCAAAAGAAGATCAAAGAGAGAAGAAGTACAATAGAAAAATAACCTCTCCTGGACAAAAAAAAAAATTCAAAAATGACTTTCTTCAAGAAGAAACAGGGCTTCTATTAAGTTGGTGCAAAAGTAATTGTGGTTTTGCCATTATAGCAAAAACCACAATGACTTTTGCTCCAACATTATGTGTTACTAAGATCTCCCTTCAGACCTCTCCCCACCTAACCCCTCCATCCAGTCTGTCTTCTAAAGCTCTTCAGTGTTTTTGTTCTTGATCCAAAATGGATCAAGATGGGGTCACAGAAAATAACCTGAGACCTCTATCGAGGTTAGCAATGTAGCTCTTACTCGGATTACCATGTGTCTCATTTTCTCAATACTCAGGTTTCTGAAAAATGAACTACCCAAAAGTGTTAATTTGAATTTATGACAGTTACTGAGTCCTAATAAACAAGAACATCTTTGAATTCACCCAAAGAAGTGACAAGTAGAATTTCAGAAACCGCAGAAGGTCAAGGCAGGAACTATCTTTTGCCAAGCAGGATCATAGGGAAACTCTCCAGATATAGTCATTTAGGCAGCCATTTTTTTGGGCTCATCTTTTAAAGAAAAAAGCCCACTGAAAGTTAAATGAATCTCAAGCCCAAACTGCTTCCTTTAATTTTCCTTTGTGTCAGATAAGCTATATAATTATTGATAACTATGAGTGTCCAAATATTTGTTTAAAGAGCAATTTAATGTCTCTGATTTATATTCATGAGTTATTAAGTAGCTGCATATTTCCTGTGTATTTTTTTCTGAATACATGATTAATCGAAGTTTAATGAAATTTTAAAAGACATTTTTCTAATTTTGTCTGGAATGCTGTCTTCTCTCCAGAAATTACAATTATCCACTGTGGAACAACTTTGTAAAAAGGATAGAAAGGGGAGGTTTTGGGCTTCTGACCTTCCTCTTTTAAATACATCTATATGATCCAAGGCACACTTCTAACAGATGTGCTGCTGTTGGGTTACAGGAGACTGAGTTATTGACTTCTTATTCTTTGAGGCAGCTGGGTAGGGTCTGGTGCAGCAGGAGTCCCCATACTAGTTGACTCTGGATACGTCACCTCATTCTTTAGAGTGCCCTACATTTATTATCATTATCATTATCATTATCCAGACCAGTTTCATACAAGGATCCCCCATGAGAGCTGGATATGGTTTGTCCCCACCAAAACTCAAGTTGAAATTTGTTTCCCAGTGTGGCAGAGTTGGGACCTGGGGCCTAGTAGGAGGTGTTTTTGTCATGGGGGTGGATCCCTCATGAATAGATTAATGCCCTCCTGTGGGAGTGAGTGAGTCCTCCTGGGTTAGTTACCAGAGATTGGGATAGCTGGTTGCTGTACAAGTGAATTTGGCTTCCTAGACTCTCTTACTTTCCCTTTGTCATGTGATCATGTGGAAGATGGGGAAAGCAAACGCAATCACATGTATACAGGTATATGCTACTTTCAGGTCTGTCCCGTAAAACTCATGCAATTCTTTACATTCTTTCAGCATTTTGCAGGGGACTCAAGTTCCCGGTGGATGATGTGGTCTGGGTTCCTAAACTACTGTGTAAAAGAGAACTTTCTCTGAATTCCCTACCCCTAACTCATTGGACTGTACCATGAGCAAGAAACACATTTTTCTTGTGGTAAGATACAGGTTTTGTGTGTTGCTAATGCAGCAGTGTTTTGGATAATCTTGGCTCCTGACATCCCTCAGCTACTAACAAAATCAGTGTTTCAAAATGGCAGTACCTGATCCAAGCCTTCTCCTGATGTTTGAAGTTTGGCCAACATAGTGGACCTCACTGCCTCTTCCTTGCTTAGTAGTGATTTCATCTGCGATTTTATCACATAATTAGACTGACCAGTGAATAAATAAGCAGGGGCATTTTGGAGGGACAGCCTTCTAGTACCATAGGAACTATAAATATGATCCTAACAAACTCTTGGAGACAGTGAGCTCATTGATTATTAGATTACTAGTTTACTTTACCAGAGGCACCAACCTATGAGTTTCCTTTCTGAGCTACAATTGGGGGCATATATGCTGGCCTACGGTCAACTACAGCAGCAGCCAAAAGAAGCTGTAGTCAGTGAATCAGTAACAGTTTTGTGAGCACTTTCAAGCAGGCACTCATCACTGATGATGTAATAATATTCTTCTTGTACTGAGGTTTTGATTGTTGTCGGTTTTTGTTTTTCTTTCTTTGTCTTCTTAGTTAAAATTAGTACATTTTTTATTGCTTAGATGACAGGTTACTGGGATGGTAACTTTCACTTTTTGTGTAGACGTAAGAAGGAAAATGAATATTTGCAGTCTGGAGGGGAAGAAAGAGGTAAATTATCATTAGAACCCTAAGGAGACTTCCCTTCAGGAGAGTCACAAGAAGATCTGCATCCTTACTTACCTAGAGGACATATGTCTGCTACTGAAAAATCACAGGTATATGCCCTTAGATTTATTCTGGAAAAAGGCTTTCCAGAAAGAATAGATGGTTGGTCAGTCTTTCTTGCCCCCATTCACAGAGTCTCGGCTTCCCTTTGGGGTGGACTTCCTTATTTTATTACACTGGTCTCCATGGCGGAGACGGTGCTCTCCTTGAATGCGCAAATATAGACAAGCTATCTTTTTCTTAGCTGAATTGGGTGGCAATCTTCAAAAGAGGTTCGCAAATTCTAAGTAGAAAAAGGGAATTCACGAAGCATATGAAATTAAAAGTAGTCCAAATCACAGGTTGCAGTGCTTTGTCATTTCCACTTGCTTGCTTGAAGGATTACAATGTAGGGTATTTGGCTGGATTCTCTACTACCACGATAGAGAGGTGTCTCTTGTTATAAGAGTTCCTCCTTATGGAAAGTTTGTCAGAGGATTATCTCACAGGGAAGGAATAGGGTGATCTCTTCTTTGATGAAGAAAAACCAATATAGAATTTTCTTCGTTCTTTAATTAGGATAATCTCTTTCACTTTTTTGGGAGTATAAGAGATATACTCCTTTCTCCAGCTATAGGACTGACTTCCCACATCAAGTTCAATGCATATAGGAATTGAAATAACTTTTCTTATTGGTCTAATCATATCTTTAAATTGTTTTTGGGAAACAGGTGTAAACATGTATAGAGTTAAAAATAAGTCTCTGTACCATGCCTGATTCAAGATTTTGAGTTTTCTTTCCCAGAGTTAACAACATTTTACATTTTTTTGTGTATTTTTCCTTTAATAAATGTGTTGTTTTTAAAGTCTACTTTGTGTTAGGCACTGTTCCAGGCAGGCCACATTACATTTACCTTCAAGATATCCAGAATCTGACCTTTTTTTTACCACTGGTTTTTTAAAAAATAGAGACACAATCTTGCTCTGTTGCCCAGGTTGAGGTGCAGTAGCGTGATCATAGCTCACTTTTTTGGCCTTGAACGCCTATCTCATTATGTTGTCCAGGCTGATTTTACATTCCTGGCTTCAGGTTATCCTCCTGCCTCAGCCTTACAAAGTGCTGAGGTTTCAGGCATGAGCCACTGCATCCAGTCTCCTTTTATCACTTCTATCATTATCACCTTGGCCCTCTCTTGTCAATTGTCACATTAACCCCCTAACTGGTCTACTTACTTCTGCTATTTTCTTGTTTACTGTATTCTCAGAATAGCAGTCAGAATGAGCCTGTTAAAATATAAGTAATATTATGTCACAACTCTGCTTAAACCCCTTCAATGGCTGTTTAATTTCATGATATTTTTACAGTGGACTATAAGGGTGTATACAATTTGGCACCCCATGAACTTTTTGACATAATTTCCTACTACACTTTTCCTCACTTGCTTAGTTCTGGTCATACTATCCTTACTGCTCCTCAGACATACCAAATGCATACCCAAAATCGGGCTTTTACTGATAACCTTGTTCTTTCAGAAACCCACAATGATACACCCTTCTAGTCTTGGTGAAAATATTAACTTCTCAGTGGGCATGCACAACTTAAAATTGTAACACTTACCCAGGTTTTCTCCCCTTTCCTTATTTATTTTACTCCATCAAGGACTACAGCTCTGCTGACACTGAGCTTTTGACCTTATGAGACCCTAAGCAGAGGACAAAGTCTAGTTCACTGTGAATTCTAACCCTCAGAAACTGTGGGGTAGTACATTTTGCTGTTTTCTGATACTGTTTGTGGTATTGTTATGGTGCGACAGAAAATGAGTACAACTCATTCAATCAGTGCTTACCAAATTTATCAGAACATTTTCATCTTCAACTAACACTTCTTAACATTCCCAGAAAACATGTTTGGAATTCAGTCTGGAGCAAAAGAAATAGTAAATAAATTTTTTACATTTTGTTTGATTTCTATGGGGACCAAAATGTAGGAATGTTAAGGGAATGTAATGCCTTGTCTTAACCTACTCACTAACACTCAAGGAACCTTCCAAACTTCCGGTCTAGATATGTATTTAATTAATTATTTAAATACTTTTTATTTTAAAGTAACTATAGGTTCATAAGAAATTTCATAAAATATACAGGGAACTCCTCTGCACCCTTATGGTAACATTTTTGCATAATATAATACAATACCAAAATCAGGAAATCTACATTAGTACAATCCACAGAACTTATTTAGATTTAATCAGTTTACATGCATTTGTGTGTGTGTGTGTGTGTGTGTGTGTGTCTATGGAATTCTATTACATGTGTAGATTCATATAAACACCATCATGATGAAGACATAGAGCTTTTCAATCATCACAAGACTTCTGTGTTATCCCTTTATGACTATGGCCATCTCCCCTCATCTCCCTTCAGATCCTCGGCAACCTCTAATCTGTTTTTCAACTCTATAATTTTAGTTCAAGAATGTTATATAAATAGAATCACATAGTACATAACCTTTTGAGATTGGCTGTTTCTTCTCAGCAAATTCTCTGGAGATTCACTCAGGTTGTTGCATGCATGAATAGTTTACTCTTCTTTGCTGAGTGGATGCTCCACAGTGTGTTTAACCAGTCACCCATTGAAAAGCATTAGGATTGTTTCCAGTTTTTTACTGTTACAAATTAAACCATGGATATTCATGCACAGTATTTGGCTTAAATATAAATTTTTATGTCTTCAGGATACATGCCTAGGAGTGCAACTTTCAGGTTATATACATGCATGTTTAGTTTTATGACAAACTGCCAAACCATTTTCCAGAGTATTTATGTCATTCCCACTAGCAATGTATGAATGATGCTAATTAATTTTTTGAATTACAGAAACATACCTTCTCTATAAAGAATCAAACAAAGGGGTTAAGGTAAAAAGTCCGGGTTCTCTCCTCTCAATGCACTTTTTTGTTCCCTAGACATGTCCACTTATTTTCTTTTGATAATTCCAGGAATTTTTTATACATGTAAAAGCAAATGTGTATATATATATATATATATATATATATATATATATATATATATGTATGTGTGTGCATGTGTGTGTGTGTGTGTGATCTTTAAAAAATGATATGATACTGTAATACTGTTCTATTAGTTGGGTTTTTTCTAAATATATACATCTATTTGATTTTTAAGATAGAATGAAAAATTTATTGAGGTATAAATACGTTCAGCAAAATGAACAGATTTTAAAGTTACTGTTCAATTACAACTTATAACTATATATATCTATGTAACCAACACGACAATTGAGATTTAGAAAATTTCCATCACCTTAGTAAATTTTCTTGGACACCGATTCAATCAGTTCCCTTTGTCTCCATGGCCTTGTCTTCTCTCTTGAGACAACCACAGCTACATGGTATTTCATTGTACAGAAACACTAAAATTGATTCAACTGTGTATGTTTTAATGAATTCATGTTCATTCCCAAATCTTAGGATGTAACTTTGGTCAAATTACTTAAACTAGTAGTTCCCAATTTTGGTTCTACTAGTCTTCAAGGAAGTCTACCAATAAGTTAATATACACATGATGTTTACAACGTTTGAGAAGGCCAACATAATATAACTAGTAAGATTATCAGTAAAGTAAGGAGGAAGAGAAGAGAAAATATATCAGAAAAGAAACCTTGTTCTGTCAATTTGGGTGGAAGCTGTCTACTTAGTGTCATCATCGATTTGATGTGATATTCATGGGTTAGTAGTCACACTCCAATGATTGTCACCTGGAGAATTCTTAAAAATTCTCAGTTTAAGGTCCTCTAATGGAGTGTATGTATAGTTTTCTGGAAAGATGGTTAGTGATACAGTTTGAATATTAGTTTCCACCCAAATTTCATGTTGAAATGTAATCCCCAATGTTTGAGATGGGGCCTTTTAGGAGGTGTTTGGGTCCCGGGGGCAGATCCCTCATGAAATTCTTGGGCTATCCCCTTGATAATAAGTGAACTGCTGCTCTGAGTTCACATGAGATCTGACCGCTTGAAAGCATATGGCACTTTCTTCCCCTGCTCTCTCTTTCTTTTGCCATATGGTGTACAAGCTCCTGCTTTGCTTTCCACAATAAGTAAAAGCTCCCTGAGGCCTCTCTAGAAGTTGAGCAACGTTGGTGCTATGTTTCCTATACAGTGTGCAGAACCATGAGCCAATTAAACTTCTTTTCTTTATAAATTATCCAGTCTTAGGTTTTTTATAGCTATGCAAGAATAGTCTAATACAGAAAATTGGTACCAGGGGTGAGGTATTGCTATAAAGAGACCTGAAAATGTGGAAGCAGCTTTGGAACTGGGTAATGGGCAAAGGTTTGCAAGGTGCAGAAGGAGATAGAAAGATGAAGAAAAGTTTGAAACTTCTTAGAGACTGGTTAAGTGATTGTGACCAAAATGCTGATAGTAACATAAACAGTAAAGCCAAGACTGACAAGGTCTCAGATGGAAATGAGGAACTTATTGGGAACTGGAGCAAAGTCACCCATGTTATGCCTTAGCAAATAATTTGGCTGCATTCTGCTCATGCCCTAGGAATCTGTGTAAATTTGAACTTAAGAATAATAATTTGAGGTGTCTGACAGAAGAAATTTCTAAGCAATAGAGTGTTTAAGAAGTTGCCTGGCTGCTCCTAACAGTCTACTGTCAGATGTGGGAGTAAAAGAATGACTTGAAGTTGCTTTTAAGAGCCTATACTCAGATGCAGAGGCAAAAGAATGACAAAGTTAAAACATGTTTAAGAGAAAAGCAGAACATGAAAGTTTGGAAAATTTGCAGCCTGGCCGTGTGGTAGAGAAAGAAAAAGCTTTTTCAGGAGAGGAATTCAAGTAGGCTGAGGAGGAACCACTTGCTAGAGATACTTGCATAACTAAAAGAGAGCTAAGTGCTAATATCTAAGACAATGGGAAAAGGCTTCAAAGGCCTTTCAGAGACCTTTGTGGCAGCCCCTCCCATCCCAGGCTCAGAGGCCTAGGAGGACAGAATGGCTTAATGGGCCAGACCCAGGGCCTTGCTGCTTTGCACAGACTCAGGACACTTATCCCTGCATCCCAGCCACTCTAGCTCTAGCTTCAGCTGTGGCTCAAAGAGGCTGAGGCACAGCTAAGGCTTCCACTTTGGAGAATGCAAGCTGTAAACTTTAGCAACTTCTATGTAGTGTTAAGCCTGTAGGTGTGCAGAATGCAAGAATAAATAATTCTTGGCAGCCTCCACCTAGATTTCAGAGGACATATGAGAAGGCCTGGATATCCAGGCAGAAGCCTGCTTCAGGGGCAGAGCTCTCACAAAGAACCTCTACTAGGGCAATGTGGAGGGGAAATTTGGGGTTGGAGACCCCCACAGAGTCCTTATCTGGGCACTACCTCATGGAGCTGTGGGAAGAGGGCCACTGTCCTCCAAACCCCAGAATGATAGATCCACTAGCAGCTTACACCCTCAGTGTATAAAAGCTACAGGCATTCAACTCCAACCTATGAGAATAGCCCTGGGGCTGCACCCTGGAAAGTTAGAGGGGAAGAGCTTCCCAAGGTCTTGGGAGCCCACCCCTTTTAGCAGTTCACCCTGGATGTGGAATATGGAGTAAAAGGAGATTATTTTAGAACTTTGAGAATTAATGGGTCAGGTACTGTGGCTCATGCCTGTAATTTAGCACTTTGGGAGGCTTAAGTGAGAGAATTGCTTGAACCCAGGAGTGCAACACCAGCCTGGATAACATAGTGAGACCCTGTCTGTACAAAAATAAATAAATAACTGGGCCTTGTGGTGTGCACCTGTAGTCACAGCTACTCAGGGAGCTGAGGCAGGAGGATTGCTTGGGTCCAGGAGGTTGAGGCTATAGTGAGTCATGATTGTGCCACTGCATGACAGAGTAAGATTCTATCCCTCCTTCAAAAAAAAAAAATTGCGAATGTCCTGCTGTGTTTTGGACTTGCATAGGGCCTGTAGTCCCTTTGTTTTGGCCAATTTCTCCCTTTTGTGATGGGAATGTTTCCCCAATGCCTATATCCCTCATTGTATCTTTGAGGTAAATAACTTGTTTTGATTTTTCAGGTTCATAGGTGGAAGGGACATGCCTTGTCTCAGATGAGACTTTGGACTTGAGACTTTTGAGCTGGAACAAGCTAAGACTTTGGAAGACTATTGGGAAGACATGATAATATTTTGCAATGTGAGAAGGACATGAGATTTGCCAGGGGGCCAGGGGTGGAATGATATAGTTTGGATATTTGTCCCTGTCCAAATTTCATATTGAAATATAATCCCTAACATCAGAGGTGGGGCCTGGTTGGAGGTGTTTGGATCATGGGGGCAGATCCCTCATGAATGGTATGGGCCATCTCCTTGATGACAAGTGACCTCTTGCTCTGAGTTCACCTGAGATCTGGTCATTTAAAAGTGTGTGGCACCTCCTTCCCTGACTCTCTTACTCCTGCTTTTGCCACGTGATGTACAGGGCCCCACTTTGCCTTCCACCATGAGTAAAAGCTCCCTGAGGCTTCATCAGAAACTGAGTGATGTTGGTGCTATGCTTCCTGTACACCTTGTAGAATCAAGAGCCAATTAAACCTCTTTTCCTTATAAATTGCTGAGTCTGAGGTATTTTTGTATAGCAATGCAAGAATGGCCTAATTCAATTTGTGTATTTTTAGTTGGGAAGCATAGATTCAAAGATAAAACACTCTGCAGCACTAATTCTGTACTAGTTGTTAACAGGACCTAATCAGGAATCAGAGGTGGTTTTCTCTGATGTCTCTCTCTTATTTTTTAACTTGACAAATGTAATTGCATTTATTTATAGGGTACAATGTGATGTTATGATGCATGTACACATTGCAGAATAATTAAATACCTCTTGAAGAAGATTAAATCTTTGAATTTCAGATCAATTCATGAGTTTCTTAGGGTGACGTTGTGGCAAAACTGTTTCTACCTGTTGATAAGTTTGGGTATATAACAAAGCCTTTTTCTTAAATTGTTAAATTATTGTATATGTATTTCATCCTGACAAGCATATTAGTATATTTAACATTTTTCATCCTGAAAAGTATTAAAGGATATGTACATCAGTTTACTTTTTCTGAACTTACATTCTGATTTGTTAGTTTCTTTTTTTAATCTTACATTGGGCAAACGAAAGAGCTCTCATAATACTTTAGATTTAATTGAAGGTTGGAACATGGATAGTTTCTTTCTTTGTCTGGCTTATTTCACTTAACATAATGACCTCCAGATTCATCCATGTTGTTGCAAATGGCAGCATCTCAATATTTTTATGGCTGAATAATACTCCATTGTATATATTTCAAACACTCTTAAATATTGATATCCCCCCCTCTGCTATTTTATTAAGGTTAGGAAAAACAATTTGTGTTATCTAGTGTTCATTTAAAAATCTAAACACAGTTTATGAAAAATTATTCTGGATTTGAGTCTGAATTTGGGAAAGGCAAAATCAAGAAGTGCCGTCAGAATAGAGAAAATTTGCTTATAGCAAGAAAGTTATAAGCAATATTGTTTAAATTACAGCAATAAGTAACATGGATTATTAGGAACTTAAGATTTTATCAAGAATTAAAGCATATCATTTTCTTGATAATAAAAACTTTTGTTATCTGGGCATACAGCAACTTTAATAGTTCAATAAAAGAAAACTCTAGTTTCAGTATTTTTATACATCATACATATCACAACATGTTGTGATACATAAAATAAATATATAAAACCTCATATTTCAGTATAAGAGTCATAACTTTTTTCTTATGGACAAGCCCTATTTTATTAATCATTTTAACACGTTTCATTTCTCTTTTTCAGTTCATTATTTTGATACTAGTAAACCAAAAAATTAAGTTCAATTCTTCTGGTGTTCTAGACTTAGAGTATACCCTTAAATTGATCTTATATACTTATTTTTTATTCTAGCATGATTAGGACCCATTAACTTTAAGACAAAATTTTTCTCTTTTTTCCCAAAACATATAATTATCTTGCATGTATATTATCAAACATATTATTTTACATTTTTTTCAAAAATAAATATGCAATAAATGCCAAATATAAAAAGCTTATAGCTGACATCATGTTCAATGAGAGAAAAAACAAAGCTTTTTCTCTATGATCAGGAAAAAGACAAGTATACCCACTCTTACCACTTCTATTCCAGTTAGTTCTGGAAGTATTAGCCAGAACAATTTAACAATAACAACAACAAAAATAATAAAAGAAGCAAAATTATCTCTTTTATTCAGATGACATAATCTTATATGTAGAAAATTCTAAAGCTGCCACAACAAAGCTAATATACTAATTCAGCAAAGCTGCAGAATACAAAATCAACATGCAAAAATTAGTTGCGTTTCTATACACTAACAATAAACAGTCTGAAAAGATAATTTAAAAAATTTTCATCTACAATACTATCAAAAAAATAAAATAGGCATAAACTTAACCAAGGAGGTGAAGGTCTTGTATATTAAACATTATAAAACATTGCTGAAAGAAGTGAAAGTTGACACAAGTTAACAGAAAGATAACCCATGTTCATAGTTTCAAAGGCTTAACATTGTTAAAATGTGCATACTACCCAGACTGATCTTCAGATTCAAGGCAATTCCTATCAAAATTCCAATAGCTTTTTTTTTTTACAGAAATAGAAAAAGCAATCTTGAAATTTATATTGAACCACAAGAAGCCCATATAGTCAAAACAACCTTGAAAAAGAAGAACAAAACTGGAGGCCTTTAGCTTTCTGATTTCAAAATATATTACAAAGCTTTTGATTATATTACAATAATCAAAACAATATGGTACTGGCAAAGACAGACATATAGACTAATATAACAGAATAGAGATCCCTGAAATAAAGCCAAGTATGTATGGTCAAGTAATCTTTGACAAAGGTGCCAAGACTACGCAATGGGGAAAGGATAGTCTCTGCAATATATGGCACTGGGGAAACTGAATATAAAAATGAAGTTGGAGCCTCATATTACATCATACACAAAAATTAAAATTGGAGCCTTATATTACATCATACACAGGAATAAATACAAATTGATTAAAGACCTAAATGTAAGACATGAAACCATAAAACTCTTTGAAGAGAAACATAGGAGAAATGTTTCATAACATTGGTCTTGACAATGATTTCTTAGATTTGACATCAAAAGAATAGGCAACACAAGCAAAAATAGACAAGTGGGACTAAATCAAACTAAGAATAATCTGCACAGCAAAGAAAACAATAACAGGTGCTAAAAGCCACCTACAGAATGAGAGAAAATATTTGAAAACCACATATCTGATAAGGGTTAATATCTAAAGTATATAAGGAGCTGACACAATCTAATAACAAAAACATCCCAAATAATGTGATTTATAAAATGAGCAAAGGACTTGAATCTACATTTCCCCAAGAAGACATGAAAGTGAACAACAGATACATAAAAATATGCTGAATATCATTAATCATTACTGATCATCACCACTTGACCAATCTTATGACTCTAAAAAGAGATATATAGTTGTAGAATTTAGAATGAACAGAATAGTCCCAGTGTCAATTAGAAAAAGATCATTTTTTCCCTATCATTAGAAATTAGGCATTTCATCTTCCATAAGACCACTTCAAAATTCCTCAGAGACTATTAGTTCTTATTTCTTTATTGGCTAGGATGGGACAATTAAATTTCTAGTGACCCTTTTGTTTAAAATATTGACAAATGTCTTGTCTAAGTGGGGGCAGGATGTCAATGCTTCTTGAGAGTTTACTAACTTGTAATTTATTTTCAAGGTCCTGCCAATCAAACTTTTCCAACCAAGGTAGAAGTCAGTATCTTGGCCTATTTTGTGCTCCCATAACAGAATACCTGAGACTGGGTAATTCACAAGGAACAGAAACCTATTTCTTATAGTTCTAGAGGCTGGGAAGTCTGAGATCAAGGCATCAGCAGGTTGGTGTCTGGCAAGGGTCTGGTCTCTGCTTCCCAGATGGTGCCTTGAATGAAGCGTTCTCCAGGGAGGAGGAACATTATTTCTCACATGACAGAAAAATGGAAGAGCAAAGAGAGAAAACCCACCCCTGAAAGCCCCTTTCTAAATGCATTAAACCTGCCCCATAAAGGTGGAGCCTAATTACCTGTTAAAGTCCCACCTCTTAATACCTTTCCAATGACAACTGAATTTTGATATGAGTTTTTGAGGCAACAAGCATTCAAACATAGTAGCCAATGAGGCTTCAAATGCAAGTTTAAATTATTAATCAACTTTTTTTTCTCCATCCTGGGTTTTGGAAAGTCTTTCAGGAAGGCAATCTTAAAATCCAAAATTTGTGGGAACTTCCCCATAACATTTAAAGAATACAAACCCTAGGATATCTAAGATTTTATTTTCTTTTTATTTAAGGCTTTTCACAAATGATCAATGTTGTTAAATGTCAGAGTTCTCCAAAGTGAGTCACTGTGATATCAAATTGCTCTTGGTGAAATTATGGCATTTAGAAAGACATGTACATGGATAATACTTATAATGCAAAAACATGAAAAACACAGGGTTTGGCCTGGAGGGAGCTTAGATTTAGGGCTCATGATAAATGCAAAAATGCTAACTTATGTCTCTGGAATCTGGACATAGACCAGCTTTGACCAACTGCTGGCCCAGGAACCCAAAAGTCCAGGCAGATTGACTTAGACACAGCAGCTCTAATCAAACAGAAAAACAAAGACAATTGTGAGGAAGGTCTTTATAGGGCTTTGATAAGGTGATCCAAAGCAAAGTTTATCCACAGGCTGTCAGTTTGATGAGAACATTGGAACTCATCAGCTTTTGGGGCCAGCTTGAGGATAGATTTACAGGGTCTATGTCTACCTTGTCTCCATAGACTTTCTCTTAAAGACGAAAAGTGCTCAAGATATTGGACAAACAGAAAGACAATAGATGATGGTGTTAAAAGCTAAATTTTGCAAAGGAACAATATAATTTGATGTGAAATCAAAAGCCTAAGAAACCAGATATAAATAACACTCCAGATTTCAAGCAATAATTGAAACTTAGCTTCATCATGAAACTTACTTTGCTGTAGTAGGCAAAGTAGCCTTGAGTAGGTGGACTTTCAAGGGGTCTTAGATAAGCACACTGTTTTCAAGGTCCTGTTTTGCAGTGGTAGGCTTCTTTTTGGAATCTTAGTAGGACCTCTAGGATAGTTGGTGTGCTCTGATCAATGAATGGCCAATAGGAACACACCTGAAGCTTAAAAAATGTTAGATTTTTTTTTTTTGGCACTCTAGGGAAACTCTGGGAACATCTCAGCAAAGAAAAATTGGCAGGGGATTGTTATAGGGTGTATGGGTATATGTTGAGTGATTTTTAATTTTATTTATTTATTTAAATAAATAAATAAATAGGCTGGAGTGCAGTGGTGCAATATTGGCTCACTGCAACCTCCGCCTCCCAAGTTCAAGTGATTCTTCTGCCTCAGCCTCCCAAGTAGCTGGGATTACAGGTGCCCACCACCACGCTTGGCTAATTTTTTGTATTTTTAGTAGAGATGGGGTTTCACCATGGTGGTCAGGATGGTCTCTATCTCTTGACCTCGTGATCTGCCCACCTCAGCCTCCCAAAGTGCTAGGATTACAAGTGTGAGCCACCACACCCTGCTTATGTTGAGTGATTTTTTTAAGGAGAAAATAGGAAAGCAAGTTATAAGTTTAAAGTTCTCAATTTGGTGAGTGAATATATTAGTAATTTTTATCTAGTGTATTAGCTCAAGCTGCCATAACAAAATATCATATACTGGGCAGCTTAAACAATAGAAATTATTTTATTGCCGTTCTGGAGGCTAGAAGTCTGAGATCAGGGTGTCAGCATGGCTGGATTCTGGTTAGGGCTCTCTTCCTGGCTTATGCATGGCTGCCTTCTTCCTGTGTCCTCACATTGCAGAAGATCAGAGAGTGAGCAAGCTCTCTGGTGTCTCTGTATAAGGGCACTAATTATATCACAAGGACCCCACCTTCATGATCTTCTTTAAACCAAATTACCTCCCAAAAGTCCCATCTCCAGATAACATCCCGTTGGAGATTGGGGCTTACACATATGAATTTTCAGGGAAAGCAGTTGAGGTCCATTGCATCTAGGAAGCAGGAAAATTAAAGCACATGGGAATGGTCTTGCTAAGATTCAGCAACCACTGAGTAATGGAACATTATTCAGAAGACAGGATGCTCAGTCATTTTTGTGTTGCAGAGTGGCATTGCCTAAGTCTTGTTCCATATATAATCATGGATTGGCCTTGTCTATGTCTTGGTCTGAGGGTTGTTTATGTTCTTTTGTGAAAATTTACTGACTTGTTCTCAGAAAGGCTGTTTTTCTTAGTAGATTAGAAACATCTTCATTACTACCTGTTGTTTTTAATGGCCTTAATTCCTCTTTTTGCCTTTAATGAATAAAAGGAATATGTAAATTATTATTTCATTTGATTGCAAGGTGATAACTCTTTGGAAAAGAATATGAGTTAACTTTTATCTTTATTAAAGTAATATGTATATATGCATTATAGAAAAAATAAAAAATATGAAAAAGCTATTATAGTTTTATCTTGCAGAGACAAACTATGTTCCCATGTTTGTTTCTTTTTATATTTGTCATTTTATTCTATGAACATTCACACTTGTTTTCATAGTTTGGGTTATACTGTAGATACATTTTGTGTTCTGAACTCTGACAAAAATTTTTCGAAGCATATAATCTTAGGCTGTAAAGAGCTCTGATGATGGGAAGCTTGAGAGCCACTGACTCTACCCGCAACTCAGTTTGTTCATCTGAAAACAGAGATAAAATCAGCAATTCTGTATTATCCAAAAGATTGTTGTGAGAGTTGTATAATTGTATATTAATGTGTAAATATGCTTTGAGGACAGTAACTTGTTGTACTTTTTAAAAGGGATGTACTTCCCATTATAGAAATTGGAGGAGGAAGACGGGAGGATTCTGATTTGCAAGCTTATTAAGGCAGAATAATAAATTATGTTTAAGTCCGCCTTTATAAGTAATTACTGCAAATTCTCCAGTCCTCTAGCCCTGGGAGGCAGGCAGTCAAGCTATTTGTCAACTGAATGAAGCTGCTCTCTTTTTCAGTCTTGAGGAATAATTTTCTTCAGACTTGGGTGAATCGATGGGACTCTATTTGCTAGATGGGGGTTAGTGTCCAGTCTGTTGAGCAGGAACTTACACCTTTTTCCAGTGACTGTGCTAATGGGTGTCAACGTTGACAGGGCAGGCAGAGTGTGCCAAAGGAGACACGGAGTGAAGCAAAAAGGAATCTTTTCCAACTGGGTAGATGGTGTAGAATGGGGAAAAGACTACTTTAAAGTACCAGGGGAAAATCTCAGAAGCATTAATAAATAAATGCAGTGGATACAAAAAAGGGTGAGCTGAAAATATTATATTGTACTTATCTTGATATTTTCAGTGCCTAGCACAGAGCCTGGAATATCAGTAATTGTTTGCTGAATAAATGAATGAATGCATGCATGAATGAAAGAATTATATTTAGGATAAAGCTGGCAGAAGGGAAGAGATGAAGCCATTACATATTCAATGCCTACACTTTACCAGACACTGTGATAAGCACTATAGAGACATGGTATCCTTTGATGCTCACAGCAATTTTGTGAAGGTTAGTGTTATTATCCCTTTTTATGAATGAGGCAACTGTGGTTGAACGCTTTCTTTTTAGCTCCTTTCGCAGACATGTAGTGATATATATTATGAGACAGGATTTTGTAAAACTTGAAGTGCTACCCACCTGTGGGGAATTAAAAGGTGATACTTGAGCCAGAATAAACTTAAAACACAGATATAATCAAGGCAGTAACGTTGGAAATAGATTAAACTTAATTGACCCTTATTTAATGCCTACTATGTTCTTACTGTGGGACTGGATATTTTAAGTTTGAATTAGTTTTGCTACTTTGTGACAAAGGATAAATCACCCAATCTTATTTGATAAACTACAGTTTATTAAAGGGGCTATGGTATCACAGGCAATTTGCTTACATTACCTTATTTAGTTAATAAAACAAAGTTATCTAACAGGATTAGTTAATATCATTTTACAAACGATGATTGAATGGTCAGACAATAAGCCTGAGAACTCATAATTTAGTATTGAGCAAGGTGAAACTGGAATTTTTATCTATTTGCTTTCAAGATTTTATTTTAAATTATTATATAACTTGGCCTCACTACAAAATATCATAATAGACACCATCTGAACACACATGAAATTCTATGCTCAATCCTTATAAATTTTCCCAAATTGTGAAAACACTGCTGGCTAACCCATTTTACAGAGGAAGAATCAGAGGGCCCCAAAAGTAACATGATGTTTCAAGGTCACTCTGCTGATAGGAATTTAATTTATATTTCTGCCCAAAGCTCTCTCAGTGGTTTCCAACTGATGCTTTTTAAATTCTTATAAGTCCAGCAGGAGTAGCTCACATATGGTGCCCTGCTTGTGGGCTCCACTAGGGGAGGTGATCCCAGGCTCATGTTTGGTTGAGGGGTAGCCGCTGATTGGAGCAGGGCTGAGCATTTTACTCAAGGACAATCAGTCCAGATGACTTATCAGTTGGAATCTAAAGAAGGGCAATGGAGATTTGCTAGGCTAATCAGTTTTTTATTTGGAATTGAATGAGAAAATGTGGGGAGAACCAAACAGTTAGTCGAGCAGTAACTACTGTTGAAAGATTAGTAGGAAAGCTACAGAAATCAAGGAATATGTGCCTTTTTGTCATAAGATCAAAGTAACAGTGGATGAGGGGCTAGGTAACCAGCTGAAGAACAGCTTCCCTGAAGAGTCACCTGGATCCACCATAGACTTTGTATAGAAAAATAACATTGCTGTCTTAAGCCAGTGATCTTGAGAGATTGTCCATTACTGTAGCATATTCTATCATATCCCGCTAATATAATTCTTTGGGGTCCCCTTTGTTTGCTTCAAGTAATAAAACCAACTGGCTATTTTAAGCAAAATGTAAATTTGTTGGAAGAATGGAGGGTATCTAACAGAATCACAAGGAAAGCCGAACAGCCAGTCTTCTAAGAAAGAATCCAGGTCTACCCTGATGATTGGAGCAGAAACTGATAGGCAATATGAATCATTTCCAGCCACATTCTGTCCTCTTCTCTGTGCTTAATATTCAGATTCCCAGGAAAGAATGTCAGATTGGATTATTTTGGGGTCATTTGTCCACTCTTTGGCCAAAGGAAGGCAGGCATCTTGATAATATTGTTCCATTAAAATGGTATGCAATAAGGAGATAATTCCTCAAAAGAAAATTAGGACACAGCTACAAAACAATTAAACAAAGCAAAAAAAGTAAAAACAAAAGCATAGCTATAGAGCTATGCAACCTCAAAGGACAGGTGAAAAATGGCAGGTGCTTACCACACAATTTCTATTTCACTACAGAGTATTGCTTCTGTCTCTCAGTTTTAATTATGCCTCTACCCTCTAGACTGATACACTCTTTGCTTGTCTGACGTTGGATCCTTGGTTTTCCTTGACTAACATTGCTTCTCCTTCAGCTGCCAGATACCTGAAATATACAGGATTAAACCCTTTTTATAACCATTTGTTCTCCTTCTAGCCTAGCCAGCTCCTTTCACTTTTTCCTTAAAAGTGGTAGGAATATGAATTTATTCAAAATTGGATAGCTCAGGAAGGTTCTTTCTGTTTATGTGAAAAGTGCCATTGGAATGTTGATAAAATTGCACTGAATCTGTAGATTGCTTTTGGTAGTATGTACATTTTAATGATATTAATTCTTCCAATCCATGAACACAGGATGTCTTTCCATGTATTTGTGTCTTCTTTGATTTCTTCTATTGATGTCATATTGTTTTCATCCACTTCCTAAAATTTATTTCTAAGTATTTTATTTTTTGATGCTATTGTAAATGGGATTGTTTTCTTAATTTACTTTTTGGATTGTTCACTGTTAATGTATAGAAACACAAATTATTTTTGTATGTTGATTTCATAACTTGCTATCACTATCAGAATTCCAGTGGCATTTCTTATAATTTTTTTAAATCTTAATATTTATAGGAAACCACAAGAATACTCAAATATCCTAAGCAATCTCAAGAAAAATGAACAAGTCTGGAGTGTCCTAATTTGAAAACATATTACAAAGCTACAGTAATCAAAACAGTATGGTATTTGCATTAAAGGAGACACATAGACCAATGAAACAGAATAGAGAGCTCAGAAATAAATTCACCCATTTATGGTCAACTGATCCTTGACAAAGTTTCCAAAAATACACAATGAGAAAAACACAGCCTCTTCAATAAATGATGTTGGGCAAACTGGATGTCCACATGCAGAAAAAAATAAAAATAAAAATAAATAAGACCTTTCTCTTACACTATACACAAAAAAATGAACTCTAAACTAATTAAAGACTTAAATCTGAAACCATAACACCCCTTGAAGAAAACCAGAGAGAAAAAGCTCTTTGACATTGGTCTTGGCAATAAATTTTTAAAATATGATCCTAAAAGTACCAGCAACAAAAGCAAAAATGAACAGGTGGGACTACATCAGACCAAGCACTTCTTCTTCACAGCCAAGAAAAAAATTCAACAAAATGAAAAAGCAACCTATGAAATAAAAGAAAATATTTGCAAGCCATGTATTGATAAAAGGTGAATGTCCAAAATTTACAAAGAATCTGCACAACTCAATACCAATAAACCAAATAATGTACAAAGACTTGAATAGACATTTCTCTAAAGAAGACATGCAAATGGCCAATGAGTATATGAAAAAGTGCTCAACATCACAATCATCAGATAAATGCAAATCAAAACCATGGTAAGATATTACCTCGCACCTGTTAGGATGGCTATTATCAAAAAGACAAGAGATAACAGTTTTGGCTTGGGTGTGGAGAACCCAAGCTTGTATACTATTGTTGGGGATGTAAATTAGTATAGCCATTATAAAAAACAATATATAATTCCTTTAAAAAAGTAGAACTACCTTATGATCCAGGAATCCTACTTCTGGGTATATATCCAAAGGAAATGAAATCAGTACCTTGAAGAGATAGCTACACCCCCATGTTCATTACAGCATTATCCACAATATCCACAATATGGAAACAACCCAAGTGTCTCTCAACAGATAAATGGATAAATCAAAAACATGGTATACGCATGCACACACACACCTTCTCACACACACAATGAAATATTAATCAGCCACAGAAATGAAAGAAATTCTGTCATTTGTAACAACATGGATGAGCCTGGAAAAGATTGTGCTAAGTGAAATAAGCCAGGCACAGGAAGACAAATACTGTATTTGTCATTTACATGTGGAATCTAATAAAGTTGAATTTATAGAAACAGATTAGAATGATGGTTGCTGGGTCTGAGGGTGCAGGAGAAATGGCGAGATATTGATGAGGTTACAGACTTTCAGTTATAAGATCAGCAAGTTCTGGGGATCTAATGAGTGGTGATGGATGCATTAATTTGATTGTAATAATCATTACACAATGTATGTGTATATCAAATCATGTTTTATACTTTAAATATATATGATTTTTATCAATTATATGTACATACATACACATATATACATACATATATGCACACATCCATATATATGATAATATATACACATATATATCCATGTATATGATCATATATATATCTCCATATATATGATTGGATATACATACACATATATATGTGTATATATCATGATTAGATAAATATATAGCTATATATCCAATTTTATTTATATATACATATATATATATATATATATATATATATATATATATATATATATAGTTGGATACCTCATGGCTAAGTTTGTAAGCCAAAAAGGCACTGGCATGTTTTATTAGTAAGGTGTTCAGCCACTGTTGTGGACTGAGGCTTGGAGGATCTTTATCACCCTAAGTAAGCATCAATTAACGAATACACAGAATTAGGAATTCTAGCCACATAATCATGTTATCCAAGGAAAACATCCCAAAATAATTAGAAGGAAAAATTAGTCTGTTTGTATATTTGACAGCTAGCTAAGTGCAATGTTCATTAGGAAGTTTAAAAAAAATACCATTCCTCTGCTTCTAAGTTGGGAGTCTGTTTAGTGCTATACACATTTTCGAGATAATTTTTCTATCTGAATGTGTTTCCTTCTTTGTTGCATGGTTAACTCCTCTCCAGAGGTTTTTGGCAAGTTCTCTTTGTACTGCAGGTACATCCGCAATGCCCATTTATATTAATTGAGAGGCAGGAGCTTCAAAAAAAAAAAAAAAAAAAAAAACACAGAAAGATTAAATTTAATCATTTTTTCCAGACCTGTGGTTCCCAAACCTGACCACGCACTGGAGTCACCTGGAGGAGTTTCCAAAACTCTGTTAATAATGGGTTTCACACTAGACCAATTAAATTAGACTTTTTCAGTGTAGGGCCCAGACATTAATATTTTAAGAAGCTCCATGGGTGATTCTAGTATGTGGCAGGATTAAGAAACACTCATTTAAATCAAACAGGAGCCGATCCTGCCCCTGGGAATTAACTAAGCTCTCCGGGTGCCTGAAGGAGCCTTTTGGATCCCATCAAGGCTTTTGAATAGTATGGGCCAGAACCAGGATCATCAGTAATTAGTGAGCACGGCCCTTCCCTTTTCTCAAGAGATACATTCATTATAGGAAAGGAGGAGGAACAGAAATATATTTACACATTTTTGTGGTGTGCCTGGCACCATACTATGTGCTTCTACATATGTTATTTGTAATGGGAATTTTGGCTTTGATTTGTCCAAGAAAGCTAAAGGAAGGGAGATAATTCCTCTTCCTGCTCCCAGTGGACAAACAAACAAAGACTGGCCAATAGAATGTTGCCTTCCAGAACTTTTGGTCTGGGGTAAGTGACATAAGAGGTAGGAGAAACTAAAAGTTTATTCCTACAGCAGTGGCAAGGTATGTGGCAGAGTGATAAGGGGCTAGGGTACCAGATCACCTGGATGGGGCAGTGGCTGCAGCTTTCCCACCACTGTCTTGCTTCATGATCTTTTGGCCTGGGCTGATTTCTCAGGCTGTCATGGGTTCTGCCTGTCTTCTGAGTCACATTATCCATCCTTCCTTTTGAGTCTATGGGCCCGCAAACATTCTTCCAACAGATTCCTTTCTTTCCCTTAATCAGAGATGGTTTCTTTTTTTCTCATATTTTATTTTTAAGATCAATAACCTTGCATAGCATATTACGTATTCACAATTGTAACAATAATAATACAAATATTTTTGTAGCTCTCCTCTGGTTAAAACATGTTTCATATACTCAGTAATAATCCTGTGAGAAAACACATAGATATCAGAGAGCATATATATACTACTTTCCATTTTGCATCCACTTGGAGGGATAGAATAAAAAAGTCAGACAATAACGTGTATTGGCAAGGATGTAGGGAAATTGTAACTCTCATACATGATTGGTGAAAATGTAAAACGGTGAAGCCGCTTTGGAAAAGAGTTTAGTAGTTCTTCTAAAAGATTGAAAATGTATGTCCTCACAGACACTTTTGCATAAATAGTCATAGAAGTATTATTCATAATAGCCAAAAAGTGAATATAATCCAAATGTCCATCAATTGATGAAAGGCTAAGTAAACTGTGGTCTATCCATGCAATGGAATAGCATTCAGCCTTAAAAAGAAATTTGAAAATGTTCTAAAATTATTTAATGATGATTGTTGCACAATTTAGTAAAGATACTAAAAATCACTGAATTGTACAATTTAAAAGGGTAAATTTTATCATATGTTACTTATATCTCAATGAAGCTGTTATATTAAAAAACAAATCACATATACAGGAGTTATACCTTACACCTAATTGTAATTCATTTACATATACTCAGCAGAAGAAATTAGCAAAAAAAGCATTTTTAATAATAAATAGATCCAAATTATGAACTATTTTTGGCACTCAATCAAAGCAATAGCTACCTGTTTAGTACTGAAGGAAAAACTGGCTTTGTATGGAGAAATTATGTAGTATCGCAAAGCTATGTATATAATATTCTGATAGTGATTTGAGAGGTTTTCAAGGATAGTTTTGCTTTTGTCTTATGCACATACTTCAGAAACTACTTCATAAGATACAGCTACAGTGTGTTAGCATTTTTCATTTTAGAGATTAAGAGACTGTAGTTCATGGAGAATATGTAAATTATTGAGAGTAATAGTACTAGTAAGAAGAACCTGAATTTTCACCCCAATCTTCTGAGCTCCGAATTCTATACCTTTTGTCTTCTATCATACGGCCTTCTATAAAAAGGATTAAAGTTTATGTTATGAGTTAAATAATTATCTATTTTTAGTAAAATTCTGTGGTTATCCATCCATCCATCCATCCTCCCACTGAGTCTTGAACAAATGCTTGCTGTGCTATACTATAAATTTAGTGGTATAGAAGTCCATGCATATTCTCCAGGAACTCACAGTCTAGTGGAGGAATTTAAGTCATATTTTTACTCTAAACCTCATTTGGTGTATACATTGGGTCTCAATCAGTATTGATTTGGAAAAGCAATGGAATATTTTTCAGTGTTGGACTTGGGTATGTGGCAATACCATGTTTTCTTTTGCAATTCATGAGGGCTGCCAAGACTTAGGGTTTACCCTCTACATGGGGAATCATTGTGTTTGAATTGGAAAGAAGGGCTATTATCATATAAGAGGAACTACTCTCTATCTTGGTGGTTGTCAAGTTTTTGCATTGCTTCCAAATATCCTGGTCACTATGGGATGAGTTACTCATGGTCTCTATCCTGGAGCCCTTGGCTGACCAAGTATGGCCCTGTATGAGAATTCTGTATAGTTCATTTGTTTTTAAGCTTTCTTATATATGGGATCAATACTTTATGTGTAAAAACAGAAAACATTATCCCCATTTTACACATGTCTAAGGCTTTTAGACAACAGCTAATATTTGACAACAGCAAGTAAGAGCAGGAGTTTTGACTTTAAGGTTAGTAAACTTTCTACCCCAGGTTTCTGCCTTTGAGACAGGTATTCTGCAAAACTTTGTTCCCTTGAACAGGATCAACTTGCTGTGATAGCATCTTGTTCTCTGCACAGGGAGATGATGGCTGCTCCTTATGTTTCCAGCAAGGTGAGGTACCCCCAGCTCATTCACTGGAGGCAGGCAGTCTTCTTTATAATCCAGATTCTATTCTTCATATTTCTCATATGTAAAATGAGAACAATATAAGTATTCATTTCCTCGGTTTCTGATGAAGACTAAATGAGACCATGCATATAAAGTGCTTAGCAGAGGCCCTGACAAATAGCATAACACTTACTATTAAGCTTTCATTATTACTGTTGTCATTGTTATTATTTGTCTAGAGGCCGCAGTGAACCTGACTTGCATTTTGTTTGATCACTCTGCTTATTTTTTAAGGATTTTAATAAAAATATTAATACATGCATATGAGAAAATTAAAAAGGGTCCACAGTGAAAGTTAAATCTTCTGCCAACACAGACTTTTAGTTCCCCAGATCCCCCTGGGGACAACTCCTGTTACCAGAGTCTGGCATCTTTCTGAAATGTGACAGATGCATACATGCATTTGATACATCTTATATGTGCATGCTATGCACAGTTTTGCATCTTATTTTTTTTCTTAGCAATGTCACTTTGAGAACATTTCCTATCAATACAAACAGAATATGGTTTCTCTGATTCAGTAAATTAAATCAGTAAATTGCTTCATAGATGAACATTTAGGTTGCTTATAGACTTAGCTAATGACAGCAACACTGAAATAAACACTTTTCTACATATTTCCTGGTGCACCTATCTGTAGGGTAAATCTCTTGAAATGGAATCGCTGGATTGGTTGGCTTAGGAACTATTAATTTTAGTAGACATTTCCATATTACCTTTCAAAGAGATTATACTGATTTACTCTCTTATTAATAACTCCCGCCATACCAACTTTATAGTCTTTGTCAGTAAGATAAATATAAATGGAAAGTCCATTAAAGTTTTAAATTGCATTTTAAAAATTATGACAAATAGGCCAGGCGCAGTGGCTCACACCTGTAATCCCCAGCACTTTGGGAGACCGAGGTGGGTGGATCACGATGTTAGGAGTTCGAGACCAGCCTGACCAACATGGTGAAACCCTGTCTCTACTAAAAATACAAGAAAATTGCCTGGGCGTGGTAGTGCATGCCTGAACCCCAGCTAGTCAGGAGGCTGAGGCAGGAGAATCACTTGAACTTGGAAGGCAGAGGTTGCGGTGAGCTGAGATCACGCCACTGCACTCCAGCCTGGGCAACAGAGCGAGACTGTGTCTCAAAAGAAAAAAAAATTATGACAAATAGTAAGAGTGTTTCCATATGTTTAAAAGCAAAATGTATTTATTTTTCTGTGAAATTTCTGTCCTTGTCCTCTGCCTATTTTTCTAATGAATTCTTATTTATTTAGATAAACTCTTTACATTTATAGGTAACAGATTATATTGCCTCGGAAGTATTTTCTTTCCTCTTTGTCTTATGTTTTTGACTTTATGAACATTTTTATATGCAGAGGTTTTTAACTCTTGCGTGGTCAAATGTATTCATTTATTAATGGCCTCTGGGTTTTATGTCTTTCTTAGAAAGACCTGCTGAAATCTATGACTACAGGAATACCTCATTTTATTGTGCTTTGTTTTATTGTGCACCGCAGATATTATGCTTTTTACAAATTGAAAGTTCATGGCAACTTTGAATGGAGTAAGTCTATTGGCACCATTTTTCCAACAGCAAGTGACAACTTCATGTCTCTCTGTGTCACATTTTTGCAATTCTTACAATATGACAATATTATTATGTCATTATGGTAATCTGTAAACAGTGATCTTTGATGTTACTATTGTAATTGTTTTGGCTGCTGTGAGCTGCACCCATATAAGATGGTGAACTTAATTATAAATGTTGTGTGGGTTCTGACTGCTCTCTTCTGTCCTCCTGTACCCCTCCCTCTCCTTGGACCTCCCTGTTTCCTGAGACACAACAGTCATGAAATTAGGCCAATTAATAGCCCTACAATTGTCTCTGAGTGTTCAAATGAAAAGATGAGTCCCATATCTCTTCACTTTAAATCAAAAGCTAGAAATGCTAAACTTATTGAGAAAGACATGTTGAAAGCCAGGATAAGCCTAAAGCTAGGTCTCTTGTGCCAAACAGCCAAGCTGTGAATGCAAAGGAAAAGTTCTTGACAAAAATTAAAAGTGCTACTCCAGTGAACATACAAACGATAAGGAAGTGGAACAACTTTCTGCTCATGTAGAGAAAGTTTTAGTGGTCCGGATTGGAAAAATGGAACTAGTCACAGTATTCCTTTAAGCCAAAGTGTATTCCAGAGCAAGGCTGAGAGAGATGAGGAAGCTGCAGAAGAAAAATTTGAAGATATGAGAGGTTGGTTCATTAGGTTTAAAAAAAGAAGCTGTCTCCATAACGTAAAACTGCAAAGTGAGGCAGTGAGGGCTGATGAAGAAGCTGCAGCAAGTTTTCCAAAAAATCTAGCTAAGATCATTTATGAAGGCAACCACACTGAACAAAAGGTTTTCTGTGCAGATAAAACAGCCTTATACTGGAACAAAATATCATCTAGGACTTTCACAGCTAGAGAGAAGAAGTCAATGCCAGGCTTCAAAGCTTCAAAGGTCAGGCTGACTCTCATTTTAGGGGCTAATGCAGCTGGTGACTTTAAGTTGAAGCCAATGTTCATTTGCCATTCTGAGAATCTTAGGGCCCCTAAGAATTATGCAAAAACTATTTTGCCTGTGCTCTATAAATAACACAATAAAACCCAAATAACACACGTCTGTTTACAATATGGACTAAAGAATACTTTGAGACAACTTTTGAGACCGACTGCTCAGAAAAAAAGATTCCTTTCGGAATATTACTTCTCATTGACAATGGACCTAGTCACCCAAGAGCTCTGATGGAGATGCACAAGGAGATTAATGTTGTTTTTACATCCATGCTGCTAACACAGCATCCATTCTGCAGTTCATGGATCAAGGAGTCATTTTCACTTTAGGTCTTATTATTAAAATAATACATTTCATATGACTCTAGCCATAGAAGGGATTCCTCTGATAATCTGGGCAAAGTAAATTGAAAACCTAAAATGATTCATCATTTTAGTTGCCATTAAGGACATTTGTGATTCATGGGAGAAGGTCAAAATATCAACATTAACAGGAGTTTGAAAGAAGTCGATTCCAAACCTCATGGATAACTTTGAAAGGCTCGAGACTTCAGTGGAAGAAGGAACTGTACCTGTGGTAGAAATAGCAAGACAGTTACAATTAGAAGTGGTGTCTGAAGATGTGACTGGATTGCTGTAATCTCATGATAAAACTTCAACCAATGAGAAGCTGCTTCTTATGAAGAAAGTGGTTCCTTGAAATGGAATTTTCTCCTGGTGAAGGTGCTGTGAACATTGTTATAATGACAACAAAGGACTAAGGACATTCCCAAAACTTAGTTGATAAAGCAGCAATAGGGTATGAGAAGATCTATTCCAATTTTGAAAGAAGTTCTAGTGTAGGTAAATGCTATCAAATAGCATCACATACTAAAGAGAAATCTTCAATGGAAAAAAGAGTCAATCCGTGCAGCAAACTTCATTGTTGTCTTATTTTAAGAAATTGCCACAGCTACTGCAGTTGTTAGCAACCAACACCCTGATCAGTCAGCAGCCATCAGCATTGAGACAACATCTTCCAGCAGGTTAATAACTACAACTTTTTTTTTTTTTTTTTTTTTTTTTGGAGACAGGGTTTTGCTCTACGTCAGGCTAGAGTGCATAGGTGCAATCTTGGCTTACTGCAGCCTTGAACTCCTGGGTTCAAGCAATTCTCCCACCTCAGCCTCCCTAGTAGCTGGGACTACAGG
The DNA here is from genome assembly GCF_000001405.40 of Homo sapiens. Lineage (NCBI taxonomy): Eukaryota > Metazoa > Chordata > Mammalia > Primates > Hominidae > Homo > Homo sapiens. Next base: position 131,674,386 of record NC_000008.11, on the reverse strand, counting down.
CGTGTACCACCGCGCCTCACTAATTTTTTTTTTTTTTTTTTGTATTTTTGGTAGAGATGAGGTTTCATGTTGCCCAGGCTGGTCTCGAACTCCTGGGTTCAAGTGATCTGCCCACCTCGGCCTCCCAAAGTGCTGGGATTATAGGTGTGAACCATCATGTCCGGCCTAAAGTATGTAAGTTTTAAAGATGTAATGCTATTGCACAAATAATAGACTATAGTATAGTGTAAATATAACTTTTTATATGCAGTAGGAAACCAAAAAGTTCCTATCACTTGCTTTATTGTAACAATTTACTTTCTTGCAGTGGTCTGGAACTGAACATGCAATATTTTCAAGGTATGCATCTATTTTATTTTGTTTTATTTTTATTTTTTATTTTTTATTTTTGTGGGTATGCAGTAGATGTATATATTTATGGGGTACATGAGATGTTTTGATACAGGTATGCAATGTGAAATAAGCACATCATGGAGAATGGGGTGTCCATCTCCTCAGGCATTTATTCTTTGAGTTACAAACAATCCAATTACACTCTGTAAGTTATTTAAAAATGTACAATTAAGTTATTATTGACTAGAGTCACCCTGTTGTGCTATCAAATAGTAAGTCTTATTCATTCTTTCTAATAATTGTTTTTTGTACCCATTAACCATCCTCCCCTCCCGGCCATCCCTCCAGTACCCTTCCCAGCCTCTGGTAACCATCCTTCTTGTCATGTATTTAATTTTTTTCTCTCTCTCTTGTTAAGGAAGTACTCCCATACATTTATCACTTTTCTTAGATTTATTTTCTTTATAAAAATATTTTATAATCTGTACTTCTCTTTTTATGTTCTGAAACAATTTAAATATGTTTTAGTTATCTGTTCTTGCATGGTTGAAACCATCTGGGAACAATTTGGTCTTAATGTCCTCTTGGGAGAATGATTGTTTCAACAAATTTCTGTTTCTTCGATGGTGACTAGACTATGCATATGTTCTATACCTTCTGAAGTAAAGTTTGGTGGTATGAATTGTTCTAGAAAATCATTTATTATTCCATTTGGCTAAATCTTCATTAATAGAGTTGAGCAAAACAATATTTTATAAGTCTTTGTTACTCACAGTGCATATTAAAAAGTCATTGTTTTTCTTTTCTTAATTGGATTTGGTTATGTTTTATCTGGTTTACTGCTATTTACCCCCATAAAGAAACAGGTTTTTAAATTTGGTAGTCCCACTATTTTATAATTTTCTGTTTTATTAATTTGTGCATTTTGACTTTTTTCTTTTTACTTATTGCCTTGGGTTAATTTGTTGTTCTTTATCTAACTTTCAGACAGATGCTTTTATTTATTTACATTCTTTCTTTCTGAGTAACGCGATTCTGTGTTAATTTTCGTTTGGCCATTGCTGTAGCTAAATCCCAAAAGTTCTGTTATATATTTTTGTTATTATAATTTTCCAGTCATTTATTAATATTTGTTTTTTATTTATACATGATTTCAGACAGTTTACTATTTAAAACTTTTTTTGATAGAATGGAATTTTTTTATTAGTTAAAGTTTAAAAAATTAAATACTGGTTTGCCTTGTCAAAGGCTTTTCTGTACTCTTTATTCCTTCTGAAATTTATTAAGGTTTTCTTGCATCCTAATCTGTATTAATTTTTGCAAATCTTTCACAGACCCTTGGAAGAAAACTTTCTGTTTTCTTTTGAGGGCATTCAGTTAGTCAGGAAGTAATAGCTTTAAATTGTTAATTTTGTAGCTTAAATCTTCTATATCTTCACTTATCTATTTTACCTAATATGTACTGAAAAAGGTGAATTAAAATACCTAAGTATTTTTATATTTCTTTTTTGTTTCTTATATTCACATGAGGTTTTGCTTTATGAATTTGAATTCCATAGAATTTGGTTCATTAAAGATTTTTACATATTCAGTAAATAGTGAAAGATTTTTTATTTTATAATAAATTTATTTTAATAAGGTACCTATTTTATCAAGTTTAATGCATTTTGTTCTGAATTAAACTTTATTATTTATAACAGGTCTCTACTTTTTTTGGTCTGCATTTTTCTAGTTTGTTGCCCATTCTTTTCTTTTAAACTTTTCTGCTTCTCTTCCTTCTAGACATACCTCTTAAATATAGCACATAATTAGCATTTGTTTTGTGAACTAACCTGAGTTCTTTCCTTTTCATAGCAAATTTATTCTAACCTCATATTTTCATTTGCCAGTGTTTTTCTCTGTTCTGTATTGTTATATAACTCATCTAGTAATAGCTGTTATTTTTAGTGCATTTTTAAAATAAATTTAATCTTTCAGTACGTTCTTTATTTTGTTTTCTGCATGTTTACATGTCCACTGTCAGCTTAGTCTCAGGAACAGGGTGAAAGGACTTCCCAACAGGGCAATGAATGTCTGCCCAGTAGTCTAGGACAGAGGGGCTGGAGCGCATGTCCTTACAATTACAGTTTAACTACTTCTTTTCCTAAACAAAATTTGTGACCTCATTTGAGCTCTCAGGGAACAAATGATCATATAAATCTGTAATACAATTTTTACTATTTGAGATACTGACAGATATGATGGTCAAGAAAAACCCAATTCGTGCGACTCATCCTAAGTCGCCATTTTCTGCTTGATAAATGAGGGTATTAAACTAGAGAACATCTAAGGTTCCTTTCCAGTTCTTTTCTGTAATTTTTCTGATGTAGCAGGTATTTTTATTGTGTCTTTACATTCCTCTATCCTCAAACAATAAGAAATACTTAAAATCTTGCTTTCAAAATGTAGCATATAAGAAAAATGCACAAATCATATTTCAGCTTAATGAATCATCACAAAATAATTGCAACTGACACAAGTATCACAAAAGTGGGGAAACAAAATATTCTGTCACCATAGAAGTCTTTTCATATCCTATCAAAATGTAAAAACTATCCTGACTCTATACGTCACAGATTAGTTTTCTCTGATTTTTAATTTTATACAAAAGGAATTATACAGATTCAATTAGTGTCTGACATCTTTTGCTTAATGTTATATTAATTGAGATTCACTTACGTTGTTGTATATAGCTGTAACTTTTAAAATGTTTTTATAGTATAAAATTCCAATGTATATGTATCACAATTTAACCTATCATTGACAGAAGCTTCTTTTCCCCAGTTTCTTTTTTTGCTATTGCATATCACTTAAATGCTTTTACATGACTTATTGTGTAGATATGCACTCATTGCATTTAGCTGTACATCCAGGAATGACATTTCTGCATTATTGAGATTATATTGTTTAACCATAAAAAATAATGCTAATTTACCCAACAGAAGACTATTGTTTCCAGTGGATTTTATATCTTCACCATAATTATGCTGTCAGGAGTTTTAAATTTTAGTCATTCTTTTGAATGTGAAATTGTATCTCATTGTGATCTTAGTTTGCTTTTTTTCTGATTACTAATGAGAGTTTTCATGTATATTGACTTTTTGAATATTTTTTTGAAGTACCTATCAATTTTTTTTGGTCAATTTCTATGAAGCCGTTGGTCTTTTTCTTATTAATTTGCAGAAGTTCTTTATATATTCTGAATATGAGCCCTTTGTTAACCATAGATACAACAAAAATGAAATTACTATATGATTTAGCAATCTCTCTACTGAGTATTTAGCCAACGGATAATAAATCAGTATATCAAAGAGATACGTGCACTTCCATGTTTATTGAAGTACTATTCACAATAGTAAAGATATGGAATCAACCCAAGTGTCCATCAATAAATGAATGAATAAAGAAAACATGGTATATGTACACACAATGGAATATTATTTGGCCATGAAAATAAAATCATGCCATTTGCATCATCATGAATGGAACTGGAGGAAATTATGTGAAGTGAGATAAGCCAGGCACAGAAAGACAAATACCACATGTTCTCACTCATACATGAGAACTAAAAAGTGATGCCATGGACACAGAGAATAGAGTGATAGATACCAGAGACTGGGAAGGTTGGCTGGGTTGGAGCGTGTATGAAGAGGAGTTCATTAATGGACATGACATACAGTTAGAAGAAATAAGTTCTAATGTTTGATAGCAGAAAAGAATGACTATTCTTAGCAACAACATCTTGTGTATTTCAAAGTAACCAGAAGAGAGGACTTGAAGTGCTACCAACACATAGAAATGATAAATACTCAAAGTGATGGATACCCCAAATATCCCAATTTTATCATGACACATTCTGTGCATGTAACACTCACATGTACCTCATATATACATAAAGCATTATTTAATCAATTTTTAAAACTCAAAAAATAAAGCCTATATTTGTCATTTTTTTATGGTTGGTGCTTTTTACATCCAATCAAAGACATTCATTAAATACAAAAGAAGCCTAGAGAGGGGAACTTTAAGCAGCTCAGTGGTTGGGCTCAGTTTCCCAAGGAACTAGACACCAAAGCTGCAATGAAGAAAGGAATAGACATTAGACAGGACAGGCTAGGAAAGGGGGAAGGCCTGCCAGTCATCAGGGATGTATGAGTAATGTTGTGCATTGGGTGCTGTGAATCTCAGGCTGACTAATGATGCTCAGAATTAAACTCTTTCAATTGGGGCTTTGCCTGTGTTAGTCTCTTAAAAAAAGTTTCACCCTCAATTTCTTTATGCCCAGCTCACAAGACTGTTGTGAACAGATGGGTTAAGTTAGTATATGCCAAAATAATGTGTAAAGTGCAGAGCAAAATAAAAATTAAGTTTTGGATTTTTTGAGGCAGCTAGTGACGGGGAGGAACACAGACGCTGAAATTAGTGGATGGAATTAAATTCACTGGTGATTTAACAGCTGAATTATCTTGGGGAAAATTAGCATTTCAAAGTATTATCTGTGAAGTAATGAACACCTAAAACGTGTCCTTCAAAAAGAAAAGTACATATATACATTCTTTCTAAACTGTTAAACCTTTTAAAATATGATGACTTTGTCTTCCCTCTTTATTCATGTTTTTTTCCTAAAGCTATAAAATAAAAAAAAATCAGAACCACCATCATTTGTTTATAGAATCAGATTAATGTGTATTTGGTTTCAATGTTTCAATCCTATGTATATTCATGAAAATAAGAGAGGAGAAAATTGCTTCCTTCCCAACATATTCCAATGAGGATTTTGATAAGCAGAACAATCATTTAATTGGTACATTTCTATTTCTACCAGTGTCAGGCTGGGACAAGAGGCTCCTTATGCAAATCAAGAGGATTGGGGAAATGGATGCTGATTTATGGATTGCCCAATGATAAATCAACATATTTTTCTTACCTTGGGATCTCAGCTTGAAGAGCAAGGTCAAAGACACTGGTTCCAAAATGAGACAACATAGAAGGGAATGGGCCTGGGTGAACTGGTAATGTTCTAGTATATGGATTACTGCTAGACATGAATATAACAGAAATACTGTTGTATATTGCTATGGACTAAATTGTCTGTCTCCGAAATTCCTTTGTTGAAGCCCTAACCCCCAGTATGACTGTATTTGGAGATAGAGCTTTTAGGAGGTAATTAAGGTTAAATGAGGTCATATAGGTGGGGTCTGATTCTGATAGGATTGGGGGCCTTATTAGAAGAGAAAGATTCATTCTCTCTCTCTCCACTCCTTCAACACAAGCACTGAGGAAAATTCACGTGAATGCACAGCAAAAAAGTGTTTGTCTGGAAGCCAGGCAGAGAGTACGCACCAGGACCTGACCATGCTAGCACCCTGATCTTAGACTTCCAGCATCCAAAAGTATATGAAAATAAATTTATATTGTTTATACCACCTAGTATGGTATTGTTATGGAAACCTGCACTGACTAAGACATACATATCTAGCACTCTGTTATTCATGCATCCAGCAAATATTTATTTTTGTGAACATAGCCTATGCTAAATACTGTACTAGCCCCTGGGTTAAGAAAGGCTATTAGAACATGGTGTTTGCTTTCCAGTGATTTAGATGTTAATAGGTTGACTTGCAGGTCTGACTCAAGTGTAAGTCTTACAAGTCAGACTTACAATAAAAGTAAAATCAAAGAAATGGGCACATACAGGAGAACATATTTTGGTGTTCCTGGACGTGTCAGAGGATGCTTATTTTAAGAGATGACATTGAATTGATTTATGACATTCCAGGCAGAATAATAGCATGTGAAAAGGCTAGAAGGGAAATGGAAACTTTGAAGTCTAAAGTAGTGTGTATGCATGGAATATAGGATGGTAATGGAAGTGGCAGGAAGACTATCAATGGAAACATGGAAGGGCCTGCCATGAACTCTATATTATTCTAGGCTCAGAAGTTTGGATTTTAAGGATTTATTCTGAAAGTAAAAATGGACCTTTGGAGATTTTTTTTCTTCATGTATTTTGGAGCTTCATTGTGGTGAATATATATATGTGTGTGTGTGTATATATAATTACATATATAAGTTATTAGATATACATCATATATCTATTATGTATTTTGTATATACACATTATGTATATAATGTAATGTTATGTATTTGTGATAGATTGATATTTTATTATTATAAAATGTCCTTTTGTGTCTCTAGTAACAATTTCTGCCTTAAAATATATTTTGACTGATATTATTTTAATCACTTGAGATCTCTTTCGGTTACTGCTTCATTCTTTCTCCATCCTTTTGTCTTCAATCTTTTTGTGTTTTTGAATCTAAAGTATGATTTTTTAAACAGCATGTGGAATTGTGTGTTTGTTTTCATTCTATCAATCTCTGTTTTTGGATATGAGTGTTTAATTCATTCAAATATCATGTAAATACCAATTAGGTAACATTTACTTCTGCTATTTTGCTATTTGTTTTCTATTTGTCTTATTTCCGTTTTGCTTTTCTATTTCTTCATTACTTAATTTGTGTTAAATAGACTTGTTTTAGTACACCATTTTAATTCACTTGTTATTTCTCTTACCATATTTATTGAGCTATTTGCTTAGTAGTTGCCCTGGGAATTAAAATTAACACCTTAGCTGAAAACAATCTAGTTCAGATGAACGACAACTTAATTTCAACATATATAAAGCTTTGTTCCAAAATAGCTCCATTTCTTTTCCTCTCCTTTATGATGTTGTCATCATACAAATTATATCACTATACATTTTAAGCTAATCTATACATTTGTGTAGTTATTGCATTGTGCAATTAACTTTTAAATCACATAGAAGCATCAAAAATAAAAATAAGTTTATTTTTAAAATTTTATTTTAGGTTCAAGAGGTACATGTGCAAGTTTTTTACATGAGTATCTTGTGTGATGCTGAAGTTTGGGGTACAGATGTTCCTATCACCTAGTAGTGAGCATAATATCCAATAGGTGGTTTTTTAGCTCATGCTCCCTCTCTCCCTCCCCCTTCTTGTAATCCCAAGTATCTACTTTTTTCACCTTTACGTCCATGTATACTCAGTGTTTAGCCCCTGCTTATAAGTGAGAAGATGTAGTGTTTGGTTTTCTGTTCTTGCACTAATTTGCTTAGGATAATGACTTGCAGGTGCATACTTCTTGCTGCAAAGGACATGATTCTATTCTTTTTTATGGCTGCATAGTATTGGATGATGTATATGTACTACAATTTCCTTATCCAAAACACCACCGATGGGCACCCAGGTTGATTCCATGTCTTTGCTACTATGAACAGCACTGTGATAAACATATGAGTGTGTGTGTCTTTTCAATAGAACCATTTATTTTTCTTTGGCTATATACCCAGTAATGGTATTGCTGCCTTGAATGGTAGCTCTGTTTTAAGTTCTTTGAGAAACTGCCAAACTGCTTTCCACAATGGCTGTACTAGTTTTTATATTCCTGCCAACACTGTATAAAGCATTTCCCTTTACTACAACCTCACCAGCATCTGTTATTTTTTAACTTTTTAATAATTACCGTTCTGACTAGTGTAAGATGATATCTCATTTTGGTTTTGATTTTCATTTTTCTAATGATTAGAGATGATGAACTTTTTTTTCATATCTTTTTGGCCACTTGTATGTCTTCTTTTGAAAAGTGTCTGTTCATGCCCTTTGCTCATTTTTTAAAGTGGGTTGTTTTTTGCTTGTTGATTTAAATTCCTTGTATTTTCTGGATATTAGATTTTGTCAGATGTATAGTTGGTGAATATTTTCTCCCATTCTGACATTGTCTTTTTATTGTGTTGATAAGTTATTTCACTGTGCAGAAGCGCTTTAGTTAGGTCTCACTTGGCAGTTTTTGTTTTTATCGCAATTGTTTTTGGGGACTTAGCCATAAATTCTTTGCCAAGCCAATGTTAAGAAAGGCATTTCCTAGGTTTTCTTCTAGGATTTTATAGTTTGCAGTCTTATGTTTAAATCTTTATTCCATCTTGATTAATTTTTGCACATGGCTGATATGGTTTGGATCTGTGTCCCTGCCCAACTCTTATGTTGAATTGTAATCCCCACTTTTGGAGATGGGGCTTGGAGGAGGTGATTGGATCACAGTGGTGTATTTCTCATGAGTGCTTTAGTACCATTCCCTTAGTGCTGCTCTTCTGATAGTGAGTTCTTGTGAGATCTGGTTGTTTAAAAGTATGTAGCACCTCCACTCTCTCTTTTGCTCCTACTCCAGTCATATGATGTGTGTGCTCCCCCTTAACATTCTGTCATGATTATAAGTTTCCTGAGGCCTCCCCAGAAGCTGAGCAGAATGCCAGCCGCATGATTTCTGTAGAAGGATGGGGGAACTGTGAATCAATTAAACTTTAAAAAAAAAAAGTTTACCCAGTCTCAGGTATTTCTTTATAGCAGTGCGAGAATGGACTAATACAGATTGGCACTGAGGAATGGGACATTGCCAGAAAGGCATCTGAAAATGTGGAAGCAGCTTTGGAACTGGGTAGCAGGCAGAGATTGGAAGACAGGAAGATGAAGGAAAATTTGGAACTTTCTAGAAACTTGTTGAATAGTTGTGACCAAAATGCTGATAGTGATATGGAGATAGCCAGGCTGATGATGTCTAAGATGAAGATAAGGAACTTATTGGGAATGGCGTAAAAGTCACTTTTGTTATGCTTTAGCAAAGAACTTGGCTGCATTTTGCCCCTTCCTTAGAGATCTGTGGAACTTGAAACTTGACAGTGATGATTTATGGTATTTAGTGGAAGAAATTTCTAAGAAGCAAAACATTCAAGATGTGGCCTGGATACAGTATTTCTTATAAAGCAGGGCTTCCAGGGTGGTGTTCTCTATGGTTTTGTTTATTTTGGAATGTCTTAATTTTACTTTATTTTTTGAAACACAATTTTGGGAAAATAGAATTCTTAGTGGACATTCTTTTTCTTCCAGCACAGTGATTATATAATCCTACTGCCTTTTTGCCACCATGTTTTCTGATAAGAAATCCACTTTTAATCGTATTGAAGATCCTTTGCATGTGATGAGATGTTTTTCTTTTGATACTTGCAAGAATTTCTATTTATTTTTATCTTTTAACAGTTTGACTATGATGTGTCAAAATGTGTATCCCTTTGAATTTATCCTATTTGTGATTTGTTGAGATCCTTGGATGTGTAATATTTTTCTTTCAACCTGAAAAGTTTTCAGTCATTTTTTCTTCAAATTTTTCTCCCTTCTCTGTTTTCCTTTTGGGACTCCCATTATAGAGATGATAATATGCTTGATGATATCCTACAGATCCACTAATCTCTGTTCACATTTCTTCATTATATTTTTTCTTTTCCTCACACAGGACAATTTCAAGTGACTTATCTTCAAGTTAACTGGTTATTTCTTCTGAGAGCTCAAATATTGTCTTGAGTCTTCCTAGTACATTTTTTATTTCAGTCAACCTAGTTTTCAACTTCAGAATTTCTACTTGGTCATTTTTTATATATTTTTTTCCATTGGTTGTCTCTATTTGGTGAGCCATTATTCTTCTCATGCTTTCCTTTATTTCTTTAGATATGGTTTTCTTTAGTTCTTTAAACATATTTAAAATAAATGATTTAAAGTCTTTGTCTAGTAAGGTCAACATCAGAGCTTCCTCAGGAACAGTTGCTATTGCCTGTCTTTTTATCCTGGGTATGAGCCATATTTTCTTTCTTTTCATGAACTAAATTTTGGTTGAAAACTAGATTAACATAATAAAGCATGGTAACTTTGGTAATAAAATTCCCTCCTTTCCTCACAGTTTATTATTATTGTTGCTATTTATAGTAGTTATTTTTGATGTTGCTGCTTGTTTAGTAAATTTCCTGTACTAATTCCACAAAGTCCATATTCTTTGTTGTGTGCAGTCACTGAAATCTGTTTGATTAGCTTTGTGGTCAGCTAATGATTTGGAAGAGATTACCTTAAATGCCTTAAATCAATAAATAGCCTCTTAAGTAAAAGGTTCTGTGTTTTTGTTGGCAGGTAGCTTATAAGCTCTGGCAGTTGACAACACTACCTGCTTGCAAATAGCCTTAAAGTTCAGCTAGAGGTGACAGATTGTTACCAGTGGCAGGTATCCGAGTTACTGGTGGCAAATCCATACAGGTCTGCAGTAACCTCAATTATTGCCTCCTCAGAAGAAAGAATTTGACTGAGGGGCATAAGGCAGAAGAGACCAAAGTGAGTTTCAGAGTAGGAGTGGAAGTCATTTAAAAAGGCTTTACAAAAGTAAAGAGAGGAAAATTCACTTGGAAGAGATCCAAGTGGGCACCTGAAGGTTAAGTGTCATGTTTAACCCTGATGTTAGAACTTTATAGACTGACCTGTTTCCCATGATTCTTCCCTTAGGATGGGCTGCCTGTAGGTGCAGTGCCCTCCTTACCCTTGGGACGGGAGCACATAGTGTGTTTAGAAAGTAGTATGCATGCAGTCGGGTGTGGTGACTCACGCCTGTAATCCCAGCACTTTGGGAGGCCAAGGCAGGCAGATCAGGAGGTCAGGAGATTGAGACCATCCTGGCTAACACGGTGAAACCCCGTCTCTACTAAAAACAATACAAAAAATTAGCTGGGCGTGGTGGTGGGTGCCTGTAGTCCCAGCTATGCAGGAGGCTGAGGCAGGAGAATGGTGTGAACCTGGGAAGGCGGAGCTTGCAGTGAGCGGAGATGTGCCACTGCACTCTAGCCTGGGAGACAGAGCCAGACTCCGTCTCAAAAAAAAAAAAAAAAAGTAGTATGCTTGCCCATCTGAGACTTTCTTCCCATTTCTGGGAGAGTGCCCTTGGAAGGTCATACTTTGCCATTTTGTCTCTTGATGTGCATGTCCAGGAAGTTGCTTCTTCCTGGCATCTCCATTCAATTAACACTTTAATGTTCACAGCTGTGGGTCATCAGGAGATTTTCTCTCCATGGTGCCCTGGCTCCTGCTGCTGAATTATCATTTTTGGATAGGCAGTGTGGTAATTGTCAAACCATCACCTCACAATCCTAGTTGGTGGGGCAGAAGAGCCCACTCCTGCCCTGCTCATGCCTGTCTAACTACCCTTAACAAGATTAGGAATCTGCATATGGAAGTGGCCAGAAATATATTGGAGCTTTTCAAAGTCCCTATGAAGTTTTCAGTTTCCAGATTTTTATTTTAAGGATTTTGTCCATTCTCATGCTTGCTCCAACTGGTTATGCTGCTTCAGGAAGCTGTAATGTTAAACGATTGCCTCTGATTATTTTCAACAAATACCATCAGAGTAGGTTCTTTTCTACTGGGTGAGCTCTGAGTCAGATCAAATAAAGATAAGCCCTGCTAATGAGGCTTTTTCAGATCTTTCCCAGATACGTCAAATAGTGACAATTTTCTGGGAATAGGGCTTTATCTTGAGCTTCAAGCCAATTTTGCCTCCTCCAGTGGCTCCTAATCTGTTGGTTTTCACAGCTCCCATGGTGTGAGTCTCTTAGTTTTCAAGGTTACTGTGGAGCTTGGAAGAAAGTGATGAAAATAGGGCAAGTTAAAATTTATAAAGCTCTCTATTCTTAACAGGATTCAGCAGTTTTTCATGAATAAACATTCATCGAATTGTTGCAAGGCTTTGGTCAATTTCTAGGCTTCTGCAAACGTTGATGTTGACCTTTTTTTGTTAGTGCTATTATTGCCTTTATGAAGGAATGTATTTTCAGATGTCCTTATTCTGCCATGCTGAAAGTGCTTCTGTATCCAAAAAGTTTAGCTACCTTTGAAGAGTTTTAACCAGAGGAATGACATAATTGGCTTTGTTTTGGAGTAATCACTCTGCCGGCTTTTGGAGGATGGGGTATGAGTGAAAGAGTAAGACACATTCCAAGGCTTGACAGTCAGTCGTTCAAGGATGAAGTGATGTGGACTTGAACAATGCATTGCTGCTAATAAACACTGCTGTCCTAAATAACCATGGATAAAGGGTTAACAAAAGACTTTCCCTTACTGCATGACAATTTGATGTCCACCTAGTTATGTTGTTGAGTTGCGCTGTATTCAATAAGAATAAAAATGTCAGCTATGTTATTAGGCAATGTTTCTCATCATAACCCCATGAGTGGTAATCTGCACACACCTGATTAACATTCCATGGCTTGGATTTTCCCTCAGTGCAGTGCTTCTTGTAACTGGACACATCTCTCTGATGACCCAGGAAGCTGTGCTTATGGAATTGTTGTCTGATACTGGCTCCCATGAGGCATAAAATGTTTAAACCAAAGCCCCTATACCTACTTAATGTGCATCTTGTCCCCTGGCATTTGTATCATCATCTGGATAAGGTGGGGGTGTCAAAGAGATAGCTCCCTGTGCAGAAAAAAAAAAAAAAATGCCTGGTGCTGTACTGATAGCAAGCTCTGATTCCTCTCCTATGTCATTACAAGTGAATATGATGACATGTGTGGCCTAGGATGGTTTTGAGACTCTTAATGTTTAGTGATATTAACAAGAAACCATGGTTGGCTTTGCAGAGACCCTTGTGACATGGTTTGGCATTTAAATAACTGGGAATGATCTGCATTTTTACCTGCAGCTGGTAAGGAATTTGTGCTGCCTCAACACTTGCAAACTGTTTATTGTGGGTCACATTTTACTTTCCATACCAATCTAACTCATTTTTTTAATGTGTAATAAATAACATTGTTTTCATTCCAGTATATTCTGGAGGTGAGTAATAATACAGTCTCATATTTGTATATTAGTAAAAATCCATTAGATTTGATAATCCTTCAGAGCCTTCAAAGTGCTGTCATAATTATAGTATCATCTTTTTCTCAAACAACGCTGAGTTGACATCATAGTCCCTGTTTCATACTGTGAAATTTTGGCTCCAAAATGCTCAGTGGCTTGCTCAATGAGTCAGATGATTAACAGCCAATCTGTGATCTGAACCGTGGTCTTCAGCCTTCAATTTGGTGTTCTTTCCACTACCATATGAAGCAGAAGTTGTTAGCCATGTCCCCATGAGCCCTATGCCAACAGAAGCCAGTCTGAACTGATTTTGTTTTACGTGGTTGTTAGAAAGTGAGACACTCGCCCACAGAGCCAACAGGAAAGCTTGCCAGATCTTCAACCTTCCTGTTGAAAGAGGAAACTCTACTTCTTCATCACTTAACACTCATGTCATAGTTTTGGTGAAGGCCTTGTCACAACTGCCAAAATTCTTTTTCAGCTGAAAGCTGCTCATGCATATTCAGTAATGCAAATTAAATGTATGCCCTTAACTGGAAAGAAGTTAATAACCTGTAATAGCTGCCTCTGGTACTCCAGTGCTCTTGTGTCTTCACTAAGCAGTGGCAAGAGAGGGTGGTTTCTCATGGAAACCAGTTTTGTCTTTTGATATCTGTGTACTAATAATATGATGGTTTATATTTTTGATAAAGCTAGTCCTGATTCCTTCTTGGGCTCTTATTCTTTTTCTAAAATTTTAAAGATTAAAAAATAAACTTGTGATCTTTAATGATAGGATCTTAAGACTGAGATTCCTGTTAGAACAATCTCATTTTATTAGATGAGAAACTGAGTCCCAGAGAAGCAAAGCAATTTTTGCAAGGTCACATAGCCCTACTTGGGAATTCTTTAGCCATCGTTTGGTTTTCCTCTCCCTGCTCATTTGTTTTGAAGTTTTGTTGCATTATGATTAATTTATAATTGTTGAAAACAATATATTGAGGACTGACTATAGAGCACTTACTAGGTCAGCTTTTCAGAATGCTAAGATGCAGAGGTTTATAATTTGATCGAGAAAACAGATAAAAGTTAGCAGGTAAGATGCTTATATATGGGAATAAAGGTATACATATTGTGCCTTAGCGGAGTATATTCACTGTGGTTAGTTGATGGAACACGTACTTGTTTTTTGTTTGTCAAACACACGTTACGTACAATGCAATGTGAGAAATGTGATGGGAAATAATGATGTGAATAAGACATAATCTTTGCCTGCCCTAAACCTGCAATTCAGTAAGGCAACTAGTACTTAAGCAAATATGTTAATGGCCTGATGTCATTACGCATAGAAGCATACATACAAGTACGTATAGTCAAGACTGTGAATGACCCGGTCCTACACTGTTTACATATCTCCTATTACATCTTTTCTTTATTTCAACCATTCTTCTCTATCATCCATTCTGGCTGGTTATTCCTCTCTGATCATGCCACAGCCTGTATGTGGATGCTGGAGCTATTGTGCAGGGTTTGTATCCCAGATCTACTGCTTACTAATTATGGGGCATGAGTTAGCCTTTCTGTTCCTCCGTTTCTTCATCTGTGAGTTGGATATAATGGTATTATCTACCTCATAGGGTTTGTGAGGAATAAATGAGTTAGGCCATGCAGAGATTATAGAACTATTTTTGGCCCACAATTAGCACTAGAAATGAGTGTTAGTATTAATATTGCTAGTATGACCTCAACATATCTTTCAAGATTTTATTCAAGTGTTATCTTTACCACTCATCCTCATCCTCTCTTTTTAAAAATTATATTTATTTATTTATTTATTTGAGACAGAGTCTTGCTCTATCACCCAGGCTGGAGTATAGTGGTCCCATTATAGCTCACTGTAGCTTTGAACTCTTGGGCTACTGTGGTCCTCCTGCCTAAACCTCCCAAGTAGCTAGGACCACTGGCCCAAGTCAGCATGCCTGAATATTCTTTTTTAGTAGATGAGGTCTATCAGCCTACCCCACATTGGTGCTGTGAATGGAGAATAAAAGGACTGAAAAGGCATGTTGGAAGGAGAAACAACAGGACATAACGATGGGTGGATCAACAGCCACACAACACTCTTTCATGCCACTCTCTGCCAAGACCCTCTTCCCCTATATTTGTTGGTCTCAGCTCTGGGCTCCCTTCAGACTGTGCTCCAGCCCTCACCTTCTGAAAGCTGACTCTTATCTCTATCTGCTCTTGTGAGTCCCTAACCCTGGGTACAATCTCAATCACAGGACTACTACATTGTATTTCTCGGTGTTTTTTCTCTCTCCAAATACTTTTAAGTTTATCCAGGATAAGAACCACTGAGGGATGGATACAAAGGACACATAGGTAGAGGAACATTTTTAGTGCATGGAGAAATGTGATGGATTTTGTTGTTAGTTTTGATTTTTAATGCCCTATTTTATTATTAATCAATTAGAAATATAGACAAGAAATAATTTTTAAGAGCCCCAAACAAACAAACAAATAAACAAAAAAAACCCAACCAATCAACCAAGCAAAACACCAAAAACTACTGCTGGTTCAAGATGGCAGATCTCAAAAATGTATTTATTTCCTGTTCCTCCTAATATACTTTAAGATTAAAAAATCTGGAAGCATAGAAAAAAATAAATAAAGTATATCAAAGTATAAAGAAAATGTATAAAATAAACCAGTTAAGAGAATGGATGAAGGTGGAAATTTTACCATGTGAGAAATAACACAGTTTTGGATAATGATAAAGAGTGTATTGATGGAAGAACCCACAGAGAAAACTGCAGCCACGTAGACCAAATGGAACAAAAAGAGAGTCTAGAAATACATTTATACATTTGTAGTCAATTGGCCTTTGACAAAGATGCCAAGAACACACAATGGAGAAAGCTATAGGATAGATTTTTTAATACATGTTCATGGGAAAACTGGATATCCACAGGCAAAAAAAAAAAAAAAAGCCCAAAAACGTATTAAAGTAAGACCTAAAACTTATAGAAATACTAGAAGAAAACATACAGAAACTAGTCAGGACATTGGTATGGAAAATTATTATTATTTGGATACGATCCCTAAAGCACAGGCAAAACAGCAGTGATAGACAAATAGGTTATCATCAAACTAGAAGGTTTCTACATAGTAAATAAACAATCAATAGAGTGAAGAGGCAACTTACAAAATGGGAGAAAATATCTGTAAACCATACATTTGATAAATAGTTTATATCCAAAATATGTAAAGAATTCAAACAATTGAACAACAGGAAAACAAATAACCTTATTTAAAAAATGGGTGAAAGACCTGAATAGACATTTCTTCAAAGAAGATGTACAATGACCAAGAGGTATATTAAAATGTGCTCAACATCACTAATTTTCATAGAAATTCAAATTCAAGCCACAATTAGGTATCACCTCACACGTTTTGGGTTGGCTATTATCAAAATTACAAGAGATAACGTGTTGATGAGGGTATGGAGAAAAGAGAACCACTGTACATTGTTGGTGGGAGTGTAAAATGGTATAGCCATTATGAAAAAGTATAAAACCTTCTCAAAAATTTAAAGATAGAACTATCATCTTAAAATAACTATTAATGATTTCCCCAATATTTTGAAAACTACAGAAAATATCCTGTTTAGGCATTCTATATGAAGAGAGCAAATGGACCAACTCATACCACCCCATAATTTAAGAGCATGTTTTAGAGTTTTTGAATCCATCTAAATCAGATCACTTGCTCTATAGTGGAAGATCCAGAGAGATGCATGTAACTCAGCACATCCATTTCTACTGTTCTTGTTGTAGTCATTCAAGAACATCTTGCCTGCACTGCATGCTTCACTGCTGTAGCTGTATTTTTAAAATATTTCACATAGTCACCAAAATTATCTTCTTGAAATCCAGATCCTAGTGTAGTGGGATATTGAAACTTATCCTCTTACCCTGGGATTTATGACTAAGATTCTAAGTTAGGAGGAATCAAGTATCTCCTGCAGGTTCGCTAAGATATGATAGGAGCAGCACTGCTAATGCCAGCCACAATCTGAACATCATCCCCTGCTCCTTCTCAGCCCAGTTATGGGGTCTGGAGTGACTCAGTGTCCTGAGATATTGGCTTTGAGGTGTAGTGTTGTTTCTTTTCCTCTCATCAGCAGGGGTGCTTTACTCCCACTCTAAAGTAGAGAGAAAGGATCCTCCAAAGGATTCCTCAGAGCTTTCTGCATGAAGGAAAGGTGGGCACCTTGCTTTCTGTATGGCTGTTTGTTAATCTGCAAAGAGCTGCATCCCCATCCCGATGCTCTCAACTGCAGTTAGCACTGTTCTGTGGGGAGCCTGGAGTATGGGCACGTATGTTAACTCAGAGACTGGATATTTCTGAAGGTGGAAGTGATGGTTGCAGGGCCCTTGGGCACCAGGAGAGTGAGAAAGGACCATGAAATAGGGTGCTTTTGAAGAAGTGGGCTTACCTGTCTCCTGATGTGGTTTACATATCACCTGATCTCATTTACATGGCTACAGATGTCATTAGAAGAAGAACTTGGTGATTCCTTTGGGTCCACACAGAGGAACAGGGAGGATAAGGAATTGGCAGGACCCTTGTAATAGCCCAGGTGGCTGCCAAGGGAAAGGGTGCCCCCTTCCCTAATGAGGCCGTTAGGTGTGATTTACTGGCTAGGACAATTCATAAGTACCATCCCAAGCAAGTCAGGCACACAATCTAGATGGAGATCATCAAATTATTGACCACCACAGGCTGGAATGACACTAGGGTATAATCAACATCAGACAGTGTGGTAAATTCAACCTCTACTATATTTTCCATTATTCTCTTCTTTCCTCAACACTAGAGACAGATATAGAAGAGGAAAGAAGAGGAGAAAGTGTTCCCAAACCAACACTCCTTTCATCTCTCCTGCTGTTTCTATCTGTACCAAATTGGAAGAGGTGACAGAAGGACGGAAAGAATAGAACCTGTATGCCTTGCCCCTACTTCAAGTCCAGGAGGCAAAATATGACTGAGAATAGCAAGGGGTGAAGATCTGAATCCAATGTGAGACTAGAGTTTTCAACTGCACTTAGGAGTTAATAAGTTAACCACAGTGACTGAAAATTTAGTTGGAAAAAAATGAATTTTCAACAAAGAATGGTTGAACACAGTGATTTGGTGGAAGGAGAATGAAGAGTTTAAGCTTCACATTTCACTTATGCAAGATTGCTTAATTAGCCCCAAATATGCCACTTGGTATGATTTGAATATGTGTTCCCACCAAATCTCATGTTGAATTGCAATCACCAGTGTGGGAGATGGGGCCTCGTAGGAGGAGTTTATGTCATGGGAATGGATCCTTCATGGCTTGGTGCTATCCTCAGGGTAGTGAATGTGTGCTCTCGAGATCTGGTTGTGGTAAAGTGTGGCACCCCCACCAGCTCCTTCTCTCTTGCTCCTGCTTTTGCCGTGTGATGTGCCTGCTCCTGCTTCACCTTCCACCATGAGTAAAAGCTCAGGAGCTGAGCAAATGCCAGGGCTATGCTTCCTGCACAACCTGCAGAACCATAAGCCAATTAAACCTCTTTTCCGTTTGAATTACCCAGTCTCAGGTATTTCTTTACAGCAAAGTAAGAATGGACTAACACAACACTTCTCTGAACCAAGCACTCAGACTATTTTCTAACTTTTTAGCATGATGTTCAGAACATTCTCCAAGCCTACGTTGGGCTTCCTAGCTCTTGTGCCTTTTTTAAAACTGTTTCTTCTGCTTAGAGTGACCTTTTCTCTCATGGTCTCATATTCAAGTTCTCTCTATCCCTTAAGGGGCTATATAGCATGCCATTGTAGAATTGGAACATGGTTTATTAAACTAATTGCCTCCTTCCCTTTGTGATGAAAACTATAATTTTTAAATCTGAGATATAATTAGATATCATGAGATTCACTCTTTTCAAGTGTACAATTCAGTGATCTTAATAGTTGTGCAGTCATCACCACTTATATGGTGATTTCATTACCCTCGAAAGAAACCACATACTCCTCCATGATGTGCTTATTTTACATTGCATGCCTGTATCAAAACAGGCATGGGATACCTGGTAGGTTTATGTATTTATGGGGTAAAAATAAAATAAAATAAAATAAAATAAAAATGTACGCATTAGCAGTCACTCCTTATTTTCCTGCACCCACGTCAGGGAAACCACTAATATACTTTCTGTTTCTATGGATTTGCCTAATCTGGACATATAAATGGTATCATACAACATGTGACACTTTGTGTCTGGCATCTTTCATATAGCATATTTTCAAGGTTAATTCATGGTACAGCATGAATGAGTATTTCATTTCTTTCTATGGCTGAATAATATTCCATTGCATGGATATATGATATATAAATGTATTCAGTGGTAAAATCCTACCATTTGGAAAGTAAATCATATTGCTAACATAATCAAATATATACAAAATATATATTAATAAATGTTTCAGTGAAGCAAAATGGTTGCTGTAACCATTTATATATAAAATATGTAATGTATATATATATGGTTTGGTTTGTCTTATCCTTTGAAATTATCAGTCAATGGATATTTAGGTTATTTCCACCTTTGACTATTTAGAATAGTATTACTATAAACATTTGTATATATAGATTTAAAAAAACTTATTTTTAATTCTTTTGGTTATTCACACAAGAGTGGAATTCCTGGGTTACACGATAATTCTATGTTTAACTTATTGAAGCACTGCCAAACATTTTTTGAAAGGTAGCAGCACCATTTTACCTTTCCACTTATAAGAGATGAGAGTTATAATTTCTCTATTGTCTTTTCTTTTCAGCCTGAATAAATCACTTCAGTATTTTTGTAAGAGAGGCCTGTTAGCACTTTTGTCAGTTTTTGCTTATGTGGGGCTGCCTTAAATTGTCTTCCTCTTTTTTTTTTTTTTTTGAGACAGAATTTTTTCTGTAGCCCAGACTAGAGTACAGTGGTGTGATCATAGCTTACTGAAGGCTTGAACTACTGGACTCAAGCTATCCTTCTACCTCAGTTTCCAGAGTAACTGATGCTATGGTTACAGAGTAACTGCCATGATGTCAGGCTAATTTTTTATTTTTATTTTTCGTAGAGATGGGGTCTCACTATGTTGCCCAGGCTCATCTCAAACTCCTGAACTCAAGCAATTTTCTCACCTTGGCATCCCAAAGTGTTGAGATTATAGGCATGAGCCACTGAAGCAACGCTCTCCTTCATTTTTGAAGGATAGTTTTGCTGAATATAGAATTCTTGGTTGATGTCTCTTTCCGAATTTGGAGTAATATCTCTTTTCCACTGGCCTCTGTGTTTTCTGATAAAATTGTCTGCTCATCTAATTGAGGATGTCTTGTACATGATGAGTTACTTATCTTTTTCTACTTTCAAGATGCCTTCTTTGTCCTTGTCGTTTAGTGATTATGATGTGTCTAAGTGTGGTCCTCTTTGATTTCATTCTACTTGGAGTCCATAAGTTTCTTGGATGTGTAGGTTAATCTTTTTAGAAATCAAATGTTGGAAGTTTCTGACCTTATTTCTTCAAATATTCTCTCTGCCCTTTTCCATCCCTCCTCTCCTGCTAGGACCTCCATTACTCATATGTTGATGTGCTTGATGGTGTCCCCCCAGGTCTCTGAGACTTTGTTCAATTTTCTTTATTTTTTATTTCTTTTCTCACACTACATAATCTCGATTGACCTATTTTCAAGTTTGTCATTTCTTTCTGCCTTCTCATATGTACTTTTATGAGTCCCTCTAGTGATTTTTTTTTATTTCAGTTATCGTACTTTTCAACTCTATAATTACTTTTTGAAAGTTTTCTGTCTCTCCATTGATAGTCTCTGGGAATCATTGTTCTCACAAACCTTTTTAGTTTTTTGGACATGACTTTACTGTAGTTTTTGGACACAGTTTAAATAACTATTTAAAGTATTTTTCTAGTAAGTTTACTATCTGGGCTTCCTCAGGGACAGTTTCTATTGACAATATAATGAGACAACTCTGGAATTCAGATTCCTCCACCTCCCCATGGTTTGTTATTATTACAGTTTGCTGTTGTTTTCTCTTTGGTAACTTTTCTTACTAATTCTGTAAAACCTTTTCTTTGTCATGTATGGTCATTGATGTC
This sequence comes from Homo sapiens, assembly GCF_000001405.40. Taxonomy (NCBI): domain Eukaryota; kingdom Metazoa; phylum Chordata; class Mammalia; order Primates; family Hominidae; genus Homo; species Homo sapiens. The sequence goes on along the minus strand of NC_000008.11, from coordinate 131,653,105 downwards.
TCTGCTTAGTTAGCTTACTGGTCAGCTAATTATTGAATTGATATTTATTTTGATGCCTGCAATTAATAAGTCTCCCATTCTTTGCAGATAGTCTCTATGTGTTTGTTGGAGTACATCTTCAACACTCAGCTAGGCAGTTTATAACTCTACCTTAGCCATCCCTTCCTGTTTGTGCCAGTTTTCTCCCAAAACGTTGTACCAATTTCTGTTTCCATCAGCAACTGTGATAGTGCCTAAATAACAGTGCTTTTTGACTATGATGAGTTTTTTCAATAGATCTTTTACTAAGTTGTATTAAATTATGTGAGAATCTGAGGGAAGAACCACCTGAAAGATTTATCTAGAATCCAGTTAACACTTTCCCTGAATAACTAATAAGACTAATAAGTCAATTAACAAAGGACTGCTTCACATGTGTTTGGCTTCTGTATGCACAATCAGATTCTTGCTGCTGCACATGTTGTATTAAGAGAACTGGAGTTAAACAGCAGAGAAAAATAACTTATCTTAATAGAGCATCCACCATATTCCAGTTCATACAAATATACATACAAATATGCTGCTTAATGAACAAGACAGAGAAATTAGTGGAAAATTTGATATTGTGTAATTGCTGTTAGTTTAGATCTGTGCACTGAATAAAAACAAAATTTTAAAGCATTTTTCAGGTCATGGATTTTATATGACATGTCCCACTTAGTCCTCCCAATAATGCTATGAGATAAATGTGTGCTCTGGATTGAAAATGGATGGGCTCAATCACTCCTCTTCTCATTATAGAGAGTATGACACTGGGAAACCTGTTTATCATCTCTAAACCTCATTACCCTCAACTGGGAAATGACAGTTTTAAAAAACAGTTACCTCGTAGAGTTGTTGAGGAAATTAAATGAAGTAATGCATATAAATCTCAGCATAGAGTAGAAGATGAATAACCATGAGCTAATATTAATATTGTTAACTTTGTTTTTTTAAAAAATTAAAGTTTGGGAACCTAAAGCTCAAAGATGTAAAATGACTTTTTCAAGATGGTTAGCTCAAACAAATAACTGATAGTATGGTTTTGAACTCAGGTTTATTTTTAGCATATATTCTACCCTCTTCTGAGTTCTGTGGAGAAAGTCATTTAAGGTTTTAAAATTTGTGTTTAGGAAGATCGCATTGGAAGCATATAGGTGTCACTGTGTTTTCGCATCAACTCAGCAAACATTGCTTGGTTACCTATTTAATGGTAGGCCCTGTACGCTAATTGATATGGGACATCAATTGATAAAGAAAATCAATTGACACAGCAGATTCAATGTAGAGATACTAGATAAAAAGAGAGAGAGAGCACACATGAGGGCAGACCTATGCTTCTCAGGAGTTCATTCTTTAGTGGAGAAGTCAGTCATTTCTGCAGTTTATTGTAGAACTGTGTAGGGTTATCTTCAAGGGAAACCTTAATGAAGCAACAACTAAACTTGCTATGGTAGATAGATAACATTTTAAGAAGAAATATAAAATTTTGGATTGTGTCTGGGAAAGAAAAAGTAGGGAGGTATAATATATTCTCTTTCAATAAACTAAATCCCAGTCTTCCAAAGTTGGGAACTATGGGCACATATACATGGGGGTGTGTTGCTGGGCCTTGTGCCCTGGGTTCTTGTTCACTGTTATTAACCTTTGCTTTGGAAAATAACACAGAAAACCCACTTCTGCTATCACCAGAGAAAAAACATGCAAGATCCCTTAATGAAAGCTAAACATCATCCCACAAGGCTATCTTTGGCAGAGATAATTTTTTACAGGAGTTGGGTTAATGAAAAGCCATATAATAGTAATAAGAATTACATTTCTCTAAACCAGGTACTTGATAAAGATTTTTAAATCTACTCTTTATTTAATTCTTATAGAAACCTTGAGAAGATGTTCTATTTCCATCCTCATTTTTCATATGAATTAAACCAGAGTTAGACACAGTGGTCACATTAGAAGCCAGAGTTGAGCTGGGCAATGAAATCTACATAGGACCTCTCAGAAGGGATATTTCAAAGCAATTCTAGAGAAGAAGCAAGAATGATAGCCTATGCACAGGCTTAAATGCCTCATGAAATCTTTCCCTGACCCTTAGATTTGAGAAGTCCTCTCCCATCCAGACACAGAGATATTCCTTCATAAAAAATGTTATTACATTTATTTGATTTTTTTACAATCTTCTCCTCTAGTTTGTAAGAACAAGGACAGTATCTGTTATGTTATACTTTTTCTTAGGTATTAGCATAGTTCTTGATATTAAATAGGCATTCCCTTAATATTTGTGTAAACAAATTTGAGTCAAAAACAAGTCAGAAGTTTATTATAAAGCTGAACATGGGTTTACCATAAGTCTTGGCAATAGCATCCTTTCATTTATCTCACAAAAATGAAAATTTATGCTCACACAAAAGCCTATACATGAATGTTTATAGCAGTTGTATTTGTAATAACTCTGAACTGCAAATAATTAAAATGTCATCCAATGGGTGAATGGTTAAACAAACTGAATCATTCATGTCATGGAATACTAATCTGCAACGTAAAGGAACACATTGCTCACGCAACAACTTGGATGGGTCTCAAAGGATTTATTCCGAGTACAAAAAGCCAATTTGGAATAGTTACATACAATATGATTCCATTTATGTAGCACTCTTGAAATGACTACATTATAGAAATGAAGAACATCATAGGGATTAGGGAAGGGAGAGAGGTGACTGTGTCTATAAAGGAGTAGCATGAAGAATTCTTGTGGTGAAGCTGTCCTGTGTCTTTACTGTGGGGGTGGTCATAGAAATTTACACCTGTGATCAAATTGCGTTTAACTCAATACACTACCCACACACATGTGAGTGTGCAACACACCAACATGAGTGCATATAAAACTGGTAAAATCCGAATAATGTTTGTGGATTGCATAAATGTTAGTTCTCCTATTATGATAGTGAACTATAACAGTTTTAACATTAGAGAGAACTGAGCAAGAAGGTTATAGGATATTTCTCTGTATTATTTCTTACAATGGATTGGTCTTTATTGACCTAGGTCCTTACCACTGGGCAGTATCTTAACGGTATCTTCTGCCTTCTGAGGGGCTATTTCTTGTAATAAGAGAATTTGAATGTCTTGATGAGACCCCAGTACATTCACAATAACTGAAGGGAAAGCAGACCATATGTACAGCTGCAGCCAAGTTGTAGGTGAGGTGAGGGGAGCAAGGAGAAATTATCTTTTGCTTATTTTCTCAGGGAAATAGAAAGGCCATCTGATGAAGGTGGAAAGAGGAGAACTTTCCAATCTGAGGATGCAGAAGGCATGAAATAGTCATGAAGATGAATGGAAAAATCAAGTATCTATAGGGAGACGTAGTAAGATTGCTGTTAGCGTCAGAGGCATTTGAACCAGAGCAACTCCATTTTGAGTGAGGGCTGGAAAATGAGGCTGAGATTTGTTGGGCTGCATGCTCAGAAAATTAGGCATTCCTAGCCTCTGGATGTTTACGGTTAGGGGAACAAATAGTGTTTACTACACAGACCCAGACTTGGGAGTGTCCAGATATCCCGATATCTGGAGAACAAAGGCATTCCTAATTTTGCTTTAAAGATAATATCAATTCTTGCAAAATACAGTAATTAAGAAAATTAATCCTTTATCACAAACCCTTGTAGCAGAGCACATCTCCCCATATATACAGGCATTGTACCTAGGGTGGACGCGTTCCTCCTCGTACTTTCTGGAACGTTCTACTCTGACTATGGAGTAGCTGTCCTTTCACCACTTTACTTTCTCAATAAACTTGCTTTTACTTTACATTGTGGACTTGCCCTGAATTGCTTCTTGTATGAGATCCAAGAACCCTCTCTTGGGGTCTGGATTGGGACCCCTTCTCTGTAACATTAAGACTGAGAGCCCGCTTGAGGACAATGACTTTAGAATTTCTAAAGTGATTTTTGTATCTGCATATTTATGTACTTTCCTCCAGTCATTCTTAGTTTACCAGGTTAAGGAACTAAATGAATGAAGAGTCACTTAACCAAGGTGGTGTTTTGCAAGTGAATTTGACAAAGGAGCGGAGAGGCAAAGCAGTCGAGGTGATACTGATGGTGATTTTAACGATGGACCATGGAGTCTAAGCTGAAAGGAAGTGAAGATGGGGGGACAGAGGTAAGAGAGAGTGAGAAAATGGTAGCATCAAGGATTATAGAACATAATGGTGTCAAAGAATTACTGGAGTTGTGTGACTAGAAAAATGATCTGGAAATTGATTTATGGAAAGAGCACAAATTTGGGATATGACTGGTGACATGAATGGTTGAACTGCGATGAAAGACAAGATCATTCGAGGAGGGACAGTCAAGAAAGTGAGAAGCCAGGGCAAGGGGAGCATTATCTTAGTGGATATTCGAATTTAAGATAACACTGTGTTGGAGAAAGGATCAGTGATCTAGGAGTTGCCACATCCCAGGAATAAATACCACTGTACTCCATCCTCACAGTAAGACTGTGATCTGGGTCTGCTTAGCCTCAATATACAGAGGACATAACTGGGGCTCACAGAGCTGAGACAATTAGTGCAAGATCTTACTCAAATATATCAGATAACCAGGAGTTCAGGTAAGACAAGTCCTCATTAGGAGGACGTTTCAAATTTTTGGAGCATGGTGGTCCCTGTCAGTCTAGCTGAGGCCAAAGTAGACCATTGTGGAGCCCTGAGATAAGGAGGGGCATTGGATTTAACTCTCAGGCTTCACAATCATGATCAGAGACATGTTCTATAACCATATATACTATAAGGCTGCAGGCTTGGTTTACTTCTTCAGCAACACTCTAACCAACTGAGCTAAATGGCCACCACCTTGGTTTACTTTAGAAAATAGAATAGCTGATCCTGGCGGCTAGTGGATGGGAGTTGAAATATGGGTTTTCCACTCAATCAATAATCAGAAGGCAGGCTCGCCTGCTGGAAGTTACTCTTTTTCTAGGCATTTTCTACATGAGAGTCATCAGAGTCAGGCAGAAATTAATCATGAGTCCCCAAGAGGAAACAGATGCCTGGAAGTGCCTGACCTAGAGTGAGAGACAGAAAAAAAGAGTGCAAAGAGGTGGGCATGATGAGAAATGCTAGAAGACACTCTTCTGAGAAGCCAAGTTACAGGGTGATAATTTTTGCAAGAGCTTTATATAGTCTCAGACTAAAACTAAAACTGGGGCAAAGTTTTTCAGATACTCTTTCCAATAAAATCAAGCTAAATTACTAAGTTTTAAAAGCAAAGTCACAAAGCAACTTAAATAAATTCCACTGTGCCTCCACACCCAAGTCCCATGAAGTGTTTAAACTGAGAGAGAAATTTCTTAACATCTAAAATTGTACCAATAAAGAGATTCTCAATTAACCTTAAATAATATGTATGTAATCATATAGAAAAAGGAACAGACTTTGTAGCCAGAGAAAACTGGATCCAAATTTCATCCTTGCCCCTTTTTGAGGGGTAAATTTTGATGAGTTATTTAACATGTATGTGCTTCAACATTTATCTTCTGCATGAAGGGATTATTATTTCCAATTTACTTTGTCATTGGGAGAACTAATTCAAATAACGTAGGTAAAGGAACAATCACATACTTGTCTCAGCTATCTCAGTTACTCTAAGTCTTAATTTAAAGGTTCTAAAACCTCGGACCATGAAGATTAAAAGCAATGACAACAACCACAGAAGCTAGAATGTGTTGTTAGGTGCTTTACATATTTACCTTATTTAATCTTCCCATTGACCCTAAGAGTAGCTATTACTATTATCTCATTTTATGGATGTTGAAACCAAGGCTGAAAAGGCTAAATAACTTGACTAAAGGTTCATGGCATATGCCATGGAACTGGCCTTTGAGAACTGAGTTTCCTTGGAAGCTTTCTGCATCATTACCAAATTTTTGATAACCAATATGTACCATATGTCAGATTAAAACATGGTAAAATTATTTCCTTACAGGAAAATAGTCACCTCGATAATGTCCCTCCCTGCCTTCCTTTTGCCTTCCTTCCTTTCTGTCTGCCTTCCTTCCTTTCTGTCTTCCTTCCTTCCTTTTTGCTTTCCTTCCTGCCTTCCCGCCTTCCTTTCTGCCTTCCTGTCTTCCCATATCACATAAATTGCCATCTTACCTTCCTCCATGTCTTCTTAGAAAGGTTAGTAACCGTTACCAGTCTGTCATTACAAAATGCCCCTTTCTAGCTGTATACCCTTAGAATAGTCAACTGAACTCTCTGTGAGCCACGAGTGTCTCATACGTAAAATGCACAATAACATAAGATGGTTGTGAAGACATAATGATGTAATGTGCATGCTTAGGTGGAAATCACTACAGAAATATTTAGCACAAGGACAAATGATTTAATTAGAGACAATGACAATATTTAATTTATTAAGAATAACTTGTATTTTTTTTCTTTTTGATTTCCATGTTATTATATTATCATCTTTACTAACCAAGAAAAACTTTTTTGAAATAATGCATGTGGAATATCAGAATTTGAATCTTGGTTCCACTACTTACTGGCTGTATGGCAATGCTCTGGATCAGAGCCTCAGTATCAACTATAGAGAGAATGAAAGACAGTGGAATAAAAGAGATAGAAAGGAGAAAAGAAAGGGAGGACAGAAAACACAATGTTTGCTGGGAACTTTACATATGTTATTTCATAGAATTTTTCATAAAATAACCAAGACAGGAAAAGAATTTACTTACTTTCCCAATTCTAATTTCACACAATTCATAGATTTCAATTTTAGCGTGGAGAGATATTGATGAAAACATGATGTGGGGCAAGATTGATGTTAGTCCTACCCATATTTGGGAGGTGGAACAGAGTGGGTGCCAGTCTTCTTGGGTTATTGCAAAAAAAAAAAAAAAAAAAAAAAAAAAGCCAACCACCTAGCAGTGTATATTATCAGAAAAGGTGTGCATACAATTGGGCAAAATCTTCAGAACTCCCAGTTAAGGGAACCTTGTTAATTAGCGTCCACACCCCTGCTTCATGCCCAGCGCAACTGACTGCTCAAAGTCCTGAGCACTAACAGTCACTGATCTCACAAAGATTCCATGACTAGTGAGATGACCAGAGGTACCTGCACTCCAACAGGCCACTGCTGTGCCTTGTCTTTTTTTTTCCTTTCCTTTTCTTTTTTTTTTTTTTTTTGAGATGCAGTCTTGCTCTATCGCCCAGACTGGAGTGCAGTGGCACGATCTCAGCTCACTGCAACCTGCGCCTCCTGGGTTCAAGTGATTCTCCTGCCTCAGCCTGCTGAGTAGCTGGGATTACAGGTACTTGCCACCATGCCCAGCTAATTTTTGCATTTTTAGTAGAGGTGGGGTTTCACCATGTTGGCCAGGCTGGTCTCAAACTCCTGACCTCGTGATCTGCCCACCTCGGCCTCCCAAAGTGCTGGGATTACAGGCGTGAGACACCGCACCCGGCCTGGCCACTGCTTTTCTCTGTAATTCAAAGCCATACACTAGTTAGGACCCTCATGGTAAGACGAATTAATGTATGATTTATTTAATTGCTGAAAAAAAGGAAGAGGAGGAGAAAGAGAGGTGTAAGTAAGCATATAGCTGTGTCCCTGTAGCATTGCCGTGCATGAGGGGAAAGGGCTATGGAGATGGAGAGTTTCAAATGGAGCATTTATTCCAAGGGGAAGACAGTGTCAGAGGGATTCAGTATCAAGTGGAACAAACAAACAGCCTGAGCAATTTAAAAGAAGCAGTCTGAGGATAAAAGCAGCCTGGTAAATGACTTTCAAGAATTAAAGATGTTAAAGACAGACTTTTATTTTAGTCACTTTTTTTTTCCTTTTCAACTTTTATTTTAGTTTCAGGAAGTACACGGGGTGGTTTGTTACATGGATAAATTGTGTGTTGCTGGGGTTTAGTGTACAAATGATTTGGTCACTCCAGTAGTGAAGACGGTACCTAATAGATATTTTTCTGACCTTTATCCTCCTCCCACCCTTCACCCTAATGTAGGTCCTGGTGTCCATTGTTCACCTCTTTGAAACTATATGTGTACTCAACATTTAGCTTCCACTTATAAGAGAGAACATGCAGCATTTGGTTTTCTGTTTTTGCATTTATTTTCTTAGGATAATGGCCTCCAGCTGCATCCATATTTTTGCAAGGGACATGATTTTGTTCTTTTTTATGGCTGCATGGTATTCCGTGGTGTATATATACTATGTTTTCTTTATCCAGTGTACTATTGGTGGGCATCAAGGTTGATTCCAGGTCTTTTCTATTGTGAAAAGTGCTGTGATGAACATATGAGCACGTATGTCTTTTGGTAAAATGATTTATATTCCTTTCTGTATATATCCAGTAATGGGATTGCTGGGTTGAATAGAAGTTCTGTTTTAAGTTCTTTGCAAAATCTCCAAACTGCTTTCACAGTGGCTGAAATAATTTATATTCTGACCAGCAGTCTATAAATGTTTCCTTTTCTCCACAACCTTGCCAACATATTTCCTAACTTATTAATAATTGCCATTTGACTGATGTGAGAGGTATCTCATTGTGATTTTGGTTTGCATTGAAGACAGACTTTTAGATCTGTAACACAGCAGTTCCCAGTAACCATATTTTAAAAATCATGACTTCTTAAATAGGACTGATATTTCCCAATAGAAGCTGATCTTTCTTGATTCAAGGCAAAACTAACTCCCCTGTTCTTCTCCTCCTCCTATTTCTTCTTCATTTTAAGTCACAATTGCTAAAGTGCATAAGTAATTGTGGTTTCAGACAGTGAATTTTTAATTATAACTAGGCTCAAATACATCTTAATTAAAATAGGAACCATTACAATCAACACATTTTTGCCAATGAGAAATAAGTTTGTTTATTCCTGTAGTGTAAAAATCCATGCTTTGAGATTCAACAAACTCTTGGAAAGCATTTTCTGCATCCAAGAGTTTGTTGCATCTCATAGCATAGATTTTTAATTTATTTATTAACTTATAATTTATTTATAAATTTATTTATATTTATCATTTATTAATTAAAATAGGAATCATTACAGTCAACACATTTATTATTTGTAATATGATTTGATAAAAATTGTACAATCTGGTACAATTGGTGTTTTTAATGATAATGTTTAACTGTCAAAAATAGTCAAGTGAAATGGGTTTCTCTTCTATTTAAGAAGATAGATGAGTGTGCAATATGTTGGAGACAAATTTCTTCCAAGTTAATTTATTTAACAAATATTTATATTGCTGGTTCTTTGCTAGACATTGAGAATACAAATGTGATTTAAAGATATAAGGTGCCTGCTTTCCTAAAGTTTACAGTTTGAAGGTATATTAAGAGAAGTAAATAAGCAGTGAGAATATGGCATGCTAAGGTCTCTAACTGAAGAGATAAAAGAGGCTCTGAAAATCACTGGCGGGGCACTTAGTTTAGGGGAGGAAAGTCTTTAGGATGGTCTCCAATAATCTCCTCCTCATGGTATTCACCTTCTTGGATAATCTCTCTAAGTGTGAACTGGACTTACTGACACTGATGAAAAGAATCCAACAGAAGTGATGATTTTTCACTTGGGTTAGGTTACAAAAAAACTGTGTGTTTTGTTTTGGTTGTGTGTTCTCTCTCACTGTCTCTTTGATTGTCTGCCCTGAGGGAAACTTGTTTCCAGCTTGTGAAATAGGCCAGTAGAAGGATTCAGGTGGCAAAAGGTGAAGACCTGCCAGCAATGACAGGAGGGAGCTTAGAAGCATTCCCTCCTTCCCCAGCCCAACTGGCAGATGACACCATAGTAAAACTGGGTGACAGCTGGACTGGCCTCAGGGCATATATCTGGGTCCTTGGATTTTTACTCTGCTCTATTCTGAGAATAAAAAATGAAAAATACAAGATTTTTTTTTTAAATTAGATGTCCACTGCAGTCTGAGGCTACTTCTACCCAATCCTTCTTCCTTCCCTCTCTCCTTTCGTAAGTATCAGACCCCCATCACAATCTAAAGGGTCTCACCTACTCTTACATCTTTCCCTTGTATTCTTCAGAAGTGTTACCCTGATAAATCTCCTGCACATCTAATCTGCTCTTTCCATTGGCTTCTCAGAGGATGCAAACTGACACAGCCTCTGAAACCCAAACCCGATGAGCCTCAGACAGCTGTGCAGTTCTGAAAAAGCTGTGGCCAGGTCAATGGGCAGTCTTTGAGGAAAGGTTGTCTGTTAGAAGAGTCCCTTATCAGGTAGAAATCACCCAGAGTTAGTACCCCTACTGTGCTCAGTCCTTGGCTTGGAACAAACTGGGGAAGGTGTACATTGGTGTGAACACCAAAGGATGGAAATGGAGAAGAGGGTAGCAGTTACCTCACCATTTGCATGATTCACTACTTTCTGGCATATTGTAAGGGTCCAAGAATGATAACACTGTGACAACTAGCATGTGTTATGACTACTAAAACACTTATATAGTGCTTGTTAAAAATAAACTAGGCCAAATTATAAATCCTTTGCGTATACTAATTCATGTGATTATCACTGTAGCCCTATGAAATCAGGTTATAGCCATTTTAAAGATGATGAAATTGAGGTATAGACAAGTTAAGTAAAGGGGCAGAGCCAGGCTTTGAACACAAGAATGCTACCTCTGAAATGCATGTTTGTACCCATTAAATCTGTTTTATTTGCTTTAACAACACAGTCTCTCATCTAATTTTCAAAATAGTTCTATGGAATATGTTTTGGTATATCCAATTTATAGGGGAGAAAGATGGGCCTCACAGAGTGGTAACATGTTTAGTTCTCATAAAAGAGATGAGAATTGAACTGAAGTCTGTCTAACACTGATGCTCATACACTTTCCAAAATACAACCCTGCATTTAGAGGAAAAAAAGGAGAAAAGGGAGGAATGATGTAGGGGAGAAAGGAATGAAGGAGAAAGGAAATAGAAAAAAGAAGAAAGGAAGGTCTTCAATGTGTCTGAGTGTACATGTTGAATTTTCTTGGAATGACTTCAACATGTTCTGTTCCATCCAAAAATTTAAAAATGGAAAATTTTTGTTAGGCAGATCTGCCACTTTCCTCTTGTTGGATCATAGGTCAAAGGGTTGTCATGGGTGTATCATTGTCTCTCCTTAGTTCCTTTACTGTTGTCCTCACTTTTAATTGGTACCTGCATTAAATAGTCTTCCATTATCCTATTCCAGTGTTCTATCTGTTTTCTGCTGGCACGCTGACTGTATAGTTCTTTCCTAGAGACTTTAGAAAAAATGAAAAGAATATAAAGGAAGAAACAATGGTGATATTAATAATAACAGCAACAGCCAACAACAGGAACAACAACAATAAATCATTTATAATCCCACAGTCAAAGATAACCATTAATATTTTACTATATATTCTTCCAATTTGTTTTTTTACATTTTTAGATTATTTTTGTGAAGTGTTATGATTTTTGTTAGGGTTCTCTAGAGGGACAGAACTAATAGGATAGATACATATATAAAGGGAAGTTTACTAAGGAGTATTGACTCACATGATCACAAGGTGAGGTCCCACAATAGGCCATCTGCAAGCTGAGGAGCAAGGAAGCCATTCTGAGTCCCAAAGCTGAAAAACTTGGGAACCCAATGTTCAAGGGCAGGAAGCATACAGCATGAGATAAAGATGTAGGCTGGGAGGCTAAGCCAGTCTAGTCTTTTCACACTCTTCTGCCTGCTTTTTTTTCTGGCCTCACTGGCAGCTGATTGGATTGTGCCCACCCAGATTAAGGGCGGGCCTGCCTTTCCCAGTCCACCAACTCAAATGTTACTCCCCTTTGGCACCACCATCACAGACATACCCAGGATCAGTGCTTTGCATCCTTCAATCAAGTAGATACTCAATATTTTATTATTATTATTTTTTATTATTATACTTTAAGTTTTAGGGTACATGTGCACATTGTGCAGGTTAGTTACATATGTATACATGTGCCATGCTGGTGCACTGCACCCACTAACTCGTCATCTAGCATTAGGTATATCTCCCCATGCTATCCCTCCCCCCTCCCCCCACCCCACAACAGTCCCCAGAGTGTGATGTTCCCCTTCCTGTATCCATGTAATCTCATTGTTCAGTTCCCACCTATGAGTAAGAATATGAGGTGTTTGGTTTTTTGTTCTTGCGATAGTTTACTGAGAATGATGATTTCCAATTTCATCCATGTCCCTACAAAGGACATGAACTCATCATTTTTTATGGATGCATAGTATTCCATGGTGTATATGTGCCACATTTTCTTAATCCAGTCTATCATTGTTGGACATTTGGCGTGGTTCCAAGTCTTTGCTATTGTGAATAATGCCGCAATAAACATACGTGTGCGTGTGTCTTTATAGCAGCAGGATTTATAGTCCTTTGGGTAATACCCAGTAATGGGATGGCTGGGTCAAGTGGTATTTCTAGTTCTAGATCCCTGAGGAATTGCCACACTGACTTCCATAGTGGTTGAACTAGTTTACAGTCCCACCAACAGTGTAAAAGTGTTCCTATTTCTCCACATCCTCTCCAGCACCTGTTGTTTCCTGACTTTTTAATGATTGCCATTCTAACTGGTGTGAGATGGTATCTCACTGTGGTTTTGATTTGCATTTCTCTGATGACCAGTGATGATGAACATTTTTTCGTATGTTTTTTGGCTGCAAAAATGTCTTCTTTTGAGAAGTGTCTGTTCATGTCCTTCGCCCACTTTTTGATGGGGTTGTTTGTTTTTTTCTTGCAAATTTGTTGGAGTTCATTGTAGATTCTGGATATTAGTGCTTTGTCAGATGAGTAGGTTGCGAAAATTTTCTCCCATTTTGTAGGTTGCCTGTTCACTCTGATGGTAGTTTCTTTTGCTGTGCAGAAGCTCTTTAGTTTAATTAGATCCCATTTGTCAATTTTGGCTTTTGTTGCCATTGCTTTTGGTGTTTTGGACATGAAGTCCTTGCCCATGCCTATGTCCTGAATGGTAATACCTAGGTTTTCTTCTAGGGCTTTTATGGTTTTAGGTCTAACGTTTAAGTCTTTAATCCATCTTGAATTGATTTTTGTGTAAGGTGTAAGGAAGGGATCCAGTTTCAGCTTTCTACATATGGCTAGCCAGTTTTCCCAGCACCATTTATTAAATAGGAAATCCTTTCCCCATTGCTTTTTTTTCTCAGGTTTGTCAAAGATCAGATAGTTGTAGATATGCGGCATTATTTCTGAGGGCTCTGTTCTGTTCCATTGATCTATATCTCTGTTTTGGTACCAGTACCATGCTGTTTTGGTTACTGTAGCCTTGTAGTATAGTTTGAAGTCAGGTAGAGTGATGCCTCCAACTTTGTTCTTTTGGCTTAGGATTGATTTGGTGATGCGGGCTCTTTTTTGGTTCCATATGAACTTTAAAGCAGTTTTTTTCCAATTCTGTGAAGAAAGTCATTTGTAGCTTGATGGGGATGTCATTGAATCTATAAATTACTTGGGCAGTATGGCCATTTTCACGATATTGATTCTTCCTACCCATGAGCATGGAATGTTCTTCCATTTCTTTGTATCCTCTTTTATTTCATTGAGCAGTGGTTTGTAGTTCTCCTTGAAGAGGTCCTTACATCTCTTGTAAGTTGGATTCCTAGGTATTCTCTTTGAAGCAATTGTGAATGGAAGTTCACTCATGATTTGGCTCTCTGTTTGTCTGTTGTTGGTGTATAAGAATGCCTGTGATTTTTGTACATTGATTTTGTATGCTGAGACGTTGCTGAAGTTGCTTATCAGCTTAAGGAGATTTTGGGCTCAGACAATGGGGTTTTCTAGATATACAATCATGTCGTCTGCAAACAGGGACAATTTGACTTCCTCTTTTCCTAATTGAATACCCTTTATTTCCTTCTCCTGCCTAATTGCCCTGGCCAGAACTTCCAACACTATGTTGAATAGGAGTGGTGAGAGAGGGCATCCCTGTCTTGTGCCAGTTTTCAAAGGGAATGCTTCCAGTTTTTGCCCATTCAGTATGATATTGGCTGTGGGTTTGTCATAGATAGCTCTTATTATTTTGAAATACGTCCCATCAATACCTAATTTATTGAGAGTTTTTAGCATGAAGGGTTGTTGAATTTTGTCAAAGGCTTTTTCTGCATCTATTGAGATAATCATGTGGTTTTTGTCTTTGGCTCTGTTTATATGCTGGATTACATTTATTGATTTGCATATATTGAACCAGCCTTGCATCCCAGGGATGAAGCCCACTTGATCGTGGTGGATAAGCTTTCTGATGTGCTGCTGGATTCGTTTTGTCAGTATTTTATTGAGGATTTTTGCATCAATGTTCATCAAGGATATTGGTCTAAAATTCTCTTTTTTTGTTGTGTCTCTGCCTGGCTTTGGTATCAGAATGATGCTGGCCTCATAAAATGAGTTAGGGAGGATTCCCTCTTTTTCTATTGATTGGAATAGTTTCAGAAGGAATGGTACCAGTTCCTCCTTGTAGCTCTGGTAGAATTCAGCTGTGAATCCATCTGGTCCTGGACTCCTTTTGGTTGGTAAGCTATTGATTATTGCCATAATTTCAGAGCCTGTTATTCATCTATTCAGAGATTCAACTTCTTCCTGGTTTAGTCTTGGGAGAGTATGTATTTTGAGGAATTTATCCATTTCTTCTAGATTTTCTAGTTTATTTGCGTAGAGGTGTTTGTAGTATTCTCTGATGGTAGTTTGTATTTCTGTGGGATTGGTGGTGATATCCCCTTTATCATTTTTTATTGCGTCTATTTGATTCTTCTCTCTTTTTTTCTTTATTAGTCTTGCTAGCGGTCTATCTATTTTGTTGATCCTTTCAAAAAACTAGCTCCTGGATTCATTAATTTTTTGAAGGGTTTTTTGTGTCTCTATTTCCGTCAGTTCTGGTCTGATTTTAGTTATTTCTTGCCTTCTGCTAGCTTTTGAATGTGTTTGCTCTTGCTTTTCTAGTTCTTTTAATTGTGATGTTAGGGTGTCAATTTTGGATCTTTCCTGCTTTCTCTTGTGGGCATTTAGTGCTATAAATTTCCCTCTACACACTGCTTTGAATGCGTCCCAGAGATTCTGGTATGTTGTGTCTTTGTTCTCGTTGGTTTCAAAGAACATCTTTATTTCTGCCTTCATTTCGTTATGTACCCAGTAGTCATTCAGGAGCAGGTTGTTCAGTTTCCATGTAGTTGAGCAGTTTTGAGTGAGATTCTTAATCCTGAGTTCTAGTTTGATTGCACTGTGGTCTGAGAGATAGTTTGTTATAATTTGTGTTCTTTGACATTTGCTGAGGAGAGCTTTACTTCCAAGTATGTGGTCAATTTTGGAATAGTTGTGGTGTGGTGCTGAAAAAATGTATATTCTGTTGATTTGGGGTGGAGAGTTCTGTAGATGTCTATTAGGTCCGCTTGGTGCAGAGCGGAGTTCAATTCCTGGGTATCCTTGTTGACTTTCTGTCTCATTGATCTGTCTAATGTTGACAGTGGGGTGTTAAAGTCTCCCATTATTAATGTGTGGGAGTCTAAGTCTCTTTGTAGGTCACTCAGGACTTGCTTTATGAATCTGGGTGCTCCTGTATTGGGTGCATATATATTTAGGATAGTTAGCTCTTCTTGTTGAATTGATCCCTTTACCATTATGTAATGGCCTTCTTTGTCTCTTTTGATCTTTGTTGGTTCAAAGTCTGTTTTATCAGAGACTAGGATTGCAATGCCTGCCTTTTTTTTGTTTTCCATTTGCTTGGTAGATCTTCCTCCATCCTTTTATTTTGAGCCTATGTGTGTCTCTGCACGTGAGATGGGTTTCCTGAATACAGCACACTGATGGGTCTTGACTCTTTATCCAATTTGCCAGTCTGTGTCTTTTAATTGGGGCATTTAGTCCATTTACATTTAAAGTTAATATTGTTATGTGTGAATTTGATCCTGTCATTATGATGTTAGCTGGTTATTTTGCTCGTTAGTTGATGCAGTTTCTTCCTAGCCTTGATGGTCTTTAAATTTTGGCATGATTTTGCAGCAGCTGGTACTGGTTGTTCCTTTCCATGTTTAGTGCTTCCTTCAGGAGCTCTTTTAGGGCAGGCCTGGTGGTGACAAAATCTCTCAGCATTGTCTTGTCTGTAAAGTATTTTATTTCTCCTTCACTTATGAAGCTTAGTTTGGCTGGATATGAAATTCTGGGTTGAAAATTCTTTTCTTTAAGAATGTTGAATATTGGCCCCCCCTCTCTTCTGCCTTGTAGAGTTTCTGCCAAGAGATCAGCTGTTAGTCTGATGGGCTTCCCTTTGTGGGTTACCCAACCTTTCTCTCTGGCTGCCCTTAACATTTTTTCCTTCATTTCAACTTTGGTGAATCTGACAATTATGTGTCTTGGAGTTGCTCTTCTCGAGGAATATCTTTGTGGCGTTCTCTGTATTTCCTGAATCTGAACGTTGGCCTGCCTTGTTAGATTGGGGAAGTTCTCCTGGATAATATCCTGCAGAGTGTTTTCCAACTAGGTTCCATTCTCCCCATCACTTTCAGGTACACCAGTCAGATGTAGATTTGGTCTTTTCACATAGTCCCATATTTCTTGGAGGCTTTGCTCATTTCTTTTTATTCTTTTTTCTCTAAACTTCCCTTGTCGCTTCATTTCATTCATTTCATCTTCCATCGCTGATACCCTTTCTTCCAGTTGATCGCGTCAGCTCCTGAGGCTTCTGCATTCTTCACGTAGTTCTCGAGCCTTGGTTTTCAGCTCCATCAGCTCCTTTAAGCACTTCTCTGTATTGGTTATTCTAGTTATACATTCTTCTAAATTTTTTTCAAAGTTTTCAACTTCTTTGCCTTTGGTTTGAATGTCCTCCTGTAGCTCAGAGTAATTTGATCATCTGAAGCCATCTTCTCTCAGCTCGTCAAAGTCATTCTCCGTCCAGCTTTTTTCCATTGCTGGTGAGGAACTGCCTTCCTTTGGAGGAGGAGAGGTGCTCTGCTTTTTAGAGTTTCCAGTTTTTCTGTTCTGTTTTTTCCCCATCTTTGTGGTTTTATCTACTTTTGGTCTTTGATGATGGTGATGTACAGATGGGTTTTTGGTGAGGATGTCCTTTCTGTTTGTTAGTTTTCCTTCTAACAGAGAGGACCCTCAGCTGCAGGTCTGTTGGAGTACCCTGCCGTGTGAGGTGTCAGTGTGCCCCTGCTGGGGGGTGCCTCCCAGTTAGGCTGCTCGGGGGTCAGGGGTCAGGGACCCACTTGAGGAGGCAGTCTGCCTGTTCTCAGATCTCCAGCTGTGTGCTGGGAGAACCACTGCTCTCTTCAAAGCTGTCAGACAGGGGCATTTAAGTCTGCAGAGGTTACTGCTGTCTTTTTGTTTGTCTGTGCCCTGCCCCCAGAGGTGGAGCCTGCAGAGGCAGGCAGGCCTCCTTGAGCTGTGGTGGGCTCCACCCAGTTGGAGCTTCCTGGCTGCTTTGTTTACCTAAGCAAGCCTGGGCAATGGTGGGCGCCCCTCCCCCAGCCTCACTGCCACCTTGCAGTTTGATCTCAGACTGCTGTGCTAGCAATCAGCGAGACTCCGTGGGCGTAGGACCCTCTGAGCCAGGTGCGGGATATAATCTCGTGGTGCCCCGTTTTTTAAGCCCGTGGGAGAAGCGCATTATTCAGGTGGGAGTGACCTGATTTTCCAGGTGCCGTCTGTCACCCCTTTCTTTGACTAGGAAAGGGAACTCCCTGACCCCCTGCGCTTCCGGAGTGAGGCAATGCCTCGCCCTGCTTCAGCTCGCACACGGTGCATGCACCCACGGACCTGCGCCCACTGTCTGGCACTCCCTAGTGAGATGAACCCGGTACCTCAGATGGAAATGCAGAAATCACCCGTCTTCTGCGTCACTCACGCTGGGAGCTGTAGACCGGAGCTGTTCCTATTCGGCCATCTTGGCTCCTAGATACTCAGTATTAAACATCATGTGATTATTTCCATTCTACCAAAGATGATTGGGGAATTGAAGCTGCCTGCTAGTTTCAAATGAGTAGATAACCAGGCCAGATCTTCTGGATTCCATGTAAGGCTGAGATATTAACAGACTAAAATCAGTGAGGTGGGGAATGAGAAAGACAAAGTTGAAGGAAAATATAAGAGCATGGATCTTTTGTGTAGTATGTGCCTAGAAAAGGTATGTTTGGGAGGTAGGGAGGCAAGAGGGAGCAGCTAGAGAGGCTTGGAAACATGCCCTTAAACTGGGCTCCTTGAAGATAACTCTGATTTTATTATCTCTATTTCATTAGAGCTGAGCAGAACCTTGTATATGGTAGGTGCTTAATACATGCTGAGCAAGAGTGAGATTGAAGGAGAGAGACAAAGTGAAAGCATTACACTCTAAAGGTTCTTAAATGTCAAGGGAGACTTAGATCATCACATTGCTCAGTGTATGTCCATCACAGCCAGTATTTCTATCCTAGATGTCTGAGATCTGTGAGTCTTCTCATTAGTAGGTTGACCCTTTCATATATCATCAAAACCTTGAGAGTAAAAGGGGACATTATTAATAGTTGCACTGAGCCACAGACCTAAACTCAGACCCAAATGACGGCATATGGTCACTTTACCCTTCAAAAGTCAAACATGTACCTCTATGCAGGGACAGGGATGGTTGGGAGGGGTCTGTGTCTCTCTCCCAGGGAATGGAGTCCAAAGCACAGCAGTGGGCTCATAGCAGAAGCCTGTGTCTAGGTCAGTGAGGGCGATTGGTCAGGGATACTGCAGCTCTCCAGAGGTGAGTGTGCCCTTTACTTCTTCAGTTTCTGGCTCAAACACTCTAGGAGGCAGGTGTTTGGCAAATGAAAGCATTTTTTTTTTTTTAAATGGCAGGGAGCAATGTATCTGTAGGTGAATGTTACATTTTGTCAGAATGAAGCAGGTTAGAATTGCTTTTATTTAATTTATTTTAAATTTTTTCAGTTTATAATTCTGAGAAATCTTGTGTTGAGAGAAGAACAGAAAGAGCTTTATGACAATGTCATTCAATTCTTTGAAATTATTTTGAGTTATATGCCATAAAAGACTAACATTGATCAATAATAAATGTGTTTTTAGCAATATATCAGTTGACAATTCTCTTAGGTCTTCCTCCAATTTTGTTGGAAGTGCCGAATTAGAAAAAACGTGATTTACCAAAGGATTTGTTACCTAGGCATTAGAGACCCTCATTTTTGAAATTTCTGGCAAGCATACAAAAAGTTTTTAATCAACATTTCTTAGATGACCTGTTATTTTTAAATTTAGGGGTTTAAAAAATGTTATTCAACATGGCCGGGCATGGTGGCTTACGCCTCTAATCCGAGGCAGGTGGATCACGAGGTCAGGAGATCGAGACCATCCTGGCTAACGTGGTGAAACCCTGCCTCTACTAAAAATACAAAAAAAATAGCCAGGCGTGGTGGCAGGCGCCTGTAGTCCCAGCTACTCGGGAGGCTGAGGCAGGAGAATGGCGTGAACCCAGGAGGCGGAGCTTGCAGTGAGCCGAGATTGCACCACTGCCCTCCAGTCTGGGTGACAGAGCGAGACTCTGTCTCAAAAAAACAATATTATTCAACATATGCTGGAAAACATCTATTTGTTAAAACATTGGAGCTGCAGAATTAGGTTAAATTATATTCAAAATATTTATCACATCATTTAATAACAGACCAGCCACCTTAAAAATCAGTCAACCAAATCAGATATTTTTCTTGAGAAATGTGTCTTAATTAAAAAATTTAAATAAAGATGTTTGTGTACATTTATACAATAAAAACCATTCAAATTAAATAACAGAATGCATCTTCAAAGATAATTAAAAATTATCATGATCAACACAATTAAGAGCTAACATAATCAATTCATCCAGATTAACAATAAACATAAGAATTAATCCATATATTGCATATAACTATGTTGTAATAGTGCAATTTAATGTAGTTGAAGTTGTAAGTCATAAATGAAAGCTATGCTATTTCTTCAGGAAACATATGAGTAGTCCTTTGTTTAGCTGTAGTATTTGGGTCTCTAGAAATAATTAAATCAGAATAATAAATACAAATTCAAAAGTGGCTCAATTAAATTTGCTGGACATGATCATACTGCTAAAAAGTAATTGGTCCAGTTGTATTAAATTTTACTTTTTTAAGTAGGAGACAGAAAATAGCAAACATTTTGTGAGATATAATGAAACAAAATTGATTATAATCAGAATTATTTTTCATATTATGATTTGATTGAATACGTTTTAACTACCTAACTGCATAATACACACACTTTTTTTAAGTCACATACAATTGTTACTTGGTGGTTTCATCCAATATAACCTGAAAATTTTTAGTTCCAGAACACATCTCAGTTATATTTGAAATAATCAACATCATTAATCTATTCTGTTTTTAAGTATTGTGCTTTTTTTTTTTCTTTTTAGGTGATGAAAAGTCCTTAGGAGTTAAACTTTTTAGGTGATGAAAAGTCCTTAGGAGTTAAAAATAATTCCTTATACTTAAATAAGTAAATAAATGACATTTACAGGGTTTGATATTTCTTCAACATGCTATCTATGCCCTTTGACATGCTTTCTTAGGACTCTACCCGCAAACCATGAATTTTTGTAACAACAATTTGGGGATAAAATCTAGATCACAAGAGGAAATTCATCATCATGCTTACCACTGAAATTCTTCTTGCCTTCAGGATCTGTCAAAAAGGGCCAAAGCACACAATTTCCAAAGCCATGCTTTGATCTTTACAGGAAATATAGAACTCCATGATGAATGTGAAATTTTGGTGCTATAATGGTTCATTAAAGAGTCTTCTAGAAAATACTATCTTAAACTATTGTTTTATTTGATGTTCTGAAGATATTCATATCTGGAGCAATTCTCCATAATGAGATTCTGGATAGCTGAGTATTATGACTTCCATAAGTTTAGTGGGAGAGGGGCTATTGTGAAGAGTGGGGTGGAAAAGGAGATATTGCATGATGCTATAAAGTACAAGTGTGAACGATGGTTAATTCCTAGAAACTGATTTATAATTTTATTAGCGCCTGAGCATTCCTTGGAAGGCTTTGGGAAAGGTTTTGGGGAGGGCATTTAGAACCTTAAAAACTATCTAATGTATTTGAAGAACATTGCTTTAGATAATCTTTAAGGTCTCAAATTAGGTATGAAGCCTCTAAAATCATCTCTATAGACTACACTTTGTAGATAAGAAAATAAGGCGAAGCAGAGTTTAAAGACTTGAGTGGATTTCTATAACCAGTTTCCTTATGGTGTTTTGACCTACTTCATTTATGCCATGATACTTACCAGCTTTAGCATGGTCATGGATTCAAACTCTAGCCCTATCACTTCCCAGCTGTGTTTCTCTTGGCAATTTATTTAACTTCCTGGAGCTTCTGTTTTCCTATTTGTAAAACAGTGATAATGGTACTACCTAATTATAACTGTTCTAAGTATTAACTGAAGCATTAACATGTAAAATGCCTGGCACATAAAACATGTCTAAGAAATACTCATTTTCACTGACTTTCCATGTTCTTTCCTTCCTTTGTAGTATGGTTATTAGTGATACCCTTTTCTTGCAAAAACATTATTTCCTTGAACATATATGCCATAGCTTATTTACCTTTGTATAACCCTTTAGTGTTTCTATTAATACCTAGCACAGACAACTCAATAAATGTTAGTTGTAAGAATGGAAAATGGAATTGTGTTCTAAAATTAAAATACTCTGAGGATTGAGGTGGAAAGCACCTTAAGATGGTTTAATAATTCATTGCTATCAGTTATTTCTTAGCTTAAATTACTTTATCAAATTGCTAAACTCAGGGAAAGTGACCTAGAAGTCTGATGTAGGGGAATGCAGGTCTGAATTAGGTGCAGGAGTGAATTCTTCTGGTCTTTCATCAATCATTCAATGAACATCTATTGAATTCCTACTCTGTGCCTTTGTGTATATGGGGATATAAAAATTAATAGAATAAGGTACTTCTCAGAGACCTTATGGTATTACAGGGAAGATAGACCACACAGCAGGGAGTAGACTGTGCCATTAATGGAGATAGCAATGTCATTAACTCCTGTAAGTGCTTAACAGGCACTGAATAGTCTTCTAAATGCTTTACTTGTATTCACTAATTTAGCACTTACAATCATCTCTTTCAGTAGGTATTGTTAACATTAAAATTGTACACATATGGAAAATAGAAAAAAAGTTAAATAACTTGCTAGAGAGCACACAGTAACTGACAGAGCAGGGAACTGAACCTCAGAATTATAGCTCCAGAGCTTTCCCTCTTCATAAAAGATCCTATTCCAAAGGGGAGAGTTCTGTTGACTACTGGCTTAAAAAAGGCTTTGTGGATAAGCAGTAGCTCAGAGAGTAAAGCAGTATAGCTTAGTGATTAAAAGCTGGAATGCACAGCCCAGATTTGAATCCCAACCCTGCTCTTTATTAACTATATTTTTAGAACAAGTTATTTAATCTTTTTATGTCTCAGTTTCCTCAACTAGAAAATGGGACTAATAATATAGACCTTGTAAGGATTAATAAAGATAAACTAAAATAAAGTATGTAAAGTGACAGGCAGGTAAGCTCAACAAGTTACTATAGATGGATCTCTAAGTACAGGTATAGATTAGACGTCACATCCCAATGAGAGGGAAAATCATTATCCAAGTCATCACTCTGGTGGACAAGGCAAAAGAAGGCTCTCATTGTGTCTCCTGAATATCCACAGGTGAGAGCAAGGTGACCCTGAGGAATCTGTACCTGTTCCATAGACACATTGTTGTTGGCCTGGCAGTGGCTTTCTTTCTGAGACTTATTTTATTTCTGAAATGGGCATAATAATACTAGACCATAACAGAGTACAAGATTGAGTAAAAAAGGGCACACTTTAGGCACTCAAATGATCTGTGTTGAATCTAAATCTGATCATGGCCATGGTGTTTGGAAGGTCTAGGAATGGGTGACATCATTTTCAAGATTCATATTTTCTGTTCTCCTGGTGTTACTCAAGGGTTTCAGTCAGTTTCAAGGGTCAGTGATTTGCAGTTGTAGGAAGCCACGTCAGTGCTTCTTCAAGGCTGGGAAATGACACAGTTGCTTTTTGTGGTGCTCTCTGTGCTGGTGGAGTGGCAGCCTTAAGCAGTTAGTGTCACTATTCCCTGGGGCACTGAATATGGATTGAGGGAACATTTGGAAAGCATGAAGGGCAGACTTCTCCAGAAATTGGCACATGGCAAATTCAAAGAACAGCATTGCACTTTTTGACCTGTTGATCAATATAAAAAAAAAATAGGACAGTCTTTAGGATATTCATTTATTGTTTCTTGCTTTATTATTATGCAGAAGGCACAACAGAGACCAATGCAACCCCACCTGATTCAGTTAAAGGCATCTTAAATGCTACTTACACACATTGAGCTTTTAAAATGTGCCATGTGGGCTGGGCGCAGTGGCTCACGGCTGTAATCCCAGCACTTTGGGGGGCTGAGGCAGCCGGATCACCTGCGGTCAGGAGTTTGAAACAAGCCTGGCCAACATGGCAAAACCCCCTCTCTACTAAAAACACAAAAACTAGCCAGGTGTGGTGGCAGGTGCCTGTAAGTCATCCCAGCTACTCGGGAGGCTGAGGCATGAGAATCGCTTGAACCTGGGAGGCGGAGGTTGCAGTGAGCCGAGATCGCGCCACTGCACTCCTGCCTGGGCGACAGAGCAAGACTCCATCTCAAACAAAACAAAACAAAACAAAACAACCCCAAAAATAAAATGTGCCATGTGTTTCATTGGGTCTCATGGACAGGAAAGATAATATCTTTTTTAGTCTTGCAAGGAAAAAATCAGATTACTATACAGTATAAAAGTAACATGATAGGAATACATTCTGGGCTTAAGAAACAAGCAGCAAGGACACTGAATTCAGATTGATGGCAGGGGGCTTTGGGAATATACTATTCTTTTGTTTTGTTCTTTTTGTTTACTCTTTTTATTTCCAGGTTTTTGAGATATATTTGACACATAAAAATTGCATATATTTAAGGTGTACAATGTGATGATTGGATCACATTGTAGTATGTAATAACCATACTGCAAAGGAAGGAAGGAACATGGAAAGTAAGTAAAAATCAGTATTTCTTAGACATGTTTTATGTGCCAGTGGCAAAATAATTACTACAATCAAGCTAATTAACACACCCATCACCTCACATAGTTACCATTGGTTGGGCTAGGGGGCAGTGAGGATACTTAACATCTACTCTGTCAGAAGATTTCGGGTGTATGATATAGCATAATTAACTATAGTCACTGTGGTGTAGTTAGATCCTCAGAACATGCTTATCTTGTAACTTTGACCAACATCTCTTCATTCTGTTCCTCCATGCCAGCCTCTGGCAACCACCATTCTACTCTCTGCTTCTCTGAGTTTGATATTTTTAGGTTACGTCCATAAGTGAGATCATAATACTTATCTTTCTGTGTGTAGCTTATTTCACTTAGCATACTGTCCTCCAGGTTCATCCATGTTGTCACATATGGCAGAATTTCCTTCTTTGTTATGGCTGAATAATATGCCATTGTTTGTTTGTGTGTGTGCCACAATTTCCTTATCCAGTCATCTGTCAACATACACTCAGGTTGCTTTCATACCTTGGGTATCGTGAATAATGCTGCAATGAACATGGGAGTGCAAACATTTCTTTGACAAAAAAATTTCATTTCTTTGATATGTACCTAGAAATGAGATTGCTAAAATCATAGGCTAGTTCTATTTTTAATTTTCTAAAGAATCTTTATACTATTTTTCATAATGGCTGTATCAATTTACATTCCCACTAATGGTGTCCAAGGGTTCCCTTTTTTTCCACATCCTCATCAACACTTGTTATTTCTTGTATTTTTGATAATAACCATCCTGATGAGTGTGAGGTGATACTTCATTGTAGTTTGATTTGCATTTCCATGCTTATTGGTGATGTTGAGCACTTTTTCATATACCTGGAGGCCATATGTGTGCCTTCTTTTGATAAATGTCTATTCAGGTCTTATGCTCATTTTTGGATCAGGTTATTTGTTTTCTTGCTAATGAGTTGTAGGAGTTCCTTATATATTTTAGATATTAGCTTCTTCTTTGATATATGATTTGCAAATATTTTCTCCCAATCTGTGGGTTGTCTCTTTACTTTGTCAATTGTTCCCTTCTCTGTTCAGAAGCTTTTCAGTTTGATGCAATAGTGTTTGTTTATTTCTGCTTTTATAGCCTCTGCTTTTGGGGCATATTAAAAAATCCATTGCCAAGACCAATTTCAAGGAGCTTTCTTCCACAATGTTTTCATCTAGGAAACGTGTAAGATCATGATTTCAGATCTGACATTTGAACATTTAATTTACATCAAGTTAATTTTTGTGTATGGTGTAAGATAATGGTCCAATTTATTTTTTTTCATGTAGATACTCAGTTTTCTCAATGCCATTTGTTGAAGAGACTATCCTTTCATTATTGTATATTTTTGATGGCCCTTTTAACAACTACTTGACTATATATGACTGGGTTTATTTCTGGGCTCTGTATTCTGTTTCATCAGTTTATGTGTCTGCTGTTATGCTGGCATCACACTGTTTTGATTACTATAGCTTTGCAATATGGTTTAAAATAAGGAAGTGTGATGCTTCCAGCTTAGTTCTTCTTATTCAAAATTATTTTGGGTATAGAGGTCGTTTGGTAGTTCCACATGGATTTTAAGATCATTTTTACTATTTCTGTGAGAAATGCCATTGAAATTTTGATATGGATTACATTGACTCTGCAGATCACTCTTTGTAGTTGCAGGTGTCTTAAAAATATTAATTATTCCAATCCATGAAAACAGGCACTGAGCATTTGAGGCAATTTTGGGTAGTTCAATGGGGCCATAGATTTGAATCCATAAGAATGAAGAGACAAGAAAGGAGGTTAAAAGTTTTGGAATAGAAAACATAGGATTTCAGATTCCAAACACGAGATATAATCTTATTGATCACTTTTAACTAAAAAGGCTTAAAGGAGACCATAGAAAGCATACATTCCACATTGCCTGGAGCTAAAAAGAAGAACTACATGCTGGGTAAAGGAATCAATACTTAAAGTCACTTAGCAAACTGGAAAGATTTTTGAAGCTCAGCAAGATGAACTCTAATAGAGATAAACAAAAAATCTCACAGAATTGGAATCTAAGTCAATTGCAGCAAAAAAGTGATGAAGTACAGGTGTATCTGTATATAGAAACACAGACATGCACAGATGTCTAGGAAGATCTAATGTTTCCTTTGTCCACAAAATCCAAAGGAGCCAGATATATGACATGGCTGCTGAAAAAGCTAATGCTGTCTCAGGCTACACAGATACGTGGTGGCCAAATCCATGGATATAGTGTAATGCAGAAGAAGTTACAATGTTTTAGGAATCAAAAAGACCCACTGTACCACCGACAGCTGTGTGGTCTTCAATACATTCTGTAGCCTCAGTTTAATCATTTATAAAATAAGGCTAGTGATAACTGCTCATTCCCTTAAAGGTTAATATGAACATCTGTAAAGTGCCTCATACAGTGCCTCAAATATTAGTGGCCAAGAAATGTGAATTTTTTTTTGCATTAATATCGTCCCTGAAGTGACACTGAGAAATTCAATCAGGACATCAACAAACAAACAAGGAACTACTGAGAGGAAAAAGACTTAGGTAGTAAGAATAGGGGCTAAAAATAGCATGATGTTTTTGTTTTGCTAAGAAGAAACAAACAAATATGGATATAATAAACTATATGATTTGAGGGCTCTTATATATAAAGGAGAGAACATTTATTTATAATAGCTCTAGAAGATAGAAGAGGGATTATTTACTGTGTCATTTTTAGCTCCTTAGCTTCTGTTTATACTTCACATATTAGTTCAATGTCATTTCTTTCCAGTAGGGTTTTCTTTACTATTACACTTTTAGAGTATTCCTACAGCTGATTATTACCTTCGATTATATGACTAATGCTCATCTCCCCACTCAACTCTATGTTCCATGAAAGATGGGAACATGCCTATTTTCCAAACCATTATATGCCCAGCCATTGGTATGGAACCAAAGGCATGGAAGGCCCTCAACTGTTTGTTGAGTATAATTCCTGCCCTCAAGACTTATAGTCCTGTGGGTCAGACCTCACGAGACTCTGCAACTACAGGATAGGTAAACATAAGAAGACAGACCCAAGCCAGAGATTAATCACCTTCAGCAGCACAAGCCAAGTGATTTATCTAGAGTTATTGGTGCCCTGATTCAATGGTCTGGCTTCTCACCTCCACTTCTGGCTACTTACTAGGGTCTACATCTGAACACAAGGCCGTATTGCTGAAAGTTAATGGAGGGAAATAACTTCACCCATCTAAGGACATTTTCAGAGTTAATGAATTGGAAAATATCAGAGTTAAACAAGGTCACAGCGCAGGCAAGGGCTTTCAGCAAAGGCAGCCACAGCGGGCATCGGAGGACAAGGGGCTTCATTTGATTGGGAGGGCATCTTAGTCATGCAAATTAATGGAAAGGAAGCAAGGGGGTTACCTTGGTGATGAACAATGATGACAAGGGACTGGAGACATATGGCAAAGGAGGAAATGCAAAGTTATGTCAGCTTGCAGTGATTCATAAATAACAGCAAGAGGTCTGCGAAGGCAGATTGAAGGCATCCAGGGTGTTATGTAATCATGTCCCAGTGATGCATAAAAGTATCAAGCATTCTAATGTCACAGTCTGACATGCCTGCTCTGTTAAAGAAGGCTTTAGTTCTGCGGTCCTGTAGACACAGTTTGCACAGCTAAAGAACCATTTCAAAGGAATGATTTTTCTTAGTGCTTTGATCTAATTTTGGTTAAATCTTTTAAATACCTCTAGAAATTATTCACATTTCTGTCAATCCTCCCTCATTCATTCATTCATTCATTTATTTTTTCAAAAAAATATTTAGTGCTAAGTTTGTGCCAGCCTCTGGGCTAGGTGGTGTATTACTTCCTATTGGTACTACTCGTGTTTAGGCAACAGTCTTCTCTCTAAGAGATTACTGCAAGTGTCTTCGCATTAATCCCCTGTCTACAGTCCTGTCCGTATCTAATCCTTTCTTCACTTTTCAGCCAGAATGAAAATTTAATTTTGTTTTTCTTGTGATGCTGAAAGTGTTTCTTGCTGTAACATACATTCCTTCCATCTTCTGTAAACAGCATCCACCCACCTGCACATCCTCTGCATCAACTACATTTTTGACAATGTTCCATGAGGACTGCTATTTATAAATTGTTCTTTCTACTCCAATTCCATTGGTTAAGGGGTGGGCTCATGACCTGTCTAGGCCAATGGGGAAATTCTCCTTTACCCTGGCTGCAGTGATTGGTTCAGATTTAGGCATATACCAATCAGAGCAATTTTCTGAGCGCCTACTAGAGCTAGGGCAGAGGTAGGATTCAAGGGGCACGCTCTTTGTGCTAGTTTTCAACTGGTGCATAACAAATTACCAGCAACATAGTGGCTTAATACAACACTGATTCATTAGCTCATCAGTTAGGTGAGAAGTCTGGCAAAGAATGGCTGAGTTCTCTGCTCAGGGTATCACAAGACTAAAATTAAGGTGTTTGCCAGTCTGAGTTCTCTGAAAGCTCTCCTTTTCTTAAAATTATCTGCTGTCCTTGAATTCCTGCCTTAACCTATGACTATGAGCTTAAAAAGTCTTTTGGCTCTAACAATCAATGCTATTTTTTATTTAATGACCTTAAGATGCCCCTCACTGGTTTTGTCTTTTTGATTGGGACCATCTCTGGCTTCTCTGGCAATGTCCAGAAACATCACAGCTGGTCTCTCTAGTTTGTAATTCCACCTTGGGCTGATTCACATAACTTCCAATCTTCCAGATTCGATTTGGCCCTGGCAGTGGGGAACTAGGCATCAGCTGTCAGTCCTGTCATCTCCAGCCCCTTTCAATTGGAATCAATAATTTTTTCCTTCCACATATTTGGTTCCAACTAATTTCCAGGCAGTTCTCACCAAGATAGCAGTACATTACTAGCCCCCACCCATTGATAGGTAAAGTCTGGGACTTCACTTTCACTACTGCTGAAATCTTGGTTTCCAATGAACCTTACATGAATTCAAGTGCATGTCAAATTATAGCTTTTCACTACCCAGTTGTTATTAACTGGATTCTTACAAATGAATGTAACTCATCAGTTTATTAATGTCCCATTACACTCTATTACTAACATATGCCAACTTCAGTTATATGTATTTCCTGCCAGGTCCCTGAATGTATCATGTGAGTTTATTCTGGAGCCATTTTTATACTTCAGAAAAGTTGGGTCCTGTCCAACTCCCTCTATGTTCTCTCATAAGATCATGCTTATAACATGGACTTGTGTAACTGTTATTAAAAATAACTTCGTGACTCCTTTTGGAAATTGACATCAACTTGTAGCAACTTTTAGTTCTCCACATGTCTCTAGGTGCTATGTATTAGGCTTACAAGCAACTCTTCACCTCTGCCCTTTCTCTCCTTCAACTCCCAACAGCTAACTCTACCAAAGGTTCATTTATGCGGATTACTTTCCTTCCTGGGTCAAACTTATTTCTTCTCCTTTACTAGTAGGAATGTAGTTAGGGACCCAGAACATTTCACATATGAATTCAAATTGGTTTTGATACTGATTTTATTGTTATTATTGGTCAAAGGACCTTTTCTGAACTTCACGTTGCCTACCAGTAAAAATTACAGGTTTAAACGCAGTAATCTCTCAAGACCCTACTGGTCTCTTAATTCCTAACTTCTACATCCGCTTTACCTTCAATTTTCTTACATTAGTTTTCTCATCCATTTTTTACTTTCCTCAAAAGACTTCTTTATTTCCAACCTGGCTTCTATTCTCATAAATAGTTTTTGGCTTAAATGAGTGAATGCCACTTATGCCTCATCTCATAGGGTTCATTATGCACTGCCATTCTAAGGAGTCTGTAGTTGAAAAGTTTATTTCCTTAACTGATGGCTCATTTGAAAGTTTTTGTTTGTGTATATGTGTGTTTTATTTCTTAAAAAATCCGTTTTAATGAAATTACTAGAGAAAATCAATGAAACTAAAAGCTGGTTCCTTGACTATATTAATAAAATTGATGAAACTCCAGCCAAGCTAATTAATGAAAAGGAAGAAACAAATCACTAATACCAGAACTGAAAGATGTACCATTACCACAGATGCTTGGACATTAAAAGGCTAATGAAAGAATACTATGAACAACTCATGCCCACAGACTTGAAAACATAAAGAGGTGAATTCCCTGGAAAAAAAAAAAAACAGCTACTTAAGCTCATACAATAAAAAATAGATAAACTGAGTGGGTCTATACCAATTGAAAATTAAATCAATAATTAATAACATTCAAACTAAAACACAATACCATTGATTTGATTGATAAATTCTACCAAACATTAAAATAAGAAAAATTAGCAATTTTCTAACAAGCTTGCCTATAATCTCTTTCAAAAAATAAAGAGGGAACATTTCCTAAATAATTCTAGGAGGCCATCATTGTAATGATACCCAAAGCAGATAATGATGTTACAAGAAATAAAAACTACAGACCAATATCTCCCATACTGTAGGTGCAAAAATCCTCAAAAATTAACACATTAAATTCAACAATATATAAAAAGAATTATACACCATGACCAAGTGATATTTATTCCAGGCATGCAAGACTGGTTGAAAATTCAGAAGTCAGTTTACAAAATCACCACATCAACAGGATAAAAAGAGATAGCATATGATTTATCAACTAATATAGAAAAAGCATTTAACAAAATTCAACACCTCTTACTCAGAAAATTTGGAATAGAATTATCTCCCTCAACTTGATAAAGAATATCTCCATAAAACCCACATGTAATATAATATATAATGATGAGAAACTAGACGCTTTCTCCCAAGATTAGTGATAAAGCAAGATGCCCTCTCTCTCCTCTCCTATTCAATAATGTACCAGAGTCATATCTAATGCAATAAAACAAAAAAAAAAAAAAGAAAATTAAAGGTATAGAGATTGGAAAGAAGAAATAAAACTGTTTTGTTTGTTTGTTTGTTTATTTTCTTGAGACAGAGTCTCACTCTGCTGCCCATGCTGGAGTGCAGTGGCATGATCGTGGCTCACTGCCAACTCTGCCTCCTGGGTTCAAGCAATTCTCCTGCCTCAGCCTCCTGAGTAGCTGGGTCTACGGGCACCTGCCACCATGCCCGGCTAATTTATTTATTTATTTATTTATTTATTTTTTATTAGAGATGGGGTTTCACCATATTGGCCAGGCTGGTCTCAAACTCCTGACCTTGTGAACTACCCACCTCGAGCTCCCAAAGTGCTGGGATTACAGGCGTGAGCCACTGCGCCTGGTCAATAAAACTGTTTTTATTTGAAGATGAGATGACTGTTTATTAAAAAAATTAAAAATAAATTTAAAAACTCCTAGAACTAATAAGCAATTATTGTAATGTAGCATGATACAAGGTAACACACATAAGTTAATTGATATTCTAATATAAACCAGTAATGAGCAATTGAAACTTGACATTGAAAAAAGTACAATTTACAATAGCACCAAAAATTGAAACACTTAGGTATAAATCTAACAAAATATGTAAAGAATTTATACTTGGAAAACTAAAATCTGATAAAAAGCTCAGAGGAGGACTAAATAAATGGAGGGATATTCCATGTGCATGGTTTTTCAAGACTCAATATCACCAAGATGTTATTTCTTCCTAACTGATTTATAGATTCAATGCAATCTCAATCAAAATCTCAGCAGTCTATTTTGCAGGTATTGAAAATGGGATTCTTTTTTTCTATAATTTTAATTTTAGATTCAGCAGGTACACTTGCAGGTTTGTTACCTGGGTATACTGAATGTTGCTGAGGTTTTGGGTACAATTAATCCTATCACCCAGGTACTGAGCATAGTACCCAATAGTTTTTCAACCTTTGCCTGTCTCCCTCCCTCCCTCCCCTCTCTAGTAGTCCTCAGTATCTATTGTTGCCACCTTCATGTCCATGAGTACCCAATAGTTACAAGTGAGAACATTGGTTTTTCTGTTCCTAAGTTAATTCTCTTAGGATAATGGCTTTCAGCTGTGTCCATGTAGCTGCAAATATATGATTTTGTTCTTTTTGGGGGATGCAGAGCATTCCATGTTGTATGTATACCACATTTTCTTTATCCAATCTATCATTGATTAGCATCTAAGATGATTCCATGTCTTTGCTATTGTCAATAGTGCTGTGATGAACATTTGATTGCATGTGTCTTTTTGGTACAACTATTTACTTACTTTTGGAAATATATCCAGTATTGGGATTGCTGGGTTGAATGGTAGTTCTCAGTTCTTTGAGAAATCTCAAAACTGCTTTCCACAGTGGCTGAACTAATTTATTTTCCCACCAACATTGTATAGGTGTTCCCTTCTCCACAGCCTTGCCAGCACCTGTTATTTTTTGACTTTTTAATAATAGCCATTCTAACTGGTATGAGATGGTGCCACATTGTGTTTGGATTTGCTTACATTTCTCCGATGATTAGTGATGATGAGCATTTTTTTCGTATATTTCTTACCCACTTGTATGTCTTCTTTTGAAAAGTGTCTGTTCATGTCTTTTGCCCATTTTTTAATGGGGTTGTTTGTTTTTTGCTAGTTGAGTTGTTTAATTTCTTATAGATTCTGGATATTAGACCTTTTTCAGATGAATCGTTTGTGAATACTTTCTCCCATTCTGTAGGTTTTTTGTTTATTTTGTTAATAGCTTCTTTTGTTGTACAGAAGCTCTTTAGTTTAATTAGGTTCCATTTGTCAATTTTTGTTCTTGTTGCAATTGCTTTTTAGGACTTACTCATAAATTCTTTCCCAAGGCCAATGTCCAGAATAGCATTTCCTAGGTTTTCTTCCAGGATTTTTAGAGTTTGAGATCTTATATTTAAATCTTTAATTCATCTTGAGTTGACTTTTGTATATGGTGAAAGGTAGGGGTCCAGTTTCATTTTTCTACATGTGGCTAGCCAGCTATCCCAGCACCATTTATTGAACAGGGAGTCCTTTCTCCATTGCTTATTTTTGTCAACCTTGTTGAAAATCAGATGGCTGTAGATGTGTGGCTTTATTTCTGGGTTCCCTGTTCCATTGGTCTATATATCTCTTTTTGTAGCAGTACCATGCTGTTTCAGTTACTGTAGACTCACAGTGTAGTGCAAAGTTAGGTAATGTGATGCCTCTGGTTTTCTTTTTTTGCTTAAAATTGCTTTGACTATTCAGGCTCTTTTTTTGTTCTATATGAATTTTGGAATAGTTTTTTCTAGTTCCATGAAAAATGACATTAGCAGTTTGATAGAAATAGCAATAAATCTGTAGATTGCTTTGGGTAGTGTGGCCATTTTAAGGATATTGATTCTTTCAATCCATGAGCATGGAATATTTTGTCATCTGTTTGTATCATCTGTGATTTCTTTCAACAGTGTTTTATAGTTCTTCTTGTGAAGATCTGAAAATGGATTCTGAAGTTTACATAGAAGGGCAAAATACCTAGAATGGCCAAGACAATATTAGAGGAGGACAACAAAGTTGCAGGGCTCACATTACTCAACCAGAAGGCTTACTATAAAGCTAAATTAATCAAGAGAGCATGGTATTGGTGAAAGAATAGGAACATAGATCATTGTAACAGAATAGAGAGCCCAGAAATAGACCCACGTAAATATAGTCAGCTGATCATTGACAAAGGAGCAAAGGCGATTCAATGGGAAAAAAATAGGCTTTGCAACAAATGCTGCTTAAACAAGTAGACATCCCAATGCAGAAAAATGAACCTAATCACAGACCTTCCTAAAACCTTTCACAAAAATTAACTCAAAATGGGTCATAGACATAAATGTAAAATAAAAAATGTAGTTTTTAAGTTTTATTACTATAAACATCTATAAGAAAATAGGAGAAAATCTAGGTATTCTTGGCTTTGGCAACGACATTTTAGGTACAGCACTAAAAGTATTATCTATACAAGAAAAAAATGATATTGAACTTAGTTAAAATTACAAACTTCTGCCCTGCAAAAGACACTGTTAAGAGAATTAAAAGAGAAATCACAGACTGGGAGAAAGAATTTGGAAAACGCATATCTGATAAAGCACTTGCATCCAAAATATACAAAAAACACTTAAAAATCAACAGGAAGAAAACATGCAAACAAATTTAAAAAAGATCTGAACAATTCACTAAAAATATTTGCAGACAAACAAGAAGCATGTGAAAAGATTTTCATCATTTGATTAGGGATTTGCAAATTAAAACAAAAATAAGATACCATTACATATTTACTAAATGGCTAAAATCCATAAAACAATGACAGTACCAAATGCTGGCAAGGATATAGAACAACAGGAACTCTCATACATTGCTAGTGGTAATGTATAAAATGGGACAGTTACTTTGGAAAACTGTCTGGCAATTTCTTACAAAGCTAAACATAGTCTTACCAAAAAATCAAGCAATTGCATCTTAGGTATTTACCCAACTGCTACGCAAATTTATGTCCACATAAAAATGTGCAAGTAAATGTTTATAGTAGCTTTATTCATAGTTGTAAAAACTGAAAGCAAACAAAATGTTCTTCAATAGATGAATGGATAAACAAACTATAGTAATCCACACAATAGATGATTATTCAGTGATAAAAAGAAATAAGCCATTAAACCATGAAGAGACCTAAAGTAAACTTAAATGCATATTTCTAAAGCAAAAATTCAGTTTGAAAAGGCTACATACTGTATGATTCCAATTTCCTAACATTTTGGAAAAGGCAAAACTGTAGACAGTAAAATGTTTAGTGGTTGCCAGAAGTTCTGGGGTAGGAGGAAAACATGGAATAGGTGAAGCATAAGTGATTTTTTTTTCTTTTTGGGGGGCTGCTGAAGCCATTCTGTATAATAATATAATGGAGACCACATGGCACTGTGCATTTGTCAAAACCCATTGAGCATAAAGAGTGATGTTTAAAAACGATCATTTAGCAGTTTACTGCTTCCCCAAATCATATGCAGACTATGAAAAAAAGAGTATAACTGTATTACACATTATAAAACAACTTCAGTGAGGAAAGTAAGAGTAGGGAAGGACTGACCTAAGTAGCTTTGGAAATGATTGAAATCCATAAGACTAAGGCAAAACAAATTGCACAGAAGCACTGCACTCTAGTTGAAAAAGATTTTCCCATGATATGTACGGTTTAATCATCTGATACTTCTATAACTGTATACTAGAATTGAACAATTAAGTAAATGGATGGTGGGAGGCATAAGCCAGGTGTATCTCTGCTAGAGTGGGAGTTTACAGGAGGGAGAAGGCTAGAATGTCCTAAGTGTTAATGGATCAAAGTTGAGACTATACAACATTAATTTCCTTGCATTGTCGGCAGAGAGGCCTAGAAGCCATGGCACCTCAGTGGCAACCAGTACAGCTAAGCAGCTAGATCTTGGTTTGGAATGCCAGTCTTTAATAAAAAGAACCAGGGCTCCTTGGAGAAATGGCTGATCCTAGGACTAGGACAGAAATTAGGTAAGATAAGTCTGGAAGATCCTTCAATGCCAGAAACTAAGGAAGTGATTAAAGGCATAGCCCACACTAATGAGGTATGTTAAAGTGGAATAAGATCCACTTTAAGGATCTCCCAGTGGTGAAGGGGAGAGCAATTTGAGCAACATATAAACAAAGATGGGTTGAATCATAACTCAAATAATAAAATAACCATGAGTCATAAATAAATTGTTGAATAAATTAATTAATGGGGAGAAGAGACAAATCTCCCTCAAGGAGGGGAAGCAGAACTCCCCACTCCCTAAGTATAGGCTGCATATAGTGACTTCCTTTGAGAGTACAGTAAAGAAAAGAAATGGTGTCTTTGCAGTGGAAAAGCTTTGTAAACACTACCTTGGCAAGGTAATTGAGGGCAATATCAGCAGAACTAAATCATGCTGATAATATGTGCTCTTGATAGAATATGATGAAAATGGCACCTTACCTCTGTGATCTTCCACCCCCAAACTTATAGCCCTACTCTAACATGAGACAAACATTAGACAAGTTTCTAAAGAGCGGAGTTTTATAAAGTACCTGACCAGTACTCCTCAATACTGTCATGGTCATCAAAAACAAGAAGTCTGAGAAACTGTCACAACCAAGAAGCACCCAAGGAGACACGACAACTGAATGTAATATGGTATTCTGGATAGGATCCTGGGAGAGAAACAGGACACAAGGTAAAAATTGAGGCAATCTGAATATGGAATGGGCTTCATTTAATAATAATTCATTAATATTAGTTCACTAAATTTCACAAATATACCACACTGATGTCAGTAGTAGGGGAAACCAGATGTAGAACATATGGAACTTTCCATTCTATCTTTTCAGTTTTTTTCCTGCAAGTCTAAAATTATTCCAAAAATATAGTCTGCTTTGAAAAGGCATATTGACTTTAAGCTGTCATTCTTTTGTTAGTAATTTTTTGGTTTATTGTATGGTAGTCAGAGAATATGGTCTGTAAATTTTTTGCTTTCTAGGATGTATTATATTTTATTTGTGTTCTAATACATGATATAACTGTTGTAAAAATTTGCACATGAATGAAAATAATGTGGCCAGGCGCAGTGGGTGGCTCACACCTGTAATCTCAACACTTTGGGAGGCTGAAGCAGGTGGATCGTTTGAACTCAGAAGTTCAAGGCCATCCTAGGCACATAGTGAAACCCAGTCTCTACAAAAAATACAAAGAAATTAGCCAGTAGTGGTGTGCATCTGTGGTCTCAGCTACAAAGAAATTAGCCAGTAGTGGTGTGAGTCTCGCTCTGTTGCCTAGGCTGGAGTTCAGTGACTCAATCTCAGCTCACTGTAACCTCTGCTGCCCGGGTTCAAGCAATTCTGCTGCTTCAGCCTCCCAAGTAGCTGGGATTATGGGCACCCGCCATCATGCCTGGCTAATTTTTGTATTTTTGTAGAAATAGGGTTTCACTATGTTGGCCAGGCTGGTCTTGAACTCCTGACCTCAGGTGATCTGCCCACTTCGGCCGCCCAAAGTGTTGGGATTACAGGCATGCGCCACCGCACCCAGCCGAGGACCTATTTTTTAACTGGGCATTTTAGCCCATTCAAATTTGAATGAAAAGCATGTAAATTTACTAATTTTTATGGTTTTCCACCTACAGAGCAGTCCCCATGAGTAGAACATTCAATTCAAAGGGTACCTTCAATGGACCAATACCTTGAACTGTGGATGTACACATCTCTCCTGGTGGGACCAGATGGATTATTACTCCTTTTTTTTTTTTTTTAATTAAAGCTCATTGCTCATTTGCTGTTCCCTGCTTCCTAGTAAATTGGGAGTAGCATTTCTCTGATTCCTGTTGAGATATTTTTGCTCTTGGTTCCACCTCATCATTTCTCATCTGCATTTTGGCATGTAGGAACATGTTACCTAACCATTTTCCTTCTTAAACAATATATTGATGTAGAAGTTCCTGTCTGGCCTTGCCCACTTTGCTTGCACTTTGCAGAGTAAACTACCAGAGCCTCACTACAATGCAATGAGGAATGTTTCGCATTCTGTTTCTTATATCTTGACAGGAAAGTTCCAAGTAGCATCATGTTTCCTTTTTGCAAATTTATGTAGCTTAACTTGGCATCTTAATGAAGTTTATTTCTATCTGTATTATTCAAGTAGCACCAGTAGATGACCAGAACCATTCCTGAAACTCACCCATGGATAACCTACATACTAAGTAAGTTTTCTGAAGTCTTGTATCCTAAATGCATTTCAAAATAGAAAAAAATTTATGATCAGCAAAGACTCCTACTCTAACATCAACAAATAAAAGGTGAGTTTGCTCGGAGGGCTTTGTGGGTGTGTGCTCAATATCTCATATGTTGGATGCATTACTGTACAAAGTCATAATGCTTGCAAAGAGTTAAAAAAGTAAACAGCACCCATTCCTGGATGTGAGTGTTCATATTGATGGAACGGAATAGTTCTGTATTTCTGTTCCCTTGTCACTGTCTTCTAGCCTCTCACCTGCTCTGTGTAAAACCTAGTGGTGAGCTATGCTTTGAAAATTTTCTTTCCCACAGTCCAGGACATTCTGGATGCCTTATACAGGACATTCTGGACACCTCTTTTGCCTAGCTGTGATACACTTGGGGATAACAGGCATGGGCATCAGTGGATGCTACTACTTTTTCAACATTCTGAAGTTTATTTCTAAGGACATGGAACTTGTTGAATGGCATGATTCCCACTTAATTTTCTCCTGCGTGCAGGGGCCACAGGTATTGCAATTTAGACTCCATGCCTTCTATCCTAGGTTATTCCCTTTAACCTGTAGCTCAGGTTCAGCCCTCATTTTTTTCCCCTTTCCCTTTTTCTGTTTCTGACTGAAGTAGAGATGATTTGTGTAATGCTAC
This sequence comes from Homo sapiens, assembly GCF_000001405.40. Lineage (NCBI taxonomy): Eukaryota > Metazoa > Chordata > Mammalia > Primates > Hominidae > Homo > Homo sapiens. Next base: position 131,614,542 of record NC_000008.11, on the reverse strand, counting down.
ATGCTGAACAGTTGCCCCCAGCACAGCTTGGGGAAGCAGACCCATTTTCTTCCATATTTTTATGGGGAGTTGACCGATACCTTGAAAATCCTAGATCACTAAGAATGGCTTCAGGATCTAAGAATGGATCTAGCAGAAAAATTTCTTTCTTAATTATATTTGACATTCAGCTGCTGGACTATACATTTAAACAGCAATTGTGTCCACCTGCCACTGTCGCTTGGTATTTTGTTTGGCACTAGTGGATGCAGGGGATGTTGCTAGTCTACAATCTGAAAGCCACTGTATACACATGCCTGAAATACACATGATTGTCCATCTTGAGGCAAAGATTTTGAATTGTGAGTAGAGTACTCTGCTTAGTGCTCTGACACTCTCCTGCTGTTAAAAACTGCATGCCTCCTTTTTGCTCACCTCTGGTCCTTCAAAGCTCACTCCTGTATGCACAGTAAGGGACTTACTAGGGTCAGCTAAGGCTAAGTCAGGGGCTGATAATAGTTTTTGCAGAGTAATGAGTACCCAGTCAATGGATGGCTCAATACTAATTTCCTTAAATGTTGAAGAACCTAGGTTGATGAGACAGATTCCTTTTGTTCTCTAGCTTTCTCCTGCTTGGTCAAATCTACCCTGATCTTATTCTTATAACTCACAGTTACATCATTAATGGTTTAGCAATCATGAAATAAGCTTCACAAACTTTATGTCATATCCATCATATTCCCAGAAGGAGAAAAAATCAGACGGTGACAATTTCTATGTTCATCCTCACTTTGGCTAATCCCTGTGATCCGAGGAACACCGGCATTTATCAGGAGGTAATTTCAGTCTTGCTTTCTCCAAAAAGTTCCTTTTAATCTTCTCCAAAGACAAGCTGATATCTCCAAATAGCTTGTGTCTCAACTATTTTTGCTACTAACTGTTGAAAAATGGCATGAAACCTTGATATACTTTGGGGCATTTTTTCAAATTGAAAGACATTCTGTAGGATGGAAGATTTTATTCTTTTTCCTTTAAGGATGTAACTATTTTACTCTTCTTCCTTTAAGCCAGAGTTATTTTAAAACAACTATTCTCCAAATTCTTCACCCCAAAATATTGGCTCTGTCATCAATAGAAAGCAAGGGTTTTGTCTGTTCTGTTCTCTGCTGAATCCTCATTGCCTGAAACAAATTTTTGTAATCATTAATTCTTATGAGGTGCTTTACAAATAATTTTTTAATGGATTAATTTAAAAACTGCTCTCTGGAAAACTCAGTAAATAGTACATGATTTGTTGTTCACCTCTCCAGAATATGGTAATCATCCATATTTGTATTTATTATTCTTATTTTATCAGTAGATGGGGACACATATAGAACTGAGATTTTCTGCGGGTAATCACCAATAAATATTTTTACAAGTATTTGACTTTAAAAGGAGCAAATTTTCTAGATCAAGATCTTAAAAATCACAAACTATGTGGTTCACATTCCATCCATGGGGGCAGAGACTATCCCTTTAGACTTTCTTTTTCCATTTCTTAACTCTTCAGATATCAGGGAGACTCAGATATTAAAATTCTTAAAATCTAATTTGGGAGAGGCCACATGGGTTATGACCCCTGAGAAAAGGCAAGGGTTTATTGGATTTCTTTGGATTATTATCTGTCTTTAGGGATGTTGTGGCACACAGGACATAAGTGAGTACAACCTCTGGCTACTCTGAGCTCTGACGCTGTTGACTGAAATGGGCTAGCATCTTAAAACATTGAAGTTTGTTGTAACAGAAAACTCAACTCTCTGGATGCCTCCTGGTTCTGCAAGTAAGTCAGTGAATGTTTCCCCACTGGTTCCAAATACCAATTGGGGAATTCAAGCCAATGATAATGTTCCTAAAACATGAACAGACTTTGTTTTTCAAGCTGTTCCAGCCTCTACTGCCAACTCCTTCCCTGGGACCCACCAAATACGAATGAACTCGAGATGGAGAGGCAACTCTCCATGAATCTCTCTTGGGGGAACATGGGACCGGCTCATCTCCAGGGCCCTTTTAGCCACTCTAACCCTTTGCTAGGAGCTCCTCAACCTTTGGGACACCAGGGCTGCATTATCTTTCTTATTACAGCGCCCATGCATGCGTGTCAGGCTTTTGCCATGCCAGCAGGTCAAAGATGGGTTGCCTACTTACTTTGTGGGATGCTGCAATCAATTACCTTGCTTTGGAAGCTAGCTCTTGGGAAGCCAGCAGAGGTGTACTTACACCTTGTTCCTAGACTGTAAAACAAGTTTAAGCTTCGCATTTCAGAGCCTTTCTTGTCCACAGCTCATGAAAGGGAGCAACTGATTCTGTTTTCTTTACCCAGCAGCTTCAGCCACTGGGGAAATGGAGCCATTTGATTCAGCTGAGAAATGAAGGCATGTTTTACTTAGATTAGACTCAGGCGATTCTTGTTTTAAGTGGTCCTGTGAAAGTGTTTTCATCACTAAAGTTCCAGCTCTAGGAAACGTGCTCTTTTGTAATAGCCTTGTAGAATATGGCAACCGGTTTCTTCAGACATGAGTTGGAGAGAGCTAAGGCTTCATGAATTGCTTCAAAGGCTGGATGTCTTGAGTGTTACATCAAACTTTGTTTTTATTTTCCTGCATCTGATACTGGCATTTGTGCAGCATCTTGCACTGGGGTAGAATGTCCTGAAAAGTGCTTTAAATTTTGATATTTCCCCTAGTAAATAAGAGGGATAACTTTCCTAATGAAGTTCCTTAGTGCCCTATTCACGGTAGCCAAAATATAAAAACCACCCAAATGACCATCAGCTGATGCATGGGTAAATAAAATGTGACCCATCCAGAAAAGGAACTACTATTCAGCCATAAAAGAACAAAGTACAGTGGTATTGTTTGGATATTTGTCCCCCTCAAATCTCATGTTGAAATATAATCCCTAGTGTTGGAGGTGGGGCCTGGTGGGAAGTGTTTGGGTCATGGGGTAGATCCCTTATGAATGACTTGGTGTCATCCTCATGGTAATGAGTGAGTTCTCTCCTGAGTTCATGGGAGATCTGGTTGTTTACAAGAGAGTGGAAGATCCCCCACGTCTTGCTTCCGCTATTGCCATGTCACATACCTGCTCTCATTTTGCCTTCCACCATGAAAAAAAGCTCCTGAGGCCTTACCAGTAGTCCAGCAGATGCCAGCGCCACATTTTCCGTACAGCCTACAGAACTGTGAGCCAATTAAGTTTCTTTTCTTTGTAAATTACCCAGCCTAGTTACTCCTTTATAGCAACACAAATGGCTTAACACGTATCAATACATGCTACAACATGGATTAATGTTGAAAGCATTATGCCAAGTGAAAGAAGTCAGATGCAAAAGTCCACATATTTCTGATTTTGTTTACATGAAATATGCATAACTGAAAAGCCTATAGAAATCAGATTAGTGGTTGTCAGGGGAGGTGGAAAGAGGGAGTCACTGTTTAATGGTTATAGGGTTTCCTTTTTTTCAAAAAAGCAATGTTTTTGCAAACCCACCACCCTCCAGGGTTTCCTTTTAAACTAATGAAAATGTTCTGAAACTAGACCGTGGTAATAGTTTCACATGTTGTGACTGTATGAAAATGCCATTGAATTTTGCAGTTTAAAATGGCTAAATGGCAAATTTTATGTTATGAGCATTTTGCTACAATAAAAATATTAAAAAAGAAGCAGTATTATAAGGCAAATAAAATATAGTATTTCTATAATAATCATAGAATTGGGCAAGGCTTTTCTATATACAGACTACTAAAGGCATCAAGCAAAGATAAAGAGATACAGCCACTTTAAACATTTAAAACTTCTGCTTAGTATATGATAATAATTGTTGTAACGCATTCGAGAGATACTTGAGAGCGAAAGTTCATAGTTTTAAATATACATATATCCCACAAATCTATGAAAAATTTAGTTTTTAAAAAGCAGTAAGAAACAAATGTCAAAGGAAATTCACAAAAATGTGAATGGTTTCAAACAAAAACATATTCATCTAATATTTTCTAAAATAAAAACTGAAATGAAGAAATAGGTTTTTCTTCATTTGGACTGACTGGAATTTAAGACATTTAAAGCATCTGAAGTAAAACAAGAGTGTATGAAAATAGCACTGCTATATACAGAATTTTAAATTGCCATTGTTATTTTGTAAGATAACTTTATAACTTATATTAAAATTTTAAAATATGCATAACCTATGTCCCTGAAATTCCATTTAAACAATTGTATTCTGTAGAAGTTTACTTTATATTACAGAAGCAATAGGAAGATTGTCTTAAGATATATATGCATAGTAATTTTATTCTGGTAAGTTTAGTAATAACAATAAAAAAATTAGAAATGACCAGAAGGACTTCTGATGAGAGAAGGAAGAGTTTAAATTAAACATAACATAATAAGATGCTCAATAACCATTAAAGAAAATGTGGTACATACACAAGGGAATACTATGAAGCCATAAAAAAGAATGAAATCATGTCCTTTGCAGGGACATAAATGGAGCTACAGGCCATTATCCTAGAAAACTAACACAGGAACAGAAAATCAAATACCGCATGTTCTCACTTATAAATGGGAGCTAAATGTGGAGAACATATGGACATGTGGAGGGGAACAATACACAATGGGGCCTGTTGGCGGGTGGAGGGTGGGACCAGAGAAAGGATTGAGAAAAATGACTAATGGGTATTAGGCTTAATACTTGGGTGATGAAATAATCTGTACAACAAACTCCCATGACACAAGCTTACCTATATAACAAACCTGCACATGTACCCCTGAACTTAAAATGAAAGTTAAAGAAACTTAAGTGGGGCTAATAACAAAGTACCAAAATGGAAAAGTATCTACTATATACAGTTTTGTGAGAAAAGGGAAACAGCTTAGTAATATTTGTAGTACGATCTCAAACTTCCATATTGGAAAGGATAGATTGGGAGAGATTTTATTGCTTGATCATATACTTCAAAATCTAATTTTGTCATCATGATTGAATATTATTTTTGCTTTTTGCATTTTTCTATTTTTAAAAAGTAACTCTACATCTACTTCTATAACTTTTAAAATAATTTATTTCCAGGCTAATCATTGCTATTCCAACCTTGTGCTCTTGGAACAGTGAGAGTTTATATTTCCTCTAGATGCTCTGCTTATTTGCAGAGAATTGTAGTCCTTCCTGATCTCAAGAGGAATTTGTCTTTTCCTACCCTCTTCTTTTGGCTTTCTTGCTGCAGCTCACATTCCCTGATGAGCCCCAAGCCTCTTCTTTCACACAGGCTAATGGAGAAATCAGCATTGGGAGAATATGAATGGTTACCTCATTTGTGCTGGCCCTCTAGGGCTGAGGTTGGCATTTATAATTTTCTAATTTGTAAATGTGTGGCCAGAAATAGCTACAAAATATGTCTTGCGGCACCCAGAGTCTGTTTTCAGGATCTGGAATTAAAATGCACACAAAGAAGTTACCAGGTTGCACACATTCTCTTTATATCTTCTCCCTCACTGTGCTTTTGCTTTCTCCATTGTCTTTCTTCATTTCTCTTTGCTCCATCTGTTACTCTTCTCTTCTTCATCCTCATCTTCACACACGTGGAGTTTTTTAAATTTAGGGATTCATTTAGGAAAATGGCTTCCTGTTGATATCACAGCCCAACACACAATAGCCAGAATGAGGGCTAAAATTGGGTGACTGGAGGAAAGGAAAATCAAGCCTGTCTTACACAGATCTGTTTTACAGTGGCCTGAACTGTAGATTTGGGGAAAAGATGAAAATGATCCATTCCATCTTGGTCATGCTCAGTTTGATCTATCTGTGAGATATACAGGCAGGATATACATGTCTGGGGGTATAGAGGGATCTGGGCTGCAGATACAGGGTAGGAACTCATCACATTATCTATGTCCAAAGATCACCCAGCTAGTAAGTGACAGAGGTTGGATTTATACCCAGGCTAGGTAACTCCCAAACCCTGTACACAACTAACACTCAGTACTGTTGCTTTCTTAGATGACCTGCAATCCCAAAGTCAAGATTCTAAAGATGGCATTATTCCATTGGCTGTAGTCCATGCCATTCCTTCATCTCCAGAGTCTCCATTCCTCATTCCATACCCTTAAGGGGACTTAGAACCATCCTTCCCTTTCCTGTGCTGTGCAGCTTGTGTTTGCCAAAATGAGCTTTAGCCTCTGACATGGTTTGGCTGTGTCCCTATACAAATCTTATCCTGAATTGTAGCTCCCATAATTCCCATGTGTTGTGGGAGGGACCTGGTGGGAGATAATTGAATCATGGGGATGGTTTCCCCTATTCTGTTCTTGTGGTAGTGATTAAGTCTCACAAGATCTGATGGTGATATGGGAGGGGGTTACGGAAGTGCTGGATAGAGAAGGGCAGGGTCCCTGGTGAGGGGTCCATCCTAGGGCCTATGCCCACAGACCTGTGTGAGGACAGGCATTCCTGTTTTCACGCCCAAATGTTGCAATTTCCAAGACCACTCTGGACCACCACGTCCCCCCCATCCTGTGCCTGTAAAAACCCTGAGACCCTAGTGGGCACACACACAAGTGGCTGTACGTTGAGAGAAACACACTGATAGAAGAACACACTGACAGATGTCAGCAGTGACGGTGGAACGATATGGATGACATGGAATTAGGGCGAGGGCGGTCAGAAGAGAGCCCTGCGGCTGAGGGGCCCAACTCCAGGAGAAGACCACCTTCCCACTCCATTCCCCTTCTGGCTCCCTGTACATCTGCTGAGAGCTACCTCCACTTAATAAAGCCTTGTACACATCCTCCCAGCCCACGTGTGATCCGATTTTTCCAGTATTAGGGCAAGAACCCAGGATACAGAAAGTCCTCTATCCTTGCAATAAGGCAGAGGGTCTAATTGAGCTGATTAACACAAGCTGCCTGTGGACAGCTAAACTGAAATTGCACACTGTAACGCATACCCACTAGGACTTCGGGAGCTGCAAACTCAACCCTAGACGCTGCCTTGGGGTTGGAGCCCCACGACCTGCCCATCTGCATACGCTCTCCCTAGCGGTCCGAGCTGCAGGGCACAGAAAAAGCAAGCCGCATCCTTGTTGCACGCCCTGCAAAGGGGATAAAAGAACTTTTCCCGTTTCAATGGTTTTATAAGGGCAAACTCCTTTCATTTGGTTCTCATTTTCTTTCTTGCCTGCTGCCATGTAAAACATACCTTTTGCCTTCCACCTTGATTTGTGAGGCCTCCCCAGCCACGTGGAACCATGAGTCCATTAAACCTCTTTTTCTTTATAAATTAACCCAGTCTCAGATATGTCTTTATCAGCAGCATGAGAACAGACTAATACAGCTTCCTTTCCCTTCAATCTGATAGCATTTTGCAAGTACTAAGTTCATGTTGTCAAATATATAAACAGTTATCACATTTCAGGTAAATATACTAGCTTTCTATTAATCTAGGAGTCAGGTGGATTGAATAATAAATTAGAACACCTTTCTTCACAGCTATTTGTTCAATAATATAGTAAATGATTAAGGAAGGAAATCAGCTGTGGGTATCTGGTTTCCCCAGATGTCAAGCAATTTGGTGCAGCTTTTTTAACGTGGAAATTCTGGTCAATCACAGTGGCTCACGCCTGTAATCCCAGCACTTTGGGAGGCCAAGGCAGGTGGATCACTTGAGGTCAGGAGTTCAAGACCAGCCTGGACAACATCATGAAACCCTGTCCCTACCAAAAAATACAAAAATTAGCCAGACATCGTGGCTTGAGCCTATAATCTCAGCTACTTGGGAGGCTGAGGCAGGAGAATAGCTTGAACTCAGGGGTGGAGTTTGCAGTAAGCTGAGATCCTACCACTGTGCTTCAGCCTAGGTGACAGAGTGAGACTCTGCCTCAAAATAAATAAATATAAATGAATAAATAAAGTCAAAGTGGAAGTTCTGAGTCTTAGAGCAATCATAAACTGTAGCTTTCAGGCATATGCCAGAAAATCTGAGCTTCAGCTGGTGGGAGCTGGAGGAGTCCTTGAGGATTATTTATTCTTCAGGTGTCAAGTTGCAGATGATAAGGAAGCTGATCCCACAAATGTGAAGTGATATATTCCCTTCAAGGTCTTCCCCTGTCTGGGTTAAGCATCCCTAATTGTTTCAACAGTTCTTCAAATGAAAGTATTTAAATGTCCTGCTGTCTTTTCTCTATGTGGCTTAAGTTTGTCTATGTTCTCCATATCTAAAATCCAGAATAGAATTTATTGCTTCAGACTTTAGCAGATTATTACAGGACAAATTAGGATTAGTAATTCCAGTTTCCTTAAGTTAATGTTTTTGTAAATAATCAAGGTGCTTCCTTGTTTTCCATAAAATATGATTGCTGATAAAGCAGTTCCTTTTAATATATCTTATACAGTTGGAGTTCTTGCTATATTTAAAATTTAATTCTTGAGATGGCTTAACTCTTGCTCATAAATCCTCAGTGGTAGAAAGGGGGCTTAATTATCTATATGAGAATGAAATAAATGATGTTCCTTGAATCAATTACTGCTTTGTATCTCCTTCAGCATCTGGAAGGCCAGGTTAACCCCACTGAGCATTGAAAGCCACTAAATTATGCCATATTTCATTAGAGTGTACTACCGAGATAAAGTTTTGGGTTTTCTAAACTATGAAACGGGGATTATCCAACTTTTTTTCTTGTATGTGTTGTACCGAAAAGGTGATTAGAAAGGTAAACTTATGGTTTATTTTATCTATCAACTTGACTGGGCCACAGTGTGCCCAGATATTTGGTTAAATGTTATTCTGTGAGTGTCTTGGGATGATAGTAAAATTTAAATTAGAAGACAGAGTAAAGCTGATTTTCCCCCACCCACTTCCAGTATGGGCAGGCTTCATCCGATCTCTTAGAGGGAAGAACAGAAAAAAAAAAAAAAAGGCTGAGGAAGGGAGAATTTACTCTTCCTGCCTGTCTTTGAGCTGGAACATGGATCTTCTCTGGCCTCATGAACTTGACCTGAAATTTATACCATTGACTCTCCTGGTTTTCAGGCTGTCAGACTTAATCTGGAACTCCATCACTCGCTCTCCTGGGGCTCCAGTTTGCTGGCTGCAGATCTCAAGACTCCTCAGCCTCCATAATCATGCAAGCCAATTTCTTATAAGTGTGTATGTGTGGGTGTGTGTGAATAAACCGTGGACTTTCCTCATGTCTTGTATTGAGGGTTTAAGTTCCTATTTTCCAGACCTGAAGGAACAGAATGACCAAAGTTGACACTGGTTTCTCTCCATCATGCATGCGAGTACTTACGCTGTGCCAGACACTGAGGTAGGCACCAAGGATGCCAAATGCAGGCAAGGCCAGAATTGGTGCCAGACATCATGGTACTTACAACATTTGAGAAAAGGGATGCTGACCAGTCATCAGAGAATAAATGCCATATATTAAAAGATTAACAAAGCTCTCTAACAATTGTTTACACCTCTGTCTCCTTCATTGCCTAGTGACTCCTGGGAATTACTAGACCCTTAACTTTAGACCCTATCATATTCTCTGACACATAAGAGATGCTATGAATGTAAACATTTGTTGACCCAGTCTAAATGTGGTACTTATACACATGGAATACCATGCAACCTTAAAAAACAAACAAGATCATTTCCTTTGCAGGGACATGGATGGAGCTACAGGCCACTATCCTTAGAAAATTAACACAGGAACAGAAAACCAAATACCGCATGTTCTCACTTATAAGCTGGAGATAAATGATAAGAACACATGGGCAGATAGAGGAGAACAACACACAATGGGCCCTATTGGTGGGTGGAGGCTGGAAGGTGGGAGAGGATCAGGAAAAATAACTAATGAGTACTAAGCTTAATACCTGGGTGATTAAATAATCTGTACAGCAAACCCCCATGACACGAATTTACCTATGTAACACACCTGCACATGTACACTTTAACTTAAAATAAAAGTTAAAAATAAATAATAAATGTAGGATTAAAAATTATTGAAAGAATGAATTGATTAATTTAACAAAGAAAAAGAAATGGGCACTGCAAGGAGAATGGAAGTACACAGAAGTCCACTTTAGCTGTTTGTCTAGTGCAAGTTCTACTTAGCAGTCTTGATTTGAAGAGTGAACTTGAAGTCTAGCAGAACCATGTTTTATTTATTTTCATAAAACATTACTTGAGCAGCTACTATAAACCAGGCTCTTTGCTAGGCCCAGGGATATACAGAAGAAGAGGACAGAGGCCTGTACTATAATAGCTAAGAGTATAGTAGATAGTAGGATGCATTGGTCTCATTAAAGGCATCTTCTCCTTTTCCCGGGGAAGATGAGGAGGAGCTAAGACTGAGAAGGCAATCACAGAGAAAATAATGTACAATCCAGAACACATCTGTCTACTTTAGTGAATTACTTACTTGGGTTTAATTTACAAGAAAAGCCCAATCAAGGCCAGTGAAGAGTACTTTTGAAATCCTTGGGGCATATAATTAGCTTTGCTTTTAACCTTGCTGACATAGAATGAACAGATTTTTAATAATGTTTAATTACTAAATTGTACCTTTCTTTTTAAGGAACTACTCCAAGTGGCACTCCAGGGGGATTTTTTTTTTTTTTTTTTTTAGCTCTTATGAAACTGTTTGTTGCATTCAGTATAAAAGATACAAGAGGCAGAGCTGGATTGGCTGGCTAAATCTTAGATGACTTTGTAGCCTGCATGGCAACTTCATGACATTAAAATCAGGTAATGTCTAGGCTAAGGCTGCCTCAGAGAGAAAGGCTTTTACAAAGACCTTTTATCCCTCAATATTACAACACCCCAAGCCTCCCCCAGTGCTTCCATCTCTTGTCACCTGGCACCACTCTGTCTCCTCTTATTGGTCCACCCATATCCACACTGGGGCAGGGGTTAGAAAGGAAAATGATAAGGAAGAAACTTTATTAGGAGATTGAGCTTGTTACATTGCTTTTTCCTTTTATTTCAAGATATTTCTCTCTTTATCTTCTTTTAATGCCAGGAATTCACCATTAAATATTGGTTTTACTATTAATAATTGTATGGAAGCTTTGGTTGCAATGATATAAAACCTGACTACAATTGGTATAAAAACCAAAGGAAATGCAATTGCTTGAATAACTGAAAAATACCTTGGTAATCTAGATTCATGCACAGCTTGAACCAGAGGCACAAGTAAATGTCACCAGGACCTATATTCTCCTAGTTTCCTTGGCCTGCCTTCTTCTGGGTCAATTTCAATGGAAGTTTAATTTTCCTTAAAGTTGAAAAATTGCTGTCAATAATTTCTTAAAGCTATATATACCTTCACTTTCATGTCCAGCAGGAAATAGAATATCATTGTCCCAATACTTGTAGTATTATAGTATAATTTACCATGGTTGTAATGGCTTAGGTCACTTATTATTCTCTGGTCAATCTATGCGGTCAGAGAGAAGAAATGTACTGATAGGCTTAGCCCTAGTTCACATGGTACAATCCTAGAAACAGGGTCAAAGGGGTAATGTTACTTTTTCAAGATCACAGATCTAGTGAGTTAGTAGGAGTATACGTCTCGTGTTCTCTATGACACACCAAATGCTGCAAACTACCTGTAAGAATTCAATGCACTCTTTTATTTATGCACAAAAGAGGAGTTTAACTCTTTGCATCTGATTGTACAATTTTCTGTCTTTAATTTAGTTATGATTGTTCCGCTGACCAATTCTGTGATCCTAAAGCAAATTGAAGTCCTTCACCCTCTGCCAGCATCAGAGGTTATTAACAAAGGCAATGTAACAAGGTCAATCTCCTAATAAAGTTTCCTCCTTATCAATTTCCTTTCTAACCCCTGCCCCAGTGTGGATATGGGTGGACCAATAACTGGAGACAGAGTGGTGCCAGGTGACAAGAGATGGAAGCACCGAGGGCGGCTTGGGGTGTTGTAATATTGAGGGATAAAAGGTCTTTGTAAAAGCCTTTCTCTCTGAGGCAGCCTTAGCCTAGACATTACTTGATTTTAACATCATGCTTCTCATCTCTAAGGTAAGAAAGAGAATGTCTTTGCTCCATCAGGACACATGCATTAATGCCCACAGAAGCACTTATAAATTTCGGAGGGCTACACAAATATATGATGTTGTTATCTTTAGTGGTAGCATTAATTGTCATTGGCTGTTACACAGCTTCTTTGACTATGATGGACCCTGGTAATCAGGGATTCCTTAGTTGACTGCGAGCTCTCTGAGGACAAGGATTAGGTCTGTTTGGGAAACTATTTCTGACCACAGAGCATAGTTCTGAGCACATGATATAATGCTCAAGAATAATCAGCTGAATTAATAATGTAGTCCACATGTTCAATAGGCTGAGATTTAGAAGGCTAGAGCATTCAACATGGTTAGGAAATTTCTAGGAATTCACAAATACAATGAAGAGTTTCAGAAACAAAGAAACTACAGAAAGTGATAACATTTTCCAGCAAATTCCTTAAGGATTTCTATGAACATAGTACTGTGGTATGTGGTTAGAAATGATTCAATATACTAAATCTATCTAAGTTATCAAATGAAAAGTAAACTTACTAAAAAATAAGAGCCCACACAAATATCAGTGGCTGCATCTAAGGTTCAAGAGGGCTAAGTCTTGAGGTGGTAAAAGTGTGAGAAATTTTTGAGGAATAACAAAGCAAACAAGAAACCCTATGACATCTTTAGGAAACCTCATAGGGCATTATGTTTGTTTCATGCCAACTGAAGGCATAAGCAGTTGTTGTTTATTTGTATGGTTTCAAATGGATTTTGAAGGCAGATTGGGTGCTAACAGGTTTTGCCATAATAAAGAAAAACGTTACCAAATACGTAGTACAGTGCCAAACAGTCTCTAATCAATAACTGGTGTCTGTGTGTTGAGGTAGGTCAAAAAAGCTTCTTATCAATAAGGTCGGAATAGAGCTGGTGACAGTAGAATTCTAAAATCTACTCAACAAGATATGTGCCAAGCCTGGATAGAAATGTAATAAGGGAGGCTGGGGAGGTAAAGAAAAGGTTGAGGGGGATGGAGCATAGATATCAGCAATCTGCGTGAAAATGGAGATGCAGGGATTGTAAGGAAATATTCCTGCAGCCCAGAGACCCATTCTAGAAACTGCTCCCATGCATTTGCTGGGCTCTTAGCAGATCGTTCCCATGATTTTATGCAGTGAATCACTCTATGTCCTATGCTGCCCTGGAGCTAACCCTGAGAAGCTGAATAAACTTGCACAAGTTATTTGACCACAATGTGTCTCTCTTTTATCATCTAGCAGCAAGAGATAACAGTAAGTTATTATGAGGGTCAAAGGGAAGAATACACGGAAAGCCCATAGAACAGTGGTTAACACACAGGAAGAAATCAGCAAAGCTGGCTATGCTTATTTATGACACACCTCACTTTACCTGCTTAGAACAAGTCTCAATTACAAAAGAAAATCAACTCAAGATTCATAAGGTGCTTCCTATGTAGCTGCAAAAGTGCTGGCCATGGGGTATACATAGAGAAGAGACTCACACTCTGTCCTGAGAAGTTGCTGATCAATTGAGTTACTGGGAGACAAAAAACAGCCTAAATTCTTTTCTGTCCTGTGAGCAGCCATTTCAGATTCTACAGGAGGCTGTTTTTCTCTGTTTCAAAAGACAGCTGGGTTTTCGGGTGTCAAGAAGAGTTGAAACTCAACCATTTGGTGAGAGGCTGGAGGGGGTCTTTATAAATAGAAAACAAGTGGGAAGAGGTTTTATTGAGGAAATAAAAGCACCTGTATATTTTCAAAATAGTGCAATTTTATAGAAATGTTCCACTTTGGAGTTGAACAATGAGAACACAAGGACACAGGGAGGGGAACATCACACACCGGGGCCTGTTGGAGGGTGGGGAGCTAGGGGAAGGATAGCATTAGGAGAAATACCTAATGTAGGTGATGGGTTGATGGGTGCAGCAAATCACCATGGCACGTGGATACCTATGTAACAAACCTGCACATTCTGCACATGTACCCCGGAACTTAAAGTCTAATAAAAAAAGAAAAAGAAAAAAGAAATGTCCCACTTTGTAGTGGTCTGCTTAAAATGACTTGGCCCTAATTTGGGAAGTTGCATACACTGCAATGAAGAGAATCTAAAGAGCAAATTCAGTGGCCTCTTCCCATTTGCCTTTATGGAACAAATAAGTCAAAAGTTTTATTTTCTATCCTATACAGAGTCAAAGAGGAGAAAACAGAGTATCTCAAAAAGAGGTAGGCAAGCATGAGTTCATTATGGAGGCATTATTTTAACCAAATTATTCTAGAAATAAAAATGTACTGGGGAGAAACATATTAAAAACGTGTGTGTGTGTGTTTATAAACCTAGAAGAAAGAAAAAAAATTCAGAGCCTGGAATTAATGTAAGTTCAGTTCCAAGCTAGGATAATTTCTTTTATCTGGTTTAAATACATGAAACAAGGGGGAATTTGTTGAGCACCTGGTTATTAGCTCCAATGCAAGGGGACTCAAGAAGGAGAAAGGCAGATTTTTCTCTTGGAGGCAATCCCATACTTGAAGTGGGCTCCAAATACCAGTCTACAGAGGTCAGCCTGTGCTGAACGTCTAACAATGCTAGTTATTTCCTCATTATTATGTTCATTTTTGCTTTGGTAAAAGGAGAATCCCTGGGCTTTCCTGGGGAATGCAGTTATGGGGTCATGGATAGGAAGATCCCTACTTTCTTGCCCATTCTTTTTTTTCCCTCAATACTATGCCGAGGCAGTTCTGACATCTTGATCTCATTTACTGGGGGTCATCACTGTGTCTAAGGTTCAAGAAGTCAACCTAGCAAACCAATATCCAATCCTTCCTGGAATCTAATTATGGAGTTGCATTTGAGTTCTCTAGGTTACTGAATTCTGTAGTCATGTTCCCCTAGTTCCTGTAGTACATAGTCATGTTTTGCAATTGTTTAGATGTATATGTTTTTTTCTTCTGGATCAGGGATTATATATTGTCACTTAAATTGGTCTCAGGTCTAACCTTCGTTATTAGCCTGAATGCTTTGAGGGGTAATGAAGTAAATATACAAAAAAAGCCATTTTGTGAGGCATCTGTTTAGGTGAGGCCATTGCATGTTTGGAGGCAAATGGAAGATACACTATTTTAGCAAATTGGCCTGGATTCCCCCAGGGATACAGCCTAGCCATGATGCAAATGTGGCATAATAATGTGATGCTGTGTCTGTGGCTACATGTGGGGCTGGCTGTGGCAGTAGTAGAAACCTGGATTGAAGCCATAAGGACATAGCAACCCATTGCTAAGACCTCTGTAGGCCAGGGGAGTAGAAGGTGTGTTGGTCTAAGGTGATGTAAAAATCAAATTCAACAGAGACTCCTTTTTTGTAAGCATGCTGAAATGTCCTGGCACTTCCACTTTGCTTTACTGTAAGCCATCTTCCAGTCCAGGCCTGGAGGAGCCATCTATCTCACCAAACTCATCTCAGATCATTAATATCAAGTATTAGGTAAGTGCCTTCATGCCAATAAATTCTATCCTGTTCATTGTTCTATTTTTCTCACCTGGTTAACAGCCACCATACTTACTCTTACATGCATTTATTCAGTTCCTTCCAGATCATATGAGCTAGATTTTACAAGTCTGTTAGTGTATAGCCCTTCTCTTCTGGGACTCTGCTAAACTTGACTCTAGTTATAAAGCTGGGGACAGGGAAAGTGGTAGGAGATCAAGTATCATAGTGCAAGGCACCAGTTCAGGTGAATCCATTGCATGATCCCCAGGCAAAAGGAGATCTCATCTGGAAAAGAGTAAAACGCTTCTTCTGCTATGTGGAGAGTTTAGAGGATTAGAGTTTAGAAGATTAGGAGGTGGCTAATATCTGGCTCATTAGCCTAGATATTCCTATCCAACACCTATCTTATATCGTATCCCAAAT
The DNA here is from genome assembly GCF_000001405.40 of Homo sapiens. NCBI lineage: Eukaryota > Metazoa > Chordata > Mammalia > Primates > Hominidae > Homo > Homo sapiens. The sequence goes on along the minus strand of NC_000008.11, from coordinate 131,598,588 downwards.
AATCCTTTTCCAAGATTCAGCTTTCTTCTTATCAGGCCTCTGATTTTGATATATGAGACTTGTTGAGACAGTTCCTTTAATCTTTGCAATTCTTCCACCCCTGCTACAATCTATTCTACTGCATAGTCTGTCCTTTGGCTGCCAGGGCTAAAAGTGTCTTTTAATTTATCATAGATGTTTCTGGCTTTTAGATCATGCTTACAGTTGACAATTAACCAGCACTGGAATTTTTTTTGGTGTGTGTAGAAAATCTCCCATGCCCCCTCCCCCCAGAAAATGACTCTGCTCCACAATTCTTATAATTTTCATAGGTACCAAATTGATTAAGCATCAGAGCTACTCAATCTCCCAAAGTTTTCTTCTGATCCCATTAATGACAGATAGAAACCTATGTACTCATGATGCCACTTACTACAAGCAATAGAGTTTTATTGCCTTCACACCAGTGGGAAATCCAATTCCTAAATTCTTTCTGAGAGTGTTTGTAAGACCACTTCTGTTACCAATAATCTTAGGTAGGGTTTTCTAGAAGCAGAACCTGAGATATAAATTAACTGTCAATGTTTTATTTGGGAAATATAATCTTAGGAGGCAAGAGGGAGGGAAAAGTGAAGAAAGTAAGCAAACATGGGAAACAATGCAAAACAATGCATTAACCACTCTGGCCTCTGCTTCATGTTGAGCCAAGAAGAGCCCTATTTGGTTTCTATGAAGGTATGTCCTGTTTGTCATGAGGGCATTCTTGACATATCTGGCTGTACAGAACAGCGCATTGACATGTTGTAGAGAGAAACAGAAAATTGGCCACAGGCTCTCTACTTTTTCCCGTCCCACTGGTTAAAATTTCCAACACTGAACTGACCCCTTTGACAGCTGCTATGGAACCCAGGTCCTGGGACACACAGGTGGGAAGAGGGAAGAAGAGCCAGAGACCCTAAACTGTTCAATATCAGGTCATAGATGGCCTGGGTTCACATGTGGTCTGTGAGTCATGGTGATAGCTGAGGCTAAGTTTGTGAGTATATGTGTGGGAGACAGTTGAGAATGAGAGACTCTGAGAAGGCACATAGATATGTTTGATGTATGAGGTTTTGTGAGAGAATGACTGAGTCCACTCAAGGAGAAACAGGGATAAAATGCAAATACCCATTAGTTATAAGGTTTGTTTTCTGACTTGCCTTGATCAGAAGTTGTGCACAATCTCAAAAACCCTACCAGGAATAAGAACCAGAGTATACGTATTAAATATGTACAGTGTGTAAATAATTGTCCTAAACACTTTGTATGTTATATCTTCTTTTGTCCTCACAATAGTTTATGAGGTAAGTGCTGCTATTAACCTCGTTTTCATATTAGAAAACTGAAGTTCAAAAATATGAAGTAACGTTCTGAATATCATGCAGCCATTAACTGACAAGGCCATGATTCAAACTGACAGCCACCTGATTCTAAAGACCACCTCTTAAACTAAATATGAACTGCCTTGAATATCTGAACATAGTTCAAAATATTTCTCCTAGTGTTCTCTTTTTTACAGGCAAATATACTTACATGCCAGGAGCACTTATTGCCCATAAGACATTTGAAAATTCAACATTAAACTTGTTGAAGCTTAGCTCCAAAGCCACCCTCAAATAAAGACAGGCCTAGCCTAGGTCCCTTGGGTGGCACACGTCTGGCCTGCAGTAACCCTGACCTCTCACGGAGCACACACATACGGCAGAGACCTGACCTGAATGTGGTTCTCAGGCAGAAGCTTATTGTGTAGAACCTTGGCACACTGTCAAGGGGGAATAGGGCCTCTTTTAGTGAGATACTGGACCTCACAGGCTCTGAACCAACAGTGATGGCTACTGTAGCCTTGTAGTATAGTTTGAAGTCAGGTAGCGTGATGCCTCCAGCTTTGTTCTTTTGGCTTAGGACTGACTTGGCAATGCGGGCTCTTTTTTGGTTCCATATGAACTTTAAAGTAGTTTTTTCCAATTCTGTGAAGAAAGTCATTGGTAGCTTGATGGGGATGGCATTGAATCTATAAATTACTTTGGGCAGTATGGCCATTTTCACGATGTTGATTCTTCCTATCCATGAGCATGGAATGTTCTTCCATTTGTTTGTGTCCTCTTTTATTTCATTAAGCAGTGGTTTGTAGTTCTCCTTGAAGAGGTCCTTCACATCCCTTGTAAGTTGGATTCCTAGGTATTTTATTCTCTTTGAAGCAATTGTGAATGGGAGTTCACTCATGATTTGGCTCTCTGTTTGTCTGTTATTGGTGTATAAGAATGCTTGTGATTTTTGCACATTGATTTTGTATCCTGAGACTTTGCTGAAGTTGCTTATCAGCTTAAGGAGATTTTTGGCTGAGACAATGGGATTTTCTAAGTATATGATCATGTCATCTGCAAAGAGGGACACTTTGACTTCCTCTTTTCCTAATTGAATACCTTTTATTTATTTTTCCTGCCTGATTGCTCTGGCCAGAACTTCCAACACTATGTTGAATAGGAGTGGTGAGGGAGGGTACCAAAACAGAGATATAGACCAGTGGAACAGAACAGAGCCCTCAGAAATATTACCACACATCTACAAACATTGGATCTTTGACAAACTTGACAAAAACAAGAAATGGGGAAAGGATTCCCTATTTAATAAATGGAGCTGGGAAAACTGGCTAGCCATAGGTAGAAAGCTGAAACCGGATCCTTCCTTACACCTTATACAAAAATTAATTCAAGATGGATTAAAGACTTAAATGTTAGACCTAAAACCATAAAAACCCTAGAAGAAAACCTAGGCATTACCATTCAGGACATAGGCATGGGCAAGGACTTTATGTCTAAAACACCAAAAGCAACGGCAAAATTGACAAATGGTATCTAATTAAACTAAAGAGCTTCTGCACAGCAAAAGAAACTACCATCAGAGTAAATGGGCAACCTACAGAGTGGGAGAAAATTTTTGCACTCATCTGACAAAGGGCTAATATCCAGAATCTACAAAGAACTCAAATTAATTTACAAGAAAAAACAAACAACCCCATCAAAAAGTAGGTGAAGGATATGAACAGACACTTCTCAAAAGAAGACATTTATGCAGCCAACAAACATATGAAAAAATGCTCATCATCACTGGCCATCAGAGAAATGCAAATCAAAACCACAATGAGATACCATCTCACACCAGTTAGAATGGCAATCATTAAAAAGTCAGGAAACAACAGGTGCTGGAGAGGATGTGGAGAAATAGGAACACTTTTACACTGTTGGTGGGAGTGTAAACTAGTTCAACCATTGTGGAAGACAGTGTGGCGATTCCTCAAGGATTTAGAACTAGAAATACCATTTGACCCAGCCATCCCATTACTGGGTATATACCCAAAGAATTATAAATCATGCTGCTATAAAGACACATGCATACGTATGTTTATTGCGGCACTATTCACAATAGCAAAGACTTGGAACCAACCCAAATGTCCATCAGTGATAGACTGGATTAAGAAAATGTGGCACATATACACCATGGAATACTATGCAGCCATAAAAAATGATGAGTTCATGTCCTTTGTAGGGACATGGATGAAACTGGAAACCATCATTCTCAGCAAACTATGGCAAGGACAAAAGACCAAATACCGCATATTCTCACTCATAGGTGGGAATTGAACAATGAGAACACTTGGACACAGGAAAGGGAACATCGCACATTGGGGTCTGTCGTGGAGTGGGGAGAGTGGGGAGGGATAGCATTAGGAGATATACCTAAAGTAAATGAGGAGTTAATGGGTGCAGCACACCAACATGGCACATGTATACATATGTAACAAACATGCATGTTGTGCACATGTACCCTAGAACTTAAAGTATAATATTAAAAAAAAACAGTGATGGCTCTTTCATGCTTAGGGTGAGCAGGTTCCATGAAGAGAGAAAATGGACCATGTCTCCTTGGGCCTGAGTGTTCACACCTGCACAGTAGTTTTCTGATTCAGCAGTCTGGAAACAACCTTCTGTTTCACCCAGTCACAATCCAACAATGGTGAATCCTATTATTTTAATCATCACAGGTTCTTCATTGGTAGTAAAATATTTTACTTTTTCTCTATTCTTCAGCCATGGAGGTTCCAGGCATTCTTTATTTCAATTTTAAAAATAATAAACTTTTGGAAGAAAAGCCCTTCTTGATTCCACATAAATATTAGTTACTCTGATATACATGCTTAATCTTTTTTTTTCTCCTTCTTAACAACTTACATCAATTACTTTTAGGCTTCATTTCTTACATGAATATGTTTTCCCCTCTGCTAAACTGCAAGTTTCCTAAGGGTAGGGAGCATGGTTGTCTTCTTTTCTGCAATATTTCCATTGCTTGTTACAGTGCTGGGTATCTAGTACATGCCCCAAAACAATTTTTGTCTTTTTGAATAAATGAATAAAACTGCACCTCTTAACACCTCAGAATTAGAGGAGTTATTTGAGTCATCCCTGCATTCTGAAACTAGACTTTCTTTCCTAAATATTGGGCAAATATAAAGGTTTTCCATCCTTTTCTTAAGATCCTCTTCTTGTAGGCTGTTCATCGATTTATGCATGTATTTCTGAAACTATAATGTATGTCTCAGTCAGAATGAAGTTCTTTAGATCCCTACATGTTTAGGTTAGTATTGACCCTCAGACCCAGGCAGAGATGGGCCTGAAGATAAGGATTAGATTTTTCCAGCCCTGAGAGAATGGGAGCCAGGAAGTACATTGCCAAGACAGCTAGTATATAGATTGATGTCTTTGATGTCTCGCTAGTGCCTTCTTCCCTGCTCCAGAAAAATCATATACTTTTGGGATGACATATAATTAACAATAAAAATGCTAGTGAGAAAAGCACACATTTTTAATATTTAGATAATGACTATGTTAGTGATTATCATACTAGATATGAGTTAATGATTAATTGGGATTATTATTGTAATAGTAGCAGGAGAACAGTTTTACAAAAGAGATTAATTAGAAATAAATTTTCAAGAAGCTGGAATGGATAAGACAAAGAGGACGAGGCTTAATTATATAGTGTAAAGAGCATCAGATATGTCACTAGAGATGTAGATTTGATTGGCTAACAGACACATGCATTTATTCTGTAAGTATACATTGGTCATCTATGATGTGCTAGACAATCTATGTTTTGGAGTTATGGCAGTGATCACAAGAAAAAATTGGTATCTTCACTGAGTTTACATTCTGTTATAGGTTGAGTTGTGACACTCCCCCCAAAATTAGTATGCTGAAGTACTAACCTCCAGTACCTCAGGATGTAACCTTATTTGAAAATAAGATCACTGCAGTTAAGGTGAGTTCATAATGAAGAAAGATCATCTCCTAATCCAATAAGACTGGTATCTTTTGCAAATGGGTAGCCCACTTTAAGAAGGGACAAGACAATATTGAAGATGAAGCCTAAGATGGGAGACCATCCATAAAAATCTGAGAGGAAAAAAATCAATCTTGTTCATGCCAAAATGGAAGAGAACCAATGATTAACAGTACAAACAATAGCCAACACCATAGACATTTCAGTTGATTCAGCTTACATGATTCTGACTGAAAAATTGAAGTTGTGCAAAGTTTCCACTCGATGGGTGCCAAAGCCATTGTACCCAGATCAGCTGCAGACAAGAGCAGAGCTTTCAAAAAAATGTTAAACAAGTAAGATCAAGATTCTGAAGCATTTCTTCAAGGAATTGTAATAGAAGATGAAATAGGTTAACGGTATGATCCTGAAGACAAAGCACAGTCAAAGCAATGGCTACCAAGAGGTGGAAGTGGTCCACTCAAAGCAAAAGCACATTGATCAAGAGCAGAAATCATGGCAACGTTTTTTGGGAGATTGTATTAGTCTGTTTTCATGCTGCTGATAAAGACATACCCAGGACTGGGCAATTTACAAAAGAAAGAGGTTTAACTGACTTACAGTTCCATGGGGCTGGGGACGCCTCACAAGCATGGTGAAAGATGAAAGGTATGTCTCACATGGTAGCAGACAAGAGAAGAGAGCTTGTGCATGGAAACTCCCCTTTTTAAAACCATCGGATCTCATGAGACGTAGTCACTGACACAAGAACAGCACGGGAAAGACCTGCCCTCATAATTCAATTACCTCCCATCAGGTTCCTCCCACAACATGTGGAAATTCAAGATGAGATTTGGGTGGGAACAAAGCCAAACCATATGAGGGATGCTCAAGGTATTTTTCCTGTGACATTTCTGGAAGGCAAAAGAACACTAACATCTGCCTATTATGAGACTGTTTTGGGAAAGTTAGCCAAAGGTTTAGCAGAAAAATGCCCTGGAAAGCTTCATCAGAGAGTGCTTCTTCATGGTGACAATCCTCCTGCTCATTCCTCTCATCAAACATGGATAATTCTGTGAGATTTTCAGTGGGAAAGTATTAGGCATCCACCTTCCAGCTATGATTTGGCTTGTTCTGACTTCTTTTTGTTTCCTAATCTAAAAACATCTGTAAAGGGCACCCATTTTTCTTCAGTTAATAATTTTAAAAAGATTGCATTGACATGGCTAAATTCTCAGGATTCTCACTTTTTAGGGATGGACTAAATGATTGATATTGTCACTAAAAAAGTGTCTTGAACTTGATGGGGCTTATATTGGGATATAAAGTTTATATTTTTAATTTTTATCTTTCCACAAACTTTTTGAAGTCTCCTTGTAAACTAATATGAATAATTTCTCCCATCCCTAAATTTAAGCCCTGATTTGCTTGCCAATAAATTTAAAGGCTTTTTTTCTTCCTTTTTTTGTCCCCTCAAACATAACAAAGACACACTCTCTGAAACTCTAACAGTGAAGACATAGGGAGAAAGTATGAGACTTTAGCCTCGGGACTGAATGGAGTCAGAGTTGAATGCCCTGCATCATTAGGCATTTCTCATACTTTTGCTTGCCCTGGTGATTGATGAAGTCATCTAGTCGTCTTCTTGTTTGGTAGATGCATGGTTCATATTTGGAATTTACTAACTTTGTTCTTGTTTTTGTTCTTCTTTAAGATATATTAAGGTTCCAAATCCTCATAAATGGAAAACACAGAGAGTAAAGGGATGTTGTTCACTGATCATGTTCCTTTTTTTTCTTTCTTTTATCCATTTAATTAGTTATCATTAATTTAGATAGTTCCCAAAGGCATTTTCCTCAGGAAGTAGCTGAACTCAGGAGGCTGAGATGAAAGGATTGCCTGAGCCCAAGAGGTCAAGGCTGCAGTGAGCTGTGATCGTGCCACTGCACTCAAGCCTAGGTGACAGGGCAAGATCCTGTCTCCGAAAAAAAACCAAAATTGTCATGGAACAAAAGGTAAAAATAGGGCTGGGCATGGTGGCTCATGTCTGTAATACCAGCACTTTGGGAGGCCGAGGCAGGTGTATCACTTGAGGTCAGGAGTTCGAGACCAGCCTGGCCAACATGATGAAACCCCGTCCCTACTAAAAATACAAAAATTAGTTGGGTGTGTGGTGTGTGCCTGTAATCCCAGCTACTCAGGAGGCTGAGTCAGGGGAATCCCTTGAACCTGGGAGGTGGAGGTTGCAGTGAGCTGAGATCATGCCCCTGCACTCTAGCCTGGGCCACAGAGCAAGACTCCATCTCAAAAAATAAATAAATAAATAAATAAATAAATAAATAAATAAATAAATGTGATGAAACTAATATCAGATGAAAGTATTTTCTTCATTTGCTTATTTACTCATTCAGTCATTCCTACTAACTCATTTATTTGTCCATGCATTCATGAAGGCCAGGCACTGTGATAGCAGCTAGAAACATAATGATAAACCAAATAGCCTTGGTCCATGTCCTCATGTAGCTCACACTGTAGACAAGAGGAAAAATGATATTACATGCAATAGAAGTAACATGTAAGAAATCCTATGATACTAAAATAACAGGATGCCATAGGAGCAGGTAAATGTCCCCCAGTTGTCTAGTGTGGTCATGGAAGAACATAAACCAATTTGTGACTCATGAAGTCTCCTGGTATTGAATCCCATTTCCTTTTTAATTAAAGGTGCAAGAATTCATGTGATTCAGAAACTGAATAGCAAAAAATTGAGATGAATATATTACTCTATAAAAATGAATCTGAAACATCAGAGTACTAAAGAACCAACTGAAAAATATTTTTAAGTATGTGGATTCCTGGGCCTCATGCCTCCCCCACCAAACTCCCATCCTCTAGCCCAGAGATTCTGATTAAATAGGATTGGTGTGGGGCTCAGAAATTTGTATGTTTGGTGGGCATGAAAGCTGATTCTCATGGTGGGTGAAAAGGCTATGAGACTCATAGAATCACTGGTTTAAGATACCTACTATAGAATATTTTAATAAATTATTCCCTTTTAATTGAAAAATAAATGCTATACCTCTGCATCGTTTTGTCAATTCATCACTCTGGCTCATTCTGTCCTAAAATGTGAGTTTATAAAGAAATGATAATATTACTGTAATAATTTTCCATTTCTATCTCACATTGTAATTCATAAATTAATTAATTCCTTTATTCATTCACCAAAATGCCAATGCAGCATCAGGATTTGTGGCAAGTGCTAGGAATTCAGAAAACAATCGTATATGCTCCCTCTCCTAAAGCTCATACACCTGGCATGAAACAGGCACAGTGTGGTGTTCCTGCTACCATGAATAGGAAGAAAGGTGGCATAAAAAAGGGAGAGGTCAGTTTTTCTCAGGGGTGAGGGGACATGCATGTGTCAGGAATGGCTTTTTACCTTTTACTAGTAATTATTATTCTTTCTAACAGAATAATTAATATAATAATAATAGTTGGTGGTGGTGGTGATAGTATTTTTATTATCCCTGTGACAAAAGCATAGTCAGCATCTGTCACCTTGCAATGTATAAGGCCTGATGTAAGTATGTCTGGTGGGGTCCTTATCTAAACATGCAATTTGATTAAAAATACAGTTATAAAACTAATGAGTCCATGTGAAGCATAGTGGTTTATCAGTGAGGATTTAGAATTATGTGTAGAGAAGAGGTACTTACATATTTGTTTTTTGTCCAATCATTGCACATAAAGACTTTTTCTAGTATCTGGGCACTGTCTCTTTGTGTTCAAGTACAGGAGTCATTTCTCCATATTCTTTATTTGTCAAACATGCCATTCTTAATATCAAATTTCATATTTCACATTAGAAGAAACTGTAGCATTACTCATAATGCATGGCTCTTTGGAGCCTGTTTGTGTTGGAACAATATAGATTCTCTTACATCTGCAGTTCCCTAATATAATTTACAACAAATTACCAGCTATAACATTACTCCGATGCAGCATCATTCTTTAACCCACTTGTGTATATTGACTTTCAGTGGCTCTCTGATGTTATTATGGTGCTTTATTGATGATGAACAAAAGTGCAAGTCTTACCCAAAATATGCAGGAAAACTTGAATGATGATTCATTTTCTAGCCATGTTATATTAACTGTTCAGAATTGTATAGCATAAAGGTGCATCCATCAACCATCCCTGCTCCTGAACTCTTAAGGCAGTAATCACTGCATTCTTAGAATGTGATCTCTTCCAATGGTGATCACACTTTTGCCTCTAATGTATTGACCCCGGCATGGAGGAATGTGTACAGAATAGTCCAATTTATTTAAAAAATCTCTATCTCTCATTCAGCATGACTTAAGATCTACCTGGGGAGAGTACAATGTCACTATATTAGTCAGAAGCAAGAGTAGCATCAATTGGAAGGGCTCGTTGCTGTTGAGCAAATCTCTGAAGATTTTGCGGGAGACAGATGTAGCCAACTCTTGAGGAATATCTTCAATATAACACAGAACCTTCAATGGGGGTCAGTGACTGGGACCCCAGATGTCAGTGGCACAGCATTAAAAATTTATAACTCTACTTCAGCTACCCTCAGGTGCTGTAGACCAAAGATGGTACCACAGTCGATACATAAATGGATGGTAACTGATGCACAGGCCTATACATGTAGCTTAGGTTGAAGGGTTGGCAGTGGGCTCTTGTTGGGTCAGAGACCTGAACTTTTCCTATATGCAGTGTGAGTGAAAGTCACCCCAAATCAACACATTAGTACCTTTCTGGAAGCTTAATTTTGCCCTTTACCATGAAAGAAAAACCACACCGACCAATGGAAGTAATTTGTTCACCAGGCCATACTCCTAGAAGCAGGGCTAGGCCCAAAAATGACCTCATAGACACAGATCTCAGAGCAGCTTGGGACAACTGGTTGACCCCACACAGGGAAGATGGTTGGATACTGCTCTGAAGGGTAGAAATGGGGGACTGAAGTCCACCCAAGTCCTGGTACAAGATTGGAGTCCTCTGTCTGGGTTGTACTGTTGTTCTCAGCAGGTTCCAAGCAATGGGGGGTAGCGGGGAAGGGGCAGACTTAGACCACTTTCAGGAAATACTGCAAAGCTCTGAGCCCACTGAGGCACAGGGTTCAGGCAGGGATCCCCCCGTGAGAGTCTAAGGGTATTATTTGTCAATATTATTATTGTTATTTTACCAGGAGGCCAAATGACTTGCTCAGGGTCATATTCGTAGGGAGATAATAGCTGAAATCTGGGTTTCAAAGCTTCTTACAAGTAAACAACCAATTGATTTAACTTCATCCCAGTCATAACAAATCTGACAAATAAAATTTCACTAACAGAAAATTCGACAACGTAAAATAAGCCAGAGCCAAATTAAAATAAACCTTTAGTTGTTGACTGTCTCAGATTATGTGAGACAATGTGCCTCTTTAATGACAGAAATGCTAATGATTCTTCAAAAAATATTTTATGTCTGTGTAGCCTTTTATCACAGCATCCCTGGGAGTTTAGTAGGGCAATGCTTAACACTTGTACATCCCAGCTGGGGAAATGCAGTTCAGAGAGTTTCACTGTTTTGCCTGGGTTTTACACTTTTCAATGGAGGGTTGGGATTCAACTCAGTCTCTTCGAATCTAAAGCTCATGCTTTACCTACTAATTCTCTCCGAGTTTTTTAACCATACTGAATATTTTCTTACTCAGCATTTTTCAGGTTTATTACTGATTACCATTCTCATAGTTTCCTCTATTTTCAACTCACATCCTGTTCATAGTGAGTTACTATGGAGACATGACATATTATTGGTTTCCCTGTAGGACAATGACCTGGCATATTTAAAAATGTTCTGGGTTTCTTAGCAACTCGACCAACGTTATCCATTTCTGCTTCCATGATATGTTATTTTACCTCAGCAAATGAAACCTGGATTATGGGCTAGGTTCTGGGATGGTAATGGAGTTTTAGAAAGGAAGTGAGGATTAAATGTATCAAATATAGACTCTATTCCTACAAATGCCTCTCCTCTTTCTCTTAAAGTATTTTTGAAAATGATTAGCAGAGATGGAACGGAAAACTAGTGAATGGGATTAGAACCTCCAGAGCTTTAATTTCTACCCACTCCTTTGCCATTGCAACATTGAATGACATTAACCTAACCCTCAGTTCTTCAGTCTCAGTTTCCCCATATCTAAAATAGACATGAAGATTGTACCTACTTCATAGCCTTATTTTTATCAGAGTCAATTATGTGAAAATGCTCTATACATGATGAAACCTTGAGTTACTACTTTTGATGCTGATTCAAGGGCTCATTCATTCATTTTTTTTCAATTAAGTGTCTATTTTGTGGAGAGCCTTCTCCAAAACATCAAGGGGAGAAGAGGATGCAGTGCCTGCCACTGGATACCTCAGAATCTAATTAGGAGAGTAAGTTAAATAATACATCAATCCAGTTGTTCAGTTCAAGGGATGTGGGCAGGTAACGTGCATGCAAGTGCCTATGAGACTCCAAAAGAGGAGAGTGTTACAGTCCGTTGAGAGTGGCCAGGGAAGGCATCCAGAAATTTTTACAGACCTAAGGAAGGCATAAAAGACCCTCTGTGAGATGGCAGCTCCTTTCTTATGTGACTTCATCTCACTCTTCTCCTGTATTACAGCCACATAAAAGCAATTGAGCAACCAGATCTTAGAACACAAAAGTCTAAGTTTCAGCCCTTGCTCCAGTAATTAACTGGCTCTGTGACCCGTGGTTTCACGTTTCTTGTTTGTGTGATGGGCATAATAATAAAACAAAATTTAAAGTGTTACTGAGTTAAGCTACTTAGGCAGTACCTGAAACACTCTATGCACCCCAAAAATATTAGCTATTGTTGTCAGGCACTATTCTTCAAATATATTTTGCTTCCAACCTTTGTGCTTTTGCATGTATTTTTCCTCCCGACTGGACAGCTCTTTGTCTTTGTGTATGTCATAACATTAATATTCAAGATTTTGCTCTTAGACACTTCTGCTGGAAAGTTGTCCCTGCTCTTATCTTCTCTTTTAGTCCTCCCTAGAAGATTTGTCTCTTCAATGTGTATATGTGTGTGTGGGTGTGTGTGCATGTGTGTGTGCACCTATTGTGTCTTATAAATTTCTCTGTAATGAGCTGATCACATTGTATTGCAAACTTCATTGCTTACATATTTGTCTTTTTAAGTTTCTTTAAGGCAGATAAAAAACCTTAGCTGTGTATGTACCTCCAGGACCTAATACAGTATCAGATAAATGCTTGTGGGTTGACGGGTAGATGGAAGAAGGAAGGAAAGAAGAAAGAAGGGGAAATAGGTAAGGATCCAAAGAGGAAAAGAAGAGTGAAGAATAGAAAGGAAGAATTTATATTGAGGAGGTAACATGAGCAAAGTCAGGGAAACTAGAATGAATACATGTTTGGGGGAAGCATTGGATAAATTGGCTAGACAGGAGGCTATGATTTCCGTAAGTGAATAGTGTTGGCTCAAGTTGATTTGTAATAACTTCCTAGATGGGCCTCACTCCAGAGAAGAGTCTATCTTAACATGGTCTGGAGTTAAGACAGATGGAGAAACACAGGGGCAAAAGTGATACATAAAATAACGTCTACCATGGATCTCAAAATACTTCAAAATGCAGTTGTAGTAATAAAAATAAACTTGTTTTGAAATATATTGTGGCTTTATTGAGCTCCAGGGAAATAATCAAATATACTATTCTGCCTCTGTCAAAGATTTGTATTAGTTTTCTGAAAATCTGTTGTTTTATAAACCTAGAAGGATGCTCCTTCTGCTGGGTGAAATTTAGTACTAAGTTGACTAAAGGCTGTGCATGTAAATAAAGTGTTTTCCTGAATCTTTTTCTAGAATGTGTTCTCAGGCAGAGGGGACTGTTTTATTAGCTAATTCTAAATCAATGAGTTTCTCTGGCCAATTAAGTTTGGGAAAATATGCCTTGGATGTGTATGACAGCATCACTGTACTGAAGACTTTGAAATTTTTGCAGTTAAAAAGCTTCATTAACTCTTTGAAAGATGCACTGTATTCAAAACTGAGCTACCACCGAATTATGTTTTTCAAAATACCTAATTTTGTGATATTGCTGCTTTAACAAAATCATTTCCTGAAAAAATGCCAAAATGTATCTATATTTTCAATACCTCACTCCCCATGGTTCTTTTTCTTAATTTTACACATTGATAGGTGCCTTTTAAACATCATCTCTTTTAAACCTTACAAATTTCTAGTAAGGTAATGAAAGAGGGATCATGACTCTCATTTTATAGTGACAAAACTGAAACCCAGAGTGGTTCATATTATTGAAAAGAAATGAATGAAAAATAAATGAATGGATGTGTGAATCACACACTGAGTGAGTCAGTGGGCTGGACATTTACAATGAGTGGAAGATTTCCCCAGGCTTTGTTTCATTGATTTGATAAATGTCTTTTCAGTGTTTGCTTTGAACCAAGCACTTTGCTTCAGAGATCATAGAGAGCAGTAAGACAACATCTCCAATCTCATGGAACATACAAAGTAGCTGCAGAAACTGACAAACCCTAAACAGAATTCTTCATGCTACAATCATAGTAAGTTCCAACAAGTTACAGAAAGTAGGGGGAATGCTGCCACTATATGAGTCTTTGTTTAAATTAGGCAAAAGGGCTCCTTCAAGTGGAGACAAATCACATGAGTACAGGCATGGTTAACAGACCCCTTTGTGTGAGAACAACAAAAACATACCTGAGTATAAGCCTTGGTGAGAAGCACCAGGTAATACCTTTTCTCTCTCTGCATAGTGGACAATTACACCTTTGGCATACCATCATCCCCAGACTTTGGGCTCAAGGAAAGTATTGTTTGGAGTAGAATGGAAAATCAATAGAGGCTCCTGGAAGATGCACCAAGAGCTTGTTCTTGGAGGATGATTACATGCTGACAAAGTGGACAACGGGATTTGAGTAGATGGAGGAAACACCAGGGGTGAAAGCCCAGTGGTGATGAAGTGTGTAGTGCCTTCTAGGATCTGATAGGAGAGAGTGATATGGCTTGCTTCTGGGTTCCTACCCAAATCTCATCTCAAACTGTAAACCCCACAGGGAGGGAGCTGGTGGGAGGTGATTGGATCACGGGGGTGATTTCCCCTGTGCTGTTTTCATGATACTGAGTGAGTTCTCATGAGATCTGGTGGTTTTATAAGTGGCTGTTTTCTCTGCTTGCCCCTGCTTTGTGAAGAAGTTGCCCGCTTCACCTTTGTCTTCTTCCATGATTGTAAGTTTCCTGAGGAATCCCCAGCTATGTGTTACTGTGAGTCAATTAAACCTCTTTTGTTTATAAATGACCCCGTCTCAGGTATTCTTTATAGCAGTGTGAGAACAGACTAATACAGAGAGGCAAGAGGTTGCTAGAGATGAGTGGCAAGGGAGCCAGAGCACTGATTCAGGGGAAGAGTTAAGTTTATTTTAAGAAAAGTATAGGAGAGAATCCACCTCTGTCTTTTCAAAGCTGGGTACAGTACAAGGCACAGGGTTGTCACTCAATAAAGTTTGTTGAATATTAGAGGGGGCTGGAAACCAGAGCAGCTTTTCTTGTTAATCTCAGACACATTAGTCGTTACCAAAATTTTCTCTGAGATACCTTCATAGTAACACATATTTATGGTGCAACTACTATGACCCAGGCCGGTGAAGTGACAGCAGCCTTAAAAACAGGCACAGTGATTATAGCACTATGTAATGAGTGTGAAATTAGAGGCAATGCAGGGGTAGAGAGGAAAGACATCCAACCCAGCAAGAAGTGGTAACCTGGCGGGTCTTGGAGGATGAATAGGGTTGTGCCCAGATGAAGAAACAGGGCTGCCTCCAGCACAAGCCGTTTTTCAGAATTTGAAAAATTATTCACTTTGAACATATAAATCCACAAAAGCATATGCCCTCTGAGCATTCAATTAGGTAAAGGTATCCCTGCCTCCATATTGACAGCACCCTGGGACAAGCTGGATTTTGGCTCTGGGTTGAGGCCCCTCAGCCTTTCACTGGCAAGAGCTTGCACAACCATTTACCCAATCTCAGTAGACCTAAGTGGAGAAGGGCATTCCAGAGTGAGAACACCAACAGAAAAAGTACCTAGGCCTGCTAGAGCATGGGGGAGAGTGGGGAGCCACAGATGGTTTGGTGTTGCTGAAGAGTGTACACAAGAAGGCATGGAGAAGTGGGGCATGAAACCAGGTGCAGGTGAGGTTAGATCACGCAGGGCCTTGCTTGCCATGCTAAGGAATTATAGGCTTTATGCCAAAATGTTGGGATTCACTCAGGATGGTGGCAGAAATATTAAAGAGAAATATTAGAGAAAGTTATAGGAAATAGTCACAAACATTTTGGAAGGCCGAAAGGTTACACAGCTTGTAATAATTGAACAGGCTGAAGGCAGCCAGTTCTTACTTTAGAGCATTAGGTCATAGGGTAAATACTCGGGACAATAGAGGCTTCCCCAGTTAAGTCTGTTTACCCTACCTCCATTAACTAACCTTTGAGCCAGTTGGCCCTCTTGGTGGGGGGGAGGTTGACCAAGGATGTTGCCCCCAGTGATATTTACTTTAGACCAAGGTACCTGAGCTTTAATCATTCGTAGAACTACTCTCCTAACCATGTTAATTATCCACAAGTGTGTTTACTCAAAGCTTCTGCTGTTAATTGTATACTAAATAAATGCCTGGAGTGCGAGCTGCTCAGGACCAGCCGCAGTGACAAACCTCTCTTGGTGTGTAGGTGGTCAGACACTCAGCAGGACTGGCAAAACAGAATATCTGTGTGTCAGTGTACGTTTTATTCATCCATCATTTGGGTCAGGGTCTGCGGGCAGACCCCACAGCAAATGCTCTCAAGTGTGAGGAGCAATACCTCAACCGGCGCCCCGTGTGAGGAGCCATACCACACCACAAGCCATTGCAGCATACAAAACCATGTATTTTCTCTGGGACACTGTATTGGAACCCACTGGGCTGCTAATTAAATATAAACTTGGACTCCATCAAATATAAACTACCTTAGAATCTTTGAATGTGGGCCCCAGGAATGTCTGTGTAACAATTTCTCCAAATGATCTTTACCTCCATGAAAGTTTGAGGATCATGCCGTGGTGGATGGAAAGGACTTTGTTTGTGTTTTGGAAAGATTACTGTGGCTGCTACATGAATGTGGCATTGTTATGGGAACGCTGGTAATAGGAAGCTCTAAGAGAGAGCTGATGAAATAAACTGGAGAAGTCTAAGCAAGTATCTGTTTGACCTGTTTTAAGCAAATTTCTTTATCCAGAAACTTATCCCCTCCTCAGATGAATCAAATTATGACTAATATGGACATCCATGTATTCCTCAAATTGGGCACTATTATTATAATTTCACATGTGTAGGGGACTCATTAGATTATTTTTTGGTAACAGAAGTCATTTGGGAGAATCCTCCCTTGCTATCATACCCATGACTCAAAGATGAACCAAAAGTTCTTATGAAGTTCTTTATTCATGCCTATTTCTTATTGTAAATAGATTTTTCTCATGTCCTTTTATTAATGATGCAATGGAATTGTTTTGAGTGACTCAAAACCACCTAATTAATCGCATTCAGTTTTGATTGCAATAATTAATTGTCCCAAGCCAGCCAGCATTATAGCTGAATATAATTAGTCATCCGCAATGGTAGTGGCTGGTAGGTGGTTAGTCATGGATGACCTACACGATGTGCTAACTGATTAGGCTAAAACTCTTGCTAAAAGTCCCAAGTAGGCTGTATCTTAAGGTCAGGAAACCATTTTAAGTCTAGGGCTACATACTGGAAACTTGGATCCTAAATTGCTCTAATTTGACAGATAATTGGGATCATTTAAAAATAACTTATACACATTCTATCCCATGGATCTACCTGCCAGTCCATGAGACTCAGTCATGTGTAGGATATTCTAGTCAAGGATCGTTCTTTTATCAAACAAGTTTAAGAAAAACATTTTTTTGTTTTGTTGTTGTTTTTTTTTTGGAAAGGATAAAGGACCCTCACTGAGAACTCAAAGACAAGAAGTTAAACAAGGGGAGTTCATAGGAACCTCAAAATCATTAGACATCTTCTCTCTATTCCTTTCTTGGGACAAAATATGTATTTATTTTTTCTCTATAAGAATGCTCCATTTTTTCCTCTGCAAACCAGCTTCCTTGATAAGGCACTATTCTGTTAACTTTGAGTTAACACTGTTAACTCGAATTCTAAATCTGTCTTCTCTATGTGCGCTTAGACCTTCACTTCCCAATATGCACTGCTTTTGATGTTTGAGTTCAGATTCTCAAAAGTGGGGATCAGCTAAAGGACCACAATTCTGCAATGTGTCCAATTACCTTTGGTAAGACTAAGGCACAATCTGATACAAACATGTAGTTCCAGGCCTACTTCTTCAGCAGAACAGGGCTGGAAGCTTCTGAGAAGGGAAACTGAACTGGGTACATAGGAAAGTGATCGAAACAGGTTAAGGTCACAAGAGCAACTCTGTCTTAGATGTCTCAGGTAACATGCACCTAACCCATGGTATCTATTATTTAGGAGAAATCATATCTCACCTTCCTGAATCGTGAAATACCACTTTCTTATGCCTGCCTTTATCCCAAAACATATTCAAAATCCTGGTAACCATATCTTGAGAAAGGCATAAACTTCTATATGTTTCCTCAAGTTTGGACCCTGGGAAAGAGTAGTAGAAGCCACCACATTTTGCACAGGTTTAAACTCAGAGGGAAAAGAGAGACACAAAGTCTTTTGGGGACACAAGGATCACTGAGATGAAGAAAAGAGTAACTTAAAGAACCATATGGTGAAAGTGAAATTCAAGCAGTATAATATATTGTATTTCCTGAGCTGGAAAGTTATGCCATATTATGGCATAAAGGGTGTGTTTGTGCATGTGTGTGTGCACACACTTTATTTTCTTTAGGACATTGACCACTAGACTGTTTTAAGATTAAAGAGGATAGTGCTACCTTAATTTGATTATTACACAGCGTATAAATGTATTGAAACATCACATTCCATGCTGTAAATATGTAAAATTACTATACATCAACAGAAAAAAAATTAATATAAAATAAATTTTAAAAAAGATTAAAAGGGAGCAATCACTGATGAACCCCTGTTATTCAGCATTGTTGAGAACAAAATTATCTGTTTTAACCCTATGTCTTTTATTCAGGGCTAGTCCACCTGTGCACTATATAACCAAGAACTGTTGGAAGACCCCACTGAATCTTCAGTCCCACTCTAACTCTTAACTTGGGGTTTCTTGTTTGGATTGTGTTTTTCTTACTTTCTACTCCATTCTAAAATCCAATCAACTTTGAAACCTCTTAGCTTTGTCTGGATTTCAAGTCCTGAGCTTAAAAATAATAGCATTCAATTTCACCAGCTTTGACTCTTAAGTGTTTACTAAGATGCTGGCTATTCTCTCTTTCTCTAGCTCTTCCCACTCCTAGGCTAGTTGAATAACTATAGTACTTGATCTAATTCTGAGCCTTTGAAAAAGTCCTTAACTCTTCCTAAATGGGCCTATCCAAATTTCAGGAGGAAAAACTATGCATTCTTGCTTTGCAACTATAGCTCCTGAAATATGCTCATTATTACAAATGTTTAGTAGTCTTTACATGTATCTGTAGTCACTACACCTGTAGAGTGAAGTAGAGCACTCTTCTACAGCTCTGTTGATAGTCATCTTGTGTTACCTCTTCCCTATCTCATAGAAATTTCCCCAGCATTCATGATGCATGGAAAACCAAGTTCACAATGGCAACAGCATAAAAGCTGGAGTTTCTCATGATCTTCCAGAGCTGAACACAATGCTTGTAATAGGGTCTGCTTGTTTTCCCAGGAGAGAATGGGAGTGGAGTAGGAGGGAGTTTTAGTTGTTCACTCAAGAAGTATCATGTAATGATTTCTAGTTTAGAGGGAATTCCCAAGAGATACTCAGTCTTTATCCTGCATTGGCCTACTAGTAAAGCCAACCACCTAACACAATCACTTAGCCCTCTTGAGCTGGGGTCTAGCATGAGAAATTTTTGTGTTGGGTATGAAAGAAATCCTTCCATCCTCCTTCTTAACAGTCACACACTTTTAATGAACTTTTGCTTAATGTACTGCCAACAAAGAAAATAGTTACATCTTTTGGGGATTTACACTAGTCATTTTGAGAACTGTTGCTGTAAGACATGAAGCCTTATTGAAAGGCTCTATGGAAAGAATGACATGTCGGAGACAGTTGCCACACCGCCATCATAAGTTACCATGGCTCCTGGGAAGCAACTAAAGCCTAACCCACTTCCACTTCCACCATCCTGAGCTAGGGCATACATTTTTGCTGTTGGAGAAATTTGGGGATTTTAAACTGGGTAAGAGTGAAATCTAGATGTTCAGTCTGGCTTGTGGGCTCTGCTGTAGTTTATATTGGGTGTATCTCCTGTTGATAACACATTCAGTAATGTGAGAGATGATAACAAGAAATATTTCTGTAGAGGAAAGATCATGACATGCAGCCTCCAGAAGCCTGGCTGCCATTTTACTTCCAGATGTGAGGACTGGGTCAATCCCTTCACGTCTTCTGAGATACAATTTATTTGATTGTAATATTAAGATAACAAATAAAAATTAAATTATATATATGCATATTGCTTATAACTTATAAAGTGTTGTAAGATACCTACATTGGCTTTAGTCAACTACTGGAGTTAACTAAACTGGAGTTATTTCCCTTCTGTCTTTATATTCATTCTATCATCCTACATCAATTTTATAAGCATATAAAGAGTATTTATTATGCACTTTATCTCAACTCTCCTTAGTGAGTGCCTGCTATACACTAATATCATATCCATTTGTAAATTGATTTTTCAAAGGAAGCAAGCAGCTATTAACAGCTGCTTTCTATTCAAGGCTTAATACATACCTGGCACTAAACTGAACATGTTGCATAAATTAGTTATTTAACTTAATTTATCCCTCAACTATCAAATGTAGGAATAAAATCCCCTAAGCATAGGCAATTAAAAATTATTGAGTAACTTGCCTTAAAATCCACAGATAGTAAGTGGCAGCTTCAAATTTAAACCCAAATCTTGATATTCCTAATAATGGACCCTTTTAAAAAATGGTCTATATTCCCAACGTAGCTACTTAGCTTTGAAATGTCTACTTTTAGTATTTGAAGTTTGATTTCAAGAAAGGTACTTTTTCAATCAACTTTATCTCCTGTTAGTAAAATATTTTCTGTTATTGTTATTATTACTTATTGGGAATTGTCTTCTCCGATAGTGACATAGTGAACTATTAGAACAGGCAAAAAGGAAGACAGTTGAGGGAGACTGAAAATACTGAAGGCAAAACAACAAAACATGATGTGATATCCTTGTTAATTGATGTTGCACTGGAGCAAAAGTCTTAGAAAGCAGAGCAATCACCCATTATTTTGATAACAGGAGAAAAGTTAGAGAAAATGAGTTTTGCAAGCGTTTTACTGTGTGTTTTAAAAACTTAAAAATATCAGGCACACCTCACAAGTGTTATTGAAATCCATGGAAATTATTGGAAAACTCAATAATTCATTCGTATTTTCCCATCTTTTATTAATTCAACTATCTCTTTACCCATGTATCTATCCATCTATCCCTCATCCACGTATTTATTTCCCTGCTCTCTTTATGTTCATTCTATCATCCAACATCAATTTTATAAGTGTATAGAGAGTGTTTATTATGCTCTTTAACTCATCTATGCTTAGTGAGTGCCTGCTATACACTAATATGAAAATGACATATATATATGTGTATATATATATATGTGTGTATGTATATATATATATTTTTTTTCAGCCTACTGCCAGGCACTTTGTAGTGATGGAAAAAATATGTGTCTGAGACAGCTATCTACTCTCAAGTCTTTAAGAATGGGAACAAGGCATTACTATTGTGAAAGTCGTCAGAATCAAAATGAAGTCACTAATGTTAAGAAAAGCGGCTGGGCGCAGTGGCTCAAACCTGTAATCCCAGCACTTTGGGAGGCCGAGGCAGGCGGATCACAAGGTCAGGAGATCAAGACCATCCTGGCTAACATGGTGAAACCCCGTCTCTACTAAAAAAATACAAAAAATTAGCCGGTCGTGGCGGTGGGCGCCTGTAGTCCCAGCTACTAGAGAGGCTGAGGCAGGAGAATGGCATGAACCTGGGAGGCAGAGCTTGCAGTGAGCCAAGATCGTGCCACTGCACTCCATCCAGCCTGGGCGACAGAGCCAGACTCCGTCTCAAAAAAAAAAAAAAAAAAAAAAAAAGAAAAAAAAAGAAAAAAGAAAAGCTTGGCAAACAGAGCTAGGAAAGGCCATGAAGAGTGGGTTCTCACATTTATACACCTGATAACAAAAACTATCACAAGTACTGCAAAAACAACGTTGCACAAAAGCTATCACAATCTTATACAAAAAATACTTCTGTATGGACATTCTCCAAGCAACTCCCTGCACAACCTCACACTGGTGTCACCTTTATTATTGATCTTTGCAGCCAAGGATAATTACTTCAAAACAATTATATAATCCTTCTCATTTTTTTCCTTTAAAAACCTTTATATTCCTTTACTTCCCTAATGTGCACGTAGTTTACTATGGAATACGCATTCCCACTGTAATGCTTTTTTCCTGAATACATATACTTTTTCTTTAAGAGATCCTGCCTCTGTTTGTTATTTAGGTTGACAACATAAAAATAAATTAGCTGAGAATTCAAAGGTATATTCCTCCAAAGATAAAACCATAAAAGTGGTTATGCAGGAAATCATATAATTGAGTTCTAAATAAAAGTCTCTAAGAGGAAATGTCTAAGAGAAAAAATGGGACAAATCAAGGCTCCTCATCTTCCAATGTTTATTTTTAATTTTATGAAAAACCCGTGTGATTTTTAGTTTTTAATTTTTATTTATGTTTTTTAACTTTTATTTTAGGTTCCGGGTACATGTGCAGGTTTGTTATATAAGAAAACTCATGTCACAAGGGTTTGTTATACAGATTATTTCATCACCCAGGTACTAAGCCTAGTACCCAACAGTAATTTTTTTTTATTCCTCTTCCACTTCCCACCTTCCACCCTCAGGAATACCCCAGTAATTGTTGTTTCCCTCTTGGTGTCCATGTGTTCTCATCATTTAGCTCCCACTCATAAATGAGAACATGCAGTATTTGGTTCTCTGTTCCTGCGTTAGTTTGCTAAAGATAATGGCCTCCAGCTCTCTCCATGTTCCTGCAAATGACATGATATCGTTCCATGAACAGTGTTCCATTTTGTATATGTACCACATTTTCTTTATCCAGTATACCATTGGTGGACATTTAGGTTGATTAGGACATTAGGTTGATTCCATGCCTTTGCTATTGTGAATAGTGCTGCAATGAACAAACACATTCATCTGGCTTTATGACAGAATGATTTCTATTCCTTTTGGTATATGCCCAGTAATGGTATTGCTGGCTTGAATGGCATTTCTGTTTTTAGCTCTGAGCAATCATCCCACAGATTTCCACAATGGTTGAATTAATTTACACTCCCATCAACAATATATAAACATTACTTTTTCACCACAATCTCTCCAACACCTGTTATTTTTTGACATTTTAGTAACAGTTTTTTTGACCTGTGAGAGATAATATCTCACTGTGGTTTTGACTTGCATTTCTTTTTTATTTTAATTTTTTAATTTTAATTTTAAGTTCTAGGGTATACGTGCAGGATGTGCAGGTTTGTTACATAAGTAAATGTGTGCCATGGTGGCTTGATGCACCTACAAACCTATCACCTAGGTATTAAGCCCAGCATGCATTAACTCTTTTTCTTGATGTTCTCCCTTTCTCCACCCCATGCCCTAACAGGCCCCAGTGTGTGTTGTTTCCCTCCCTATTTCCATGTGTTCTCATTGCTCAGCTCCCACTTATATATGGTGTTTGGTTCTCTGTTCCTGTGTTAGTTTGTTGAGGATAATGGCTGCTAGCTCCATCCATGTCCCTGCAAAGGACATGATCTCATTCCATTTTATGGCTGCACAGTATTACATGGTGTGTATGTACCACATTTTCTTTATCCAATCTATCATTGGTGGGCAATTGGGTTGATTCCATGTCTTTGCTATTGTGAACAGTGCTGCAATGAACATATCTGTGCATGTATCTTTGTAATAGAATGATTTGTATTCCTTTGGGTATATACCCAGTATTGGAATTGCTGGGTCAAATGGTATTTCTGGTTCTAGCTCTTTGAGGAATTGCCACGTCATCTTCCACAATGATTAAACTAATTAACATTCCCACCAACAGTGCAAAAGCATTCCTATTTCTCCACAACCTCGCCAGCTTCTGTTGCTTCTTGACTTTTTAATAATTGCCTTTCTGACTGACATGAGATGGCATCTCATTGTGGTTTTGATTTGTGTTTCTCTAATGATCAGTGATGTTAAGCTTTTCTTCACATGTTTGTTGTTCATATGCTTGTTCATGAACGTCTTCTTTTCAGAAGTGTCTGTTCATGTCCTTTGCCTACTTTTTAATGGGGTTGTTTGTTTTATTTTCTTATAAATTTGTTTAAGCTCTTTGTAGATTCTGGATATTAGACCTTTGCTGGATGGATAGATTGCAAAATTTTTCTCCCACTCTGTAGGTTGCTTGTTCACTCTGATGATAGTTTCTTTTGCTGTGCAGAAGCTTTTTAGTTTAATTAGATCCCATTTTTCAGTTGAATCCATATTATGAAAATGGCCATACTGCCCAAAGTAATTTATAGATTCAATGCTATTCCCACTAAACTTCCATTGACATTCTTCACAGAAATAGAAGAAACGATTTTAAAATTCATATGGAACCAAAAAAGAACTTGTATGGCCAAGACAATCCTAAGCAAAAAGAACAAAGCTGGAGGCATCATGCTACTGGACTTCAAATTGTACTAAAAGGCTACAATAACTAAAACAGTATGGTACTAGTAGAAAAACAGACACACAGACCAATGGAACAGAATAGATAACTCAGAAATAAGACCGCACATCTACAACCATCTGATCTTCAACAAACCTGACAAAAACAAGCAATGGGGAAAGGATTCCCTATTTAATAAACATTACTGTGAGAACTGGCTAGCCATATGCAGAAAATTGAAACTGGACCCCTTCCTTACATCTTAAAACTTCTCCAATTCTGTGGTTGCTTATTCTGTTGATAGTTTCTTTTGCTATGCAGAAGCTCTTAAATTTAATTTGTTCCCGTTTGTCAATTATTGATTTTGTCGTGATTGTTTGGGCAGCTTTGTCATGAAATCTTTGCCAGTTTCTATGTTCAGAAAGGCATCTTACAGAAGGTAAAAGAAATGAGGGGAAAATCTTCAGTGAAATAGATAGTACAAATAAAAAACAATAAAAACTTCAGGAAATAATGGATGCACTTAGAGAAATGCAAAATATTCTGGAAAGTCTCAGCAATAGAATTGAGCACGCAGAAGAAAGAACTTCAGAGCCTGAAGACAAGGTTTTTGAATTAACCCAATCCAACAAAGACAAAAAAAGAATAAGAAAAAATGAACAGAGTCTCCAAGAAGTTTGGGATTATGTTAAATGACCAAACCTAAGAATAATTGGCATTCCTGAGGAAGAAGAGAAATCTAAAAGTTTGAAAAACATATTTGGGGAAATAACCAAGGAAAACATCTCTGTCCTTGATAGAGACCTAGACATCCAAATACAAGAAGCTCAAAAAACAACTGGGAAATTCATTGTAAATGATCATCATTTAGGCACATTGTAATCAGGTTATCTAAAGTCAAGGCAAGGTGAGGTGCAGTGGCTTATGCTTGTAATCCCAGCACTTTGGGAGGCCAAGGCGGGTGGATCGCTTCAGGTCATGAGTTTGAGACTGGCCTGTCCAATATGGTGAAACCCCATCTTTACTAATAGCTGGGCATGGTGGCAGGTGCCTGTAATCATAACTGCTCGGGACACTGAGGCAGGAGAATCTCTTGAACCTGAGAGGTGGAGGTTGCAGTGAACCAAGATCATGCTACTGCATTTGACTCCATCTGGAAAAAAAAAAAAGTCAAGATAAAGGAAGAATTTAACAGCTGTGAGGCAAAAGCACCAGGTAACCTAGAAAAGAAAACCTGTAAGATGAACAACAACTTTCTCTGCAGAAACTCTACAAGCTAGAAGGGATTGGGGCCCTATCTTCAGCCTCCTTAAACAAAACAATTTTTAGCTAAGAATTTTGTATCCAGTGAAACTAAGCTTCATAAATGAAGGAAAGATACAGTCTTTTTCAGACAAACAAATGCTGAGAGAATTTGCCACTACCAAGCAGCACAACAAGAACTGCTAAAAGGAGCTCTAAATCTTGAAAAAAGTGCTGGAAACACACCAGAACAGAACCTCTTTAAAGCAGAAATCTCACAGGACTTATGAAACAAAAATGTAATTAAATAAAAAACAAGGTATACAGGCAACAAATAGCATGATGAATGGAATAGTACCTTGCATCTCAGTACTAACATTGAATGATTGAATGCAAATGGCCTAAATGCTCCGCTTAAAAGCTACAGACCTTCAGAATGGATAAGAGTTCACCAACCAAGTATCTGCTGCCTTTAAGAGACTCATTTGACATATAAGGACTCATGTAAACTTAAGGTAAAGGGATAGAAAAAGACATTCCATGCAAATGGACACCAAAAACAAGCAGGAGTAGCTATTCTTGTATCAGACAAAACAAACTTTAAAGCAACAGCAGTTAAAAAAGAGAAAGAGGGGCAATATATAATGATAAAAGGCCTTGTTCAACAGGAAAATATAACAATCCTAAATGTATATATAATACACCTAACACTGGAACTCCCAAATTTATAAAACAATTACTACTAGACCTAAGAAATGAGACAGCTGCACAATAATAGTGGGGGACTTCAATACTCCACTGATAGCACTAGACAGGTCATCAAAACAGAAAGTCAACAAAGAAACAATGGATTTAAACTATACCCTGGAACAAATGGACTTAACAGATATTTACAGAACATTCTACACAACGACCACAGAATATGCATTCTATTCATCAATGCATGGAGCTTTCTCCAAGATAGACTGTATGATGGATCATAAAACAAGTCTCAATGAATTTAAGAAAATTGAAATTTGATCAAGCACTCTGTCAGACCACAGTATAATAGAACTGGAAATCAACTCCAAAAGGAATCTTCAAAACCATGCAAATACATGGAAATTAACCTGTTCCTGAATGATCATCTGGCTAACCATGAAATCAAGATGAAAATTAAAAAAATTCTTTGAACTGAACAACAGTAGTGACACAACCAATTAAAACCTCTGGGATACAGCAAAGGTGGTGCTAAGAGGAAACTTCATAGCCCTAAATGCCTACATCAAAAAGTCTGAAAGAGCACGAGTAGACAATCTAAGGTCACACCTCAAGGAACTAGAGTAACAAGAACAAACCAAACCCAAACCCAGCAGAAGAAAGAAAATAACAAAGATCACAGCAGAATCAAATGAAATGGAAACAAAAAAATTACAAAAGATAAATGAAACAAAAGGCTGGTTTTATGAAAAGATTTTAAAAAATTGATAGACCATTAGCAAGATTAACCAAGAAAAGAAGAGAGAAAATCCAAATAAGCTCAATTAGAAATGAAGGGGGAGATATTACAACTGACACCACAAAAATACAAAAGATCATTCAAGGCTACCTTTACACACAAAAACTAGAAAACCTAGAGGAGACGGATAAATTCCTGAGAAAAAATACAACCCTCCTAGCTTAAATCAGGAAGAATTAGATACTCTGAACATACCAATAAAGAGCAGCAAGATTGAAATGGTAATAAAAAAATTACCAACAAAAAAGGTTCAGGACTAGACAGATTCACAGCTTAATTCTACCAGACATTCAAAGAAGAATTGGTATGAATCCTATTGACACTATTTCACAAGACAGAGAAAGAGGGAATCCTCCATAAATCATTCTATGAAGCCGGTATTACCCTAATACCAAAACCGGGAAAGGACATAACCAAAAAAGAAAACTACAGACCAATACCCCTGATGAACATAGATGCAAAGATCCTTAACAAAATGCTAGCTAACCAAATCCAACAACATATCCAAAAGATACTCCACCATGATCAAGTGGGTTTTATACCAGGGATGCAGGGATGGTTTAACATATGCAAGTCAATAAATGTAATGCACTACACAAAATTCAGAACAAAAATCACATGATCATCTCAACAGACACAGAAAAGAAGCATTTGACAAAATCCAGCATCTCTTTATGATTAAAACTCTCAGCAAAATCGACATACAAGGGACATACCTCAATGTAATAAAGGCCATCTATGACAAACCCACAGCCAACATAATACTGAATGAGGAAAAGTTGAAAGCATTCCCTCTGAGAACTGGAACAAGACAAGGATGTCCTCTCTCACCAATTCTATTCAACATAGTCCTGGAAGTCCTAGTGAGAGAAATCAGACAAGAAAAAGAAATAAAGGGCACCCAGATGGGTAAAGAGGAAGTCAAATTGTCACTGTTTGCTGATAATATGATTAATAAAAATCCTAAAGACTCCTCCAAAAATATCCTAGAACTCATAAAAGAATTCAGCAAAGTTGCAGGATACAAAATTAATGTACGCAAATCAGTAGCTCTCCTATACATCAACAGCAACCAAGCTGAGAATCAAGTCAAGAACTTCACTCCTTTTACAATGGCTGAAAAAAAAATTCTTAGGAATACACCTAACCAAGGAGGTGAAAGACCTCTACAAGGAAAACTACAAAACAGTGCTGAAATAAATTATAGACAACATGAACAAATGGAAATACATCCCATGCTCATGGATGGATATAATTAATATTGTGAAAATGACCATACTGCCAAAAGCAATCTACAAATTCAATGCAATTCTCATCAAAATACCACCATTATTCTTCACAGAACTAGGAAAAAAATCCTAAAATTCACATGGAGCCAAAAAGGAGCCTGCATAACCAAAGCAAGACTAAGCAGAAAGAACAAATCTGGAGACATCATATTACCTGATATACTATAAGGCCATAGTAACCAAAACAGCATGGTACTGTTATAAAGATAGGCACATAGACCAATGGAACAAAATAGAGCATCCAGAAATAAGCTCAAATACTTACAGCCAACCAATCTTTTACAAAGCAAGCAAAAACGTAAAGTGAGGAAATGCACCCAATTCAACAAATTGTGCTTGAATAATTGGCAGGCCACATGTAGGATAATGAAACTGGATCCTCATCTCTTACCTTATACAAAAATCAACTCAAAATGGAACAAGGACTTAAATCTAAGACCTGAAGCTATAAAATTCTAGAAGATAACATCAGGAAAAATCCTTCTAGACATTGGCTTAGGCAATGATTTCATGACCAAGAACCAAAAAGCAAATGCAATAAAAATAAAGAAAAATAGCCTGGACTTAATTAAATTAAAGAGCTATTGCATGGCAAAAGGAACAGTCAGCAGAGTAAAAGACAACCCACAGAGTTGGAGAAAATCTTCACAATCTATACATCTGACAAAGGACTAACATCCAGAATCTACAACGAACTCAGACCAATTGACAAGAAAAAAACACATATTTCCCATCAAAAAAGTGGGCTAAGGGCATGAATAGACAATTCTCAAAAGAAGATAATACAAATGGCCAACAAACATTAAAAAATGCTCAGAATCACTAATGATCAGGGAAATGCAAATCAAAACCACAATGTGATACCACCTTACTCTTGTAAGAATGGCAGTAATCAAAAAATTGAAAAATAAGAGATGTTGGCCTGGATGTGGTGAAAAGGGGACACTTCGACACTGCTGGTGGGACTGTAAACTAGTACAACCACTACAGAAAACAGTGTGGAGATTCCTTAAGTAACTAAAAGTAGAACTACCATTTGATCCAGCAGTTCCACTACTGGGTATCTGCCCAGAAAAAAAAGAAGTAATTATACATAAAAGATACTTGCACATGCATGTGTGTGTGTGTATATGTATATATATATATATGTTATATATACTTGCACATGCATATATATATATATATAATGTTGGAATATTACTGAGCCATAAAAAGGAATAAATTAGTGGCATTTGCAGCAACGTGGATGGGATTGGAGACTACTATTCTAAGAGAAGTAACTAAGGAATGGAAAACCAAACATCGTATGTTCTCATTCATAAGTGGGAGCTAAGCTATGAGGTACAAGGCATAAGAATGACACAGTGGACTTTGGGGACTCAGGGGCAAAGGGTAGGAGGGGGATGAGGGATAAAAGACTACAAATTGGGTTTGTTGTATACTGGTTGGATGATGGGTACACCACAATCTCACAAATCACTACTAAAGAACTTACTGAGGTAACCAAATACCACCTGTTCCCAAAAACCTATGGAAATAATCTTTTTTTAAAAAAATTAAGTTACATTAAATAATAGTAATAATAAAAGGAGCAGATGAGGGATTGGCATCTCTGTAGAGTAGTCACCCTGTAACAAATGGTAAATATTTTCTGAATTTCTCTTTTCAAAGAGGATCAGCATCTCCTAGTGGAACTGTTAGCTGAAATGCAAACATTTCCTGAAAATAATAATAGCAATGCCTTGGCCAGGCACAGTGGTTCACGCCTATAATCCCAGCAATTTGGGAGGCCAAGGTGAGCGGATCACCTGAGGTCAGGAGATTGAGACCAGCCTGTCCAACATGGCGAAACCCCATCTCTACTAAAAATGCAAAAATTAGCCAGGTGTGGTGGTGCGTGCCTGTCATCCCAGCTACTCAGGAGGCTGAGGCAGGAGAAGAGCTTGAACCTGGGAGGCGGAAGTTGCAGTGAGCCGAGATTGCACCATTGCACTCCAGCCTGGGCGACAAGAGCGAGACTCTGTCTCAAAAAAAAAAAAAAAAAAAAAAAAAAGCAACACCTTTAATGATGTTATGGGACAACAATGTTATTAGAATTCTTTACTTTCTTTCAGAGAATGTATATTTTACATCTTAATGAGGTACTGTACTTATCAGATCTAGATTCTATTTTCTGAAGATTCTTGAATTATAGGAGTTAAAGATTTATAAACAACGGTAATTCAACAAACCAAATCTACAAAATGCTGAATATACTAGGTGGTCACACCCTGAAAACAAGCAATCCACAGGAGTATAATTTATTATCAAAACTGATCTCAAAATACACACACAAAATGCATAGTACAACTTTTAACATAAAATGAGAATTATACTACTTTCTACAAAGGATTGTAATGAATACTAAACCTGTTATTAAATATTGATAAACACATCTGGTCTGAGCACATAGTAACTGCTTAATAAAAGTTAGTTCCCTCTGCCTCCCTTCTCTCAATTTTATTATATCAGTTCATACATTAGTGTCTGAATCCTCCCCTTTATTTGTCTCTTCCACTTTGTTTTCCTTTCTCTTCTTTCTTGCTCCTCTTACACATAACAATTTTATCTCTATTGAGAACATGGGAAATATTTTCAGACTACATTCCATTCCATTGTATTTCCATTAGGCAAAATACTTTTTTATTAAAACAGACTTGGAATTTACTAGTCTGAAATATTCTGGTTGTTCCTGAAAGCTGTGAATATTAATTACTCACTGGCCTTATCAGATCTTTTCCATGAGAATGAAGGCACGTACTTTTACCTCATACAAGCTAAGAATTCTTAGAGGACACCTTTAATTTGGAGTGTCAAAGCCCACTTTGGACTCTTCTGCTGGACCTGAAGCATCAAATTGTCTCTGGTACTATACTCCTGATCTCCTCCAACTGGGAAGCTAGACTCTATAATTCTGACATTGGAAAATGTGCAGCCAGGGTACTGTGACCTACAAATTGCTTTATGGCTAAGAGAGAGATAGTATGTGGGGTAATGTCAGTCCCTTGTGTGTGTTTGGGCATGTTTGTGTGTGCATGTGTTTATTAACATTCACGTAGATTTAAACTGTAGGGATGAATGAAGAGCTCTTTCTCTAGGAGGAGGAGAAGAGGAAGTCCCCAAAGAGTAAATTTAGGGGCTGAGGTAATTCAAGAGAAGATTATTAGTACTCAGAATATTTTGCACATTTTTTCAAGATTTTATTTAAACCCCTTTGTTTTTCTTTCCCATATTTGGGGTCTAAATTTCAATAAAATCTGATGCAGATGATTTGGTATTGGTAGTTAAACTCTAAAGGGATGTTTGGGCTTCCTCATATTGCCCTGCTAATGAGATCCGAGTGGAAGTGGCAGCACTTATGTACGGGACACAGTGGTTCTGAAGTTACAGCATCAAAGAAAAGAATCCAGCGGCACGACTGAATGTGGTACAGAGAAATAATCTCAGCTCATTCAATCCCAGGAGTGGGCATGAAGTATCATTGGTATAATGGAAGCATGTGATTCTTCAGGTGAAAGTAGACTCAATACTTCAAGTTACACTACTATGAGAGACAATCACTGTAAGTTAGCTGAGCTTGAATCTGAATCATTTTCCAATGAAGGCCAATCTTTTTTTTTTCACTTGTGAAAAAAATATGCTTCAGAACCTCTTCAGTTTTTTGTCATATTGTATATATCCTCAATCCTTTGCTGCAACTAACCTACCTTCAGAGTTTCTGATATTGGATGGAAAGCCTGCAACTTCAGAATACTACAGTGATCCAGTGATCTCTCCCTTAAAAAGAACTCTTCATCTAATGAAATGATCATTGATGCATAACTAAAGTGATGATTTTGATGGCCTTTAAGACGTGCTGAAAAATATAAACAGTCAGAAAGGATTCCAAGAATAAAAGGCTCCCTATTCTAAGAAACACTTAACTCCCTCCACCTCCATACAGGCAGCATTTTATAAAAAGCCAACAACTGTTAAAAATAAATTATATGAGAAATCTAGTTGCAGTGCTGGGTATCAAAGTGTACAGAGTTTGAAATCAGAAAGTTCTAGGACTGAATGCTAGCTGTTTGCTATACTTTTTTCTCTGATGATGCTAATACCATATACAAAGACACACTGTATATATTTATAACTATATATTTTTATATGTAGCAGGGAGTTGATAAATATTAATTTGTTCTCTGTTTAGCTTCCTTTTATATATTTAACTGCTGATTTATACTTGTCTTCTCTACATCAAATGAGGTGTATTTTCTGCAAGATTAAAGAGTCAAGGAAAATGGTAAATACATGGTTAAACATAGATGAAAATTAACTGCACAATAAAATAATAATATCATGTGGAATTTTAATCATTTGTAGATTTAAATAACTGGAACCAAAATGAGAAAGACATAAGCTAATTGAACTCTTTTAAGATCCTTGTGTTGTCAGGAAAGTAGTAAAATTATTAATTTATATTTTATTATAATAAAGCACTTGTGTTTTAGTCTCTAGGATAATCATTATAATAAAAGTAAAATAATCTATGAGATAAAGAAGGTGGGTAAAATAAAAATAAATTACTTGACTAATACTAAATAATAAACAAACAAGTAAATACATAACTGAATAACCAAATAAATATATAACCACAGTGAAAAGAGTTGAAAAAAACAAGTAAGAATTTTTTTGAAGTGCGTAGAAAGTCATGGAAATGGGCTTCTGTCTTACAGTCATCTGAAAAGATCTTATATAATGAGATGGCAGGTTTTCTGAGATATGGCTCACTCATAGAGGCCCGGCCTGAAAGAGTTAGTGGT
This sequence comes from Homo sapiens, assembly GCF_000001405.40. Taxonomy (NCBI): domain Eukaryota; kingdom Metazoa; phylum Chordata; class Mammalia; order Primates; family Hominidae; genus Homo; species Homo sapiens. The sequence continues at coordinate 131,565,381 of NC_000008.11, read as the reverse complement.
AGAGTATTGCACTCAGAAGAAACAAAAATTACAAAGGAAGAATCGAGCTTGCTATCCTAGAGGAATAGGAGGAATAGTAAGGCTGCTGGAATGGAGTGGAGTTGAACTATCCCCTCCTAGGCACAGAGTGCTGAACTATACCATATGTTTATAGCCTACATTGCTCTATCAGAGCTCTACAGTATAAATATTATCAGCCTTAATTTACAGATACTGATATGCCAAGTAATTAAGTGAATTGAGTAGCATTAGTAGGTACATTTTCATCAAATGTGTTTTGTAGACAATCATTTGAAACTAGTCTGCCATTAATGAGAGCAATTTGGAAAATTTACTTAAGCTTCACCTTACATATTTGATAAATGGAGATAGCAATAGTATGAAATGCAAGGGTAAGATGTGCTGAGAACAAAATCAGATAATGTAAAGTGCTTAACAAAATGGATGAAACATATGAGTAAGAGTTAATTCATGAAATTGTCTCAGATATTCCATATGATAAGAAAAGGAGACTGTATTCTTTTTTTTTTTCTTCTTTTTGAGACAGAATCCCACTCTGTAGCCTAGGCTGGTGTGCAGTGGTGTGATCTTGGCTCAGTGCAGCCTCAACTCCCCAGGCTCAAGTGATTTTCCCACCTCAGCCTCCTATGTAGCTGGGACTATAGGTATGCACCACCATGCCTGGCTAATTTTGCTCATTTTTTTGGTAGATGTGGGGTCTCACTATATTGCCCGGGTTGGTCTTGAACTCCTGTACTCAAGCGATCCTCCTGCCTCAGCCTCCCAAAGTGCTGGGGTTACAGGTGTGAGCCTCCCTGCCCAGTCTGGGGACTGTATTCTGACCCAAATTATATTTTAATGAAGTCTTTGCTCCCTCTATTTCACCTCACATTCTCTTGAAATACCAAGGAGACAAAAGTGAAAGACTATGAGTGATCTAAGAAAAGCTGGAGCAAAATACTATGGAGTACAGCAGAAAAGGCACAATAAGTTCAGTCTTACGGAGTGGAGTCAGGCATCATCAAAGGCTTATCAGAGGGAGGAATGTTTGAGTAAAACTTTGGAAGATGGGGAAAACATGAGTGCTGGGCCGAAGGGGGACAAAGCTGGGAACTTCATCCTGTATGGCACTACTACACACCAGTACTCCTTACTGGTCCCCAAGGACTCCTGTGGAATGGGTGAATTGAACTGGCAACAAGCAACCTGCTCTCACCACAGATCTCTGGAATCCTAGCAGGAGGAGACCGCACTACTGCCACAGACACTTGAGTTGGCAGGCAGAGCTGCTTAGAGAAGGGCTAGGGATGGAACTCCAGCCAGCGTGGAGCCCAGAGGGTTTGGGGCAGAAGCATCTGTAGTGGAGCATGACCAGGGCTGCACATCCCCCTAGGCTCTACTTGCTCCCATAGAAGATAGCCCTAGAGGAACTGTTGAACCTGAACTCTGCAGAGCCATCGTTCCCATGAGACAGGGCCAATATGACCTGAGCCCTCCTTGGTCTACTGGCTTCTCCCAGGACCCCAGCCCAGCCACACACATGCTTCTGGTGCAGCCTTGGGTGCCCATGAGTGGCACCTCCTAGGGACCAACATCATAGGTCCTGCACTGGTGGAACACACCTGACTGCAGAGAGTTCCAGCAAAGCAATCTTCATGGACACACAGCAGCCCACTCACACCCTCCCCCCCAATGCAGACTCCCCATGCCACTTTGCCTGCATGCCCTTACCCATGACTACCCCCGACATTGTTCTGCAGGAATGTGCGTGCATGGGCAGACCTTGCCTCTCCTTCCCATCTAGCACGTATCTGTGTGTGCACCCTGTCATGCCACTGCTGCTGGTATGAATACACCCTGCTCCCCACCCCCACACCACCACACCACCACACCACGACACAGCCATTACCGTTGGAGCAATGGCTGACATAGAGCCCACTGACCCCACCCCCATCAGCATCTTGCCTCTGTGCTATCACTGCTGCCACCGTGGAACTAAGCATGGAGAACAGAGGACCCATCCCTGCCTTGAGGAGCCACCACTGCCCCCATGAACATGCACAGGGGACACACACAGTCCTGTGCCCACAACTGCCTAACACCTAGCCTAACACCACCACCAGGATGAATGCATGCCCCCAGTCTTCCCCATGCCATGCTGCGACCACCACTGATGCAAACGCCCAGATGGAGGCTAGTACCTGCTAACACTCCACTCGAGCTGAGGAGCATGAACCCATGTGCTGCTGCTGACACATGGGAACAAGGACAGATCCCACTGCCTTCATCACCCTATGAAATACTTCAGTTGGCACCACCCATTGTAGCATTGTGACCAGCAATCCACAAGCACCTCAGACTCTCCAGTGCAGCAGGTTCCTAACTTCAAGGAGCCAAAGAAAGGATATACAGTGGAATGTTACATCACTTTTTTTTTTTTTTTTTATTAAGACGGAGTTTTGCTGTTGTTGCCCAGGCTGGAGTGCAATGGCATGATCTCGGCTCACCACAACCTCCGCCTCCCAGGTTCAAGCAATTCTTCTGCCTCAGCCTCCCGAGTAGCTGGGATTACAGGCATGCACCACCATGTCCGGATAATTTTTGGTATTTTTACTAGAGACGGGGTTTCTCCATGTTGAAGCTGGTCTTGAACCCCTGACCTCAGGTGATCCACCCGCCTCGGCCTCCCAAAGTGCTGGGTTACAGGCGTGAGCTACCGCGTCCGGCCACATCACTCTTTTAAACTGATAACCTTTATTCAGCTCAAGCCTCAAATGCTCAGGCAAGAATGGTTTGCTCCTTGCAGACTTTGTAAGTGGCTCCCACGCTGTGGTTTTACATTTCTTATGCACATTTTCTATTAATCAGGATCATCTGTTTCCTCATTCACATCTCAACTAGACTATGAGCCTCTCATGAACATATATGGGACTGTATTTATCATTCCATTCTCAGCACCTAGTGTAGTACTGGTCCGGAGTGAGGACAGTAACTGTTTTTTTTTTTTTTTAATTTTGTTTTTATGTGGGTACATAGTAGGTGTATATATTTATGGGATACCTGATATATTTTGGTACAGGCTTACAATGTATAATAATTACATCAGGGTAAATGGGGTATCCATCACCTCAAGCATTTATCCTTTCTTTGTGTTACAAACAATCAAATTATACTTTTAGTTTCGTTTAAGTGTACAATAAATTGTTTTTGACTGTATGACCCTGTTGTGCTACCAAATATTCAATCTTACTCATTCTATCCAACTATATTTTTGAAACCATTAACCATCCTCCCTTTTCCCTGACGCTACCCATCGTAGCCTCTGGTAACTACCATTCTATTCTGTATCTCCATGTGTTCGATTGTTTTAATATCTCCCACAAATAAGTGAGAACATGCAAACTTTGTCTTTCTGTGCCTGGCTTATTTCACTTAACATAATGACCTCCAGTTCAACTTATGTTGTAGCAAATGACAAAATCTCATCCTTTTTTATGTCTGAATAGTACCCCATTGTGTATATGTACCATGTCGCCTTTATCCATTCTTCTGCTTCCAAATCTTGGCTATAGTGAATAGTGCTGCAATGAACATGGGAATGCAGATATCTCTTCAATATACTGATTTCCTTTTTTTTTTTTTTGAGTATATACCTAGCAGTGGGATTCCTGGATAATATGGTAGCTTTATTTTTAGTTTTTCAAGGAGCCTGTGAACTGTTGTCCTTAATGGTTGTACTAATTTATGTTTCTATTAGCAGTGTATGTCGGTTCCCTTTTCTCCACATCCTCACCAGTATTTGTTATTGCCTGTCTTTTGGATATAAGCCATTTTAACTGCGGTGAGATGAGATCTCATTATAGTTATAATTTGCACTTCTCTGATGATCAATGATGTTAAGCACCTTTTCATATACCTGTTTGCTATTTGCATGTCTTCCTTTGAGAATTGTCTATTTAGATGTTTTGCCCATTTTAAAATTGGATTATTAGATTTTTTTTCCTATAGAGTTGTTTGAGCTCATTATATATTCTGGTTATTAATCCCTAGTCCAATGGGTAGTTTGCAAATATTTTGTGCCATTCTGTGGGTTGTCTCTTCACTCTGTTGATTGTACCTTTGTTGTGCAGAAGCATTTTAACTTGATGTGATCCTGTTTGTCCAGTTTTGCTTTGGTTGCCTATGTTTGTGGGGTATTATTCAAGAAATCTTGTCCCAGTTCAAAGTCCTAGAGAGATTCCCAAATGTTTTCTTCTAATAGTTTCATAGTTTGATGTCTTAGATCTAAGTCTTTGATCTATTTTGATTTGATTTTTATATATGGTGAGAGACAGGGGTCTAGTTTCAATCTTCTGCATATAAAGAAGAAAACTGCATATGCTGCAGTTTTCCCAGCAGCATTTATTGAAAAGACTGTTTTTTTCCTTAATGCGTGTTCTTGGCACCTTGGTCAAAGACGAGCTCACTGTAGGTGTATAAATTTTCTTCTGGAGTTCTCTATTCTGTTCCATTGGTTTATGTTCTGTTTTTATGCCAGTACCAAGTTGTTTTGGTTACTATAGCTTTGTAGCACATTTGAAGTCAGGCAATGTGATTCATTCAGTTTTGTTATTTTTGCTCAGGATAGTTTTGGCTATTCTGGGGCTTTTGTGGTTCCATATAAATTTTAAGATTGCATATTCTATTTTGGTGAAGAATGCCTTTGGTATGATGATAGGGATTGCACAGAATCTATAGATTGCTTTAGATAGTATGGACATTTTAACAATACTGATTCTTCCAATCCATGAACATGGAATTTCTTTCCGTTTTCTGTGTCCCCTTCAATTTATTGCATCACTGTCTTATACTTCTCATTGTAGAGATCTTTCACTTCTTTGGTTAATTTTGAAGTATTTTATTTTACTTGTAGCTATTGTAAATGGGATTACTTTCTTGATTTTGTTGTCAGATTGCTGGCTGTTCGCATATAGAGATGCTAATAATTTTTGTGTATTGATTTTGTTTCCTACAAATTTACTGAATTTGTTTTTCAATTCTAGCGGTTTTTTGATGGAGTCTTTAGGTTTTTCCAAATATAAGATTATATCATCTGCAAACAAGGATAATTTGACTTCTTCCTTTCCAATTTTGATGGCCTTTATTTCTATCTCTTGTCTGGTTGTTCTAGCTAGTACTTCCAGTACTATGTTGAATAACAGTGGTGAAAGTGAGCATCTTTGTCTTGTTCCAGATCTTAGAAGAAAGGTTTTCAGTTTTCCCCAATTCGGTATGACAGTAGCTGTAGGTCTGTCATATATAGATTTGTTGTGTTGAGGTATGTTCTTTCTATACCTAGTTTTTGACAGTTTTTATCATGAAGGGATGTTGAATTTTGTCAAATGCTTTTTTGACACCAGTTGAAGTGATCAGATAATTTTCGTCCTTCATTCTGTTGATATGATGTGTCATTGATTGATTTGTATATGTTGAACAATTCTTGCATCCCAGGGTTAAGTCCCACTTCATCATGATGAATGATTTTTTTTTTTTTTTTTTTTTTTTGAGACGGAGTCTCGCTCTGTCACCCAGGCTGGAGTGCAGTGGTGCTATCTTGGCTCACTGCAAGCTCCGCCTCCTGGGTTCATGCCATTCTCCTGCCTCAGCCTTCCATGTAGCTGGGACTACAGGCGCCTGCCACCAGGCCCGGCTAATATTTTGTATTTTTAGTAGAGACGGTGTTTCACTGTGTTAGCCAGGATGGTCTCCATCTCCTGACCTCGTGATCTGCCCACCTCAGCCTCCCAAAGTGCTGGGATTACAGGCATGAGCCACCGCGCCTGGCCAAATGATCTTTTTAATGAGTTGTTGAATTCAGTTTGCTAGTATTTCATTGAGGATTATTGCATCAATGTTCATCAGATAAATTCGCCTGTAGTTTTCTTGTTTCCATGTATCTTTGGTTTTGGTATAAGGGTAATATTTGCCTCATAGAATGAGTTTGGAACTGTTTTTTGGAGCTGTTTGAGTAGGATTGGTATTAGTTCTTTAAATGTTTCGTAGAATTCAGTAATGAAGCCATCAGGTCCCAGGCTTTTTGCTTAGCTAAGTTTATATATGGCTTCGACCTCATTGCTTATTATTGGTCTTTTCAGGGATTTAATTTCTTCATGGTTCAATATTGGTAGGTTTAATGTGTCTAGAAATGTATTCATTTCTTCTAGGTTTTTCAATTTATTGGCATATTGTCACTTATAGTAGCCTGTAATGATCCTTTGAATTTCAGCAGTATTGGTTGTAATGTCTCATTTTTCATCTCTGATTTTATTTACTTGGGTCTTCTCTCTTTTTGTATTAATTAGTCTGACTAATGGTTTGTCAGTTTTGCTTATCTTTTCAAAAAACAAACGTGATTCATTGATCTCTTGTATTCTTTTATTTCCATTTCATTTATTTCTCCTCTGATCTTTATTATTTATTTTTTTCTACTAACTAGGTTTGGTTTGCTCTTGCTTTTCTAGATCTTTAAGATGCAATGTTAGGTTGCTTGTTTGAAGTTTTTCTACTTTTTTGATGTAGGCACCTATAGCTATTAACTTTCCTTTGAGTGCTTATTTTGCTGTACCCCATAGGTTTTGGTGTGTTGTGTTTCCATCATTATTTGTTTCAAGAAATTTGTTAATTTCCTTCCTAATTTCTTCACTGACCCATTGGTCATTCGAGAGCATATTGCTTTAGTTCCATGCATTTGCATAGTTTTTTAAATTCCTCATGTTATTGATTTTTAGTTGATACAGAAACTTGATATAGTTTCTTTTTTTATTTTTTAAAGATTTGTTTTGTGGCATAACATATGGTCTATTCTTGAGAATAATCCCTGTGCTGATGAGAAGAATGTTTATTCTGCAGCCATTAGATGAAATGAAATTTTCTGTAAATATCTATTAGGGTCATTAATCTATATATACTGCAGATTAATTCTCATGTTTCTTTATTGATTTTTTAATCTGGATGACATGTCCAATACTGAAAGTGGGGCACTGAAGTTTCCAGGTATTGTATTGTGTTCTTTCTATCTCTTTATCTCTAATAATATTTGCTTCATATATTTGGATGCTTCAGTATTGAGTGCATATATTTACAATTGCTATATTCTTTTGCTGAATTTATCCCTTTATTATTAAATAATGACTTGTTTCTTTTTAGTTTTTGTCTTGAAATCTATTTTTATGATATGAATATAGCAATTTGTTCTCATTTTTGGTTTCTATCCCCATAGAATATATTTTTCCATTCTTTTATTTTTAGTCCATATGTGTCTTTATAGGTGAATCATGTTTCTTGTAGGCAACAGATCATTGGGTCTTTTTTAAAAATCCATTTATCCACTCTATGTTTTTGATTGGAGTGTTTAGTCCATTTACATTTAATGCTATTTTTGATAAGTAAGAACTTACTCCTGCCATTTTATTATTTGTTTGCTGGTTGTTTGGTCATCTTCCCTTTCTTCTATATTTCCTTCCTTTCTTCCTTTTAGAGAAAACTTATCCTCTGGTGATAAGTTTTAATCTCTTGCTTTTAATTTTTTTGTGTATCTTTTGTATGTATTTTTATTTGAGATTACTATGAGGCTTGCAGATAATATCTTTTAAGCCATTAGTTCAAACTGATGACCATATTGCATAAACAAAGCAGCAAGCAAGCAAAGAAAAAACTATTAAAAACTCTACACTTTAATTTTATCTTCCTGCTTTTAATTTTTTCTTGTTATATTTATATCTTATTGTACTGCCTATGCATTGAAAAGTCATTGTCATTTTGATCAGTTCATCTTTTTTCTTTGTACTAAAGATATCAGTATTTTACACACCACAATTACAGTGATACAATATGTGTTTTTTTTCTGTGTACTTACTATTACCAATGAGTTTTGTACCTTCAGATGATTTTTTATTGCTCATTAATGTTCTTTTCTTTCAGTTTTCTTTCAGTTCTTATAGAACTGGCCTGGTGTTGATGGAATCCTTCTGCTTTTGTTTGCTTGGAGAACTTTTATTTCTCCTTCATGTTTGAAGGATATTTTTCCTGCATATGCTATTCTAGGGTAAAAGTTTTTTTTTTCCTTAGACACTTTAAATATGTCATGCCTCTCTCTCCTGGCCTGCAAGGTTTCCACTAAAAAGTCTGCTGCCAGATGCATTGGAGCTCTATTTTGTGTCATTTATTTCTATTATCTTGCTGCTTTTAGGATCCTTTATCTATCCTTGACCTTTGGGAGTCTGATTATTAAATATCTTGAGGTAGTCTTATTTGGTTTAAATCTGCTTGGTGTTCTATAACTTTCTTGTATGTGAATATTGACATCTTTCTCTAGGTTTGAGAAGTTCTCTGTTATTATTTCTTTGAATAAACTTTCTACCCCATCTCTCTCTGTATCCTGTCTTTATTACCAATAACTCTTATATTTGCCCTTTTGAGGCTATTTTGACATATTACAGGTCATTTTTTTTCTTTGCTGAGTATTTTTAAATAGCCTGTCTTCAAGAACACTAATTCTTCTGCTTGATCAATTCTCTAACTAAGATACTTTGGTACATTCTTCAGTATGTCAATTGCAGTTTTCAAGTCCAGAATTTCTGCTTGATTCTTTGTAATTATTTCAATTTCTTTGTTAAATTTATCTGATAGAATTCTGAATTCCTTCTCTTTGTTATCTTGAATTTCATAGAGGTTCTTTAAAACTGCTATTTTCAATTCGCTGTGTGAAAGATTACATATCTCTGTCTCTCCAGAATTGGTCCCTTGTACCCTATTTAGTTATTTGTTGAGACCATCTTTTTTGGATGGTCTCTATACTTGAGAATGTTCATTGGTGTCTGGGCATTGAAGAATTAAGCATTTATTATAATCTTCACAGTCTGGGCTTGTTTGTACTTATCCATCTTGGGAAGGCTTTTCACGTATTTGAAGGGACTTGGGTGTTGTAATCCAAGTTTTGGTTTTATTACAGCCATATCTGCATTAGGGGGCACCCAAGCCCAGTAACGTGATGGTTCTTGGAGACTTACAGAGGTACCGTCTTGGTGATCTTGGATAAGATTCAGAAGAATTCTCTTAATTACAAAGCAGAGACTCTTATTATCTTCCTTAAATTTTGCCAAACAAAAGGAGTCTATATTGAGCTGCCTGGAGCTGTGGGTCAGGTGGCACAATAATCCCCGTGGCCACCACCACTGGGACTGTGCTGGGTCAGACTTGAAGCCAGTGTGGTACTGTGTCTTTCCCAAGTCCTACAGTTACCACTGCCTCACTACTGCCTATGTTTTTTCAAGGCCTAGGGCTCTGCAATTATCAAATGACAAAGCCAGCCAGCCTTGTTTCCTTCCCTTCAGGTGGCAAGTTCCCCCTTTCCCAGGTAGATCCAGAGATGCCATCTGGGAACTGGGACCTAGAGTTGGAAACCTTAGCAATCTACCTGATGCTTCCTCCTACTTGAGCTGATCTGGCACCCAAGACACAAGAGAAGTCTTTCCCATTCTTCCTTCCCATTTTTACAATCATAGGAGCATTTCTTTGTGGCCACCACTGCCCCAGGCCCTGCATAAAACTGTCTGGCTACCATCAATGCTCATGCAAGGCTCAACGGCTCTTCAGTCAGCTTGTGGTGAATGCTGCCTGGCCTGGGACTCAACCTTCAGGAAAGTGGGCTCTCTTCTTGCCCAGGATAGGTCCAGAAATGCCATTCAAGAGCTAAGGCCTGGAATCGGGGATCCTAAGAGCCCACTTTGTGCTCTTCCCAACTGTGGCTGAGCTGGCATCTAAGCTGCAGGACAAATTCATCTTTCCTCTTCTGTTCTCAAGCAGAAGGAGGCTTTCCCCATAGCAACTACAGCTGGTAATGTGCTGGGTTACACCTGAAGCGAGCATATCTCAGAGCCTCGCCAAGGTCCATGGTGAGTACTGCCTGGGTATTGGTGCTGATCATTCAGGACCCAATGGCTCTTTAGTCAGCAGGTGATGAATCCTGCCAGAACTGAGTCCTTCTCTTCAAGGTGATGAATTCCTTTATGCTTAAGGTGTGTATAGAAATGTCATTTGGGATCTAGGGCCTGGAAGGGGGGCATCAGGACTCTCCCCAGTGTCCTATTCTACTGTAGTTGAGCTGGTATCCATGTTGCAAGGCAAAGTCTTCTTTACTCTTCCCTCCCCTATCCTCAAGCAGAGGGAAGGAGTCTCTCCTGGTGCCTAGTGTTGTGGGAGGTTGCACGCCCTTGGCCACCTCAGCTGGTGTTTCAGTAGGTCATATGTAAGCCATGTCCACTGGCTCTGAGCTCAGCATGGCACCAGAACCTGCCTAGACTGCCTTTCAAATTTATATAGGACCCCAGGGCACTTTACCTTCCAGTGTTGAGGCTTGCCATAACTCAGGTTCTGACTGCTGGGGCGGACAATTTGCCTCTGTCTAGCGCTAATCTAAATGCTCTGTCCATGGGTACTGGCTAATTTCTTCCTGGCAATGCTTTCTGCTGTGACAGGGCAGCACTCAGTTCCAAAGCAAAGTCCCACAGTCACTGTGCTCTCCCTCCATCAAGTGCACAGATTCATTCTTCACGCCAGGAGGCCACTGCCAGGAAATAAAGCAGGGGTGGCATTGGTGATTCAAGCCTGTTTTTTCTACCATCTTCAGTGTCTCTTTCAACAATTAAAAGTTAAAACTAATTGCTGTGATTGCTTACCTCATTTTTGGTTCTTATGAAGGTGCTTTTCTTGTGTAGATAGTTGTTAAATTTGGTGTCCCTATGGGGGTGTGGGGGAAATGATTGATGAAGACTTCTATTCAACTGTCTTGTCCACCTTCTCACCTGATTTTGGTTCTTATGAATGTGCTTTTTATGTGTGTAGGTAGTTGATCAATTTGATGTTCCTGCAGGGAGGACAATCACTGGAGGCTTCTATTTGATCATCTTGCTCTGCCTCCCTCCTCAGTAACTGTTTATGACTGAGAGATACGTAATCTTTTAGCTCTTCTTATGATATAGTCGAATCTTGAAATGTTAGAATGTTTTACTACTTGGATTTATGTATCCAGTAGCCCAAATCATACTCACTCTTCTCTGACAATGTCAATATTATGAGTAAAGTTCAGAGGCAACCATATCAATAGCTATTAATTATTAAGCACCTATTGTATGACAAAATTAATAACTCTTTTGCATATAGTTTTTTTAGTGTAAAATTAGTGGAGTAGTACCTTTTATAACCAGAGTTATTGTGACTACCCAAATCAAAATGAAATATTTACCTGCAAGTAGTTTGAAGAAGGCAAAGTAGTGGGTGTGTATATATCCTGTAGTATATATATATATACGTATATATATATATATATATATATATATACACACATATATATATACACATATATATACACATATATATATATACATATATATATACACATATATATATACACATATATATATACACATATATATATACATATATATATACACATATATATATATACATATATATATATATACACAAACACACACACACATACACACACACAAAGATTTTTCCAGCCACTGCCTTCTTCTTCATAAAATTTCCACTGTTCCTACCTTTATTCCTAAGTACAGAATAGACCTCTATTTATTTAGGTATTTATTGTTTATTTTTCCCTCTATTTATTTAGGTATTTATTGCTAACATGCCATAGAAACTTAGTTCAATTACTTTGATTAATTAATCCCCACCCCAAGCCTGAGTCCTTTCTTTCTAACCTACGAATAATGCTTAATTGACAGTTTATAGAAAATAAATTTATGTGGAACATTCAACATAATCTGTGGCATATAGTGTGCTCACAATAAATATTTTTCTTCCCTTCTATCTATCCCTGTCATACTCCCTGTTAAAATTATTTTGGTATATTCTCTGGATCCAATACAGCTTTCTTCTTTCCACTTACAGGAACCTGTGCTTTTATTTTTAACACAGAGTAGTGCATTAATGTGTTTTCTCATGAGAAGTGTCCTTGTTAACATTATCCTGAAAGGTAATTGTAGAATTGGATTACACAGTAAGCATGTATTCAAGTCTTCAATTATTCATAATGAACGGCTGAGCAATTAACAAGTCAAGGTACATTTGCTGGAAAGTGCATGATGGCAATGTTTTTATTCAGTGATCAGAGCAACAATTTCTGAATTTTATCTGACCATCCACAAGTGGAGAACAGTATTCTCCCAGCGGCATATCATTGTGATCCATCTTTACACTCAGTGAGGCTTAACAAGTCATTTTGAAATCCAGGAGCTCTCAGATAGTATTTTTTGGCTTGTACTTGCTCATATTCCAGGCAGAGTTAATAGCACCATACAACAGAAAGCTTGATACCTACAATATTGGCATGGAGAGTTGGCAGATATTTACTAGTTACACACATGTATGAAGTGAAGTTGTTACTTCACGCAGTGTTATTCCAGTGGCATACATGTTGAAATTTTGTTTTGCTTTGTTTTTATATAATTGAAAAATCAATGAGTTGATAATCTTTATTAGGGGTTTTAATACTAAATACATGCAGGACCAAGAAATTAAATGAGTGAAGCAGGCAAGGTGCAAGAAAATTATAGTAACTAAAGAAGGTAGTGGAACAGTGGTTAACTGGAGAGTTATGACCCATCTTATGGGACAACCAGTATTTAGCCGAAGGGAGATATTGGACTGTTGAAAGGGAAGCCAGAAATCTAATTTTTTTCAGTACAACATCTTTCACTTTTTTAGTGTTGGCAACTAATATGATTCGGTTTTTGAAGCATGGTGTGAGACAAGCTAAATATCTTTGCAGGCTGTATACTCAAACTTCTGATCCTAAAAGTGTAAATGACATGTTTGGTGTATCTGTTACTGTTTCTTTGTTGACAGTGAACTAAAAACATGTGAAATGTTTTGTCCTCATTCTTGGTCAATGATTTTATTCCTTTTCGGGTGCTTGCATTATGCCTCTTCTGATAACTTCCTAAGATCTGGGACTTTTGTTCATTTCCTTTCTTTGAAGATTGCAAAACACCACAGAAAACTGTTAAGTTATTTCCCTTGCCTATGAGCATTTTGTCCAGGTGAGTATCCTTGCCTGGAATAATATTTCACCCAATCTCTCATTTTCCCCCCAGTTCTCAAATTAGGCAGTCATTGTTCGTGCAAGCCTTCCTTGACTTCATTTATTCTCTTATGGCACCTGCTCAGGAAGGTGGCACAGGGTGTTGGTTAAGAGATTTAGTGTGACAAATGTTATCATATTTCAGTGTCTAATATATTATAGTACTTAGATTAAATACTAATTATACCTATTTTCCCCGTCAATGTCTGCTTTTGGGTAGTCAAAAGTATGTTTTGTTTATTTCTATAACCAGTTTTCACCAAGGTACCTAGCACATACTAAGCATTCATTTAAAAATGAAACATTTACTATCCTGCCCTGAATTATAAGGCTTTGGTGATCAGTAGATGAACATCCAGTTTCCCTTTCATCTTTTTTTTGAATTGTGCCTTCTTGGTCCCTATCTGCAATGATTTCTTAAAAGACATCTTGGCTATACCCTTCCTCTATTTTCCTTTCACTCCAATTGGATAGTGGATAGATAGGATAAAATCAGTTGAAGAAAGAATAAAAAAGATAGTAGGAAAGAGAAGATATCAGATAGCTTATAGGATTTGGTAAGAGAAAAATATTTGGCAAGATCTGAAAAGATTAGTTTGAAGAAGTTGAATGAAGAGAAGAGGAGATAAGACAAAGAAAATAAGAAATAGGCAGAAAGATAAAGGGATAGAATATCGATTAGGATTGGCTAAATTGTGTTGGAGTGATAAGCCACTCCAAAGGCCACAGTGACTTATAGCAACAAAGGTTAACTCTTCTCCTATGTCCTTGTGGGTCACTTACAGCTTTGCTCTTTATCTTCTTTCTTCCAACACACAGGCCAATTAAACATTCCTTTCTGGAACACTAACAGTCTATGGGGATGAGAGAGAAACATTTGAAAACATGAGTTGGCTCTTAAAGGCTCAGATATCAATTCTGTTTATATTCATTGACAAAGTGAGTCTTCTCTCACTCCTTGGTTCAACATGGTGCAGCACATATGCTCTTCAAGGGAGGAACTCAGAAGAGTTTTAAGAGTAATAAAGTTTATACAGATGTAGAAATTGTAAAACATGTCAAATAATATAAGTTTTCGGGAAATCTTTTTTTTATTTTATTATTATTATACTTTAAGTTTTAGGGTACATGTGCACAATGTGCAGGTTAGTTACATATGTATACATGTGCCATGCTGGTGTGCTGCACCCATTAACTCATCATTTAGCATTAGGTATATCTCCTAATGCTATCCCTCCCCTCTCCCCCTACCCCACAACAGTCCCCAGAGTGTGATATTCCCCTGCCTGTGTCCATGTGTTCTCATTGTTCAATTCCCACCTATGAGTGAGAATATGCGGTGTTTGGTTTTTTGTCCTTGCGATAGTTTGCTGAGAATGATGATTTCCAATTTCATCCATGTCCCTACAAAGGACATGAACTCATCATTTTTTATGGCTGCATAGTATTCCATGGTGTATATGTGCCACATTTTCTTAATCCAGTCTATCATTGTTGGACATTTAGGTTGGTTCCAAGTCTTTGCTATTGTGAATAGTGCTGCAATAAACATACGTGTGCATGTGTCTTTATAGCAGCATGATTTATAGTCCTTTGGGTATATACCCAGTAATGGGATGGCTGGGTCAAATGGTATTTCTAGTTCTAGATCCCTGAGGAATCACCACACTGACTTCCACAATGGTTGAACTAGTTTACAGTCCCACTAACAGTGTAAAAGTGTTCCTATTTCTCCACATCCTCTCCAGCACCTGTTGTTTCCTGACTTTTTAATGATTGCCATTCTAACTGGTGTGAGATGGTATCTCACTGTGGTTTTGATTTGCATTTCTCTGATGGCCAGTGATGGTGAGCACTTTTTCATGTGTTTTTTGGCTGCACAAATGTCTTATTTTGAGAAGTGTCTGTTCATATCCTTTGCCCACTTTTTGATGGGTTTGTTTGTTTTTTTCTTGTAAATTTGTTTGAGTTCATTGTAGATTCTGGATATTAGCCCTTTGTCTGATGAGTAGGTTGCGAAAATTTTCTCCCATTTTGTAGGTTGCCTGTTCACTCTGATGGTAGTTTCTTTTGCTGTGCAGAAGCTCTTTAGTTTAATTAGATCCCATTTGTCAATTTTGGCTTTTGTTGCCATTGCTTTTGGTGTTTTAGACATGAAGTCCTTGTCCATGCCTATGTCCTGAATGGTAATGCCCAGGTTTTCTTCTAGGGTTTTTATGGTTTTAGATCTAATGTTTAAATCTTTAATCCATCTTGAATTAATTTTTGTATAAGGTGTAAGGAAGGGATCCAGTTTCAGCTTTCTACATATGGCTAGCCAGTTTTCCCAGCACCATTTATTAAATAGGGAATCCTTTCCCCATTGCTTGTTTTTCTCAGGTTTGTCAAAGATCAGATAGTTGTAGATGTGTGGTGTTATTTCTGAGGGCTCTGTTCTGTTCCATTGATCTATATCTCTGTTTTGGTACCAGTACCATGCTGTTTTGGTTACTGTAGCCTTGAAAAGAATTTTCAACCCAGAATTTCATATCCAGCCAAACTAAGCTTCATAAGTGAAGGAGAAATAAAATACTTTACAGACAAGCAAATGCTGAAAGATTTTGTCACCACCAGGCCTGCCCTGAAAGAGCTCCTGAAGGAAGCACTAAACATAGAAAGGAACAAACGGTACCAGCCACTGCAAAATCATGCCAAATTGTAAAGACCTTCGAGGCTAGGAAGAAACTGCATCCACTAATGAGCAAAATAACCAGCTAACATCATAATGACAGGATCAAATTCACACATAACAATATTAACTTTAAATGTAAATGGACTAAATGCCCCAATTAAAAGACACAGACTGGCAAATTGGATAAAGAGTCAAGACCCATCAGTGTGCTGTATTCAGGAAACCCATCTCATGTGCAGAGACACACATTGGCTCAAAATAAAAGGGTGGAGGAAGAGCTACTCAAGCAAATGGAAAACAAAAAAAGGCAGGGATTGCAATCCTAGTCTCTGATAAAACAGACTTTAAACCAATAAAGATCAAAAGAGGCAAAGAAGGCCTTACATAATGGTAAAGGGATCAATTCAACAAGAAGAGCTAACTATCCTAAATATACATGCACCCAATACAGGAGCATCCAGATTCATAAAGCAAGTCCTGAGTGACCTACAAAGAGACTTAGACTCCCACACATTAATAATGGGAGACTTTAACACCCCACTGTCAACATTAGACAGATCAACGAGACAGAAAGTTAACAAGGATACCCAGGAATTGAACTCAGCTCTGCACCAAGTGGACCTAATAGACATCTACAGAACTCTCCACCTTAATCAACAGAATATACATTTTTTTTCAGCACCACACCACACCTATTCCAAAATTGACCACATAGTTGGAAGTAAAGCTCTCCTCAGCAAATGTAAAAGATCAGAAATTATAACAAACTATCTCTCAGACCACAGTGCAATCAAACTAGAACTCAGGATTAAGAATTTCACTCAAAACCGCTCAACTACATGGAAATTGAACAACCTGCTCCTGAATGACTACTGGGTACATAATGAAATGAAGGCAGAAATAAAGATGTTCTTTGAAACCAAAGAGAACAAAGACACAACATACCAGAATCTCTGGGTCGCATTCAAAGCAGTGTGTAGAGGGAAATTTATAGCACTAAATACCCACAAGAGAAAGCAGGAAAGATCCAAAATTGACACCCTAACATCACAATTAAAAGAAGTAGAAAAGCAAGAGCAAACACATTCAAAAGCTAGCAGAAGGCAAGAAATAACTAAAATCAGAGCAGAACTGAACGAAATAGAGACACAAAAAACCCTTCAAAAAATTAATCCAGGAACTGGTTTTTTGAAAAGATCAACAAAATTGATAGACCATTAGCAAGACTAATAAAGAAGAGAGAAGAATCAAATAAACCCAATAAAAAATGATAAAGGGGATAGCACCACCGATCCCACAGAAATACAAACTACCATCAGAGAATACTACAAACACCTCTACGCAAATAAACTAGAAAGTCTAGAAGAAATGGATAAATTCCTTGACACATACACCCTCACAAGACTAAACCAGGGAGAAGTTGACTCTCTGAATAGACCAATAACAGACACTGAAATTGTGTCAATAATCAATAGCTTACCAACCAAAAACAGTCCAGGACCAGATGGATTCACAGCCGAATTGTACCAGAGGTACAAGGAGGAACTGGTACCATTCCTTCTGAAATTATTCCAATCAATAGAAAAAGAGGGAATCCTCCCTGACTCATTTTATGAGGCCAACATCATCCTGATACCAAAGCCAGGCAGAGACACAACCAAAAAAGAGAATTTTAGACCAATATCCTTGATGAACATTGATGCAAAAATCATCAATAAAATACTGGCAAACCGAACCCAGCAGCACATCAAAAAGCTTATCCACCATGATCAAGTGGCCTTCATCCCTGGGATGCAAGGCTGGTTCAATATATGCAAATCAATAAATGTAATCCAGCATATAAACAGAACCAAAGACAAAAACCAAATGATTATCTCAATAGATGCAGAAAAGGCCTTTGAGAAAATTCAACACTTCATGCTAAAAACTCTCAATAAATTAGGTATTGATGGGACATATCTCAAAATAATGAGAGCTATCTATGACAAACCCACAGCCAATATCATACTGAATGGGCAAAAACTGGAAGCATTCCCTTTGAAAACTGGCACAAGACAGGGATGCCCTCTCTCACCACTCCTATTCAACATAGTGTTGGAATTCTGGACAGGGCAATTAGGCAGGAGAAGGAAATAAAGTGTATTCAATTAGGAAAAGAGGAAGTCACATAGTCCCTGTTTGCAGATGACATGATTGTATATCTAGAAAACCCCATTGTCTCAGCCCAAAATCTCCTTCAGCTGATAAGCAACTTCAGCAAAGTCTCAGGGTAAAAATCAATGTACAAAAATCACAAGCATTCTTACACACCAATAACAGATAAACAGAGAGCCAAATCATGAGTGAACTCCCATTCACAATTGCTTCAAAGAGAATAAAATACCTAGGAATCTAACTTACAAGGGACGTGAAGAACCTCTTCAAGGAGATCTACAAACCACTGCTCAATGAAATAAAAGAGGATGCAAAGAAATGGAAGAATATTCCATGCTCATGGGTAGGAAGAATCAATATCATGAAAATGGCCATACTGCCCAAGGTAATTTACAGATTCAATGCCATCCCCATCAAGCTACCAATGACTTTCTTCACAGAATTGGAAAAAACTACTTTAAAGTTCATATGGAACCAAAAAAGAGCCCGCATCGCCAAGTCAATCCTAAGCCAAAAGAACAAAGCTGGAGGCATCACGCTACCTGACTTCAAACTATACTACAAGGGAAATCTTTTTTTTTTTTTTTAAAGAAAATATTTGGGGAGTGATTAGAAAGTGGCTGAAGGCGGATGAAAGTCAAGAGACAAAATGGTAGTTGAAGGGGAAATGAAAGAGTTAGAAACCAGGGAAGATGAAGATAAAGAATAAAGGCCTCCCATATTTGGGTTGATAATATAGTACAGTGAAAACATGGCTTAGAGAATACAAGTACGAGCTGTACCATCAGGCAGACCTGGGCTCATCACAGCCCTTTATTTTCCTGTCTATATTTATGGTTCCTATCTTATACTGTTACCTAGAGAATTAAGTGACACAAATATGCATGTAATTAGACATTGATTTGTGCTTTTTCTGTTGCCATGAGTATTGTGAACTGTGACCTCCAGTTAAAAGAAAACGCACCACTATTATTCCACATCCTAAAAAATGCTGTCAGCAAATGAGCTTATGAGATGGAAAACAAATCTAGCTACAAGTGATCTCCACTCTAAATTGCACCCATCCCAGTGGAAGGTTTCTAGAGTTTTGCCAAAACTATAGTGAGAGGAGACAGTGTTATAATGTGCCTGGAAAGAGGACATTGCCAATGGCCTTTTCTGACTCATTTTACAAGTGCATAAGAAAACCTGAGATATTTTTATCACTCCATTTAAAGAAACAAGGAATTTTAAGGGAGTGGCAGGATCTGTGAGTTTGTCTAGTCCATATCCAAGAGAAGAGACTGGTGGTATTGACCATATTAGCTCATGAGTAAGGTGAGGCGTGACTGCCTCTCTCTAAGGATGTCTTTCATGATGAAGGAAGCTGGGAGAAGGTAAAGATGCCCAAGAAAATCACACATGTCACCAAGCTAGAGGTCGTCTGTAGTGAGGTAACTAGGTGAGAAGAATAGGCAGAGATGCTGGCCATCACTGACAGCTGGGATGTTCTCCAAGGTAAAGGTTACCTTCATTACCCTAATTCTCCTCTTCCTCCCCACTTCCTCCTTCTCCTCCAGCTCCTTCTGTAGATCTATTACAGGTAGTTAGACAAGCATAAATGGGGTAGGAGAGGGCTCTCCCCCATCCACTAGGAATGTTGGGTGATGGTTCAGCAATTATCACATTGCCTCTCTAAAAGTAATAAATTGGTAGCCAGAATCAGGGAGAGATTATTCATGATGGTTCACACCTGTTGCCCTAAAGTGTTAATTGAATGCAGTGAGAAGCAACTTCCTGGGCATGTGCATTAAGAGACAAAATTGTGGAGCATGACCTTCCGGGGGCACACCACAAGAAAAGGGAGGAAAGCCTCAGATGAGCACGCATACAACTTCCTAAACTCACTGCAGATGCTCACCTCCCAAGGGTAAGGAGGGCACTGTGCATGCAGGCAGCCCACCCTAAAGGAGGAATCATGGGAAAGAGGTCAGCCTATAAACTCCTAGGATCAAGGTTAAACACTGTACTTGACCTTCAGGTGCCCACTTGGGTCTCTTTCAGGTGAACTTTCTTAATTTCCTGTTCTGAAGCCTTTCTAAATAAACTTCCACTCCTGTTCTGAAGCTTGCCTCGGTCTCTTTTTCTGCCTTATGCCCTTCAATCAAATTCTTTCTTCTAAGAAGGCAAGAACTGAAGTTCCTGCAGATCCATATGGATTCACCACTGGTTGGCTACCTTCCACTGGTAACATATTTATAGGAGTAGATATTAAACAGGGAGGAAGATGACTCTCCCAGAATCTGACCAGGCCCTCCTTCTCAAGGTGCTTGGGATGAAGGACTGAAATAAAAGTCAGTTCAGGTGGCAACTTGCCACTGCCTACCTCAGGTCTCTTGATCCACGAAGTAAGGGGAAGTGGGACAAAGAGATTTAACTCAAGTTTGTGATTGAAGCTTCAGAATGAAATGGAAAGTTATTAACTGAAAGCGATGGGAAATTTTCTGGAATCTAACCAAGATATAATTAAGGATGAAAAAGAGAGATTTGATAAAGCAGAGTTGAAGGCAGTGATTGAAAAGAAAGACAATTTTATTTTTATATCCCTACTGAGATGGGACCTATATTAGTCTTCTAGGGCTTCTATAACAAAATGCCACAAACAGGGTGTCTCAAGCAACAGAAATTTATTTTCTTACAGTTCTGGAGCCTGGAAGTCTCAAATCAAGGGGCTGTGTCAGGTGGTTGGTTGCTCTTGAGGCCTCTCTCCTTGGCTTGCCAATGGTCACCTTCTAGCTGTGTCCTCACATGGTTCTGTTCCATGTGCGTGTGCATCCCTGGTTTCTCTTCCTCTTCTTATAAAGACTTTAGTTGTATTGGATTAGGGCCCACTCTAATGACTTCATTTAACCTTAATTACTTCTTTAAAGGCCCTATCTCTAAACACAGTCACATTGGGGGTTACGGCATCAACATATGAATTGGAGTTTGAGGGAGAAACAACTCAGTTTATAACAAGACTAAAGTGGTTTCACATGTGAGGCATCTGGCTTGGAGATAGAAGCATTCACATATGCTACATGTATGATGAAGGTAGCCAAGGAGATGCTTACATGAGTGGGAATGATGGAGGCTTGGAACATGAGGAAATGACATTGTGGTGAGATGTGTAAGGCAACCCATGACCCCAAAAATGCCAGAAGGATCCTGAGTTGTTAATAGAATGTTTCTTTGATTATAATAATGATAATGACAAAAACATTACTAACATTTCATGAGAACTTACTATATAGCAGGCAGGGATAGAAGTTCATACACATATTTTGAAAACTTAGTTTTCACTACTGGTTATTATTTTCATTTTACAGATAAGGTAACTGAGGCTCAGAGTGCAAAGATCACTTAAGGGGTAATGGGGGGGCAACATTCCAGCCAAGGTACCCTGACCTCACATATTATACCCTTAACCATACCATAAATCAGCCATGCTTTATGGCTTTTCCGGCCAAAGGAAGAATAGCAATTGAATCCATCTTCAAATCTATCCACCTCTACCTTCTTGAGGTCAGCCTGAAAATGGACTCTGCTCTGTGAGGGGTAGTGGGCTTAACCATGGCCACAGGGTGTCTTCTGTGATGAAGAAAACCTGGGAGAAGGTAAAGACTGCCCAAGATGACCACACATGTCACCACCCTAGAGATCATCTGTAGTGAGGTAACCAGGTAAGAAGAGCAAGCAGAGTGGGCACCCACTTCTTCCTGTAGCATTCCTTTTGTGATGAGCTGCAGACCTTTTAATGCTTTCCTGCTTCTGCTTTTTCTAAAAATTTCAGCCTACCTTGAAAAAATATATAGCCTTGGAAAACAGCAATATGGTGACCTGAATATCACAAAACTCATGTTACTAAGTAACATGAGTCTCTCTCTCTCTTTTTTTCTTTCTCTCCACACACACACAACACACACATACACACACACAGTGTGTGTGTGTATGTGTGCATAATTCATGATGATAAATGTATATGTCCCAGTTAAAAAGAAAATTATGTGTACTTTCCCCAAACTTTCCCAAACTAAAATTTACCTATATTTCAGTTGTAGAGAGTGTGGACTAAAGTAATGTTTAATAACTTATAAAACCTTTTCTTTAAAAATTAAAATCAGATTAAATTGCATCTCTTGAATGTTTTAATTAGGGAACAATCACTGATTGCTCCCAAAAGAGCTCATCATTTTCTGTTTCCTATCTATTTTTTTCTTTTTCTTTCTTTTTTTCTATTTATTACAGTCCAGTTTGTTCACTAAAGTTTGGTGGAGAGTTTGGGAGAAGGCTCCCAAACTTTTTTTAATGGCTCTCCACAAAGCTGTATGACCTTAACTCCAAACATGGAAAATCCAATAGTCAGAGACCACTTTCCACTTTCCCCCAGCCACCCACATTACAGAGGATGAAATCGAATTTGAACATGTTTTAAATTATTGTTTTTGAAGTTTTCTGGCTGACCAGAGAAAGTTACTTTTATGAAGCTCTTAGAAGAACAAAGATGTGTTCAGCACCTGCAATGTAGAGATAAGGAAACAACCTCACTTTTTGCAGCAATATCTTGAACTGAAGTATTCTTAGCAGTCTTGGGGTTGGTTGCTCCCACTAGAGAAAAGGAAGAAGAACAGAAAAAGAGGAAAGAAAGAAGAAAGGAAAATTTGTGCAGATGAATGGAACAATGTAGCATTGAATTTTTCCTCCTTAGTTCTAAGCAAAATTAATTCCTCAAATGTTTGAAAGGTAGGAGCAGACACCCAAACCATATGGGCATTCTAGATCAGAGTTACAAGTCTTAAAAACCTGCAGCAAAATAGATCTGCTGTATGTTAATTGTGGGTATTAACAGAGCTGAAGACTGACATGCTAACAGAGGACAAGCAGGCAAACAATTATGTAAAGAAGCCTAGAAATATGAAAAATTTCATGTTCCTTTTAGTTAAATTTTCTCTGACTTTTGGTAGACTTAGGACATTAAAAAGTTTTGTACTCCAAGAAAATAATGTAAATATAATGATAAACAGAATTCTACAATTAAATTCAGTGAAGGGAGACAATAAATTGGGGTATCGTATTGGCTGTTCCTATGCAACAATGCGTTTCCAAACATAGAGATTTAAAATGACCATTAATTTGGCTTATGACCCTTTGGCTCAATAATTTAAGTTGGTCTCAGCTGGGCAGCGCTGCATTTGGCCTATCTCATTCTCAGATCTGCTGCCAGTTGATGGTTGGCTGGGTAAAGACTGATGATTTCACATGGAATGGCTTGTCTCTGGTCCATATGCTCTCTCAGCTTCCAACAGGCAAGCCTATTGTTCAAATGGAGACTGAATAAATTTCCAAGTTACTTTGTCTGGAAGTGTATAAGGCCTCTTGAGGCTATATTCAGACCTGTTTTAACATCACTTCTGCCACATTTTATTGATCAAACTAAATCAAAAGACCAGCGTAGAGAAAAAGGATGGATAAATAGGTCTAACCTCTTGATGAGAAGTGCTACAGTCACATTGCAAAGTGGAATGGGCACAGGAAGGGGAAAATTATGGACACTGTATTAGTTCATTTTCACACTGCTGATAAAGACTTACCCAAAACTGGGTAATTTATGAAGGAAAAGAGGCTTAATGGACTCACAGTTCCACATGGCTGGGGAGGCCTCACAATTATGGCAGAAGGTGAAAGGCACATCTTACATGGTGGCAGGTAAAGAGTGAAAGAGAGCCAGGTGAAAGTGGTTTCCCTTATAAAACCATCAAGTCTCGTGAGATTTATTCACTTCTGCCAGAATAGTATGGGAGAAACTGCCCCCCACAATTCAATTATCTCCCACCAGGTCTCTACCACAACACACAGGAATTATGGGAGCTACAATTTAAGATGAGATTTGGGTGGCAACAAAGAAAAATTATAACACTGTGCAAGCAAACAACCACAGAAGGACACTGAAGAGTAAATGTCATGATTTTAGGGGGCTCTGCTCATAGTAATTGTCAAGTAGAAATTCAGATCGCAAAAGATTATAATTTCCACTTGTCCAAGAAAAATCTCAAAATATGACTTTAATATGAAATTTCTATAATTAAAAAATGTTAGCTTACAGTTTTGTCATACAACATCATTTGGGCAAAGAAAACATGTCCACAGGTGGGAAATAGCCTGCAGACCATGTGTTTGCAAACTCTGTTATTGGAGTGAAAGACAAATGCTGGATTTGAGTTTTGATGCCACTGAGCTGTGTGAACTGAAGGAAAGCTCCTTTCCTTACCCATCAAAAATAGATGAAAATATCATCCACACAGTTTTGTTGTGAAGATTAAATAGAATAATGCAGTTGAAATTGCATTATAAACTATTAAAAAATATATGTAAGTTATTTTTGCCATTGTTATTTTAATAATGTCTCCAAGGTAGTTTATAGTTCCAAATATATCTCTAATTTCTATTTCTTTAGATCAAGTGTTGGCAAACTTTTTCTCTACAGAGAAAAAGAGTAAATAGTTTAGGCTTATGGGACTATAGTTTGTATCACAGCTGCTAAGCCTTGTAACATAAAAGCAGCCATAGATAATATATAAATTAAGGAGAGTGGCTGTATTTTAAACAATTTCATTTATAAAATCAAGATTGGATTTGTTCTATAGAACAAGATTTTCTGACACCTGCCTTAGATTAATAATCCACATGAACAAAGAGAATGTGATTCTTAATATCAACCTTCCTTGACTCAACAGACTTGGTTAAGTCCCTTGTTATACATTTCTATTGTCTACTCTAGTTTCCTTCCTTACATTTTTCATTACCGTAGTTCACAAATAATTTGTGTAATTTTTTTAAATTCTCTTTACCCAGTGAGACACTGAGTATTTTGAGATGAAGAACTATGTCTTTCTTTGTTTATAATTGCATCTTCAGCAACTGTAACCTTATAGATGCTCAATAAAGGTTTGTTTAATGAATTTGTGAACAAATATTCAGTCATCATTAGACTATGGGTGTCATAGTGTTCTTTCCCTAATATCTATAAAAGGTCATTCTGATCACAGTATTTGATGATATCTAGTCCTCATTTCAGACATAGACACATTAATGAAACAACTTGGATTTAGTTACCTACTTTATATGACATTATTTTATATGTTCTTATTTGATATGGTTGTGCTTTGTGTCCCTACCCAAATTTCATCTTGAAATGCAACCCCCATAATCCCCATATGTCAAGGGAGAGAACAGGTGGAGGTAATTGGATCATGGGTAGTTCCCCCATGTTGTTCTTGTGAGCTTACAGTTTTGTCATGCAACATGAGTGAGTTCTCTTGAGATCTGATGGTTTTATAATGGGCTCTTCCTCCTTAGCTCTTCCTCCTTAGCTTCCTGCTGCCTTGTGAAGAAGGTACCTTGCTTCCCCTTCACCTTCTGCCATGATTGTAAGTCTCCTGAGGTGTCCTCAGACATGCTGAACTGTGAGCCAATTAAACTCTTTCCTTCATAAATCACTTAGTCTCAGGCAGTTCTTTATAGAAGTATGAAAACGGACTAATACATAATTCTTTGTTTACCAACCATTCCAGTGAGTCTCTTACAACAAAGGGAGGTGTGGACCTTAAGGACTGAGCCTGGAATCTTAGTCAAAAGCCAGAGACAACAAAAACCTAACTTATCTCAAAATGTTCCTCTGTCTTTTGTCTTCATCCCTGGCTGTGGGATGAATAGGGGTGCTGGAATTTATTGAGTGCCTTATAAGTACCAGTCTCTGTAAAAGCACTTTAAACATACATTATTCATGTATTTGTTCATCCTTTTATTCATCAATTCACTCAACAAATAACTAAGACTGTTTTTAGCATTGGAGATACAGTGAATAAGGAAATGAAAAATCCTTACTCTTGTGGAGCTTTCGTGCTATGAAGAGTAGAGGCAGATAATAAACAAGATAAGTGAGAAAATTGTGCAAGTTTAGAGGATAACTAATATGGGAATGTAGAGAGGATGGGAAATGTCAGGATAGATGCAGGGAAAAAATTCTATTTGCTTCTCACTATAGTTCTGTCTTCTCCCTATAGCTGTGTCTCTAAGTGAGGCATAATTGTCCTCATTGTACAAATAAGACAGAGGGAAATTCAAAGCTATACCTTTAGAAATAGGGAAACTGAGTTTCAAACTCAAGTTTATCTGATTCCAGAGCCCATGGTACCTCTAAGGACTCTTTCCCCCTCTCTTGGATACCAAATAAGAGATACTGGTGGCAGTCCTGTTCATCTCTCTACCACCAATATTTTGGCTTTAAGTGAGTCTATGTTCTTAATATCTATGCTTGAAGGACATGCTATAAAAATGTGAGATGATCGAGAATATACTAAGGTAGGATTATGGTGGGTTAAAAAGAATAACTAAGACTGTTGTTTAATGAGGTTTCTGTCAGCAGGAAAGGTTTGAGATAGAAGTGAAGTTGGGGTGATCACTGAAACATCAGGCTCTGTTATAATCATCCACATGTTCAATATTTTTGTCTACTCTTTGAGAAGAGACATAGACACCTACTCAGGCTTCTAAAGGTACAAAGTGGAGGTACTTGTTAATGTGTTGGATGACATAGCCAACACGTGAAAGAGAATTTTCACACACTAGATTAGCAAACTGAAACAAGCTACATGACATTAAAAATAAGTATTAAACTCTGCCTATAGGTTAAAATAAAATCTCACAAGGAACAGTTAGGTGAGACTTAGCTTGACAGATACTTTTATAAAACAACTTGGAGATTTTCATCAACTGCAAAGTAAGTAAGAACCGGCAGGATGACACTGCTGCTGATATGCTCCTGCACCATGGGCTTGCCACATATTGTATGAGAGAGGGACAAATTAGAGCTGCAATGCAATATTTTATGAAGAACAGCTGGATAAACTAACTTGGGATGTTTGATTTCTAAATGCATAAATGTAAATTTTTTTTAACTTTAGAGTCATTTTTTACATGAAAAAGAGAGGATATGTGTTTTTTATGGACCCAGAGAACCAAATTGAGACCATAAAGATAGAAGTGGCTAGACAACTGATTTTAGCCTAATAGAGCTTTTGAAAATTCAGAGCTACCCATAAATGGAATGAGTGGCAGAGTTGGTGGCATACATTGAGGCTTTACTTTTTCCCAGACCTTGCATGCTTTGTAGGCATGTGTTATTATTATTTCTCTTTGTAGATGAGAAAAACTATGATAGTGAAGCTAACTATTTTACATAAGAACACACAACTGTGTAGAGGCAAAATGTGAATTCAGGGAAATGTAATTCTAAATAAAGACCTCTAAAAAATCACCTCCTCCATAAACTAAATGAGAATACTGGCAAAAAAAAATGTCAAAATAAACTTTTTCAGAACTCCAGACATTAGTCAGAGACTAGAAGAAGTCAGGAAAACATATATTTAGAAAAAAGCTAAATATCAGTAAGAATAATGGGTTTTTGGCATTTGAACTTGCCCTGTTTCCATCTCCTCCTACCCTGAAACATGGTAGACTTTAAAACCAAAAGCCAATGTTTCCTGTAAAAACCAGAAGCCTGGATGCCACTGGACAGAGAAAAATATGTTTGGGGTTCTTTCAAAATCCACTTTCAAGAGAATAGACATCATTTGACTTGTTCAGTGGTTTTCTGGAAGATAATGCCATCTTTATTCGACCAGACCTGGAGCTTGGCCAATGTGAAGAGTCTTTTCTCCAGGGACATTTGTCAAAAACAATCAGAGGTAATTGTTTAATATCAGCTTCCTGAAGTAGTAATAGTTGTGGAAATAGGCTGACCAAAAACACTTAAAAGGAGAAGCTGGGGGGTGAGATATCTAGAAACGGCTTTGAAAAGCTCCAACATGTTTACATAAAACTAGAAGACCACATGCATTTATAGGGCTGAGCACACATACAGGGTTATGTACATGCTTAGGAAAGACCTCAGAAGGCCCTAAGCTTTCATCTTTGGCTAATTTTGTGGCTTCATCTAAACAGGAGCTGAAGACTATGAGAGCTGTAAAATGTATGATGAGTATTGAAGTTGTATCCTAACAAGCATACAGATTCCTTTGGAAAAGACTGGGAGACTTACAGTTTTCAGGAGTTCAAGAAAATCTCTGTCCAATCACTAGCCACATATAACAAAAGTATAAACTATATAATTAGTTCAAAGAAATTACCAAAACAACAACAATAACAACAACAAACCCTGGGGAAAAGAGAATGTGATTGCTAGTGTTGCTACATTATAGTATTACAAATGTCCAAATCTGAACATAATATTATAAAACATATGAGGAAACAAGGAAATACGGCCCATACACAGAGGAGAAAAGCATTCAATAGAAACTGCCTCTCTGAAGAAGCCCAGACATTAGACAATACAAAAATATTTTACTACAGTTATTTTAAATATGTTCAAAGACCTAAAAGTACTGATGGACAAGGAGCTAAAGGAAACCAGAAGAATGATGTTTCAATAGTATAGTACATCCATAGATAGAAATTATAAAAGGAAACAAATAGAAATCCTGGAGTTGAAACGTGGCAAAACTCATTACAGAAATTCACCAGCAGATCTGAGCAGTAGATGGAAGACTTGGCAAAACAAAGATAAGTCAATTGAAATTATCCAATCTAGAGCAGAAAAAACGATGTGAGAAACAAAAATGAATAGAGACTTCGAGATCTAGGAGACATCATTAAGGCAACAAAAATATGCATAATAGGAGTTCTTGAAGGAGAAAAGAGAGAGAACACAATATACATAACAGTCAAAAATTAACTAAATTTGATGAAAAACATTAATTGACACATCTAGGAAGCTAAACATACCAAAGTAGGATAAAATTAAAGAGCACCACATCTAGTCACATCATAATTTAATTATCCATAGCCAAAGACAGAGAATTGTGCATGATGAATATATAAAAGTTTTGTCAATCAAAACAGATACATAATTTTTGAAAAGTGTATAAAGAGATACCGCTTCATACTAAGAACCTATACTTAAAAAGCAGATAGTACCAAGTGTTGAAGATGATGTGAAGAAGTTGAAACTCTCATATAGTGTTGTTGTGAATATAAAATGGAGGAGCCACTTGACAATTTAGCAGGTCATAGAAAATTTAAACATAGAGTTAGCATATAACCAAATAAACCTACTCCTAGAAATATACTCAATGTAAATAAAAGCATGTTTACATATAAAAACTTGTATATGAATGTTCTAGCAGCATATTTATCATAGCTAAAAAGTGCAAACAACCCAAATGTCTATCAGCAAGACTGTACAAGCAAAATGTGATATATTCATACAATGAGATATTCAGTTACAGAAAGAAATAAAATATAGGCTATAACATAGTGAACCTTTAAAATGTTATGCCAAGTGACAGAAGTTAGACACAGAAGTCCACATACTGTATGATTCTATTTATATTAAATGTCCAGAATAGTCAAATCCATAGAGACAGAAAGTAGTTTAGTGGTTGCCAAGGGCTGTGAGAAGGAGGAAATGGGGAGTGGTTACTAATTGGTACAGGGTTTCTTTTTGCAATAATGAAAATGTTCTGTAATTAGATAATGCTTGTGGTTGTAAAATATTGTGGATATCCTGAAAATCAGTGAATTATATACTTTTAAAGGTTGAATTTTATGTCATGTAAATTATACAACAACAACAAAAATCCCCACTGAGGAGCATTCTATAAAATACATGACCAGTAATCATCAAAACTGTCACGGTCACCAAAACCAAGAAAAATCTGATAAACTATTACAACAAAGATGAGTCTAAGGAGAGTTGACTGCTAAATGTTAATGGTAACCTAGATGGTACTGTAGACCTTAAGAAAGGACCTAAAACTTAATAATGGAAAAACTGAGGAAGTGTAAAGTATGGACTTTGGTAACAATTATGTATCAATATTAGCTCATTAATCAGGCCAAATGTACTATAATAATCAAAGATATAAATAACAGGGGTAACTGAATCTGTAGTATATGGGGACCCTTTGAACTGTCTTCAAAATAGTTTTGTAAATCTAAAATTGTTAATTAAGAACAAAATAAACAATTGAAGCATAGCAGTTGGTAAAAGCATTGTTTAGGCAGAAAGACATTGTCGAGTGAAGAATGATCCAGCGAGGTTTGAATGCCTGATACCAGATGTTTTTCAAACTTATCAGTACTTACCTGCCTGGGAGAGGAACTTAGGAAGGGAATATAATGTGGTAGAAAGAAAATAAGTTTAAAGGATGTAAAGACGTACATTTGAATCTCAACCATTACTAAGGAATTTTTTTGTTTGTTTGCTTGTTTTCATTTATCCTCCATGAGCCTCTGTTTTCTGACTTACACTGTGGAAATAATGATATATGATTTAAAGTGCTGTGCAAAAGATTACATGAAAAGCTATGTGCAAAAGTTTGGCCTTAAGAACTAGATTATAGTAAGTGCATAACAATGTTTCCTTTTTAAATGACTAAAAAATTCATTTAAAATTATTAATTTAAGAAGTACACTTAGGGTTTTTCCCACCGGTTTCTTATAATGAATTTAAGGTTGCAAATTTTGGGCATATCTACCAAAAGGCAAAATGAAGTCTGGTGTGATCTAATAGGTTTGATTTTAAAATGTATAAGCCAAAGTATTGGCAGCAATCAGGCTGGGTCTGGACATTCTGAAACTCTGAACGGCTCATTGTCTTACTGGATCACTAACATGCCAAATTCTAAATGAAATTTGGAAATGTTTTTTTAATTTTGATTTTTAGTTTTCATTCCAGCAGTGCAGATGTCTGTAGCCATCCTCATTATTTCCATCAGCTGTTAGTTTATGGCGTTACATTCATCTCTATTTCTTGTTCCAAGTCATGCTCATTTCATGTCTGCACATTCAACCAAAGATGAACAGTAAGCCTGTTTCCCATACTGGGAATGGTATTTGCTAATTTATCCACTCTGATCTTAACATCTGCTTCCCTCTTTATGCATTAAGAAAATTGTACTTAATGGACATGCTGGTCAGTCTTTTCAGATGCAATTCAGATTAGATGGAAGCTTCCCCCATTTCTCCTGGTCTGTTTCCAGACTTGCTCAGAGTACATTGTCTGCAGCCTACATCTCTTAATTACCTATGCCCCCACTGGCATTTATTATTATTCTTGTAAATCGTCATTACCTACTTGGCATTTAGGCCTGCACATTTGCGTGCAAAAGGATCCAAGAGGACGCCTCACCATTGTGTGGCTGTAATTATCAGGGACACACAATAATGACTTTAGACCCTGCTGTTTTTGTGCAGTAATTAACAGGTGGCAAGCTTTTACTGCAACATTTTCCCCAACAGTTACTGGAGAAAACACTGACATCTGGGTAAATAGATTCAACATTGAAAAATGGCTCTGAAAGGGCCTCCTCATCTGACCCTGCCATTAGCCTGAGTTTGCCAAGTTTCAATACACTACATACATTTAGCACAGGAAGAAAGGTTATGCCTTTTAGAGTCATTCAATGTGTATCCAAATTCTGGCTCTCCCTCTCTCTGGAACATGATGAGATCTTTACAAGGGTTAGCTTCCATTATTATGATACTGCTGGATTGGTATACCTGGTATAGTCTTTGCTTCCAGGTTCTTAACATGTCATTCAGATCCCTTCATTGTCTGATGCTAGCTGTGTTTCACCTATCTCTAATGTGACTTTATCTCTAGACATTCTGGACTGGTTACCATTCCCAAATGTGCCCTACACAACAACAAATTCCAACAATTATTATTATCATTTTAATTATTCTTTTTATTGATTGAAACATCCCATTCATTCTCTTTTTCCAATATCCTAGGCTTCTATTCATCCTTTAATTTGAAAACACCCTTTTTAGATTTCTTTAGCTTCATCTGTGCCCCCAAACCTTAGTGTCTTGCTCAGCCTTAGATGACAACTTGGCAACCGACTCTGTATATTTCCCCCTAATGCTCAAGACTAGACACACTCTGCTCCCTCACCATAGTCCAAGACTTATATGAAACACTGTGCTATGAAACAGCAGCTTTCAGAGAGGGCAGGCAGTTCTGGAGAGTTTTGTACCTGTGAGCATACTTTGACTGAAAAGAGAAAGAATATGAAAAGAACCTAGAAGATAAACATATCTTTCTTCCTTTTCATTGGACTATGCCAAACATGAATTTCTGCCATATAGGAGGCACACTGTGTGGCCAAGGAGGGCTGCCTGAGGAATGACGGGCTGGGTCTCTCTGAGACTTGTCATGGAACAATGGTAAGCATGGCAATTTATCATTATACTTTGCTTCTCCTCCTTGCTTGCCTCATTTTATGTTTGCTTTACTCGTCCTGCTCTGGGGCTGTACTTCCCAACAAAGAAGTAGCATGTAATATTTTGCCTCTGTATTAGTCTATTTTCATGCTGCTAATAAAGACATATTGAGACTGGGTAATTTATAAAGAAAAAGAAGTTTAATGGACTCACAATTCCACGTGGCTGGGGAGGCCTCACAAGGCAAGGAGGAGTAAGTCACATCTTATGTAATGGCAGGGAAGAAAAGAGAGTTTGTGCAGGCAAACTCCCCTTTATAAAACCATCAGATCTCATGAGA
The DNA here is from genome assembly GCF_000001405.40 of Homo sapiens. Taxonomy (NCBI): domain Eukaryota; kingdom Metazoa; phylum Chordata; class Mammalia; order Primates; family Hominidae; genus Homo; species Homo sapiens. The sequence continues at coordinate 131,532,768 of NC_000008.11, read as the reverse complement.
CTTATTTACTATCATGAGAATAGCACTCAAAAGGCTTGCTCCCATGATTCGATTACCTCCCACTGGGTCTCTCCCACAACACGTGGGAATTGTGGGAGTTACAATTCAAGATGAGATTTGGGTACGGACAAAGCCAAATCATACCATTCTGCCCCTGGCCCCTCCCAAATTTCATGTTCTCACATTTCAAAACCGATCACGCCTTCCCAACTGTCCCCCAAAGTCTTAACTCATTTCAGCATTAACTCAAAAGTCCACAGTCCAAAGTCTCATGTGAGACAAGGCAAGTCCTTTCCACCTATGAGCCTATAAAATCAAAAGCAAGTTAGTTACTACCTGGATACAATGAGGGTACAGGCATTGGATAAATACACCCATTCTAAAAGGGAGAAATCGGCCAAAACAAAGGGGCTAAAGGCCCCATGCAAGTCTGAAATCCAGCAGGGCAGTCAAATCTTAAAAATCCAAAATGATCTCCTTTGACTCCATGTCTCACATCCAAGTCACAGTGACACAAGAAGTGGGTTCCCACAGTGATGGGGGGCTTTGCAGGGTACAGGCCCTCTCCTGGCTGCTTTCACAGGCTAACATTGAGTGTCTGTGGCTTTTTCAGGGGCATGGTACAAGCTGTCACTGGATCTATCATTTCCACTTCTCACAGCTTCACTAGGCATTGCCCCAGTGGGGAATCTGTGTGGAGGCACCCATTCCACATTTCCCTTCCACACTACCCTAGCAGAGGTTCTCCATGAGTGTCCTGGCCCTGCAGCAAACCTCTGCCTGGACATCCAGGAATTTCCATACATCCTCTGTAATTTAAGTGGAAGTTCCCAAACCTCAATTTTTGACTTCCATGCACCCACAGGTTCAACACCACGTGGAAGTTGCCAAGGCTTGGGGTTTGCACCCTCTGAAGTGATGGCCTGAGCTGTACCTTATCGCCTTTTAGTCACAGCTGGAGTGGCTGGGACTCAGGGAAGCAAGTCCCTAGGCTGCACACAGTAGGGGGACCCTGGGCCCAGCCCAGGAAACCAATTTTTCCTCCTACGCCCTAGGCCTGTGATGGGAGGGGCTGCCATGAAGACCTCTGACATGCCCTGGAGACATTTTCCCCATGGTCTTAGGGATTAACATTCACTTCCTCTTATACAAATTTCTGCAGCTGGCTTGAATTTCTCCTCAGAAAATGGAATTTTTTTTTTTCGAATGCATTGTCAGGCTACAAATTTTCTGAACTTTTATGCTTTGCTTCCCTTATAAAACTAATGCCTTTAACAGCACCCAAGTCACTTCTTGAATGCTTTGCTGCTTCTAAATTTCTTCTGCTAGATACCCTAAATAATCTCTCTCAAGTTCAAAGTTCCACAAATCTCCATGGCAGGGACAAAATGCTGCCAGTCTCTTTGCTAAAACATAGTAAGAGTCACCTTCACTACAATTCCCAACAAGTTCCTTATCTCCATTTGAGACCACCTCAGCCTGGATTTCATTGTCCATATCATTATCAGCATTTTGGTCAAAGCCATTCAACAGGTCTCTAGGAAGTTCCAAACTTTTGTTAAAAGTCCAGTGTGATGTGGCTACCATCTGGCCCATAGATTGAGTTCTATACCACTACTCAAGGGTTTCCACATATGGGTAATTGTGTATAAATTTCTGGGGAGAACCCAAGAACTCTACCTTCAAACATTATTGTCCAACAGGATAGGACCAGGAAACCAGAGTTCTTGAGACCACATCAGAGCCATCAGAGTCAGGGTACATATTGAGACCCTTTGGGCATCATAATTGGAGCCCACCATAGCTGGAGTTGAAAGTTTCCATGAGAAAGAGGAAGGGAACCAATGTTGCTTTTCTTATGAAACACATTTAGTCTCTCTCTCTCTTTCCCCATATGTCAGCTATGGTAACATAACCTATGAAGATGCCCTGTTAGAAAAGGTAGGGCTAGGGAAGAGCCAGGGGAAGGAAAGCATGAAAGGGGAGGCTTTTTGAGAGGTAAGTACAAAAGAAGCCTCTGGGTATGGTACTAAATATTCCAGCTTAGCTCACTAGAGTGGAAGAGCTGGTGGGCCATTGAAAACCTTATTGGTTGGAAATAACAACTCTTATTTCCTCTGGCATGTCCACTATACCTATTACTTACAAGATATAAGTATGGCAGTGTCTTTGGCTGAACAGTCAGAATGACAATTCTATCCAAGAAACATAGCTCATCATCCCATGTATTTTTTTTCCCAGTAATTCTTTAAGAATTATCCAAAACAGGAAATGTAAACTTTATCTTGAAGCTTAGAGTTCTGAGGGACAGTAAATAACATAACTGGAAATCTATGCTATTAGATTGACCCATAGTTTATCCAGGGGCAGGAGCAAACAATTCAACAAAGTGGTTTTATAGGAGTTGAAGTAAGAAAGTATGCATCTTCTTTCTGTTTACATCCTACCAACCAAATATAATTTTTCATCAAGTAAATAATTGTTATTGATATTATTTTTATTATGAATATACTCATTGAGTAAATTAGGGTGAATGCCTATGGTCACCATATTAGGATAGAGCTGGAAAATTTATTAAAATCAGAACAGTGAGTGTGAAATTCAAAGCTAGAAAACCTGGGATCAAAAGTCAATGGGTCTGAATCTCCCTTTCTTCTTTAACATTAAAATATATTTTTAATTGATAATTTATAATTGCATATGCTTATATTGTACAAAATGATGTTATGATTTATGAATATAATATGGAATACTTAAATCAAGCTAGTTAACATATCCATCATGTCAAATACTTAACATTTTTTGTGGTAAGAATATTTGAAATTTACTCTTTTAGCACTTTTGAAATGAATTATAATCTATTGTTAACTATATTTACTATAATGTGCTATAGATCTTAAAAAAACCGTATTTCTACTGTCTGACAGATATTTTATAACTTTTGACTAGCACCTTCCCATTCTCCCCACCCCACATCCTCTCTGTAATCAGCATTCTACTCTCTGCTTCTGAGTTTGATTATTTTATATTTCACACTTACATCACGTGGTATTTGTCTTTTTGTCCTTGCCTTATTTCACTTAAAAGAATGCTCTTCAACTCATCCATGTCATCAGAAATAATAAAATTTTCTTTTTTTAAGGATGAATAATATTCCATTGTGTGTGTGTGTGTGTGTGTGTGTGTGTGTGTGTGTGTGTGTGTATTTTTTTTTTTTGAGACAGAGTCTTATTTTGTCACCCAGGCTGGAGTGCAGTAGCACAATCTCAGCTCACTGCAACCTCCACTTCCCAGGCTCAAGCAATTTTTGTGCCTCAGCCTCCCAAGTAGCTAGGACTACAGGCACACACCACCATGCCTGGCTAATTTTTGTATTTTTAGTAGAGACGGTGTTTCGCCATGTTGGCCAGGCTATTCTCAAACTTCTGACCTCAAGTGATCTGCCCGCATTGGCCTCCCAAAGTGTTAGGATTACAGGCACGAGCCACTGCATCCAGCCTATACTATATATTCTTTATCTATTCATGGGAACTATTCAATACTTTATTCATAAATGGATTAAAAAAGTATATATACATAATGCATATATTGTGTATATATACTACATCAAACAAAGTCTTCTACATAGCAAAGGAAATAGCAGTGGGCAAAGGCAACCTACAGATTGAGAAAAAATATTTGATTAGGTTGATTAATGTTGATTTCTTAATAAATAGTACTTAGGTTGATTTCTTAATAAATAGTATTTCAGTGAATATGGGGTGCAGCCATCTCTAAAACAAACTGATTTCAAATCTCTTGGATAAATACACATAAGTAAGATTGCTGGATCATATGCTAATCCTATTTTTAGTTTTCTGAAGAACCTCCATAGAGTTTTCCCTAATAACTGTACTAATTGACTTTACTGTTTGCAGTGTGTAAGGGTTCCCTTTTCTTCACATCCTTGCCAACACTTATCTTTCATCTTTTTGATTTTAGCCATTCTGACAGCTATAAGATGCCATCTCATTGTTTTAATTATGTTTTCCTAATTACTACCAATGTTAAGCATTTTTTTCCATACATCTGTTTGCCATTTGTATGTCTTCTTCTGAGAAATGTCTGTTCAGGTCCCTTGACCACTTTGCAATTGGGTGTTTTGTTTCCTTGCTATTGAGTTGTTTGTGTTCCTTATATATTTTGGATATTAACCCCTTATTGGATGTATGGCTTACAAATATTTTCTCTCAGTCTGTAGGTTGTCTTTGCACACTGTTATTTCCTTTGCTATGTAGAAGATTTTGAGTTTGATGTAATCTCATTTGTCTATGTTTGCTTTTGTTGCTTGCCCTTTTGGGGTCAAATCCAAAGGAAAAGCATTGCCCAGACTAATGTTATGTAGTTTATCCCCTATGTTTTCTTCTTGAAGTTTTAAATTTCCTAGTACTTACATTTAAGTTTTTAATTTATTTTGAGTTGATTTTTCTATATGTTGTGAGATAAGAATACAATTTCATTCTTTAGCACATGGAAATTCAGTTTTCCCAACAGCATTTACTGAAGAGACTATCCTTTTCCCATTAAGTATTCTTGACACCTTTGTTGAAAGTTGATAGACCATATGTACCATGAATAAACCCATATTTATTTCTGGGCTCTCTATTCTGTTCCATTGATTGATTGATGTATCTAATTTTTTGCCATACCATGCTGTTTTAATTACCGTAACCTCGTATTAAAGTTTGAAAACAGGTAGTGTGATACCTGCAGCTTTGTTCTTTTTGCCCATGATTTTTTTACTTATTTGGGTTTTTGGTGGTTACATATGGATTTTAAAATTTCTTTTTACATTTCTATGAAAAATGATATTGGAATTTTGACAGGGATTACATGGAATTTGTGAACTGCTTTGGGTAGCATGGATATTTTAACAATATTATTCCTTCCAGTCCGTGAATGTGAGATATGTTTTTGCTTATTTGTATCCTCTTCAACTTCTTTCATCAACCCTTTACAATTTTCAGTATACAAGTCTTTTACCTCCTTGGTTAAATATATTCCTAAGTATTTTTTATTGCTATTGTGAATGGGATTGTTCTCTTGATTTCTTTTTCAGATAGTTTATTGCTAGTGTTTAGATATTCTACTGATTGTGCGTGTTGCTTTTGACTACCTCCTCCTCCCTTTCCAACCCAGAGACAATTGGCCACTCTTTTTTGTCACTGTATGTCCCATCTGTTATCACATGTGTAACATAAGCCTTTTTACCGCATTAACTGTGAGATTTTTAAGGTGAGGGACTCAACCTTGGCAATAACAAATGTTTCAAGAAGGAAGGGAGGAAAAGAAGGAGAAGAAAAGGAGGTGTTATTATCAATTTTATAGCCAAGAAAGTTTACGTTCAGATAGGTTAAATGCATGTTTATATGCTATTTCTTATTTCTAGGCATAAAATATAAAACTGAGGCTTAGAAAATTTAAGCTCACTTATTCCAAGAGCTCCTGGTTAAAATTCAAACCTAGGGCTTTTAACAACAAATCCACTATACTATCAACGTAGGGGAATCCACTTTGTATTGGTTAAGAGCTTCAGCAATGAGTCAGGTACTCTGGGCCCAAATCCTGGCTTGACTACTTGCTATCTGCCTAACATGGGGCATGTCTATAAATCTCTCTAGTCTGCAATTCCCTCACCTGAAACAGAGCAAATAATATTGACTATCTTATGAAATTGTTGTAATTATTTAAGTGAAAAAAATCCATTTAAAACATTTAGTATGGTGCTTAGCTTCTGGTTGACAGTCAAATATTAGCTACATTTATTATTATTTCTTGTTGTACTATAGCTGAATAATACTGCACTAAGAAAATGGTAAGATTAATTCCACATGAAAGAAAACACTATCCACCCTCATCACCAACACCCTGTGTTGGTAGTCAGGACCCAACAAATTTAACCCAAAGCTAGCGTTTTCTGTTCTCTACAAATCTAACCTTATTCACTACTTCTAATGTTTGCCACTGATTGACAGTACAGAAAAGGAATTGTAGTATCCTTGGGGAACTTGACTTTCAACTATTAACTGTAAGAAATGATGGCATCCCCGTCAGTTAAGTCTCTCAGCTTCACTTCTTCCTTAATTCTAAGACTGAGATAAATAATCAAGTCATTTTCAAGGATACCCACAATTACTACTACTACTATACTACTAGTAGTACTAGTAATAATGTCTACAATGTATCTCACACATACAAGGGCCAGGTACTTTATGCACAATATCTATATGCACCTAGTTGAGCCATCTTATTACTAGAAGTATGAATATTAATGCTACTTTTCCTAATAGGCACTTGAACCTCCACTTGGCTTTGTTAGCAGAAAATCCAGTATCTGATACTAATTGAGCATCCTCCACACCCTGAATTTTCCAATCACTCTGGGAGGTAGTTCAGCCCCCAAATGTCCAGTCTGCTACGAGGAAAAGGCAAGAGAATAAATGAAGTCTTATATGTCCGCTAACTGTGGCTTTCATTGTAGTCTCATGGGTCTTGCTTCATCTGGGCTGTTGCTTTATTGATGCCTGGGCTCATCCCCTTTCTTCTGATTCCCACAGTGGAGTGACTGTCGTCACTTGCATGCTTAGTAAGGACTCTCAAAGTGTAGTGCCAAGCTATGGTCCAGATGAGCTTCTAGTCGATTCTGTGTAATGTGAAACTCTATGTCCTTATGTTGAACATGTATGAGCCACCCATACTTGTTGTGTTCCAACTCCTCAACTGGGACTATGGAGTTCTTTTTTTTTTTTTTTTTTCTAATTGACCACATTCGGACCATTCTAATGCAACAGAGAAATTCTTATCTTGTTGACCCTTAAAAGGGAATGGTTGTAGAATTCCAAATCTCCTTTCTCCTAGGAGTTTTTAAATCCCTAGGCCTTATAGCTACTGTGGGGAATGTCTTATAATATTAAAATGTCATTAAGAAAGAACATGTTTTGTTAAGCACAAATTATTTATTTGTATGCTCTCCTAGGACTGTGGAGATAGTTTTACATTATATTTGTTTAACGCCTGTGTTTATTGAATATTATGCAGCAGCTGAAGATCCAAGCTCATTTTCCTCCTAGGTCAGAAAGCAGCTGGAAGCTTCTCTTCATAACACTCTTTGAGTATTGTCTCATCAGCATCCTCATCAGCACCATATTTAAGTCTAAGTAGCTCTTCAAGTAGTTATTACTACCCTCATTTCTTGTATAATGAAGTAAGTAATAGAGGTTACTACCTCTGGGTCACACTGCTAGCAAGCAATAAAAGTAGGATTCTAAAAGAAATAGGATGTTAATTCAGATCTACCTGACTCTAAGAATCTGGCTTATATGCAGGGCTTGTCCTTGTTCCAGAGCCTAAGAGCAGCCACATTTGTGTCTTTCTTCAAGCTGAAATGCTGGAACTTAGAGGACATTCCTTTCATCTCCCCTTTCAACATTTCTCTTTCTTACTCTCTCCTTTTCTCTCTGCCTGTCTCTCTGTCACATACACACACCAAATAAGAACTTTGCCCAGGATTGAGCACCACTCTAAAGTCTAAAATCTTATATTTGTCTATGCTCCTTACAGATAAATATCTGACCCCTTCTGAGACCTAAGAGAGTTCCATTCAGGGTTCATACTTCTCCACAGTTAATGGTAGTCACTTGCTTCTGTAGAATCAAAAGTTAATAGGGAAAGCTTCAGATCCCAGTTTCATTCATTCTCAAAGAAACTTTTGGTATTTATTTTCCAGGAGGCTTCAGATTTCCAACTACAGCTTTCCATCCATATGCCCACTAAAATAATCTGATGGATGAAGGCTAGTCTTGATGAAACTGTAGAAATAACTCCTTCATTTTTTTTCAAGCAAGGCTAGGAAAGTAATTGGATTGACCCCTGAAAGCTAATCCCATCTCCCACTGGAAGGCAGGGCAACATCCTAATATTGGGTACTTGTTGCCAAGACTGCTGTCCAAGTTGCTGCCAAGATTTATAAATATTTTACTAACCTTCCTTGAAAGCTTGTCACTCCCCTGCCCTTTCACTCGAAGGATGCGCCTGAGTCTCAGGGCTATAAATGTTAGGTGTATTCTAATTGATTATCTGAGACCAAAAGCTTTCATAAGTGACTCATGGAGTGAATTTCTTGAATGAGTTCTAATTTTCCAGTGCACTTAAAACAGAATTAAAAGAATAATATATATTCAACAACATCTAAAAATAATTTAAATAGCAACACATATTAATAGCCATGGCCATTATTATTTATAGCATGTCAGCCCTATACTATCATTTTAATTGTTAACTTTTTTATTATTATACTTTAGGTTCTGGGGTACATGTGCAGAACCTGCAATTTTGTTACATAGGTATACATGTGCCATGGTGGTTTACTATGCCCACCTTTTTAATTCACAAATAAAATTATACACATTTATGTTGTACAACATGATTGTTTGAAATATGTATACTTTGTGGAATGGCTAAATCAAGCTAATTAACATATGCATTACTTCACATGCTTAGCATTTTTTTGTAAGAACACTTAAAATCTACTCTTTCAGCAATTTTCAAGTGCACAATACATTTATTAATTATAGTCACTATGTTGTACAGTAGATCTCTTAAACTTAGTCTTCCTGTCTAATTAAAATTGTGTCTCCTTTGACCAACATCTTCTCAATCCCCCTTGTCCCCCAGGCCCTGGTAAAACCACCTTACTCTCTGTTTCTGTGAATTTGTCTTTTTAACATTCCACACAAGTGACACCATGTGGTATTTGTCTTTCTTCTGTGCCTGGCTTATTTCACTTAGCACAATGTCCTTCAGGTTCATCTATATTGTCACAAATGACAGAATTTCCTTCATTTCTTAAGACTGAATCGTATTCCGTTATGTATATACCACATTTTAAAAATCCGTTCATCCACTGATAGATGCTTAACTGATTCCATATCTTGGCTACTCTGAAGAGCGCTGCAATGAACATGGGAGTGCAGATGTTTCCTCAACAAACTAATATTATTTCCTTTGGCTATAAACACAGTAGTGGGATTGATAGGTCATATAGTAGTCCTATGTTTACTTTTAGATGATCCTCCATACTGTTTTCTATAAACGGCTGTAATGATTTACACTCCCACCAAAAGAGTGCCAGTGTTCCCTTTTCTCCACATCTTCACCAACACTTGTTATTTTTTGTCTTTTTGACATGGTCATTCTAACAGGTATGATGTGACATCTCACTGTAGTTTTAATTTTCATTTCCCTGAGGATTTGTGATGTTGAGCACCTTTTCAGATACTTGTATGTCTTTTTTTTTTTTTTTTTTTTTTTTTTTTTTTTTTTTTTTTTTTTGAGAACTGTCCATTCAGGTCCTCTACCCATTTTTAAATTGAATTATTTGGTTTTTTTGCTATTGAATTTTTGAGTTTCTTACATATTTTGTATATTCACTCTTTATCAGATATATGGCTTACAAATATTCTCTTTAATTCTGCAGGTTGTCTTTTTACTGTGTTGATTATTTCCTTTGCTGTGCAGAAGCTTTTTAGTTTTGATATAATCTTATTTGTCTGCTTTTGCTTTTGTTGCCTGTGCTTTTGGGCTCATATCCAAAAAGTCATTGCCCAGACACCTGTGATAGAGATTTTCTCATATATTTTCTCCTAGTAGTTTTATAATTTCAGGTCTTGCATTTCAGTCTTGTTTATTTTTATTTTTTTTTTACTTTTTGTGGGTACATAGTAGGTATACATATTTATGGGGTAATAGAAGATATTTTGACATAGGCATACAATACATAATAATCACATCAGTGTAAATAGGGTATTCAGCATTTAAGTATTTAATTCATTTTGAATTGATTTTTGTATATGGTGTGAGAAGAGGGTTGAATTACATTCTTCTGCATATGGATATTGTTTTTCCAAAGCAATTTATTGAAGAGATTATCCTTTCCCCAATGTTGTTTTTAATACCTTTGTCTAAAAACAATTGACTGTAAATGTGTGGATATCCCATGTTTATGGTTTGAAAGAATTAATATTTTAAAAATACTCATACTACCCAAAGTGATCTACAGATTCAATTCAATCCCTATCAAAATTCCAATGACTTTTTCCACACATATGGAACAAACAAACCTCAAATTTATATTAAATCCCAGAAAACTAGATAGCCGAAGCAATATTGGGCAAAAAAAGAAAAAAAGAAAAAAGAAAAGTTGGAGGCATTACACTACCTATTTCACAATATACCACAAATCTATAGTAATCAAAATAGCATGATACTGACAGACTAACAGACTCATGGACCAATGTGACAGAATAGAGAGCTTTGAAATAACACACATTTACAGTCAGTTGATTTTATACTATCAATTTTTAACCTATATATATTGTTCTTAGTAACACTTTATAAAGTGTTATTAAGGGTTATAAATATTATTATCCTCTCTTTACAGAGGATGAAACTGAGACTCACAGAAGTTGTTACCTTCTAAGGCCACAGAGAGCATAGTTGAAGTTCAAACCAGGCTGAAATAAGTGAATTCTGTAATTTTTCATAAACATATATTTTCTATATTAATGCTTAGTTTATTTCACTATCTCTACTATCTCTAACAGGTCACTAACCTATTTCTGTATCTTTGAAATCCTACTGTGTTATGAAACTTAACAGTTATATTCAATTCAATAAGTATTTATCAACTTTCTGCTACATATAAAAATACAATATTGGGTTTTGGGGCATTGAAAAGTGATGTTAGAAAACATCCTGTTCATGCAGTAGCTTAACTTTTATGTAGTCTTGATTTCTTTTGTAAGTGTTTCATTTATATTAATGATAACTTAAGGACTTTAAATGTATTTACAACTTACCATGTTCCAGAAAATTTTACATATGATTTTATTTAATCCTTACAACAATTCTGCCATACCCACTTCATAAAGATGAAGTGACTTCTCCCAAATCATCAAGATTGGTGCCACAGTCACAGTTTGATTCTAGAGCTTTCCAGCTCTTAATTTTAGTGGACATTTGTCAATGTCTGGGAGAATTTTTTAATTGTCACAATTTAAGGGAATTGGCATCTAGTGGGTGTAGGCAGGAGATGCTGTTAAAATCCTACAGTGTTCAGGCAGTCCCCACACTAAAAATATCAGTAGTGTTGAGGTTCAGAAACTCTGCAGTATACCAGAAAGTTTTCTAAGAATAAGTGTTATATTTTACACATTTTTAGTACCAGATATGTTTGTAAAGTCGTTAAGTCTTACAGCCAGCATTTTAATAAACATTGAATTTCTGTTATGTATATGCAGGGTTTTGCTTTAGGTATTTTTTCATTTATTTGATAATCCAGGATTTATTGGAAGCACAGTTTCTAATCACACACTCATATACTGAGAGTTCTAATATGTGCAAAAGGGGTTTCTGAGACTGCAGAGCAAGTGGACAAGTTAAATCATATGGTTGTTAGCATAATTCAATAGAAATGCTTTTGTTGTTGTAAGAGTACTTTTTTTTAACTTTCAGGAGCTTCAAAGAGAGACAAGAAAGATAACACAGAGAAAAATGAAATGACATGTGTATTAGTCTGTTCTCATGCTGCTAATACATACCAAAGACTGGGTAATTTATAAAGAAAAGGAGGTTTAATGGACTCACAGTTCCACATGGCTGAGGAGGCCTCACAATCATGGCAGAAGGCAAAGGAGGAGCAAAGCCACATCCCACATGGTGGCAAACAAGAGAGAGAGAGAGCATGTGCAGGGGAACTCCTCTTTATAAAACCATCAGATTTTGTGAGACTTATTCACTATCATGAGAACAGCATGAGAAAGACCCACCACCATAATTCAGTTACCTCGCACTGGGTCCCTCCCATGACATGTGGTAATTATGGGAGCTACCCATTTAAGATTTGGATGGGGGCAGAGCCAAACCATATCAACATGTTAACTTCTTCCGGCACAGCAGGAAGGACTGAGTACCTACAAAGTCTGGTGAAATTCAGGCCACAAGCAGTTTTATTTTGCAGCCTAAGAGCTCAAGTATAGCCCTGAGTAGGCAAGAGGAGGGAGCCTCTTCCTCCATATCCTGCCCCAGAGCACCTTCTAGCCTGGCCACCATAAGAGCTCAACATGGTCTCCAGGAAGATTTACAAGCTCATAGCAGCAGAGTCCTAGAAACATCTGACTCTGGCAGTGGTGAAACCCTCAGCAGGGGCTGAAGCAGAGATTCGAAGGGCTCTGCTTGACAGCTCCAGAGGCACTTAAGGGATTTTGGAGGTAAACAAAGACCATCTTGAGAAGAGGTGGTCAGCCTAAGGCCCTGAAAACCATTGCATTTTGAACAGGGCTGATAAAATGATGGTATTTAAGATCAAAGTCTCCTGGAAACTGGGATGTTTGGATTTCACAAGCGAAGGCATAGACATGCCCTCAGGAGATTTAGAGTGGAATTAGAAAGAGGTAATATGCACATAATTTTAGGGGAAAGTATTGTTTATTCATCAACTATACTATACATTACTCCTGCTAGATACTTCACATAACATGTGGAATTCTTATTCCCTCACTTCTCTCCACAATAATTGAAGATAGAGATCAATATACTCACTTTATAGACAAGGAAACTACAACTCAAAAATGTTTCCAAGGTCAAACAGTTTCCCAGATATCCTTGCTCTTTTATGATTTTGGGCCTTCATATATTTTATTATTTCTTGCTGAAATATTTCTGCCCACCATTGGCACCTGGCTAACTCCTCCTCATCCTATTAACTTCAGCTTAGAGGTTTCTCTGACCCATCAAGCCTGGATCAACATTCTCTTATATGCTTATGGGATTCTTTTTTTTTTTTTTTTTTTTTACTTTGTATAATAGTCATAAACTTTACTCTTGATGTTTTCAATTTTATTAATCTTTGTTTTCTCTACTAAATTGAAAGCCTCTTAGGGCAAGAGTGACAACTTCTTTGTTCACCTTTGTATTCTTAGTCTATGCAACTGTGCTGGGTTTATAGTAAGCCCTCAATACAATTTGTTGATGGAATGCCTGATGACTGAGGTGTAGGGAACACCAGAAAGTAGAATTTTGTATAGCCACAGAGAATACAAAGGGAGCTAAAACAAACAGCTGGAAAGTTAAAATGTTACCAGGTGTAAAATAGAAAATACCAACTATGGCATTTGAACTTTGTTCCGTAGACATTGGGAGGCACTGATGATTTAGAGCAGGGGAGTGGCTTCATTCTCTCTCTTCTTCTTAGTGATCTTCTGGAAGCTCCATGCATGTTGATTCACAATAGGAGTAACTGAGATGGAGAGATACATTAGGTGGCTGTTGCAACTATTGCAGTTGGAGGTAATCAGATCTGAAGTATGACACAACAGAAAAAGGAGGGAAGGGAATATGATGGGAACTATTTCAGGAACATAATAGAAAAGGACAAAAACAGACATGCTGGAGCAGGAAAGAACATGTTGTCAGAGAAAATTTCTGATTTTCAAACACGATGTTGAGAAGGATGGTAAGGTCATTAACAGAAACATGAAACAGTTTTGAGGGTAAGAGAATGAGCTCATGTATGGCCTGTTCTCTATGGGTTTGTCTTGGCTGTCTTTTCTTCCTTCTCCCTCTACTCTTTCTTAGTCACATCATTTCATCTCAGGGTTAGGAGAGGTAATTGAAGCCAGCATAATGTCATAGAATGATGCAAAGAGTGTGCTTTGGGAACTTTAATGCATCAGGTTCAAATCCTGGTTCTACTTTTTTTTCCTCTCTGTAGCCTTGAGTAAGTCAGTAAATCTCAGAAACCCTCAGTGTCTTCATCTATTAAAAAAAATAGTACAATATATTCATAATAAAGCCATAATTAGGATTAACAATGATTTCTTCATAGCTCCTAGTACATAATAACTGATCAATAATTTCTTGACCACATAGGTGATTAGGAATTCCAGTGCTGAATTGCACTCCATAAGGGGATTTTATGGTCATTGAAATAGTGACCTGATTCTAAATGAAGCCTTCCCACTTTTGGAGGCCTAGGTGAGAGAATTGCTTGAGCCCAGGAGTTTGGGACCAACATGGGCAACATTGTGAGATCCTGTCACTACAAAAAATTTTTTTTAAAGTAACTAGGCATGGTGGCGAGCCCCTGTGGGCCCAGATACTCAAGAGACTGAGACAGGAGGATCACTTGACCCCAGGAGTTCAAGGCTGCAGTGAGCCATGATCACACCATTGCACTCCAGCCTGGGCAATAGAATGAGACCCAGGCTCCAAAAACAAACAGTAACAAAAATGAAGTCTTTCCACATTGTCTTAGGGATACATTTTTCTCTAAATTAAATATTGTTGTGCCAAATAATTATTGTCTTCATGACTGCTCATATAAATATTTGATATTATAATTAATATTTTAAAGTGCCCAGTATATGTAAGACAGGCTGTAAGTGCTTTCTATTCCCTATATTTTCTTATATTTATATTCCTTATATTTTGACACACCACACAAAATGTATAAGTTAGAAGTTGCTGCATAACAACCACCATATTGAGCTCACAATTCTGTGAGTTAGTACATTTTGTTGAGCTCAACTGAACTGTTGTAGTCTGCGTTAGTCTTGGCTGATCTTGGTTGGATTTACTCGTGTTTCAGTTAGCTGACAAGTAGGCTAGAGCTGGCTAGTCTAAAGTGGCATGGCAGCTAGACTTCAAAGATGGACTTAATGAACTATGCCTCCTGGTATCCATGCCCTTCTACAGTTCCCTCTCACACCCAATCTGGGCTGGCCATGTGGCTTACTTTACCAATAAAGTGCAGAAGAAGTGACTGCAAATTTGAAGTAAGCTTAAGAAAGCCTGAGCACTTTGACGTTTGCTTTTTTGAGAATCCTGAGCTGATAAGAAGTTTAGCTATCATACTGGAAAGATCTTGTGGAGATACAACAGAATATTCAAAAGGAGAGGCCTTGAGAGTTGCGAGAAAGGAAGGAGAGAAGAGACAGGGAGGAAGAAGAGAGGGGAGAGGAAGAAGGAGAGGAAGCAGAGAGGAGAAGAGAGGAGAGGAAAAGAGAAGAGAGGAAAGAACAGGAGAAAGGAGAAGAGGAGGGGAGAGAAGATGACAGAAGAGAAGAGAGGACATGATAGATACCTGGCTATTTCAGCATCTCAACCTTCTCTACTGAGGCACCTGACATCCAGACATGTGAATGAGCCATCTAGGGTGTTCCAGTCCAGAAGAGCTCTCAAATGACTGCCATCCCAGCCAACATAATATAGAACAGAAGAAGAACCCAGAAAAACTCAATCAACACACATAATTATAAGAAATTTTTTTGTCAATGTCACTGTGTTTTGGGGTTGGTCGCAGCAACATATACCCAAAACAGATGGCCTCTTTCATGTGTCTAACACATAGCTAGCTGTCAAAACAGTGGTGCAACAGAAATGACTGGGACACATGTCTCTCATCCTCCACCAAGGTAGTCCAGATTTGTTCCCATAGTTGAAGCAGAGATCCAAGAGGGTAAGCAGAAGGATGCAGGTCCTTTTAAGATTTGGGCTCAGAACGGGCACAAAGTGTCTTTTCCTGAATTCTATTGTCTAACAAGTCAAAGGCCAACCAGAATCCCAAGGCAGAGATAGACTCCACCTCTTAATAGAAGGTGCTGCAAAATAGCATTGCAAAAATACCATGAATACAGAGAGGGATGGAAAACCGCAATCATTTTTGCAGTCTACCACACAAGGCAATGATTATTATATCTACTTTTACAATGATGCAATCAGGGCTCAAGAGAGATTACATGATTTGCCCAAGGCCACAGAACTAATATATAACAGGGTTGGGATTCCCAAATAGGTATGTCTTCCCCAGAGCTCACATTCTATCTCTTCTATCACGCTGTGTCTATGTGTTAGTGATTTCTTTTGGGTGCATTTATTTTAGCTCTAGTAATCTTTCCCAAGTGAATCTTTAAGGTTTTCTGGGTCTGGTGATTCTCCACAACTTAAAAGTGAGAATATTCTGGTTACATGTCTGTGACTTCAAAGTTGGATGCTGAATACATTAACCTTTAAGTCAGAACTGCCCAGGGAGCTATTGACTCCCCCTCTTGAGCATCTGGGTTTGTCACTAATCTTCTCAAATGGGTTAGTCATCAAGGCTCTTTATTAACTGTCAAGCAATTGATTCCAGATGAAAGTTTTCAGAATTGCTGCTGAAAACGTGCAGGAGGCCCTAGAGATTGGACACGTTTCTGATGAGTCGATTTGCCTTTATTCCACCATTTTCAATGTCCATTTTGATGGTGCAACTAGAGTAATCTCAGCTAATGAAAAAATAATTTAGTCCAAAGTGGCTGTTGATAGAGTTGTGTAATGACGTATATGTGCTTGATGTATTATAATTCATAATAAATTTATAAAAATATTATTCATAATAATATTTATACCGATTATTATTGCTTTATTATAAATCATCATTGCATTTTTATGATGGGAAGATTACACTATAAGACTACCTTATTTTCCCCCCAGAGAGGGACTATGACCTGCACCAGAAACCTGTGTTTCTTTTTTCCTTTGTACTGCATCCAATGGTGCACGTGTTATATCTTTCTCAGCCACTTTGGAGAATCACTTGACAATGAATTGGAATTTGGCTGGAAACTTGGATCTCTAAACTCTTTAAATCCTAAATATCCCATGAAGCTTTGAAGAGGACATGGTGTTTTGAAGATGAAGCAAGAAAAAAATTTTTTTATCATAAGACTCTTGCCCCACATCCTCCTCATCTCCAAAAAAATAAAAGCCTTATCTCACCTAGTGAGCTCGACCAGAACCCAAGAGGGCCCCTGTTATTCAGAGGTTCACATATAATGCTCTCTTCAATGATGTCAAGGTGAATCAAAGAAAACAAGATTTTCACTGGGAGTTCTAGATTTGGAATATTCTGTTTATCTTGAGCCTTCTCCAAAAGAAGCAGATTCTGGTAAGAGCAGCCCTACACTCAACTTACCTCATCTGCTTCATAGAGGTAAGAACATTTCCAGATAATATCGCCACTCTTTTATTACTGAGATACTGCAATTTCCTTGCATTTGACCCGTTCATCCACTCCTTATTGGTGGAGTAGGGGTTGAGGAGGGAAAAGAGTCTTGGGCTCTCACTAGATACCACCACATTCTCAAACCAGAAAATGCCAAGCTTTATTTAACTCCTATCCTCCTTTTCTTTTGTAGAAGTAGACTTCAGTAAAGAATGCCAGGTTGATGAATCCTATGTTTGGCATACTAAGATTCCATTTTCTGTCTTCTCCCTCCCTCTATAACTGAGTTAGTTTTGTTCATGTAAGTCTAAAACTATCATTGAGAAGAACTGTAGTTTTATGGGAAGAAAGCAAGGAAAGCCAGTGGGGCTTAAATGCTGTGGTTTGGCCTTTTCTGCTGTAGATGAAAATGTACCGCTTCCACTACCTCCACTTCACTCTTGATTAAGAAGCTATGAGCAGAGAATGCTTGTTGTTTCTTTCTTCGTTTTTTGTTTGTTCATGTCTATCCTCAATAGCTTATCCATTATTTGATGCTAGCACTTAATAGCATCCCTATTTGAACTAAGATTAAATGAATTCACTAAGCCAAAATATAAGATGCTGAATATTCTTATGAAGAAGAGGTCAGAAAAATTGATACTAGCTGAGGGCTGCAAATTTACTTGCATGCACATGATCCACACAAGATATGAAAGGGCCTCTGGATAGACAGAGTTTGACAGACTTACCCATGAGATTCCAAGGCAGTGTGCTTACTTCAGCAGCAGAAAGTCCTGTATAGCTCCATATTGTAAAGGGGACAGTTCCTGGCTCTCCATAACTGGTATCTAGTAGTAATAGTAGTCTAGTAGTATTGATAGTAACGTTAGTAGTAATAGTAGTAGAATGATAGTAACAATTGTCATTGTCCCCTTGCCATTCCAAAAACATTGTCTTTACTCATGATGTTCCCTCACCTATTCTTTCTTCTTAAGCTATTGAAGTTCTGGATATCTTTTCAGTATTTACTATACATGCCACCACTTCAGGGAATCCTTCCTTGCTTATATAGTTTGGAATCAAAAATATCTCATCTTTCTCCCACAACAATTTAACCATACTTCTCTTAGAGTTATCAATTTATAAATATATGAAAATAATCTGTTCATTGAGCTAGCTCTCCCTTTATGTTGCAAACGAAGGTTCTGTCTACTAACTTTTCTGAATTAAAAAAGTGCTTAGCTTAGTATCTTGCCCATCTGTATTAGCCCATTCTTGCACTGCTATTAAAAAAAAAAACCCTGAGACTGGGTAATTTATTTTTTTAAAAAAAGGTTTAATTGGCTGATGGTTCTGCAGGCTATATAGCTATCTAGGAAGCATGGTGCTGGTATCTGCTCACCTTCTGGTGAAGGCTCAGGGAGTTTTCAATCATGACAGGTGGAACAGGCACATCTATGGCAAAAGCAGGAGCAAGGGGTCGGGGTGGGTGGCTCATACTTTTAAATAGCCATATCTTGGTAGAACTCACTACCATGAAAACAACACCAAGCCATGAGGAATACACCCCCAAACACCTCCACCAGGCTCCACTTCCAGCACTGGGGGTTACAATTCAACATGAGAGCTCAACTATATCACTATCATATGCAGTAAAGTTTGCTGAATTATGAATAAACAAATGTAAACTAAATTCAGTGAGGGTTAAATTACAGAATAAAAAACATTTTCAATAGTGAGATTTCTAAGGTGTCATGTAAGATATTTCAACATACAGCAGGACTCCGTAATACAGATAGACTCTGCTAAGTAATGTTACATATTCATCCAAATATGTAGATCATGACAAAAATCTAATGATCTCCCAAATGATGACTTGAATTAGTCAATATGAATATATAGACGGATATATGACTCGGGTTAAATCTTACTAAGGACAAGCACAGATTTGTAAGCCACCACTAAATTGATACCATTTGATTCTAGCAATTGAAGTGTGTGGGTGATTACTCAGTTAATGAAACATTCCCATTATTGGCTCTCAAGAATTAACATTAGTCAGATGTTTAATCCAATATAAAGAAAGTGATTAACCTTTGCCAAAATATTAGACCTTAGAATTATTCCTTTAATAGTAGCAATTTCTTTTTGTGTGTAATTATTCATAAGTCTTCTGGAAATTAACATCCTAAATGAGGCCACATATCTCAATGAATTCATTGAAATATTCCATATAATTTTTGTGTATGCAAAAGCACAGAAAATTGTTTTACGTCTGCAAAAACACATAAAAAACAGAATCCTTCAATCCCAGGGATTGACATGTTTTTTGTTTGTTTGTTTTTGATAAAACACTTCACGTGATGAATATCCCAATTAACCTAAATTGATTGTACAAATGTATCAAATGATCACATGTACCCCCAATATGTATATTCAATGTGTATCAATAAATAAATAAATTTTTAACACACTTCATAAAATAATTTTAAAAATGACTTTATCTGATAATCAAATACTTGATGAACATTTAGAGATTCATAATAAATATTTATAAAATGATGTATTTATCTATAATTTGTCTTGTTACTGAAAAAATCTGAGTAGGTTATAAGATTACATAAAATACCAGAAAATAAAAATAGGTAAGATTAAATAAAATATGGGTGAGAAAGGACAGTAAACCTGAGTACAAATATGACATAAAGCAGGAATAAGTTTAATGGAAAGTTAGTCTCCATAAACGTCCAATATTTCTTACTGCAAGAGTAGAGAAGATTCGTATACAAGGCTCTGAGAGCTCCAACAGGATTACAAGAAAATAATTTTGATAAATCCTTGCAGTAAAAATGACTAAAATGCTCAGAAAAGTGTAAGTGACTCAGACAGAAATGTGCAGTGAAAACTAATGAACAATATCTTCAACCGCATCTCTATAGTAGATTCAATAATGAATTTCATAAAGCTGTATCATAGACCATCTTTCAATACAGGCCATAGCATTTAGTCCAGCATACTGAACTAGCATACTCTAGCCATAAACTGTTTCTAGATCAAGGAAATAAGGAGTGGCATGATACAGTGGGAGCAGGACAGTCTTGGACCGGAAATACCTGTGTTTCAATTGTATTTGTGTCTTTAATTAGCTGTGTAACTTTAGAAAATAAATACGTTAAAACCTAAAACTGGGCCTATGCCAGGTCAATCTATGTGATGGTTCATACTGAGTGTTAACTTGAGTGTATTGAAAGATACAAAGTAGTGATTCTGGGTGTGTCTGTGAGGGTGCTACCAAAGGAGGTTAACATTTGAGTCAGTGGGCTGGGAAAGGCACACCCACCCTTAATCCCATCTGATCAGCTCCCAACAAGGCCAGAATATAAAGCAGGCAGAAAAAACGTGAAAAGGTTAGACTGGCCTAGCCCCCTAGCCTACATCTTTCTCCGGTGCTGGATGCTTCCTGCCCTCAAATATCAGACTCCACGTTCTTCAGTTTTGGGACCTGTGCTAGCTCTCCTTTCTCCTCAGCTTGCAGACAGCCTATTGTGCGACCGTGTGATCATGTGGGTTAATATTTAATAAACTCCCATTTACATATATATAACTCCCCTTTATATATATAAAATATATATATGTATATATGATATATATATCCTATTAGTTCTGTCCCTCTAGAGAACCGTGACTAATACAATCTACTTTCTAGATTATTTATGAAAATCTAAATGAGATAATAGTTATAGATGCTAATACTGTAAAAATAAGAATTACTTAATTCTGAATAGGTCAAATTAATTTTCTTTATTTCCTGAGAGAATTCTAGTATTTTATTTAACTTAAATGATTTTTTAAAATAGAAATAAAGAAAAGTCTAATATTGCCAAGATTTCTGTCACTTATATTTAATTCAAGAATTATTTAATGAGCACTTCTCTTGTGCCAGATATTTGCTAGTCACAGGTAACTACTTATATGGTATAAACTCCCCCTTTCTCTTTCTTTGTCTTCATTTACATTTTGAAGGTTGAAACTCTCTAATTAAACATTTCCCACCCACAGTAAAATTTATTTATACTTTTAAGCAAGTGGCTTTTCTCACTCTGCAACCCATTCCTTTTGTGGGCATTTTTATTAGTTAGAAAATCCTTCCAGGAGATCGTTTAAGAATTAGAAATTAATATTAATTATTTCTCCTACCCAAACTTATTTCCTCTGCCCAAGCCCTTTTATACTAACAGGTCCTCTGATGCCCTTTCCTATAGAAATGGAACCTAAAATATCCAGTATCAATCCAGATAGAGGTGGGACACATCCCAACCCTTTAAGGTTCCTGATCTGTGGGTATTACTAAGGCATTATCCTTCAAACCAAACAGTGTCTTGATTCCCCATGAGGATCATTCACCATTGTGATCCCTATCCATGCTTTTCTTCAAGCCTCTCCTCTACTTCAAGATGGCCTAGGATAAGAACTGGACTCCATCCAGCTCATACTACTAGGTTTCTAAGAGTGGCTCTGAAGATAAACTTTTACCATTAGGACTATACCCCTATCCAGAGTGGTGTCATTTTTTCTATCCCGGGGAGCCTCGTCCTGAATAGCGACCAGTAACTGGGTTTCACCACCCAAGAACAGGCCCTTAGGTGAAGGAAAACTCAATTAAAAACACACATTTATCCTTCCATTTTATTCATTCAACAGATACTTATTGTGTACCAATCAAGTATCAGGTACTCTTCTAGGAATTGAGGATGAGAGACAAATTACACGGAGATGACAAATCACAGATAACACAGAGAATGGAGATATATCAGTAAACAGGTAATTCTAATTCAGCTCACAAAGTGGTAAGTACAGGGTACTTTGGAGCTAAAGAATGGGTCTCAATTTAGCTTTAGATAAATGAGAAGGCTTCCTGGGAATAGTAACATTTAAACTGAAGCCTGAAGGTGTGTGAGATGACGCTAGGTGAAGATGAAGGTGAAGGAGTTAGATGAAGAAAGTACTGGTAGAGGGAGTAAGAAAGCCATGAAGACAGGAAAGAGGTGGGTGCATCCATGGGAAAACAAGATGCTCAGTGTGGGTGGACTGCAAGGGACAGTGTCCATAGATAAAGCTACAGAGGTGGGCTGGAATTAGGTTTGAAGCACTATTGACCCCTGATAGTCAAAGTGATATAGGAGTTAAGAAGAAATCACTCAGGCAGATAGCAAGGGTATGGGAGTCTTCAGTAAAGCTTTTATTTTTAATGAAAAGCAGCCCAATTTTCTAACAAAGAGCAGTCTGTAAATTTGAGCTGCAGACATAGACAAGCAAACTGGGAGTTTGCATGGGTGAATGCCGGCAGGAACTAAGGACTAGATATTTTCAAGATGGCAGCTTCATCTTCCTTTCTCTGCCAGCCACGTGTATTGTAAGGAGCAGATAAGACGGCAGAGATCAACTGGAAAGCCCACTTGCATAATAAGATTAGGGTGGGATGACCAGCCTTCTCCATGTGCTAGGTGAACATCATACCTGATCGAAACAATCTATAAGCCCTATGTAAATCAGACACCGCCCGCTCAAACTGGACTATAAAATTCAGCACATTTGCTGCAAGCCAGTCCTTTCTGCTTGGAGACCCCTTTCTCTACAGAGGAAGCCATTTCTCTGTCTCTTCTCTTCTGCTTTTTAAACCTCCACTCCTAAACTCCTTGTCTGTGTTCCTGTCTAAATTTCCCTAGTGGATGACGACAAACCCCGGGTTTATACCCCAGACAATGTAGCTGCTTCAAAAGTGTGGTCTAAGGGCCGGGCGCGGTGGCTCACGCCTGTAATCCCAGCACTTTGGGAGGCCGAGGCGGGAGGATCACGAGGTCAGGAAATCGAGACCATCCTGGCTAACACGGTGAAACCCCGTCTCTACTAAAAAAAAAAAAAATGCAAAAAATTAGCCAGGCTTGGCGGCGGGTGCCTGTAGTCCCAGCTACTCGGGAGGCTGAGGCAGGAGAATGGCGTGAACCTGGGAGGCGGAGCTTGCAGTGAGCCGAGGTTGTGCCACTGCACTCCATCCAGCCTGGGCACAGAGAAGACTCCGTCTCAAAAAAAAAAAAGTGCGTTCTGAGAACCAGCAGCATGGGACTAGTTAGAACTACAGAATCTCAGATTCCACCTTAGACCCCTTAAATCAGACTCTGCATCACAACGAAGTTCTACAGCGATTTCTATGCACATTTAAGTTTGAGAATCTGAGTCTAGGCCACACCCGTAAGTTTGCAGCTGGTCCTAAGGTCCTGGGGGGTGACACTGAAAAGTTCTAAACAGAGGAGTGGCACGATCATTGTTATGCTTTAGAGAAATCTTTCTGCTTGTTGAGGAGAAATGGATGAGAGAAGTGAGGTCTAACAGTTGTCTGGGACTTTAAAACGCTATTGCTTTTATTTTCACTGAAGAGCTTACTGCCAGCTGCTCTTTGAATTATAGGTGAGCTTTACCCTGTTGTTACATCTGTCTCATCCTGATGAGATCCAGGGCCATCTATTCTCTTAGACCATTCCCTGAAATTGTCCTACCATCAGGAGGAGGGGCACTAGGTTTTGCATATTACCAATAATGATTTTTTTAGGGAAGGCTTCTTTCCTTTCCATTCCCCCTCCCATGGTCTCAATCAAACCATCTCTTCTTCCCTGGATCTTTGCTATAATCACCTCCAAATGCAGCATTGAAGCTGAGAATCTATTAACTAGACAATTTTTTCAAATCCCAGGTATACATTTATTTACTATTAAACTTGGACAAGTTATTTAACCTCTCTGGGCCTCAGTTTCCTAAACTGTAAAATGGAAATGATAATAATAATATTGAGTTTGAATGTTTCTCTGGGAGATATAATAATAGCTCAGTACAATTCAAATATAGAAGTTACTCTACTTGTCATCAGTCTTATTTTTCTTCAATCAATCTCACTGCTGATGTGTATTTGCATTCACTGGACAAGCTTAAGGCCTGTACAAGGGTTGGTTTCCAGCAAGCCTTAAATGGGATGCAACAGGGCCATGTGTTGCAGAATGTGGCTCTGAGGAGATATTGAAAGCGTAAGTTAAAAGTGGACATCTGGTCAGTCTAATAACAACATTAAACTGAGAGGACAAAGAAAAGACAACTAAAAAGAGACTTAACCTGGTAAAAGGACAAAAAACTGGGCCAGGCACAGTGGCTTATGCCTGCAATCCCAGCACTTTGGGAGGCTGAGGCGGGCGGATCACCTGAGGTTGGAAGTTCGAGACCAGCCTGACCAACATGGTGAAACCTCATCTGTACTAAAAATACAAAAATTACCCGGGCTTGGTGGTGCATGCCTGTAATCCCAGCTACTCAGGAGGCTGAGGCAGGAGAATCGCTTGAACCCAGGAGGTGGAGGTTGCAGTGAGCCGAGATCATGCCACTGCACTCCAGGCTGGGCAACAAAGTGAGACTCTGTCTAAAAAAAAAAAACTGGACAAAAAACTGAGAATCTAGGATAGGACAAACAAATTTGGGCAGGAAGTAAGGGAATAAGGAGGCTTGGAAAATTTCTCTGACGTGCTGGAGTGCAGCAGTTATTATTTTTTTAAAGGACAGGAGTCCCTACTCTCTGGGTTATGATGGAGAGTCTGTTAAATGTGCATGTTGATTTGGAGAGCATAGTGATCTTCTAAAAGTAAAATCTTATGAGGTTTCTCCTCTGCTTGCAACCTGCGTGGTCCCCATAGTATTCTTTATAATGAGATACAAGTGGAGCTTGACTTGGGGCCTTACCTCTCTAATTTACGTCTCATCACTGCTCAATGTATACTCAGGACTCTAACCGTGTGAAGAACTACAGATTACTCAACTTATCCTACCTTTCTGCATGGTTCTGACTCCAGTGAGAAATCTCTCTCCCACAGTGCAAGCATATGCCTGACAATTCTTGAATGTTAAATTTAAATATCAACTTCCTTTTTGAAAAATTGATTTCTGAAAAAAATCAATTGCTTCCTGATCTGCATCCCTTCAACGGTGCTCACCTTGCTTATTTTAGAGCAATTATCACTTTATATGCAGGCATTTATATACCTATATTCATATACATATATTTGTATGCATGTGTGTACGTATTTATGTATGTATATTAGTCAGTTTTCATACTGCTATAAAGAATACCTGAGACTGGGTAATTTATAAAGGAAACAGGTTTAATTGATTCACAGTTCAACATGGCTAGGGAGGCCTCAGGAAACTTACAATCATGGTGGAAGGTAAAGGAGAAGCAAGGCACCTGCTTCAAAAGGCGGCAGGAAGGAGAAGTGCAGAGTGAAGGGGGAAGAACCTCTTATAAAACCATTAGGTTTCATGAGAACTCACTCACTGTCACAAGAGCAACATGGGGGAAACTGCCTCCATGATTCGATTACCCCCTTCTGGTATCTCCCTTGATATGTGGAGATTGTGGAGATTATGGAGATTACAATTCAAGGTGAGATTTTGGTGGTGACACAAAGTCTAACCATATCATTATGCTTTCTGAATTCATTTCCCCCTAACAAGCAGAAGGATCTGCCACCCCATCTTACTCTATTCAAGGTGAGATGTAGACTTACTGTTTCTAAGAATTGAATCAACTCAATGGGAATATAAGTTTATTTAAACAGACCAATGTCAATGTCACTTGAAAAAAGACTGGATAAAGAAAATGTGGCACATATACACCATGAAATACTATGCAGTAATAAAAAAGGATGAGTTCATGTCCTTTGCAGGGACATGGATGAAGCTGGAAACCATCATTCTTAGCAAACTAACACAGGAATAGAAAACCAAACATTGCATGTTCTCACTCATAAGTTGGAGTTAAACAATGAGAACACATGAACACAGGGAGGGGAACATCAGACACTGGGGCCTGTCAGCGGTTGGGGGGCTAGGGGAGAGATAGCATTAGGAGAAACACCTAATCAACTCATAGATGACGGGTTGATGGGTGGAGCAAACCACCATGGCACGTGTATACCTATGTAAAAAACCTGCACATTCTGTAGGTGTATCCCAGAACTTAAAGTATAATAAGAAAAAAGAAGAAAAATAAGCAGAGCCTATTTTATTGTATAGTATCAAAAATTAGCTGCCTTCTTGATAGGTGGTGATTAGTAATCATAACTCTTGCAACTACAGCTGAAAGGTGGTATTGTCTTTTGCCTATGTTCTTCCAACTTAAACTGTAGCTTGGAAGCTGGTAGATAAGCATACATCTCTCAATGATGTTTAAGCAGAGAACAACTTCTTCCTCCACCACACCAACAGCTATTCAGACAATGCCGAGCTGACAGGATGATTCAGGCCAGTTGTTATTAGTAGTTGAACCATTGGGCATCCCAAGAGCATAACAAGAGAAGAGCTCTTTCTTCTCAGTTCTAAACTGAGTCTTGATTCAACTCACTGGAACAGAACTTCTGACTTCTCAAGGCTCCTCTTTGGTTCCAATCTTCCATTTGCTGCCATCTTCTTCATCAGTGCCAGTTCCAGGAATTGTCTTGTCTGTGTGTGAGAAAGAGTGATAAATCACTTTGTATAGTTCCCAAAAGAACCCCTTCCCCTTCCCAAGCAATCTAAAAGTTCTTACAATTATACAATTGAAATACAAGTCATGACCTTTCTATACCTCAGCACAAGTTTCCTACTTCCCCTAGCAAACAGATCATCTCACTTCACAAAACCATCCATCTTTTATAGAAACTACGCACTAGCCACTGCTGTTGAATTTGTATTCATAGTACATTTTTTAGAATATTTCTGTAGTCTATGAATTTGTTCACTGAAGGAAGAAGCCACTTTAGAATCCCATTGAAATATTCTAGTTTGATAGGTGCTTGTGGTTAAAGAGAGAGGGAGAGAGAGAGAGAGAGTCTTTGCCTGTAGAATTTCATACTTTAATAAGGAATACGGAAAAATACAAATAACTGCAAAAAATAATGTGGCCAATACTATGGTTTAGAGACTTGGTCAAGATCTAGGGGAGCAACACAAAGGAGAAAATAATCCATGAATTGGACAGCCTGGGAATACAACGTTGAAGTGGTGATATACGGGGACTAATCTCCACAACATGAGTAAAAATTGTCCAGGCAGAAACTTGCACAAGTGTATTCTCAGCAAAGGAGGCAGCTGGAGCAAAGTTGTAGGGATATTAAGGAATATAAACCATTTGAAAAACTGCTGGTGCTTCATTGTAGCTGGATAATATAGTGGAAATCAGAAGTGGCTGAGGAGAGGCTACCAAGGACAAAAGCAGATTGTGGAGGGCCTGTGGAGGGGAGAGATCGCCACTCAATCCCCAAAAGAACCCCTTCCCCTATCCAAGCAATCTAAATGTTCTTCTAATAATACAATCAAAATACAAGCCATGATCTTTCTATACCTGAGGACAAGCTTCCCCTTGCAAACAGATTGCTTCACCTCTCAACACCATCCATTCTTGGTAGAAAATATTGAAGTATGTATCTATACATATATGTACATATTCTTAAGGGAGAAAGGGCAAGATAGGTCAGATAACTCTCCAAACAAAGCTGACTGCTAATCTTGGATCGAGCCTTTGGGCCAGGAGTTGTTATTGTTTCCAGGGAATATGTTATTGATGGGGATGGAGTGGGTTGACATTGGTGTTAGAAATGTAAGGCTTCAGGTGAGGCTGTTGCTTATTGGCCGGCTTTCAGAGGCTGTGGCCTAGAGTGACTGGCTAGATGGCAAAGCTGAGGGTGTCACTTGCTGGCTGGCTTTCAGTAGCATGTTCCCTGAAGCAAGCTGTCAGTAATGATTAGACTGAGGGAGCTGTCACTGGTCAAGCAGGCTTAAAACCATTTCTCCTTTACATAACTGGCCACAGTCTTCCCCTAGGGGTATTTGGGGACCATGTTGGTGCTTGGACTTATGAGCAATGAGGAGTCACTGAAGGCTTTTATGAAGAGTGATAAGATTTGTAACTTGAAAAGGCTATTTTGACCTGAGTGAGATGATAGTGGAGGGATAAATGCTCAGTGTCCAGTCAGCAGCTCTTCTAATAGAGAATGGAAGGAGTCCTGGGGGAAAGTGAGTTTTCAGAGAAGGTGGTTAGTGTCTGCAGGCTGGAGAATGTGAGAAGCCATAAAACAAAGCTCCACAGATTCAAAAGAATTGAAACTATTCACCGGACATGATGGAATTAATTTAGAAATCAATGACAGAAAGACAGTAAGAGAATCTTTAAACATGTGGAATGCAAACAGCAAACTTTTAAATAAACCATAGATGAAAGAGGAAGTCTGAAATGAAATAAAACAATATACAGCACTGAAGAAAACAAAAACCTGTTATATCAAAGTTCATGGGACACAGTTACAGCAGTGCTGAAAGGAAAATTTACACTAACTGCTTTCATTAGAAACAAGAAAAAAACTCAAATCAATATCTTAAGCTTCTACCTCCAGAAACAGAAAAAGGAAGATGAAGATAAGCCAAAGAATGCAGAGGGAAAAAAATGAAGCTAAAAATGTGATTTAATGATGTTGAAAATAGAAAAAATATAGAGAAATTCAATTTAAAAAGTCAAATGTTAAAAAGAAATCAGGAAAATTTGATAAACTTCTATCAGAACTGAGAAAAATGAAAAGAAGGAAGACAGAAATTACCAGTATCAGGAACCAGGTAGGGGATATGATGATGCTACCACAGGCATTAAACATGTACGAAGGATATACGATGAACTTTACACCACAAATTCAACAACTTAGATGAACTAGAAGACCAGTTCCTCAACTTTGGTTAAACTGTTTTTATGTTTTGTTGCCTTGAATGTGTCATTCTATTGTTTTCTGGCCTCCATTGTTTCTGATGGAAGTTCAGTCAACTGTATTGTTTTCCTAGACATGAGTTATTTCTCTCTTGCTTCATTCAGTATTTTCTCTTTATTTTTGTTTTTCAGCAGCGTGACCATAATGTGGTTAGGTGAGGTTCTTTTTGTGTGTATACTACTTGGGATTCATTGGCCTTCTTGGATCTGTTGATTAATAACTTTTATCAAATTTGGGAAGTGTTCGGCAATTATCTCTTTTTAAAAAGTATGTCTTCTTTCTTTCTTTCTCCTTTCTTTGTGGACTCCCATTGCATTGGTATAGTATAATGACTTTAATCTCCCTATCATCTTCCCAGAGAATGTCATCTATTATTTTAGTTTTACCTTGTAGTAAACTTTATATTGGTATTATTATGGATTTCAACATAATTTATCAGTATTTCTAAGGTGGTGGTACTGTTTTTTGCAACATTGCATCTTGCATCTTGTTTCTTCTAAATTCATTGTTTCCTTCTTATTAATGTACATATGTCATTTGCTGTTCTCTAAGACTCTAAGAGTGGTCTAATCTCTGGATTTTTGATACTCTGAAGATATCTTCACTATTTCCTCATTCTTGAATGTTATTTTAGTTGGGTAAGCAGTTATAGATGTGATGAATGTCCTTGCAAAATGTTCGGCTGTAGGTTTTGGAGTCAGACTATCTTGTTTGATTCCGAGCTGTGCTCCTTGCCAGCTTTACTTAAGTGATTTTTAAAAATTCAATTTTCTAGTTATTTGTTTCTGTTATATATGAAATTGACATCTGCATATTGATCTTAAATTCAATCACCTTTCTTAAATCTGTTATTATTTGAATAATTTATTTGAATATATTATTTCATGGTTTCAATATGGTTGATCATATAATCTTCAAATAATGTCACTTTAGTAATTTCCAGTCTTTTTGCAACCAAGATCAAAATAATATTTAATGCTTATTCTGAATGCAAAAATAAAAGAGTTTAATAATACCAAATGTTAAAGAGGATGCACAGTGACAGGATATCTCAACTGCTGGCAAAAGTGTCAATTGCTACATCCATTTTGAAAAACAAATTATTTTGTAAGCTACAAACACATTATATGGTCAAGTTATCTTGCTAGGTATCTATCTAAGAGGAACTCCAGTGTATTTTTTCAGGAGATATTTACAAAAATAATCAAGTAGATATGTTCTCAATAGCCACTTGGTACAATACAATGAAATATTATGAAGTTTAAATTAACAAATGACAGATGTACACCATATAAAGGATGTTTAGTGATATAATACTGAGTAAAAATATAATTAGCAGTATATGAGTAAGTACAAAATAAACTGCAAAACTGGCATACAATATATCCCTTTTCATGAATCGAATAAAGCTGAACAATACAGAACAATACATTTTTAGAAATACAAATGAATATAATACCATGACATTTTCTTCAAAAAAAATCTTAGTATTAACACAAAATTTTTAGATGGGGCTTGTTTTTTTGGGGGGGATGGGGGGGGAGATTTTGAGACAAGGGCTTAAAATTGGAGATAATCAAATAAGTAGATGTTAGTCACAGTGTTCCAGTTTCTGTGCCAGTGGTGAACCCACGGTAAAACAAATAAACAAATACATAAATAATAAAAGAAGAAAATACATGGACCAATAATGAGAAGTTTCCGTGAGTCAAGATTATGATTACTCGATGACTGTGCACCTGAGTTTTTGACAAAGGAGAAGGAAATTCCTTGGTTCTGCCTCTGTTTCAACAAAGTAATTCCCTATGTACTTATTCTTCTCAGAAAACATATATGTCAGTTTAAGTATTATTAGCTACTCAGAGAGTTAAGAAACCAATTAAAATTTCAGATTTTATGAGTTACAGATTTATTTCATGGGAAATAGCAATATGTTATGAGGTTCAAAGGCTTACACAAATCCTTCATACAAGTGACCTTTACAAGGACAGGTTTTAAATTGTTAATTGGCTTATTGAGGTGTAATTTGGATGCAATAAGACTTACCAGTTTTAAATGCTCCAATTGGTGTGTTTTGATATATTAGTATAACCACCACCAAAGTCATGATCTAGATTATTTCCATCATTCCCAAATTTTCTCATGTGTCTTTTCAATCATTTTTTTCCCCATCTTTGGCCCCTTGGCAAAGACTGATCTGCTTTCTGTCAGTAGATTTTTGCCTTTTCTAAAATTTTATATAAATGTAAGTATATAACATATAATATTTTGCGTCTGGCTACTCTTGATTAGCATAATGCTTTTGGAATTAAATTATATTTCTGAGTATATTTGTAGATTGCTATTGTTTGTTACTCAGTGACATTCTATTTTATGATGTATCACCCTTTGTTTGCCTACTTACCACGTGATGGCCATTTGTATTATTTTTTTACTATTACTATGAGCATTTGAGTAAAAATCTATCTGTGAACATGTTTTAATTTCTCTTGGGAAATAACTAGTGATGGGACTTCTGGGTTGTATAAGTGTATGTTTAAGTGTATAGGAAATTGCCAATCCACTTTCCAAGTGACTGCACCATTTTGTATTTCCACTAGTAGTATATCAGAGTTCCAAATGCTCCACAGCCTCAGCAACACTTGTTATTGTCTTTTAAAAAAATTTAGCCATCCTAGTGGATGTGTAGTGGTGTCTCATTGTAATGTACATATACTTGTGAATAAATCATGGTGATTGTCTTTTCATATACTTTTTTTCATACATAAATCTTTATGGGTTTATTTCTTTTCTTTTCTTGAGTTTTGAGAGATCCTTACATTTTCTATGTATAAGTCCTTTATAGATATATTTTTGGCAAGTATACTCTCTCAGTCTATGGTTTGTCTTTTTATTTTCTTACCAGTTTCTTTTGAAGAGCAGAAGTGACTAATATTGATGAAGTCCAGTTTATCAAATGATAAAACAGTTTATTTTTGTCACATATAAAATTTTTTTGCCTAATTCAGGGTAATACATATTTTTCCATGATTTGTTTTAGAAACTTTTAACTGTTGGCTCTTACTTTTAGATCTATGATCCATTTATTTCTGCTTTTTTTTTGTTGTTCTTGTTTTTGAGATGAGGAGTGTCATGCTGTGCTATCCAGGCTGGCCTCGAGCTCCAGGTCTCAAGCAATCCACCTGCCTCAGCCTCCCAAGTAGTTGAGACTATAGGCCCGAGCCACCACACCTGGCTATGATCCATTTTCAGTTAATTTTTTCATATAGTGTGAGGCTGACTGTCAAGGTTCAGTTTTTTTGTTTTTTTTGTTTTTGCAAATAGGTGTCCATTCTAGCACTATTTGTTAGAGTATCCTCTCTCCAACAATTACTTTAGAAAGTCTGTCAACAGCCAATTGGCCATGTTTGTGTGGGTCTACATTTTAAATCTATTCTGTGCAGTTATCTATATGTTTTTATGCCAGTGCCACATTACTGAGGGCAATTTTAATTTTAACAGCAGAAAGAAAAAGAACAGAGTTGCACACTTTCACTTTACATTGGGGTAGAATGTAATACTAATATGTTAAAAATATTTTTATAGTAAATAAAAAGTAAACCTCCACTTTTTCAGAACTAGGGCAAAATAATATATTTTATTTTTGTTACTATCCTTATATTGCTTATAGATATTACACTGGAATTATGTTGGAAAGCATTGAAAAGATGAAAAAAGTACATCTGAGGAAATTAAATGGGCATAAGAGAATATTAAGAAATGGACTACAAATATTTTTTGCCTGTGTATGCTAAGATAGGATACTTTTTAATCATATGATGTTTGATTGTCCTTTTTTTCCCTGATACCTCTCTAAATGATGAAGACATCATACACATATAAATTGTTCAACAGAAATTTACCAAATGAAATGAAATAAACAAATAGTAGGGTGTGAGCTGTGGCTCATGCCTATAATTCCAACACTATGGGAAGCCAAGGCAGGTGGATTGTGTGAGCCCAAGAGTTCAAGACCAGCCTGGACAACATGACGAAATATCATCTCTACGAAAAAATGCAAAATTAGCTGGGCAAGGTGGCATGTGCCTGTAGTCCCAGTTACTTGGGATATTGAGGTGGGAGGCTTGCTTGAGCCCAGGAGGTGGAGGTTGCAGTGAGCTGAGATCATGCCAGTGCACTCCAGTCTGGGTGACAGAGAAAAAAAAAAAAAAAGAAAGAAAGAAAGAAAAAAGAATTAGAAACTGATGAAATTAATAATTTATTATTCTGCCTTGTTTTCTTTTTTCTGATGGTGCTGGCCGACTAAATTTTTGTCATGTTTCTCCCCCAAAATAGTAACAACAATTTAGTTGTGTTGATTTGTGTTTTAGAAAAGCCAAATAGGAAAGCATACACCATACTTCAGAGTATGTTTAGAATGCACTCTTTAGGGCAAAACATGGTGGCTTCCCCCTGTAATCCCAGCATTTTGGGAGGCTGAGGCAGGAGGATTACTTGAGGCAAGGAGTTTGAGATCAGCCTAGACAACATAGCAAGACCCCATATCTATGAAAAATTAAAATTAAAATTAAATTAAAAAATAAAAACTTAACCAGGCATGGTGGTGTGTGCCTATAGTCCTAACCACTTGGGAGGCTGAGGCAATAGGATTGCTTCAGCACAGGAGGTTGAGGCTGCTATAAGCCATGATCATACCACTGTACTCCGGCCTGGGCGACAGAGAGAGACACCATCTCTGAATAAAATAATAATAATACTAATAAAATAAAATTCCCTTTTAACATCAGCAGCTTTTGACTACTAGAATATGAGAGAGTGTCAAAACTAAGATGGAAATTAGAAATGGTGTGGGCCAACCCATTTACTTTAGAGATGATGAAAGCAATAGCTATTGAGATGTTCTAGTCAATTTGATGTGGAATAAAATTAGTAGTAGAAATTACACTTCCTTATATTCACTTAGAGCTTTGAATTTTAAAAAGGAATTTCATATTCATAATTCTATTGGATCCTAATGACAATAATATGAAATTGTGTTATTTTTCCATTTTACTGTCAATAATAAAAGCTCATATTCCTAGGTATTTACCATGTACAAGTAGACACTTTTCTAATGTTTCCAGGTAAATAAACTTGCTTATTCTCACACAATCCTATGAGATAATCACTATCACTTTAACTTTTAAAGATGGAGAAAATAAACCACAAAAGTAGTCACCTAATTAATAAATGGCAGAGCCAAAATTCAAACTCATCTAGTCATCTTTGGAGATTGTGTCATTAAGGACACTGCCAAGCAACTCTCAGGAAATAAAACCACGGCCTTACTAGACTAAAGAATTAACTTCATTTTCATGGCTAGGAAGTAGCTAAGATTTTCAACTCCAATTGTCAGACTCTAAGTTACCTACTCTTTCTATCTTTTCTGGGAGATAATGAGTTCTGAAGGAGAGAGACAGGGATGAAATGACTTGACACACTAAGATATCCAGCAGTTTGAGTCAAGAAATCCATAGTTTTGTCTCTGATCTTTAAGGCACTATTTTTCTGAAGAATATCAATTTAACCCATCTTTGTCATTCTGAGGCACACACTGGAATCAATAGGTTTGCTTGTTAAATAGACTAGATATGCCAATTAGTCTGTTTGTAGTGCTAAACCTTGAACTTGACTTCTGACAGCACTAGAGGCCCATGGAAGGGTGTTTATCATGATATTTCCATTGGGCATCTTTATTTTACTTCCTCCCCCAGGCAAGCCATGAGGACTCCATAATGGTGATAGAGGGATATTGCCTGTTTCTCAGGGAAAAGGAACAGGGGTGAGAGTTATGTCTTACATTTATCTTTAGGAATCCAGATCCTAGGACTTTACCTGGTGTGTATAAATTCTCCATCAACATTTGGTGATGACGGTGAAGATGACTCAAATTCTACATGTTAGGGACTGTGCATACATTCGGGTATTTAGTCCTTACCACAGTGGGATGAATGGTATTATCCTCATTTTATAGATGAATAAATCTCAGAGAGATGACCTTTTCTAAAATCCTACAACTCCTTAATGTTAGAAGTAGATAGAAAAAACAAGTGGACAAAAAGGGAGAAAGTAGCAGTAAAAGAAAGGTAGAGTGGGAAGGTTTGTAGACACTTGGTTTTCAGTAAATAACTACATATACATAAATATGATTTGCTGTAGTCATTGTTCTAAATAATTAGAAAGTCATGTTAGCTATATTTCTTAAACTGTTAGAGTAAAGCCAATATTTAAGGAACCACTTTGACTTCCACCATAACTTCACCTCTGTGATACTAAACTGGAAGGATTTGGCCCAAACAAAAACTGTTAGAATTATTTATACACACACACAACATGGAAAAAAGAACAAACAAACATCCACTTCTTCAATCAAACAGTCCACATTGCCTGTAAGGTTAACTGTTTTAATTCATTCTCTCACTGCTATGAATAACTGCCAGAGACTGGGTAACTTATAAAGGAAAGATGTTTAATTGACTCACAGTTCAGCATGGCTGGGGAGGTCTTAGGAAACTTACAATCATGGCAGAAGGGGAAGCAGGCACATCTTACATGGCGGCAGGTGAGAGAGAGAGTGAACAAAGGGGGAAGATCCCCTTATTAAACCATCAGATCTCATGAGAACTCACTATCATGAGAACAGCATGGGGGAAACCACCCTCGTGATTCAATCACCTCCCACCAGATCCCTCCCTCAACACCTGGGGTTTACAATTCAAGATGATATTTGGGTGTGGACACAAAGCCTAACCATATCAGTCACTAATAGTAGAAGGGTATTGAAATGAGTTTGCAGGTTAAAGCCTCAGTTTTGGAGTTGTGGAGATCTGATTCTATTTCCACATTTCTTTGTTCATTCAATATTTGTTGTTCAATGTCATGCTCCAGGCCCAAGAATCACAAGAGTGAACAAAATATTCACAGTTCCCAACCTCAGAAAACAGAGAGGCAAAGACAATTAAGAGTAATTGCCATAAAGGTATTCTGTGACAGTGACTTTTTAGAGAGTTTAGAGATACCCAAGGAAATGAGAATTGAAATGAGACCTGAAGGATAAGTGGAAGTGAGCCAAACTTTGGTCAGGGAAATGGGAATAAAGTAAATCCTGGGCCCCAAAAGAGGAATAAACACTGTAACCTCAGGTTATGTAGTTGCAAAATGGGAATAATAATAGCTATGTTAGAGGATCATTGTTAAGATTAAATGGCATAAAACAAGTTGCTTAGCATTAAGCCTGGCCCAGCTTGCACACTCCCTAGTCATTTCCATTAATGATTGGATTCATTAGGGACACACTTAAGTCCCATTCTATTTGGTGTGCCCATGCTATGTTAGAGATAAGCACTAAATTATTATTCCAGTTAATCCATGGCTTAGTAAAATTAGCATAAGTCAAGGATTGACAAGGCATCCTGAGGGACATTTTGCAGAAGACTTTGGACCACAGTAGCTGGTCATTTATGATGAGCATGTGTGTCCTTGGTACCTAGGGCCGTGCCTGACATGTAAGAGATACTTAATAAGTGTTTGCTGACATAATATGATAAAATATGATAAACACAAAAAATAAGATAAACACTATTTTTGGTCCATCAGTTGGAAGAAAATATAAAAATTAAGGTTTCTTTGGCATATGAAAAATTTTTAATTATGAAATGTAAGTAAATTATTTCCTCAATTAACTGAATTGCTAAAACTGAGAGTTAACATTGTAGAGAAAGTTGAGCATTGGAAAATGCTACCTGTTATTTTTTCCCTGCAATTCATTTTTCTTTTAATACATTTTTGGCCCTTTTTTGGTTTGGCTTGCTAAGCACACTATTATGATTGAATTATGATTTAAACAACAGAATTAGTTCCACCACTTTATCAAGTCTGAGGGGGGAGTCAACCCACCACATTGATATTTGTGGTTCTCATTGCTGTGATCAATTGTAATAAAAGCCTGTCCTTTGAATGCAAAATGCTGTTTCCTTATTCTACACCTGGGGAATGCCTGTGAAGTTGTTTCTTCTAAAATGTTGTGAGTAATTTAATGGGATTATAGCTCAATTTGTCAAATATTGTACATATGCATAAATGCACACACAAAACTGATTATTTAAAGATAAAATTCAATGCCACTCAATTGATTTCACCTTAAATATTTTATCAGCTCTAGTTTACAAAGATTCAAAATTTTAAAATATGTACTTGTGTCATGGCCCTTTGAATCCATATGAAGGGGAGATATTTTGCATTTCGGCAAGGTATTTTGTCTTAATTAATTTATAATTTTATGAAGACATACATATCCATGGTTTGAAAAGACAAACAATCCTAAAATGTCCATGCTATCCTGTCAACTCATTTTCTTTAAGGCTGCTTCATTAACAATTGTAGAATCATTCCCTAGTATTTATTTAAATACTTCTAAATAACATGCTGAAATTTCATAATTACTATTTTTCTTTTTCATAATAGCTCTTGGCTTTCTGTAATGATATGATAAAAGAAAACTAAGCTTTTATTAAAAGTACTGAAAACCATTCTGTCTCCTAATTTCTAGTGTTATTGTTAAGAATAATATTGCTTAGAGGATTTTTGATGCTTTTTATGAGACTTGGTTTTCTTTCTCTCTGAGCGATTTAAAGGTCTCCTCTTCTTCCTTGCTATTGTGGAATTCTGGAAATATATGCTTGATGTGTACTTCTTTTCTCCATTCAGTGCTAAACACGTACTGTACCACAAACTTGTATTTTTCATTACTAGGACATTGTACTATCTTTTATTGTTGCTGTTGTTGTTAACTTCCTCTTTTCTGCCTTCCCTGTTCAGTGTCTCTCGGCTTTGTCTTTTTAAACTCCTATTGGTTGAATACTGCACTTCATAGGACGATGCTCTGATCTTTATGTACTTCCTCTTGTTTTCTTTTCTGGGAGATTTTATCAATCTTATTTTCCAACTTTTCTAACGATATTTTAACCTCAGCTATTAGAGTTTTATATTTCCAGAGCTTTTTCTTGTTTAGTAATTATTTCTTTTTCAAGCATTCTGTTTTTATTTCATGCAGGCAACCTCATCTTTAGGCTCTCTCAGAACATTAATTCCAGTTAGGGTTATTTTGTAATGCATGTCGGGGAAGAGGAAAAGTAGTCTATTTTTTCCTAATTTGGATATTATTTCAGTTCCTTCCAGTTTCTTTTTTGTATCACTATTTTGATCTTTCATTTATGTTGGAGATTTTTTTAAGTAGCTGGTTTGCTTTTGTTTTATAATGAGAAGGCACTGAAAAGCTGAAGCCCTGTGTCTGTGAGCTGGTTTTGTCCACTGCTGGGCTTCAGTGCAAGGAGATTGAATCACTGTTAGTGTCTTGCTTGTAGAATTTTGGAAGTCTGATGAACTTCTTTCATTTTGCTTAGTCTCCATCCCTTTCAGTTCAAGCTGTCAACATTTCTGCTGGTATAACATTCTCAAAAATACTGTGGGCCTCCCATGTATGTCACCCAGATTTACATTTTTAGACAAGAGGCTACTCTCCAAATCCTTCCTAAATAACTCCATCTCTATTCCGGAATTCTGCTGAAATCATTGATTAGATTCATGAGGGACACACCTAATCTCTTTAGCTGAAGTTTATCTTGCCCTACCTTCATCATCTCTCCAGAGCAATGCATTTCCAAGCAAGGTTCAGCTGAGTTGACAGAAGTCCTCAAATTAAAGTCACCTACTGGAGGAGTCCCGATGGGCTTGCATTAGTATTTCTGTTGTGCTCAGCCATTAGCTAAACTTAGTCTCAGTATAGATACAGTAGTGAATCTGTACTAATTAATTAATGTAGATATAGTGGGGGCAGAAGCTGGGGTTATCAATCACCTATGCTTTCTGTAGCAGGATCTGATGAGCACATTTTCATGACTGTCTGATACAATATATTTTAAAAATTAGATCACACAAAAATTTACATAATTGTCATGAAAAAATCAGGAATATATTGGTTCTTCTTACACTTATTTTATAGTCTGGTATGGTTTTTCTTTAAATTTACATAAAGTTGGAGTGAACTCCATAATGCATCCGGCACCTACGATCTCTATTGGACTCGGACTACATTGTGGACAACAAGAATCACCTTGCTTTCTGTATTTCCTTATTTTTGTCTTATCACACTTGAAAATATTGCTTTGCTAATAGCAATACCCAATGCTGTGCTTTGTATACAAGTCCCATTAACAAATGTTGTCTGTCTACCTACCATGTGTATATGTGTGTGTATGTGTACGTGTATGTGTGTGTGTGTGTGTGTGTGCTGAAGTATTTAGGATTGGTTTGCTGCTCTTATATCTGACTATGCTTCTTTCAGAAACTCGAGAAAGAAAAACTGCTCTCGATTAAAAGAGAAAAATTACAGTTTATTCAGGCTGAGAAAAATAAAGAGGACCCATTATTCTATCATTAAGTGACTCCTTGTCCTTTTTGGGAATTTATGTCCTTATCACTACAAAGAAAAAGTGGGATTAAGTGTAATTTCTTACATTCCTCCCTGGTTGAGTGGCCTGGGATCCCAGTTAAGACTTGATTATTCTCAGGGTGAACTGTGTTTCTCATTGATTGCTTCTATTCTCTGCCTTAACCGTACTGTATTTCTTACGTAGTACCTCCAGTGAGGAGGAACATCTGGCATACTGCAAAGCAGCACTTATTTTTAGCCAGTGATGAGCTGCAGATGTTGAATTTTTCTAAAATCTCTGTTTCACACAATAAAAGGGAATTTGTCATTCTCCCCACTTGTCCCCTTCCCCCAATGAGACACTATCTATAAGCTCAGGTCTGGAAAACTGAACAATTTTCTCTTGGTGGACAATTTGTACAACACTGTTAGAAGTGAGGTCCTGAAAGAAGTATCCACATTGATGGGCTTATTTACTTGATCTAAATCTGTACTTTTATTATAAGTCCAAGGTGGGGGATGCACAAGACACATTGTCAATAATTCAGAGAGAGACTGTCATTTTTCCTTTGGTGTTGATCACTTTATATTGAATTCATTTGTTTACCTGTCTGCCTTCCTAACTAGACCGTTAGTGCCTGGTGGTCAAGAACTGTCCTATTCATCATCCTCTTCACAGCACTAAACACAGTAACAGTTTCTTGGTTTTATTTGCTGAGCAATGGGTCAATGGATTAATGAATAAGTTAAATAAGTAAGTGGTTAGACTTTGTAGAATCATAGTTCTACAAAGATTTCTAAGATGTCATCCAATATTTTCCCTGTCCTCAGGCCTGATTTTTCAACTGGTACCTTCTTGTCAGTTTCAGTAGCTCTTTAATAATCAACAAATACATACTGAACATCTAGCCTTGTATTAGTCAGGGTTCTCTGGAGGGACAGAACTAATAGGATAGATGTATAAAGAAAGGGGAGTTTATTTAGGAATATTGACTCACATGATCACAAGGTGAGGTCCCACAATAGGCTATCTGCAAGCTGAGGAGGGAGCAAGAAAGCCAGTCCGTCCCAAAACTTCAAAAGCAGGAAAGCCAACAGAGCAGCCTTCAGTCTGTGGTTGAAGGTTCAAGAGTTCCAAAGCTGAAGAACCTGGAATCTGATGTTTGAGGGCAGGAAGCATCCAGCACAGGAGAAAGATGTAGGCTGGAAGACTAAGCCAGTCTAGACTTTCCACATTCTTCTGCCTGCTTTTATTCTGGCCGCACTGGCAACTGATTAGATTGTGTCCACCAGATTGAAGGTTGGTCTTCCTCTCCCAGTCCACTGACTCAAATATTAATCTCCTTTGGCAACACCCTCACAGACACACCCTGGAACAGTACATCGCATCCTTCAATCCAATCAAGTTGACAATATTAAACATCACCAGCCTGTTCTAGGCACTGTCCAAAGTGCTAAGGATCCAATAGTGAATTTGAAAGATTGGGTCCTTGCCTACGTGAGACCACGTTAAAAGGGATACATTTCAGGTAATAATAGACACTATTAAGAAGAACAAAGCAGATTATGGTAATTATTAACGCTGTTTACCAAGAACTTCCAGTCTTCCCTCCAGACAGATGATAGAATTGCACCTGAACTCGTGATATTATATATACTTAGGACTCACTTTGATCAATTAAACATGACAGGTATTGCTTCTGGGTGAAAGCTTTAAAAGCCAGTGCTTGACTTTCCTTACTCTTACCCAAAGTGGTGGATGATCTGCCAGTTTGTTTCCTGGAGTGAGGAAACATGGAGTAGAGCCCACAGCTGGCTTGTGATGGACATGAGAGTGAGCAAGAACTAAAGCTTGGTAGTGATAAGCCCATGTTTGTTTTGTTTTGTTTCTGCAGTATAACTGAGTCTATCCCAAGTAATTTATATTGGTTGATGGTATAGATAAAAGAGGATCAATGCAGTGAAGTTGAGAAAGGGAAAGCATTTATAAATAAATATTAGAATATTTGAGTACATTATAAATGATGAGGAGTGAGGCTTCTGAATATCTTGGGGGAGAGATTTCCAGCTAGAGATGTTATGCCTAGGCTTGGAGGAGGAAACAGACTTGGCTTGTGTCAGGAACAGAAGAAGGTCAGCATGCCTGGGTGGCCGTGAGCACAGGGGAGACCATTAATGCAGCCAGTGTCCACATCAGGTAGTGCTTAAAAGGCCATGGGTGAGAGTGTGGATGGGGGATTATTGAAGGTTTTAGCAATGGAGAGGTTACCTGATTCACATTTGTAAAAACTCACTGTCATATTGGATGGGGATCCTGTTACTTGAGTTCAAAGGATACATAATGTCTCTAATGAGGAGGCCATTGTAGTGGTCTAGGGAGGAGATGATGGTGGATTCAAGTCAGGTGGTGATGGGAGGATTGGTGACAAATGGTCATTATCAGGATATTATTTTAAAATGTCATGTAAGTCTGAGGCAAAGTATCTCCCTGTTAGAAATCACAGTTCCTGTGTTGCCCAGGTTTTCTTTCTCATCTTTCCCATAACACTTTCTGCCTGATATAATATGACCTTTACCCTATCTTCTCCCTGAATCTAATTGCCTTCCATAAAAGATGACTTCAAGTTATCTCCCTTTCATGTGACCCTCTCTAACCAGCCTTACCAATTATCATATTTCTATAACAAGAGTTATTGATTCATTCTTTCACTCAATCATTGGAGAACTAATTTTTAAGGACTTAGGATGTTCCAGGTACCAGTCTAGGCACAGGCACAGGGGATGATGACAGACTACACAGATATATTTTAGCCTTTATGGAGCTTACATTTATAACTAAAAAGAACACATTAAAATACGTATTTATTTAAATATGTAATTATTTCATTGAAATTGTTTAAGATGTTGCAAATGGGAAGTCAAGGGTATTACGAAAACATACAAAAAAGAATATAACCTAATTTTGGAGAAGAGGTAAAAAATGTTATTGAAGAAGATTATTTTAATCGAGTTCTGAAGAATATGTCAGAATCAGAAAAGTGAAGAGAAAAAGGAACTCATTCTGAGACTCTTGGAAAGAAAGAAACTTTAAATTAGTCACTCTTGTAAACTAGCATTTCATCAAGTTTTGAAAATTAAAAGTGCATAGATCTAGTCATGGCTTACACTATCACAGGCAAAGTTTTTCTCCTGTTGGAACCTTATGCAGACATTTTAAGAGTTCATATAAGGTTATGGGTATAGTCACTTCAGACTTTAAATTACATTATTTCTCCCTTCCCCATCGTTTTTGAATACAACTAACTTGAGCCATTCACTGCCTGGTGGAAGGGGGCAAATGTGTTTCTTTTTATTGAGAGAGGGCAGTAATTTCCTCATTTTAAGTGTCATTAAAATGTGTATCTCCTTTCAGTGTTCATTATCCTTCATAATAGATGCGTTGCCGCATGTAACTGGTCCCCATATTATATCTGTAGATCATGGAAA
Organism: Homo sapiens; assembly: GCF_000001405.40. NCBI lineage: Eukaryota > Metazoa > Chordata > Mammalia > Primates > Hominidae > Homo > Homo sapiens. The sequence continues at coordinate 131,489,927 of NC_000008.11, read as the reverse complement.
GTGTAATATTGGCCAATCTTCTGCTTGGAGAAGTATGTAAACCATTCAACTGGTTACTTAAAACTTATAAAATGCATTTTAACCTGACTTTTCTATTTTGATGTGGGTAGAAAATAATGCACAAAGCTGGGACACTGGCTGAATTGTCAGCTAAATGAAAAAAGTAAGCAAATCAAAATGTATTCAGGTCTTTATTTCCTCATCAATCAAAAGGCTAATAATATACACTGCGTTAAAGTGCAATATAAGGCTGACATCAAACAGAGTAATAGTTAAGGAAATTGTCATGGAGATGTGTAAATGCTTCATGATCACAAGTTGCTATTTATTCTGGAGTGAATAATGTAATTATACTGGTATTCAAAGGTATTGAAGATAGGCAATTTGCTCAAGTATTACTTGATTTTCAAAACCTGATGAGTTATATATTAATAGCCTATTTTTCACACGAGTGGATTAGAACTCAGAGAATTTAAAGTACCTGCCCAAAATGACCCAGATGGTGGAACTAAAGCTGGAACTTAGATCTGCTTGAACTCAGAACTTCATAAGCTCCGTTCCCTAAGGCTTTTTAATTTCAAAACACTTGGTGAAATTCTCGTTTAGATTGGTGGTTAATGTGAAGTTCCTTTCTTTCCAAGAATCTTAGCTTATGTTCTTCTTTGTACCAGGGTATTTCCAGAGACAAGGAAAGGTGTTGATAAATCAACTGGACACAAACCTGTACTTCAGATTATGTACACTGATTAAACCAGAGGTATACTTAGGCCTGTATTTCTTTTATTCTTTTCTTCCTTTTTTTTTTTTCTTTTTGAGACAGAGTCTTGCTCTACCAGCCAACCTGGAGTGCAGTGGCACGACCTCGGCTCACTGCAACCTCCACCTCCTGGGTTCTAGTGATCTTCCCGCCTCAGCCTCTTGAGTAGCTGAGACCACAGGTGTGCATCACCACGCTTGGCTAATTTCTGTATTTTTAGTATGTTTAGTAGAGACGGGGTTTCACCATGTTGGCCAAGCTAGTCTTGAACTCCTGGGCTCCAGTGATCTGCCCACCTTGGGCTCTGAAAGTGCTGGGATTATAGGCATGAGCCACAGCACCTGGCCTTAAGAGTGCATTTCTTAGTGCCCCCTATGTGATCATATGACAAGCTTAATCACCAGTGCCAGATAAAAGGAAGCACAGGCTCCTTTCCACATCTGCTCACAAATCTGGCAGAATTCAGTAGAACACATACAGATTCTGGAGTCAGAAGGAGCTCTGCTGGAGTTCAAATCTACAACATCCTAATGTGTAATGTGAATAGACTTGGAGCAAGTTGTTTAATCTCAGCAAGCATTGGTCCCTCTGTGTCCAGAATGGGTGGGTTCTTGGTCTCACTAACTTCAAGAATGAAGCCGCGGACCCTCGCGGTGAGTGTTATAGTTCTTGATGTGTCCAGAGTTTGTTCCTTCTGATGTTCGGACATGTTCAGAGTTTCTTCCTTCTGGTGGGTTTGTGGTCTCACTGGCTTCAGGAGTGAAGCTGCAGACCTTCACAGTGAGTGTTACAGCTCTTAAGGCGGCACGTCTATAGTTGTTTGTTCCTCCCCTCTGGAGTTGTTCATTCCTCCTGGTGGGTTCTTGGTCTCTCTGGCCTCAGGAGTGAAGTTGCAGCCCTTCACGGTGCGTGTAATAGCTCATAAAGGCAGGAAGGACCTAAAGAGTGAGCAGCAGCAAGATTTATTGCAAAGAGCAAAAGAACAAAGCTTCCAGTGTGGAAGGTGACCCAAGTGCATTGCCACTGCTGGCTCGGGCAGCCTGCTTTTATTCCCTTATCTGGCCCCACCCACATCCTGCTGATTGATCCATTTTACAGAGAGCTGATTGGTCTGTTTTACAGACAGCTGATTGGTCCGTTTTGACAAGGTGCTGATTGGTGTGTTTACAATCCCTGAGCTAGACACAAAAATTCTCCAAGTCCCCACAGAGCACTGATTGGTGCACTTACAAATCTTGAGCTAGACACAGGGTGCTGATTGGTGTGCTTGCAAATCTTGAGCTAGACACAGAGTGCTGATTGGTGTATTAACAATCCCTTAGCTAGACATAAAGGTTCTCCAAGTCCCCACCAGATTAGCTAGACACAGAGTGCTGATTGGTGCATTTACAAACCTTGAGATAGACACAGGGTGCTGATTGGTGTGTTTACAAACCTTGAGCTCGACACAGGGTGCTGATTGGTGCATTTACAAACCTTGAGCTAGACACAGAGTGCTGATTGGTGTATTTACAATCCCTTAGCTAGACATAAAGGTTCTCCAAGTTCCCACCAGATTAGCTAGATACAGAGCGCTGATTGGTGCATTCATGAACCTTGAGCTAGACACAGAGTGCTGATTGGTGTATTTACAATCCCTTAGCTAGACATAAAGGTTCTCCAAGCCCCCACTAGACTCAGGAGCCCAGCTGGCTTCACCCAGTGGATCAGGCACCGGGGTGCAGGTGGAGCTGCCTGCCAGTCCTGCACCGCGCGCCCGCACTCCTCAGCCCTTGGGCAGTCAATGGGGCCAGACGCCTTGGAGCAGGGGGCGGTGCTCGTCGGGGAGGCTATGGCCACTCAGGAGACCACGGCCTGGGGAGAGGCTCAGGCATGGCGGGCTGCAGGTCCCAAGCCCTGCCCTGCGGGGAGGCAGCTGAGGCCGGGCAAGAATTCGAGTGCAGTGACAGCGCCTGGCACTGCTGGGGGACCCGGTGTGCCCTCCACAGCTGCTGGCCCGGGTGCTAAACCCCTCACTGCCTGGGGCCTTTGGCGCCAGCCTGCCGCTAGGAGTGCACAGCCCACCCGGAACTCGCGCTGGCCCGTGAGTACCGCGCGAAGCCCTGGTTTCCGCCCGCGCCTCGCCCTCTACACCTCCCTGGAAGCTGAGGGAGCTGGCTCCCGCCTCAGCCAACCCAGAAAGGGGCTCCCACAGTGCAGCGGCGGGCTGAAGGGCTCCTCAAGCGTGGCCAGAGTGGGCGCCGAGGAGGCGCCTAGAGCGAGTGAGGGCTGGGAGGGCGCCAGCACGCTGTCACCTCTCACCTCTATCTGTAAAACGGAGGTAATAATAAACCCTCTATTTATACATGCACATGTGTATTAATCAAACGAGGCAACACACGTGAGGTAGTTATCACTGAATGCCTCATTCACTGAAGCCAGTCTTACTTACTGTTTATCACCTGAGAAATAATATCCTACAATATTATCGGTCATAGAAAAGTGTTATCAGAGAATTTATGGTCTACTTAAAGGAAAATAACTCCATTCCTATATCTTGGGAAGAATAGGGTATCTTTATCGCCCTTGAACATGACTAAGATTTTTTTTTTAGTTGAATTACTGATTTCAGCTCTACAGGTCTGAGATTCTTGTTTATGGAGGTCAAGTGTATATGGTCACACTTCTGGACTATTTCCCATTAGTCAGGGCACTTCTCATCTCAGGAAAATCACTCACCTGCCTCAGCAAATCTATCCTTGTGTCTTAGAGGAAACTTAAAATCTTATCTAAAATTCCTTTTCGAAAATTCCACAAGAAAGCATACACCCAGAGTTGCTACTGTTACATAAACAGTAATAGTTTATGTCTTGAAAGTTCCTATATCTCTAGATACTTTGATCTTTCAGAATGGAATCTAAAACTTAGAATCCCCTAAGTTCTGCTTATGTCTGATTCTGCCCACTAAGATAAAGACAGGAAGGGCTTTCTATTCTCTGGTGCTTACTAAGTAGCAGGTAGAACAGAGTATAAATAATCAGATCTCTGCTTTGGAAAGATGACATCACCTCAACATAGAAGACAGAGTGGAGGAAAGTGACTCAGATGGGGACAGAGCTAATGTGGTGAAGAAGTTAAGAAACGTCTGGGCACAGTGGCTCACACCTGTAATCCCAGCACTTTGGTAGGCCAACATGGGCGGCTTATGAGGTCAGAAGATCGAGACCATCCTGGCTAACACAGTGAAACCCCATCTCTACTAAAAATAGAAAAAATTATCCGGGTGTGGTGGCGGGTGCCTGTAGTCCCAGCTACTTGGGAGGCTGAGCATATTCCTGAGTATGGCGTGAAACCGGGGAGGCGGAGCTTGCAGTGAGCCGAGATCGCACCACTCCACTCCAGCCTGGGCGACAGAGCGAGACACTGTCCCCACCTCCAAAAAAAAGAAGAAGTTAAGAAACATGGGCTCAGCATCCTATTGCTGGTTCCACCACTTATTTATTTTCTTTGCCTCTGCTTCCACATCTGAAAAATGAAAATATTCACTGTGTCTATCTGATAAGGCTGTTGTGAGGATTAAAATAATCCATGTAAGTAAGCACTTAGAATGATACCTGTCATAGGTTATGCATTCTATATTAATTCCATATTATATTAGAGCCATAATATTAATCCATATTTGATGATGGAGTTCTGACATGGAGCAATGACAAAAGGGAGATGATATCTACAATTTGATGACAGAGAATGCAGTAGGAGAGGGATAAGGCCAAAAGGAAGCTCAACAAACCAGGAATTTATAATAAGAGTAGGGGCTGTCATTGATAAGCACTGGGAAAAAGGTAAAAGGGGAGTTGAAAATAGCTAGAGGAAGATCAAGCCTGAAGATGAATAGGTCCAGGTAGAACGAAAATGATAAGCAAAGATATGGAATTGAGGAAGTCCATGATGAATAAAATAAGTGGAGAGCTGGAACTTAGACCCTGGTTTGTCTAGATATGTCCCAACTCTAGACACATGTTATTAGATAAATTTCCAAAGCCTGCTGGCTCTCTCCCTTGGGTGATTTGTAAAACTTGGAGTTTTCCTGGTTCCAAGGCGGAGCTTATGTTTCTCTGCCACCAGACAGCCTGGTAGTTGCCACTCAGTCTGCTTCCAAAAAATAGAAATAAGCAAAAGACCTGCTTACATTGGGCCAGTCCAAAGTAGCAACTTATTAAAACATTGCCACATGCCTGCTGGCAAGGACAGCTAGACAATGTGACAGCTTGTGTTTGTCAAGCATGGGGGACAGATCCCAATTCAGAAGTTTAGGCTATAATTTTTCATCTGGCTGGGTCCCTCTTTTCTTCTCTCTGCTACCCAGCAGGAGGTCTACCTGGACCCCAGACTGATGCCACCTGACTCTCTTTTCCCAGTCTTCAAAGGAATAAGATTAAAAGACAACGGACTTCGAAGTGTCATGAGAGTGAGTGCGTGGAATTTGTGGTGTCTGGGATTAGGACACTGGTCAAGCTTATTTTGCCACAAATCAAACTGTACTCAGAAAATAAGAGTATGTTTCTGTCTCTTCTTCTGTATGTCCATTTCTAGCTCTCAAAATATCTCCCTCCTTCTGAAATACAGACATGATCATTTGATTAAAGACTTTCACATGTTCGTCTTGACCTCAGATAAATATTTAAGCCTTTTAGTATGGAATTCAATGGGTATTGACATGTTGCCCTGGCTTCAGCTCTAGTTATTCTCCTGCCCACCTTCTTCTCGGATGATATCCTGATGTGTCACACACTTTTATTTATTTATTTTTTTTGAGATGGAATCTCGCTCTTCTCACCGAGGCTGGAGTTCAATGGCACGATCTCGGCTCACTGCAACCTCTGCCTCCTGGGTTCAAGTGATCTCTTGCCTCAGCCTTCCGAGTAGCTGGGATTACAAGTGCCCGCCACCACGCTTGGCTAACTTTTGTATTTTTAGCAGAGATGGAGTTTCACCATGTTGGCCAGGCTATTCTCAAACTCCTGACCTCAGGTGATCAGCCCACCTTAGCCTCCCAAAGTGCTGAGATTATAGGTGTGAGCCACTGCACCCGGCTGTGTCACACACTTTCATACATTTGTGGCTTTAAACATCCTCCCCACACTTGGAACACATGCTCTCTGACTTTTCCAACTTTCTAGGGCTCACTCTAGTAATTTCCGCTACTGGAATCCATTACCGCACCCTAGTGTTCCTTCTTTGGCATTTATCTGTGTGGCTACAAAGCAGGGCCACATCTTTTCAGTCTCCACTTGAGCACTTGGCACAGTGCCTAAAACATAGCTGAAAAATGGAAGTGAGAAAATTGGCTTGATCTTTTCTATTTATGTGTCTCTTTCCATTTTTCTTTGGGAGTCTGAGTTTCACTCTCTCTTTGTTGCTGTGTCTCTCATCTTTACCACCACTCCCCAGTAAACCAAGGCCTTTTCTCCTCTCCCTGTTCCACTGTCTTTGGGCTAATTCTTTGCTTGCTAAGCACCAAGTTCTCACCCTGATTTGGTGAGTTTTTCTTTATGCCTTTCATAAGCCAAAACATTTAGTCCACTCATTCAACGGCTCTAGGTCCAGGGCAGTAAGGATGCTCCTTTTAGACCTCTTTTTGAGAATATCTTATGAGAAAACAGCTGGAAAATCAAACCTGAAGAATGAGCTGAATTTCTGATTCTTCTTTGGGGCCATAGACAGTTAACTTATTACCACTCTGCCATCCAGTGTTGCCCAGCCACAACTCATATCTGGAGGATGAGCCTAGGGTATGTTAGCACAATGGCTTGTGTCAAGAAATAATTGACACATTATCCTCATTTTGCAGATACACTGGTAAGAGGAAGCAAGGCTTGTGAAAGTCATACATATTTGAGGGAGAATGAATTTTGGATGATGTAAGCATGCAACCCCAATAAAAGATGCTGAAACTCATTCATCAGTGAAAATCATATTACAGATATTCTGTGCTCCAAGGTCTATACCAGGTACTGTGGAAACACTGATCAATAATGTCATGTCTTGGCCTTCAAGCAGTTTATAGCTCAGTATGCAAGCTCATCAGGGAAACTAACAATTATAACATAATGTGATAATTTCTGTCCTAGAAGCCACATCTTTTCTCTCCGGAAGAGGGGCTGGTTTTACATCAGAACACATCGGTTCATCCTGTCAAACTAGGTTCAAATTTTCAAAGCCCCCTGGTCCATTGTCTTTGAAGGAAATTGTCAGGTGGCATAGTCTCTCATCTTAGACCTCCAGCAAGTTCCTGAAATTGAGGATAAGCTCTTTTGCCACAAAGTTATTTTAAGAAATTTAATAAGCAGAAAATGCTCTATGACACCCTATTAAGTACTACCTGTGCAGGCTGCTTGAGGTGTGCTAGAGAGTAAGAACTTCTGGGTGACCTCAGTTTGCACATCATTGTTATATACCTTCTTCCAAGTGCTCCTAAGAGATGTGACCTGTGTTGCTTTGGTTTACAACCTTGAAGCATATCATGCCTTCCCTGATGCACAAAATCTTTGACATGACCTATAATTTTCTGTTGCACTCAATTTCAGTCAAAATATTCCCTCTTGCATTCAAGTTCAGCTCTCTCTTCTGTCTCCTGATTTGCTATCCAGTACAACCACAGGGGAGAAAACTTAATTTTTTGTTACTTTGTTACCTTCTTTTTTGTTCCCTCTTTACATAAGATGAACTGTGTGTGTCCATTGACTTTCTAAGGCCCACTCAGTCTAAACGTTTGTTCACACAGGTCTGTTTCACAGTCTTGTCACATTAGGTGTGGCTTGCCTGTAATACGGATGCTGCTAGTGGCTGAGTGACTGCAGAGTGCATTGCTGAAATTGATCAGGAGAAACTTAATTGATTAAAATTAAGCACCAGATACTATAAGCCCTGCCTTAATGAAAACTTTGTTTTTAAGCATAGGGGCTTGGATGCAGTCATGGAATTTAAATATAGGAAAGGATGTAGAACAACAATAACACATATTTCTACCTGTCAAAATAAACTACCACTCACAATTTGGCACTACTGGTTCCAGTCATTTTTTTAGGCATATTATTGTTTTAAAATTATATAAGTAATATATGTACAGATAGTATTTACCTTTTTCAAAAACATCTACAGCATTCTGGTTAAATTTTAAAGTCCCACTTGACCTCTGTCTCTAAACACAGCCTTTTCCTAAACATTTTTCCATCTCAAAACCACACATCCTCCTTCAAGAACAATATTATTTTAAATTTGGGTGAATCCTTCCAGTCTTTTCTGTATTCTATATACATACTTATAAAAATATGAAATATAATTTTTCAATTTACATTTTGCATTACCTGCTTTGTAATGTATGTAACATTCTACCATTCACTTTTTAAAATTTTAAAGTACTGTTTGGGGAACTTTTCATACTGTTACAAGTAGACACAATTTACTTATTTGAACTTCTAGTCTATCATATGTATTTATTAGTTTTTAATCTATTCCTTTTTGTTAGACATTTAAGTCATTTCTAATTTTTCCCAGTACAAACAATGTTATGAGTAGTATTCTTATGTTCGTTTTGTGCTTTTATGACCAGAATAGGTATCTTAGTTCACTTTGTGTTGCTATAACAGAATACTAAAGACTGAGTAACTTATAAAGAAAAGAAGTTTGTATAGTTCATAGTTCTGGGGACATGGAAGTCCAAGGGCATGGTGCCTGCATCAGACAAGGGATTTTTGTGCTGAGTCATCCTATGGTAGAAGACAGAAAAGCAAAGGAGGGTGAGAGTGAGAGAAAGAAGAGGAGGCTAAATACACTTTTATAACAAGTCCATCCTTGCAATAACTAACCCAGTCCCAAGAATACAGCATTAATCCATTGATGAAGGCAGAACCTTCATTATCTAATTATGTCTTATTTGTCAACTTCTGCCAATGCATTAGGAATTAAGTTACCAGCACATGAACTTTAGTGAACCCATTCAAACTATAGGATTGGGTATCCCAAGAGCAATTACTGGACATAGGGTAAACGTATTTTTAGATTTTTATCAATAATGTGTGAGAATGTACTCTGTTAAGGATTTCAGCAAGGGGCTTGAATGTCCTCAAAAATATAATTTCTTAAGCTACAGATTGGACCTATTATGCTCATCAAAGCCAACAGCTGGTAGAAGCACCATGAAACAATGAGAGGATAAATTTCAGAGTAATTTGGATTTTGTGTGGAAACCTTAAAGAGTTTCAACATTTTCAGGTATGATATTTAGGACCTTGACAAGTTAAACTCAGCTCAAACTTCTAGGGGAGAAGTCTAAAATGAGATGCCACTGCTTTTGAAAAACAACATGGCCCTTAGCTATTGTTGAGTGAGAAATTTTGCAAAGATTTCTAAAGCAGCTTGCCCTTTTATTCAAATAAAATCTTACTGAGAAGATCTCAATACAATACAGAGGAAAGTGGAGCTTCTCTGCTAGAGTGGGGAAAAACTACCTATATGATATGGTTTGGCTGTGTCCCCGCCCAAATCTCATCTTGAATTGTAGCTCCCATAATCCCCATATGTTGTGGGAGGGACCAGTGGGAGCTAACTGAATAATAGGGGAGGTTTTCACATGCTGTTCTCGTGATAGCGAATAAGTTTCATGAGATCTGGTGGTTTTATAAAGGGCAGTTCCCCTGCACACACTCCCTTGCTTGCCACCATGTAAGATGTGCCTTTGCTCCTCCTTTGCCTTCCACCATGATTGTAAGGCCTCCCCAGCCATATGGAACTGTGAGTCCATTAAACCTCTTTTTCTTTATAAATTACCCAGTCTTGGGTAAGTCTTTATTAGCAGGGTAAGAACAGACTAATACACTGTAGATCCTCTGTCCTGTCTCCACACATCCTCCATAATCTATGACAAGGCAGCCTCTGAGGTCTATCAGTGATGCGCCCTTTGGAAATCAGTGGGTTAGTCCAATCTCATTATTTTTCTGAAGATGTTGAAATTCTGAAAAATAAATTTATTGCAAGTGTTTTAGATGTTTCCAAAACTTAGGCCTGGGTTTCTTTCATAACCATGCTTTTCTTTTATCTGGGACATCTATTATATTCCTTATCTAAAAGGATGCTAAGCAACCTTTAAGGCTTATCTGTACTGCTTGAAGCCTTCTACCAAAGATGGGATTTATCCTTTTTCCTTCTTTAATATCTCCATTTAGTTGTAGACCTCAAGCTGAGAGAGCTCACTGGGACTCAGAGGCAGACACAGACACGTTGAAATTCACCAAAAAGTCCTGACTCTAGAAAAGGCAGGTATGTGAATTCATTATTATCCCCTTAAGGCAGAGATGATGAGCTATGGTTGTATTCAACAATATGTTCATGACCCCACTGGAGCATGATCAACAAGATAGCCCCTTTTTTGCACATTAATACACTAGATAAATATCCTTTTTAGAGAAACAAAAATGTTTTCAACATTATATGTTTTTAGCCGTTGTTGAAATGTGTCTAAATTTCCTTTTTAGAAGGGTCATTCAGAGCTTAGTGAGACTTAATTAAGAACAATCAGCAATAGTCACAGCACAGTTTGCTAATTTCCTGCTTTCTCTCTCTCTCTTTCTCTGTCTCTCTCCTCTCTTTTCTCTCCCTCTCTCTCTTCTTTGCTTTCTCTCTTTCTTTCCTTCATTTGCTTCTAGAGACTCTTAGGACTTCATGCCAAGAATAGGAGGTTTAACTCAAAGTCTCCAGGACATACTGTCATGCATTTTGGGGGAAATCAAACTTCTCTGTGATTCTAGCCTTCTAAAAAGTATACTAGGCTGCTGTTTCAAATTCACTATTTCCTTCCCCTCAGAAGTGTTATGCAGTAATCCTTGTACTGATAAAAACAACCAAAAAAACTAAAGTCACATGGGGAGGAAACACAATATTCCCTATAAATAAAAAACTACCTATTTTTTAAGTCCTACGTTGCTATACTTCCTAAATGGTATCTTGTGGCTCATATATGTGCCATGAATGGTTTACAAGTGGCCACAATATGTTTCTCTTCAGCACTAGGGCAGAGGCAAAGGTTTGGTTTGTGGGATCTGCCAGCTGGAGGCTTTTGGGAGGCAACTATTAATGGCTTCACCTACTTACCCAGTGTACCATTAAAATATTGTCATTTTCTGCATGTTCCGTGATGTGAGAAAGGTTGGGAAACTTGAGGAATACCATGAGAAATTGGTTACCAAACAGATAGATAGTCAGAAAATATTAAATGGAAAATTCCAGAAATAAACAATTCATGAGTTTTAAATTGCATGCTATTTTGAGTAACATGGAGAAAATCTCACACTGTCCCTCTCCATCCTGCTCAGAGACATGAATTGTTCCTTTGTCCAGCATAACCAAGCTGTATACTCTGCCTGCCCATGAGTCACTTAGAGGCTATCTCAGTTATCAGATCAACTGTCACAGTATTGCAGTGCTTGTGTTCAAGAAATACTTATTTTACTTAATAATAGTCCCAAAGCATAAGAGCAGTGATGCTGACAGTCTCAATAGCCAAAGAGCAGCCATAAAGTGCTTACTTTAAGTGAAAGGGTAAAAGCTCTCCACTTAAGAAAAAAAAAATGTATGCTGAGGTTGTTAAGATCTAAGGTAAGAGTGAATCTTCTATTCCTGAAGTTGTGAAGAAGAAAAAATAAATTTATGCTAGTTTTGCTGTCACACCTCAAACTGCAAAAGTTATGGCCACAGTGCATAAGTGCTTAGTTGAGATGGAAAGGCATTAAATTTGTGGATGCAAGAAATGAATAGGAATATGTTCTGACTGATGGCAATCAGGTTTGATACTATATGCGGTTTCATATATGCAGCATCCAGTGAAGGTCTTGGAACATATTCTCCTGAGAAAATGGGGAACTACTGTAACTTTTAACTTCAAGATGCTCAATGCATCTTAGATGAAAGGATCCATGCATAATGAAAGAGGATTCTTGTGTATGAGACTTCACCATTGCACTGTAGGCACCTTGAGAGCAGGAGCTGCATCTTATGTATCTCTGCATCCCTCAAGGTTGCATAGTGGCTAATACTAGCTCCAGTGGGTCTGCCTAAGTTTAGATTCTAGTTCTAGGTCTACCACTTTCTATCTGTGCAGCTTTGGGAAGTCAAGAAACTTTTTGTGTCTCAATTTCTTCAACTGCAAAATGGATATCATTCATTCATTCATTTATTCACTAAATAGGTATCTAATGGTACTGGTGATACAGAACAGAGGTTAGCAAAACAGACAAAATTCCTGCCTTAATGAAGCTTTCATTATTTTGAGAAAGAAAGACAGCATATATATCCAGATTCTTTTATGTTCTAAAGCAAAATAAAGCAAGGTAAGGGGAGATAAGATGATGAAGTCTAATATTTTAAATATGGTGTTTAGGAAAGTTGTCCCAGAAAATTAAACGGCATAGAGATGAGCCATGTGGCTATCTATCACAAAAGCATTTCATGCAAAGGGAATTGCAAAGACCAGCATCCCTGATAATATCGGCATTTATGTCATAGATGCGTATAATTATAAGAATTAAATGAGATAATAGAGAGTGAAAAATGTTAGCTTTATGATCTGGCATGGTTTCAGATATATATTAACATCTTTTAAAATGCTTAGTAAATAAATTATTGATCGGGAAGAAAATGAACATGTTAATATTTGTTGGGTTTCTAATATGAGCCATTGTTTTGAGTGCTTTCCAACATTCTCTTGAAGATTGTAACAACCTTGTGTTATGGTTACGTAAGTTCTCTGGAGTTTTACTTTCAAGGATCACATCTCTACCACTTATTAGCTGTGCAATCTTAAAAAAGAAATTTAATCTCTCTGTGACTCAATTTTCTCATTTGTAAAATAAGGCTAATAAGAGTGCTATCTTCCTAGGGTTCTTGTAAAAATTAAATGACTATTATATGTGAAACACTTACAGTAGTACCTAGCACATTAAGCCCTCTCTGTGTTTTTGCGATCAACATCTTATAGATGAAGAGAGCTGAGACCAGATAGATTAAGAAACTTGCCCAAAGCAACCCAGCCCATGAATAGTAGTAAAGAGATATAAATCCAGGTCTTTCTGGCTGCAATGTCCATGTGATTTCCTAGGCACACCGCACATGGAATTGGAATGATAGCAATGGAGTACCACCCAGAGTCATTTGTTTCTCATTCCATACCCTTGAGGATGACCTTGATTATAGAATCTCAAAAATAACAATTGCTCAGCAGCATTTTTCTCAGCTGGCTTTCTGAATTAGCTCTGATCTTCTTTAATTATGCAACACATACGTCCTCTGAGTGAAGACAGTTAGGCTTCAGTGGAAGATATCTATATTTAGTCTCATAAAATCACCAAATGCTTCAGGGCAAGTTCGTTAATTCTCCTCCACCCACTCCTCAGTAATGTATGATTTTCACTTAAAGTCTCCTATTTACTACCCCTTAGTGAGGCCCACATTTATTTTCTAGTTGTCAAAGGATTTAATTTTCACTCTCTGAACCACACATACCCACACAGAGGCACCCCAGGGTCTTAGCAAAGGGTTTTGTACTAAATCCCTTAATTCTGACATACGTTATTTAACTCTATTCCTAATGACTTTCGGTTTTAAATTGAAGATTCACTGTACTGTTTTGTCTCTGCAGATGGCAAACAGACTGTTATTTCTCCATCTGGAGCTGTCACTGTGTATATTTTTGGCTTGAAAGTTTGATAAAGGGGAGTAAGAAGGGGAATTTTATTTCTTTGTGCTATTGTCTTTCTTCCCCTTTTCCTGTATTTGTTCCCATTTATTCGTTTTCCTCTCCAACTTGGTTCACGCATGTCTACTTACCATGTTATTGGATGTGGAATCTCTGTTATCCCTGACTTGCAGCTGTCTGGTAATTATTCAGAAAGAACAGACTAAAAGAAAGAGAGGAAGAGAGAGAGAGAGAGAGAGAGGGACTTTGTGAGTACAATTGACAAAACAAATATCTCATGATAACATATTTTACTTGCTCTAAATTGGTTTGGCATTGGTTTACTCATCAAAATGCCAAAAGACAAATGGGACCTCATAAAGACAAATGAGGAGTTTGCATATTTACAAAAATACACTTAACTTCATTCCGGCTATTAGGGCACACACTTCCCACCTAATCATTACAATGTAATCTATACTGAAAAATTGTCCTTTCATAAAAGGATTTCTAAATGAACTGCTAATAGATGGGGAAGGATTGCTTAGAAAAGGTTGGATTCTGGAATGAGGAATCTGTAAGCGATCTTAGAGGTATTCTAACCTGAGATACTCATTTTACAGATGAAAACACAAAGCATAAGTGACTTAACCAAAGTCCCAGCAATTTTTGAATGGCATAGCCATGGCTGAAACCCAGCCAGCAATGTGTTTCATTGTGCTGTGTTGGTGGCTGAAATGAAAATAAATAATACTGATAATTTTTATTTTATTTTTAATGAATTGGGCTCTAGTACATAATTTAAGAGAAACAAAAATTCAAGTGACTTTAGACCTAGCATAGACGTGAGACATTGTTTTGTCTAGGAGCTTCCCAATGACTCTTTATGGAGAACTTGTCATTCTGTGGAAGTGCCTCAGAGAACACAAGCAGGAGAGGGTGGGTCTCAGTGTCTGGAACTTTAGCAGACCTCTCACTCCACCAGTATCTGTTATTAACTTAGGGCTTTGCTTTTATCATCTTACATTTTATTTCTTAAATTTTATTTTTGAAAATGTATTCATCAACCAAGGAACATTAAGAAAATCTGATTGAGTTCCACCAGGCTGTTTGAAGATAAGCAGATAAATTAAATATTTTCTCAAAATGATTAGTTGAGTTAATGAAAAAGAATTAACAAGATCTCACATCTCCAAACTCATCCATCCAATTTTTGCTCAGTCAGACTGCTTCAGAGACATCATGTTATGAGAGCTTGAGAGTGGAAGGGATGTGAACACCAAATCTCTGAGTATGCCTTCTCTTGCCTTGTTGCAAGGTAAACCAGGAAAGGCAATCAAATAAAAGATGCCGGCTGGACACAGTGTCTCAGTAATACTAGAACTTTGGGAGGCTGACACAGGTGGATCACAAGGTCAGGAGATCGAGACCATCCTGGCCAACATGGTGAAACCCTGTCTCTACTAAAATACAAAAAATTATCAGCATGGTGGCACGCACCTGTAGTCCCAGCTACTCAGGAGGCTGAGGCAGGGGAATCACTTGAACCTGGGGAGCAGAGGTTGCAGTGAGTGGAGATTGTGCCACTGCACTCCAGCCTGGTGACAGAGCAAGACTCTGTCTCAAAAAAAATGCCACATTTTAACCTTTTCATACAGGAATAGATTAAAAAATTAATAAAGGATTACAGGGATAGGTTTTCCTAACCTTTGTAAGCTGGTGTATTAGTTCATTTTCACGTGGCTACAAAGAACTGCCTGAGACTGGGCAATATACGTATAAAAAAGAGGTTTCATTGACTCACAGTTCTGCATACGTGGGGAGGCCTCAGGAAACTTACAATCATGGCAGAAGGCAAAGGGGAAGCCAGGACCTTTTTCACATGGCAGCAGGAGAAAGAAGAGTGAGTGAAGGAGGAACTTACCAAGCACATAAAACCATCAAATTTCATGAGAACTCACTCACTATCCAAGAACAGCATGGGGAAAACTGCCCCCTGATCCAATTGTTGTCTCCCACCAGGTCTCTCTCTCAATAGCTGGGGATTACGATTCAAGGTGAGATTTCGGTGGGGACAAAGTCAAACCATACCATTCTGCCCCGGGCCCCTCCCAAATCTCATGTCCTCACATTTCAAAATCAATCATGCCTTCCTAACAGTCCCCCACAGTCTTTACTCATTTCAGCATTAACACAAAAGTCCACAGTCCAAAGTCTTGTCTGAGACAAAGCAAGTCCCTTCTGCCTAGGAGCCTGTAAAATCAAAAGCAAGTTAGTTACATCCTAGATACAATGGGGGATACTGGCATTGGAGAAATGTTCCCATTCCAAATGAGAGAAATTGGCTAAAATGAAGGGGCTACAGGTTCCATGTAAGTCTCAAATCCAGCAGGGCAGTCAAATCTTAAAACTCCAAAATAATCTTTGACTCCATGTCTCACAACCAGGTCACCCTGATGTAAGAAGTGGGTTTCCACTTTCTTGGGCAGCTCCACCTCTGTTGTTTTGCAGAGTACAGACCCCCTCCCACTGCTTTCAGAGGTTGGCATTAAGTGTCTGTGGCTTTTCTAGGTGCACAGTGCAAACTGTGTGTGGATCTACCATTCTGGGTTCTGGAGGACTGTTGCACTCTTCTCACAGTTCCAGTAGGCAGTGCCCTAGTGAAGACTCTTTGTGGAGGCTTCTATCCCACATTTCCCTTCTGCATTGCCCTGGCAGAGGTTCTCCATGAGGTCTCCACCCCTGCAGCACACCTCTGCCTGGACATCCAGTTCTTTACATACATCCTCTGAAATCTAGGCGGACGTTCCCAAACCTCAATTCCTGACTTCTGTGGACTCAGAGGCTCAACTCTATGTAGAAGCTGCCAAGGCTTGGGGCTTCCACCTCTGAAGCCGTGGCCCGAGCTATACCTTTTTCCCTTTTAGCCATGAATGGAGTGGCTGGGATACAGGGCATCAAGTCCCTAGGATGCACTCAGCTTGGGGGCCCTGGGCCCAGCCCTTGAAACCATTTTCCCTTCTAGGCCTCTGGACCTGTGATGGGAAGGGCTGCCGTGAAGGTCTCTGGCATACCCTGGAGACATTTTCCTCATCTTTATCTGAGACCACCTAAACCTGACTTTACTGTCCATATCACTATCAGTATTTTGGTCGAAGCCATTCAACAAGTCTCTAGGAAGTTCCAAACTTTTTCACATCTTCCTGTTCTCTTATGAGCCCTCCAAACTGTTCCAACCTCTGTCTGTTACCCAGTTCCAAAGTCGCTTCCACATTTTTGGGTATCTTTACAGCAGCACCCCACTCTACTGGTACCAATTTAATATATTAGTCTGTTCTCATGCTGCTAATAAAGATATACCTAAGACTGGGTAATTTATAAAGAAAAGAGGTCTAACTGACTCACTGTTCCACATGGCTCGGGAGGCCTCACAATCATGGCAGAAGAGCAAGGGGTGTCTTTAATGGTGGCAGGCAAGAGAGAGCTTGTGCAGGGGAACTCCCATTCAAAAAACCATCAGACCTTGTGAGACTTATTCACTACTGCAGAAACAATATTGGGGAAACTAGTCCCATGATTCAATTATCTCCACCTGGTCCTGGTCTTAACATGTGGAGATTATTACAATTCAAGGTGAGATTTGGATGGGGACACAGCAAAACCATATAATTTTGTGCCTACCCATTCCCAAATCTCATGTCTTCACCTTTCAAAACAATCACGCCTTCCCAACAGTCCCCCAAAGTCTTAACTCATTTCAGCATTAACGCAAAAGTCCACAGTCCAAAGTCTCATCTGAGACAAGGCAAGTCCCTTCCACCTAGGAGCCTGTAAAATCAAAAGCAAGTTATTTACTTCCAAGACACAATTGGGGTACAGGATAAATGCTCCCATTTCCAAATGGGAGAAATTGGCCAAAACCAAGAGCCTACAGGCCCCATGAAAGTCCAAAATCCTGCAGGGCAGTCATTAAATATTAAAACTCCACAATAATCTCCTTTGACTCCATGTCTCACATCCAGGCCAGGCTGATTCAAGAGGTGGGCTCCCATGGCATTGGGCAGTTCTGCCCCTGTGGCTTTGCAGGGTACAGTCCTGCCCTGGCTGCTTTCACAGCTGGCATTGAGTGTCTGCAGCTTTTCCAGAAATATTGTACAAGCTGTCAGTGGATCTACCATTCTGGGGTCTGGAGGATGTTGGCCCTCTTCTCACAGCTCTACTAGGCAGTGCCCCAGTGGGGTCTCTGGGTGGGGGCTCCAACCCCACATTTCCTGTTTGCACTGCCCTAGCAGAAGTTCTCCATGAGGGCTCTGCCCTGCAACACACCTCTTCCTGGACATCCAGGCGTTTCCATACATCCTCTGAAATCTAGGTGGAGGATCCCAAACCTCAATTCTTGTCTTCTGTGCATCCACCGGACCAACACTATGTGGAAGCTATAAAGGCTTGGGGCTTGCACCCTCTGAAGCAACAGCTTGAGCTGTACCTTGGCCCCTTTTAGCCATGACTAGAGTGACTGGGATGCAGGGCACCAAGTCCAGAGGCTGCACATATCAAGACCTTGGACCTGGCCCACAGCCTTTTTTACCTCTTAAGCCTTCTGGCCTGTGATGAAAGGGACTGCTCTGAAGGTTTCTGACATGTCCTGGAGACATTTTCCCCATTGTCTTGGAAATTAACATTTGGCACCTCATTACTTATGCAAATTTCTGCAGCTGGCTTGAATTTCTCTCAGAAAATTGGTTTTTCTTTTCTACTGCATCATCGGGCTGCAAATTCTCCAAACTTTTATGATTTGCCTCTCTTTTAAAAATAAGTTCCAATTTCAGATCATCTCTCTCAAGTTCAAAGTTCCACAGATCTCTAAAGTAGGGGCAAAATGCTGCCTGTCTCTTGTTAAAGCACAGCAAGAGTCACCTTTACTTCAGATCCCAATTAGTTCCTCATCTCCATCTGAGACCACCTCAGCTTGGACTTCATTGACTATATCACTATTGACATTTTGGTCAAAACCACTCAACAAGTTCATAAGAACTTCCAAAATTCCCCACATCTTCCTGTCTTCTTCTGAGCCCTCCAAACTGTTCCAACCTGTGCCTGTTACCCAGTTCCAAAGTTACTTCAACATTTTTTAGTATCTTTATAGCAGTACATTAAAGTACTGTATCTTTAATACAGTAAATTGGTACCTACTTCTGGTACCAATTTACTGTATTAGCCTGCTTGTTTTCACACTACTATCAATAACTTCCCGAGACTGGGTAATTTATTTTAAAAAGAGGTTTAATTGACTCACAGTTCTGAATGGCTGGGGAGGCATCAGGAAATTTACAAGCATGGCAGAAGGCAAAGGGGAAGCATGAATCTTCTTCACATGGTGGCAGGAGAGAGAACAGTGAGCAAAGGAGAAGCTTGCCGAGCACTTACAAAATCATCAGATCTCATGAGAACTCACTCACTATCCTAAGGACAGCATGGGGGAAACCACCCCCATGATCCAATCACCTCCCACCAGCTCTCTCCCTCAACACCTGGGGGTTACAATTCAAGATGAGATTTGGGTAGGGACACAAAACTTAACTATATCAGACAGGAAGGCAAAACAAGTTCTAAAGCAAATAAGAAATCACAAATCTAATCTAGGAGGCATCATATCACAAAGGAGATAAGAGTGTGGTTTTTGTTTTTGTTTTTGTTTTTTGTTTTTTGTTTTTGTTTTCGTTTCTGTTTGAGGCAGAATCTCACTCTGCCACCCAGGCTGGAGTGCAGTGTGCAGTGGCACGATCATGGCTCACTGCAGCCTCCACCTCCCATGCTCAGGTGACTCTCCCACCTCAGCCTCCCAAGTAACTGGGACTACAAACACATGCCACTATGTCAGCTAATTTTTGTAATTTTTGTAGAGGTGGGATTTTGCATGTTGTCTAGGCTGATCTGAAACTCCTGGACTTGGCATCCACCCATCTTGGCCTCCCAAAGTGCTGGGATTACAGGTGTGAGCCACTGCACCTGGCCAAGAAGTGGAGTTTCTGATACAATGGCCTTGGTGGAATTCAGAATTTAGAATAGCAGTGAGAGTCTGGTGAGAGTCCAGTGATGGCAAGGGGCCTGATAAAAGTGGCCAATGAAAGGCAGAAGAAGATGGAAGAAGAAGCAATTGGCTCTCACAAGACTAAAATCCTAGGGCCTTCAGTCATCAACTTCTAGTCAATTTTCTGAAGCTTCTGGGCATACAGCAGCGTGTGCCCTAAAAAGCTTCCATACAGTCACTGCAGCTGGGTGCTGGTCACTCCACGGAATCTCTTGAGATAGTTCCTCTTACATTTGAACTGTCACTTTCATGTGGACAGTTTTTTATCCTTAACTTTGGCACATACTTAGATTTTTAAATTCTGTTCAGTCCTCTATAATTGGCACCATAATTTGCAGAGTTCCTGGCTTTTATTATTGCATTGCATATAGTCTCAGCCAAGCTCTAAGAGACTATACAGCCCCTGGCTGGAATCGGATTCAATGCTGTAGTGCAGAGCTCAAAACTGGTTGAGGAAATCTGAAAGACCAGTTACTGAGAGACCAGAATGAATCAGTAGAGTGAGTGTGGTTCTTCAGCTGAAGGTAAGGGGTTTAGGGAGAACACGGTTTTGTTTTCCTTATCTCTAGGGAATATTCTTATCTCCAAATACGTGGAATATAGTTGTAAAAACTGTTTTGATATCCCTGTGTGCTAATTATCACATCTGTGCCAGTTCTGGTTAATTTAGATGGAAGTTTTCTTTTCATTATGGGTATGGGTGATGTTTTCCTGCCTTTCGCATGGTTGTAATATTGCATTAAAACTTAGACATTCTGAATTTTATCTGGTTGGACATTGCATATTTTTGTATTTCTGTCAATATTCTTGAGCTTTGTTCTGAAATGCATTACAGTCATTGAAAACAGTTTAATTATTTTCCTGCAAGAAAACAGTTTCTTGCATTTCGGACGTGTTCAGACAAGACTGGAGCAGCAGTTTGTCTAGTGCTTATTAGTCCCCACTAATGAGTCAAGAGCCTTCTGTATACTCTATCCAATGCCCATGAATCATAAGATTTTCCAACCTGGTTGGTGGTTCTATGCACTATTTCAGTCCTTGTGTAGGCAATAGGCACTGTTACCATTAATCCTTTCAGGTAGTTCTCTCCTTGACCTCCAGTCATTTTCTCGTATGTGTACACTGACTGGTAACTACCTGAATGCTTGGGGTGAATCCTTTGCAAACATTTAGAGTTTTCTTCCTGTTCAGCCGTTTTCCTCCGTGGTACTCTCTCCTGAAGGTTCAAGCTATCTTTCCTGACTTTCGGCTCTGCCTCCTCAACCCAGCCAGTTCTCATGGCTCTGGGTTCTCCCTGTCTTTTTGTGAGCTGGAAATTCTCTCAAGGTAGAAAACTGAGGACATGATAGTGCTAACTTCATCTCCTCCTCCTTTCATGGGTCTCTTTTCTTCTACTAGACATCTTGAAAACTGTTTTTCACATATTTTGGTCCATATTTTGAATGTTTAATACAGCAGAATAATCCCTATCCTTGCTAATTCTTCTTGGTGACGTGACATTTTTAGGAAAAAAATTTTAAGAGCTTGCTTTGCAGTTTCCTGCAGAGCAGACACAGAGGTGGAAGGAGCATAGGTTTTGTACACACAAGTCCGTGTTTAAATTTTAGCTCCACTACTATGAGACCTTGGGAGGTATTGTACTTTTAAAATGGCAGTTTCCTCATGTTTGAAATGGAGATAATGGTAATGCCTGTTCTGTGTATGTAGATGAGAGATTAGCTGAGACTGTGCATGTAAAGCATCTATTAAATGTTGGCTGCCAGAGTAACACTGAAACACGGATTTACTCTCCCCTCACTACAGCTATCATTTCCCTCTCCCTTTTCCTTCATTCTACTTTTATCAA
Organism: Homo sapiens; assembly: GCF_000001405.40. NCBI lineage: Eukaryota > Metazoa > Chordata > Mammalia > Primates > Hominidae > Homo > Homo sapiens. The sequence goes on along the minus strand of NC_000008.11, from coordinate 131,468,527 downwards.
CAGATCAACTTGTTTTATAATTTTTGTGTATTAGCCAGTGTGCTAAATTCTTTACACCTTTTAACTCATGAAGCTTCGCAACAACCTATGACATAGGTACTTGGCATTATTTTACAGATAAGCTGAAGCTACCACTTGTCACAGCAAAACAAAAGACTAGAAGCAAGAGCCATCCATCGTATTCCAGACAATCCACAGAATATGACAGATAATAATATATCGGTATTTTTAGCCACTACGTTTTGGAGTGATTTGTTAGTGGATGGCCAATCTTTCCTTTTGCTTAGAGTTGAAGGCTTTTGTGGGATGCAGGACTTTGAGTGGTAAAACTGGAACAGTCTTAGGCAAACCAAGATAGACAGCAATAGATAATTAGAACAAGCCTGTGATCACCACTGTTTGATCACCATTGATGCATGGTGATTAAGCAATAGATACTGGGTATAAAAACCAGCTGCTTTGACGGTGGACCTCCCTATGTTATTCTGCCTCCAGAGTCAAATCAGAATGTTAGATTAAGTCAACCTTAAATTCATTTCCATTTCCAAATCCTAAGTTCCTTAGCACATCTTCAGGGAAGACCTTCAGGTAGCCCCGGTCCTCTTCTGAATCAGATGAGATTCCTGCAACATCACACACATACTTTGTGATGGTCAGTTTTGCAATTATTTTATTAAAATGTGTTTTGCTCACTAGACAGTGAGTTCAATATTGAATATCCAGCACCTACCTTAGTGTTCATTATGTGCAAAATGTCACTTCAATATTGGTTAAAATAATAAATGTTTTAAAGCTCCATAGACTCATTTGAAATTTTCTTTAAAATGTGAGAGAACCAATTTTGATGCTGGTAAATGTCAACATTGTATTTCCGGATTGATGTACTTTGATTTTATATCTTCTCATAGGCAAGATGGAGAGGAAGGCATAAATTGGTTAATTTATACTTCATCCTATAAAGAACAGATTCAAAAGGAATGTATAAAAATTCTAACAGTATCTGAAAATGTCAAGGTAAACTTGTATATTAAAACATATTTAAGTTGAACATTTGAAATGGTCATACCTAAAAAGCTTTTCTATTTCTGTTATGTTCTGCAATTTAAATAAAATTGTTATATTTAAAATTGTAACATGTTTATTTTAAAGTATGTGATGTATTTTGTATAACCTTTTTTGATAGAAATATTAAACTCTGGACTATATCCAATTATCTAAAATTCTGTTCATAACACCAAAAGCTCAAAATAAAAAAGGAAAAATAGTTAATAAGAAACAGTTTCCATGCCCCCAAAATCTTATCTGTACGTCTTGACATCAAGAAAATCCACTGGCTTTTTGCCTCACTGAGAATCCAGAATGCAATTAAACTAAGCAATTTCAAATGACTTACTTAAATAACATTTTTTTTTAAATTGAGTAACAAAGTAGGCCGAAATAAACCTGAATAAATTAGAAAACTGAGTTGGGAATAAGAGTGCTTCAGTCTCTGTTTTCCATGGATTTTGTGAAGTTTAACAAGCTCTGCTCTTGTTTTGCCGTGTCTAACAAAATTGCAGTTTGCTAAAATAGTCTGGTGTTCAAATCATGTTGACTTTTTCAGTTAAATTGTATTGTCCTGGGGCCCTAAAGTGTCATCTAGAATTCCCCTCCTTCGTTGACAGATGAAACTTGGAGCACAAGAATGGAAAGGTCTGAAAGGATCTTTCTCCAGATAATTCAGCGAATAGATGGCGCAACTGAAACTGAAAGCCAGGCTGGCCAAGGCTTAGTTCCAGTTTTTGTTTGTTTCTTTGTTTACCTGTGTTTTTGTTTTTGTGGCTATGGGCAGAGAAGGGAGGGAAGAAAGAGAGCTGCAAGGATGCCTTCCTTTTCAGGGTTTTTCCTTTGCATCCTTCCCTACACTTTCAGGACCAAAATTTTATTTGTAATATTTTAGCCCACTGTTTAACTTAACATGACAGTAAAAGCACTTTTTCATGTTGCTTATAAAATCTTTGTGACTTCATTTTTGATGGCTATACACTGGTATATTGAATGCATGTGCCATTATTTATTAGATTCAATCATATGACTACCATTTTGTAGGTTAAAAATTGTCCACATTCGCAATTCATATCATTCAACCTTTAACTATCCATTCTATGTTATGGGACATGTTTAGGTTTTTAAATTAGCTACAATAGATACCTTGAGGGAAAGTGACATTTGGTTAACTCACTTTTGCAGCACACATCATGCATGTGCCAGAGTGTCACCAGCCACATTCTCCCGGGGAGCAGGTAGCATCGTAGCCAGCCAGAGTCTCTAGGACCGTTAGTAGGAGTCATTTACAGTTCCTACCTCCAGCCCAGGCCTTGGAAAAATGGCAAAGAAATTATTCCAAAGACCCTGACACTGTCCTCACCCACCAGGCTTCTGTTTGTGGGAAAGCACCTTTGCAGGTCTTGGCAAGGCCAGATGAGACAGCTTTTGAGAGTTTATTGCATTTGGATGCCGCTTCATCTGTGCTCTGTCTCTGTAGCCACCAGGAAAGAACAGCCTGCCTTCTATTCTACTGCCTTTGGATCTTTAAATGGCTAGCTTGTTTTTTTAAGCATTGGAGTTGATGTTCCAAGGCAAAAATAACAGCCTGGCTTTTTACCATTATATTTGAATTGAGTAATGCTTGGAAAATTTTAAAAAGTTCTTATCTATAAATTAGGGTTAATAGTGATAGTTTTTAGGGTTGGGAAAAAAGCACAATACCCTTAAATGATTATAAGTAATTATTGAGAGTATTAGCAAGTCCTGATCTAATCATTATCACCCATACACAAATATTTTCTCTGGATCTAATGAGCTGTGGAATGGAAAGAAGCCATAGACAGAATTCACAAGGCTGAACTAGATGTAATGTCTGGAAATGCAGGCAAAACCACAGCCTCTGTCAATTATTAACTATATAGCTTCAGAGAAGGCTTTTTTTTTTTTTTTTTGAGACAAGATCTCCTTCTTTTACCCAGTGCAGTGGTGCAATCACAGCTCACTGCACCCTCAACCTCCAGAGCTTCAGCCATCCTCTCACCTCAGTCTCCTGAGTAGCTTGGACTATAAGCACATGCCTTGATACCCAGCTAATTTTTGTACATTTTGTAGAGATGGGGTTTGGCCATGTTGTCCAGGCTGATCTCAAACTCCTGGGCTCAAGCAATCTACCTGCCTTCGCCTCCCAAAGTGCTGGGATTACAGGCCTGAGCCACCACGCCCGGCTCCTTTTCTTTGCTGAGCCCCAGTGTTCTCACTGCTGAGCTTGGTGTAGCTGAAGAGATTCCTGTTCGTGAATGTAAAAAAATACCTGGTACATTGGAGAAGCCCCCATCGATGCTAGTAAGGAGGCGTGCAGTGTATCAACTTAAGAGCACAGGCTTGGCCGGGCACAGTGGCTCACGCCTGTAATCCCAGCACTTTGGGAGGCTAAGGCGGGCGGATCATGAGGTCAGGAGATCGAGACCATCCTAGCTAACACGGTGAAACCCCATGTCTACTAAAAATACAAAAAAATTAGCCAGGCGTGGTGGTGGGCGCCTGTAGTCCCAGCTACTCAGGAGGCTGAGACAGGATAATGGCGTGAACCCAGGAGGCGGAGCTTGCAGTGAGCCGGAATCACACCACTGCACTCCAGCCTGGGAAGCAGAGTGAGACTCTGCCTCTAAAAAAAAAAAAAAAAAAAAAAAAAAAAAAAAGAGCACAGGCTTTCAGCATGTAGATCTGAATTCAAATATTATCGCCATTAGATTTTTTTTAACACTCAGGGATTCAGTTTCTTCGTTTGGTAAAATAATTATACCTGCATTTAGAGATGTTGTTAAAGATCAAAGGAGAGAATGTATGTGTTGTGTTCAATCTAGCACCTGATATATGGTAAATGTTAACTAAATGGTGGTTGATTTATATTTTTAGATTATAATATTTTCTTCCACTCTTCTTTTGACAAGCACTTAGAATGCAGTCAGATTCCTTTTCCAATCCAGTTATTAATATGTGCCCCAGTATGCTTTCCAAACTCTGGCTGCTTGTCAAAAATGAATATTGTGTGTCATTTTGATCTGCTATTCTTTTCACGGTACCTTCATGGTGGCAAGTTCTTTCTTCTCTATATGTCACAAAAATGCTTAATAATAGACGCTAATCCTACGGCACTCTAGTAACAATTTCTAACTGCTTGTATTCCAAAACCACGGTTGTTTTACATGCTCTAAGCATGCTTAATTAAATCTCTGTTTTCACCAGCTGAATGAAATGAAAGGTTAACCAAAAGAAAGCCTCTATGTATGTGTATGTGTGTATATATATATATGTGTGTGTGTATATGTCTCTGTGTGTTATGTATGCACAAAGATAGATATGTATAAAGAAAGAAAGATGACAGGTGATTGACAGAGATAAGTAGGTAGATAGATACATAGATAGATACATAGATAGGAGACAAATAGACATGGGGGCCCACATTTAATTACCAAGATCATGAAATTATTATAAGTGTGCCATGAAGTCTTTCTCCTTTTACATTTATTTTTTTTTTTTACAATAAGGATTCTATGCAAAAGTATGAGACTCTTCTGCCAATTTCTGCCTGCCTGCTAAAAAATTCAGACATTGTAATAGTTAATTTCCAGCTCATGTGGATCAAATTTCTGTAGGTTAGCAGAAAGCAAATAGGAGTCCCAAATGTCTGTCACTTAAATAAGAGATACATTATTTAAACTAAAAGGACACTTATTACAGCAGGAATTCTATTACACATCAATCAAAACCAGGGATTTGCCTAAGGTTAGTCTTGTCCTTGTTGTTCAGCCAAACTCTGCTCTTCAACTTTAGATTTAACCTTTAGAAGAACGTATGACTGAATTTTAGCTTTATTTCCTCCGTCCTTGAACTTAAGTGATTGTATGTAGAAGTATGTGAAAAAGCACTAGAAATAAAAATTACATATATGAAATAAGTAATTATATTTATCTTAAATCTGCTTCTGTCCCAGGATACGCGCCAGCCTCCTACATGACCTACATCACACATAGGATGATTGGAACCGTTGTAGCTGTGGAACCAGGGTCCTTAGGATCTGAACATGGAGACTGGATACTCCTACTCTTGCTAGTCTAGGGTGAAATGCCACACCACAGAATACGGGATGTGACTTCCTGGACACTTACCAAAAATAGGCCAGGTGAATAAAACTCAGAAAGTGCAGGGAAATCATTTTCTCATTGAGTGAAGTTTGACCAACTAGGAGAATATGGGAAACAGTCTACATGCTCTGTAGTCTGTTTCTCCTCCTGCAGGTGTAATAGATAGGCCTAAATGAGAAACCAGCTGTCTTTTTGTGGCAATGTAGTTTCAAAATTCACCATCTTGATTTTCTTCTCCTCTTCCCTGCTTGAGCATGAGCACTTCCTTTATTCCTATTCTTGTTTTGTTGGAATTAGACCTCCAAATAAAACATCAACACTTAAGTTTTGACTAATGCTATTTTGTAGGGAAGCTGAGATAAGATGGCTGGTTACGGGAATAGTTCTAGAATGCATACCTACCGGTTGAGATTTAGTACTAAAATAGATTCTCTGTCTAGAAGCAATGGGCACCTTTGTTATTACCAGTAGGTGCAGTGTTAATAACCCGTAGCATGCAATGGCATAAAAATTATTAAAATTTTTATCTGTAGATAGTGTGATGAGGTACAGGATGAGATCGAATCATTGGAGGATCAGTTGATGCTACATTAATCCATATGAAGGAAATGGTAATTTAAAAATTGCAGTGTGATAGCTTCTTTTGACAACATCGGAGGCTTTGCAAGCAGAAAAGGATAGGTTTAATGCAGTTAATTACTGATATAATACTTTTTATGAAAATCAGAAGGCTATTATAGTAGCTTTTAAAAAACAATTATCTCCTGCAACCACAGGGACACGTTGCAAAATAATAGTTGTTCTTTTCAGCACCCAGTTCCACCACACTTTATTGCCCTCAAGACAACAACTAGAGCTAAGTCTCAGCATGAACCAACAAGAAAATTATAGCCCCTTATCCAAAAATAAATAATCCATACCTAAAAGAATTGCAGCATGTGGTTAATAGATACCAGGAAGATAGGAGAGAGCACATGTGAAGATGTATCTTGAGGGTACTATACCCAGGAACATGGAATATAATGCTGGATGGGTAATAATTCATTGAGAATTGGCCACTCACCTGTTGTTAGGGATTTGATGTTCTGGGAAGGACATCTGAAAATATCCCTATTAGCATTGCAGATGGCTCCAAAGCCTGGACTTATTAATCACCGATAGTAATAAAAGTAAAGATTCCAGAACTTCCTTCTTATACTACTGGAGAAGGATTCACAAGTCTTAGAGAGGTAGTATATTAGGCTGTTCTTGCATTGGTATAAAGGAATACCTGAGGCTGGAAAATTTATAAGGAAAAAAGTTTAATTGGCTCATGGTTCTGCAGGCTATACAAGCTTAACGTTAGCATCTGCTTGGCTTCTGTGGAGGCCTCGGGAACCTTTTACTCATGGTAGAAAGCTCAGTGGGAGCAGGCACATTATGTGGCCAGAGTAGGAACAAGAGGGGGCTGAGGTAGGTGCTACACACTTTTAAACAACCAGATCTCATGAGAACTCACTATCGTGAGGTCAGCACCAAACCATGAAGGATATGCCCCCATGACCCAAACGCCTCCCACTGGGCCTCATTTCTGATGCTGGAGATCACATTTCATGATGAGATTTGGGGAGACAAATATCCAAACTATATCAGATAGCAATGACAGAATGGATTTATTATGCAATTTTAGAACCCATCACCTGACTATATTTTCTTGGAAGGCCAGAACTCACCTTTCTATTAAAACAATGACTAATGTGCTGGTTAAGAGTCCACTATTGCCTTTGAGATCCACTTGAGTGGCTCTTGTATACAGGCCATGGTTGACAGTGGATGATCCTACCATGGAGCTAAGCCCCCTAATCTCTTAGGGAAGATGGGATTCTGTACTAGAAGAAGCCACGTTGTAGGACCATCATAAGCAAGGTTGATATAATGGGCTTCATGGTTAGAGTAGCAGTAAAGTGCATTGACCCACAGGAATCTGTGTCTATAGTAATTAATATTCCTTCAGGGAGATAGAAGGATACCCTAATAGGTATAACTTGGTTTCTAAAATCAGAAGAAATCTAGATCTGGTGAGCAAAAGGCTGACATCAGCCACCAAAATTTAAAATGACAGAACCTCATCCAGTTCTCAGACCTGACTCCCTTCACAGTCTCATAACTCACTGATTGAGGGAGAGTCCAGGTTCTCTTGAATAAGAATCCTGTAGTGCCACCAAATGTGTGTATAATGGTGTGTTATTAGTTATCATTAATCCTTTCCCATAGAAATCTCTGCCATTTTCCAGAATAACCATGCAGTGAAGAAGTAAATCACCCAGACTTTTTGAAGACAGTTAAATACAGGGTCTAAACTGACACTGATGTCAGGGAAACAAAAATGCCATTTTAGTCCCCTTGTTACCATGGGACTTATATAAGGTATTTGGTAAATTACCTTGGCTCTTGTCTTTCTTAAAATGGATACAATCGGTCTACACACTCATATTGTATGTATTTATTTTCACTCATCATATTCTGTGCTTGCTTATCTGTGCCCCAAATGAATAACTGGGATATATAATGGCTTCATGAAAGGGACAACCAAATGGAGTTCTTTAAAGTGCCCATATATCAAAATGGGAAATCAGAAGCAATGCCTAATTCCTGGATGGTTGATGTAGAGATTAGTGCCTGTCCTTCAGCTAACCATGTCCTTTATCTTTACCGGTGGGGGAGTTTCTTTCTGCACTGACTGCACCACACATACCTCAAGCAACTCCCACACCCATTCTTCAGTGGCAGTCCTCAACCAAGGAGCATGAGTGTTGGTGGGTAAATGCCCTAGTCTCTCAATCTTTGGAGGGAAAATTTTGAAGCACATTCTACAGAATTCCTCAATCAGTGCCCAGAAACACTGATCTCCAATATCCCACAGTAGCTCCATAACACAAAATATATTGGCTCTTCCTCCTTCCCAGTCCCACTTTCAGGCTCTGCTTCTGGTGAAACACAAACTAAGAGAATGCTTCCATCAAAGACTTGAAAGATTCGTAGGCTATGTTTCCCCCATACCCCAATTCAATTAGACTTTTGCAAGCCTGATCTGTCATGCTAGCTGTCAGTGGCCCACTGAAAATGAATCAGGTTGTAGTTTTTATTTATTTTTATTATACTTTAAGTTTTAGGTTACATGTGCACAACGTGCAGGTTTGTTACATATGTATACATGTGCCATGTTGGTGTGCTGCACTCATTAACTCGTCATTTAACATTAGGTATATCTCCTAATGCTATTCCTCCCCCCACCCCACCCCACAACAGGCCCCGGTGTGTGATGTTCCCCTTCCTGTGTCCACGAGGTTGTAGTTTTTATTGTAGTAGCTGTGCTGGAAGCTTTGTCTTTACCAGAGACAAACAATACAGCCTCTGGCAATTTGTATGTCACCATTGATTAAGTAAATGCTTTTTCCCCCCTCTATACCAATCAAGAGTGAGGATCCAGCAATATATGCTTACTTTCTTGCTTCAGAACTATGGAGGCAAGGCATGGGTCCCACAGTGCAGGTCCCATGTACTGTCAACAGCAGAAACTGATGCTGAGCATTAATTTTGGGCCCATTCCTCATGCAGACCAGACAACCAACTGATGGCAAGTTGACTCTATTTAATTCCTTCCACATTGGAAAGGGTAGTTATTTTTCCATACCAGGATTAATACATATTTCACATATAAAAATATAGGGGAGTTACTGCCCTTGGCATAATAATTGATAAATGATGGACAAGAGACAAAAGAGAACCAGCAAATGAACTTCTCTCCTTTCCTCCCCCTAGGGGACTATTCTAAGGCAGCATGTTTCTGTCGGGCCTGATCGGAGGTGTCCTGTACAACCAAATGACTGTTCACAACTTTGCATTGAGCTGTGGCGAGCTCACAAATACGCCCACTTTCCACTTTCTTTCCTGCTCACTTCACTTTCCCCTCAATCTTACTGCTCTGAATTTCACCTCCTGATAAAGTGTTAGTGCTTGAAATTTGCCATAGGCTCTGCTTTTTAGGGAAGCTGGACTAAGTCCATGTCTTCTTTAATGAGTAAACAAAGCTTTGCATTGAAAGTTTTATTCAATAAAATTTTTTCACTACTCTCAACTAAATATTTAAGTCCATGACTTAAAGAGAATACAAGCATATGCTTAAATCATTTAAAATCAGAGCAGAAGGCAAGCTTAAACTCTTGGACATAACATTTAGCTTATACCTTCAGAGATAGCAAATAAAGGAAAATCCTTGCTCCACAACCGATTTTAAAATAAAATAATAATTTAGTGTTACAAAGTATAGTATAGGGACATAAGAAAAAATCTTGAATCTGACAATGCTGAGAAATCATTGCTTATTAACATTTAGAAATACAAATATCAGAATTTTAAAAGCTTACTGGATTTTAACAATGAAATGCTGGTGAGAATAATATTTACTTTTTAAATTAAATTCCAGATTTAATTGGTATCCTATAAAATGAGGTGGCAATATTTGGCTCTGGCTTTGGCTTTGGTCAAATATTGATCTTTCTACTCAGTCCTTTGACATTTGTCCAATATGAATTTTTAAGACACATCTGAAGTGAATCCCCCTCTTTAAATTCCACTGAATGGCATTTGTTAAGAATATAATACAGAAGCTAATAATACTTACAGTAGTCGTAGTAACAAGTAGTTAAATATATTGAACAAATCCTTTGTTACAGGCACTCCACAGAACACTTTAAATGCACAATTAATTTAGTCTTTGTGATAATTTTTCACAAAGTACATAATAATTATCACAAAAGTACAAGATAATTTTTCATTTATGTGCACAATAATTTCTTTAGGTGAGCACATTTACCATCAGGAAACTGAAAGACAGAGAGTTTCACAAATTGCTCACTGTCATCCAGCTTATAATGATAGATACAAGTAGGATTTCAGGTCAGTCTCAGCCACAGCATATGCTCTTTATAACAGGGAGTATTTATTCTCTGCTGGGCATTGTACTATGACGCTTTTCATGTTCTAAATCCCAACAAACAAAAGAGATAGCTATTGCAATTGTTTCCATTTGACAAATGAGGAAAGGAAAGGCAGTGAGAGATGAAGTAATTTGCCCAAAGTTACACAATTAGTAACTGGAAGTGCAGGGATTCAAGAAATCTGACCCTAAAGCTTACTCTGTATCAATCACTCACTTTCTCCAGTTCCAGCCAGAGAGAAAGTGTATCTTTAAGGATTACTGTAATTGATTAATATAACATCTTTATTTTTTGACTGTGACCTCAGTCTGTCTTTTATTTATTTATTTATTTATGGTTTTTTTTTATTTTTATTTTTGAGACAGAGTCTCACTCTGTTGCCCAGGCTGGAGGGCAGTGGCGCAATCTCGGCTCACTGCAAGCTCCTCCTCCCGGGTTCCCGCCATTCTCCTGCCTCAGCCTCTCAAGTAGCTGGGATTACAGGTGCCCACCACCATGCCTGGCTAATTTTTTGTATTTTTAGTAGAGATGGGATTTCACCGTGTTCACCAGGATGGTCTCAATCTCCTGACCTCATGATCCGCCCGCCTTGGCCTTCCAAAGTGCTGGGATTACAGGCATGAGCCACCACACCCAGCCCTCAGTCTTTCTTAACAAATCCTTTGCTGGCCTTATAATGTCTTGAATACAAGAATTCTGCCAGATTTTTATGTAGAGGCGTATCCAGATCAGGTAGCCTCACGTACAGTGGGCATGACATAGGTAAGCAGCCCTTCTAGAGAGAATGGTTTTATAATGAAACTATTTTTGGAGCCTGAGTGCTCTACATATAATATATGCAGGAGGTGGGACAGTTCTGATGCTCTCCTAGACAGCAAAAAATCCATGGGAAAAATCATACCTTATAGAAGATACAACAGAGTCAGCTTTTGACACTGATGAATACATTAAAGGAAGACAGCTTCAGGCTGTACCTTCTTTACTTTTTCAAAATCCCTGCCTTCCTTATAAAAATAAGCACTTCACAGTCTTCATGAGAGTTGCTATTGTTCTGCTTGGATGACTTTGGAAGATAGGTGGTAACTAAAATAATTTTAGTCCACTTGATTCTAATAGCTCATTTGCTTGACAATACTTGAAAAGGTCTAAAATTTAAGATTTTATAAAACACTAAAGGGAATATTTACATAATAAATATTCCCATGGCATAAGTGTTCTTAGAATTTTTAAAATAAACATATATGAACTTCTTACAAAAAGAAATTGCAAAGATAAATGTCATGCAATCCTAGTGCTAATTAATGCATCTTCACTACTCTCACGGTTATGATGAGCTAATATTATAATCTATTACCTACACATTCCCAAATTCACAGAGAGTTCAGTTCTTCACCAGTGTAAAGGCTGAAATTATGTAATTTCTATTTCTATGATTTATTCTATAAAAATCGTATGGAATGATTGAATAAATCTTTACGCCATTTTTAAACTAAAGTGTAATTCTCAAGCAGTAAAATTTCCTCTTTTTGTGTTAAGCATGTTTTGAAAAAAATGCATACTACCTTGTAATCATCACCAGAATCAAGATATAAAGATAGAGAACATGTTTATCACTTCCAAAATAAATTCTCTTTGCCCCCATTTAATCAATCCCTCCACTCCAATTTATTATTCATATTAATGGGATCATGTAGTACATAGACTTTTGAGTCTGTTTTCTTTCATTTAGCACAATGCATGTTTTAGTAGTTCTTTCCTTCTAATTGGCAGCAGGCAGGGTGCATTCCATTGTATAAATGTGCTATGTCTTGCTTATCTATTCACCAGTTGAAGGCCATTTGAGTTGCTTCTAGTTTGGGGCTGTTAATAACAAAGCTACTACAAACACAGACAAAAGTTTTTGTATGAACAAAAAGTTTTATTTTTTCTAGATAAATATTTCTGAGTAGAATGAAATTGTGTGGCTCATTTATATTTAACTTTATAAGAAATTGCCATACTGTCTTTCAAAGAGGCCATACTATTTTGCATTTGCATGAATGACATATGAAAATTCCTATGTGTATCCTTGTCAGCATAGGGTATTATCAATGATTATTTTAGCCATTCTAGTAGATTAGAATAGCAGTCCCTGCTTTTTCTTCTGTTTTCCATTTGCTTGTAGATTTTTTCCCCATTCCTTTATTTTGAGCCTATGGGTGTCACTGCATGTGAAACGAGTCTTTTAAAGACAGCATACTATCGAGTCTTGCTTCCTTATGCAACTTCCCACCCTATGTGTTGTTGTTGTTGTTGTTGTTGTTGTTGTTGTTTTTGAGATGGAGTCTTGCTCTGTAGCGCAGTCTGGAGTGCAGTGGCTTAATCTCCACTCACTGCAAGCTCTGCCTCCTGGATTCACACCATCCTCCTGCCTCAGCCTCTCTAGTAGCTGGGACTACAGGCACCCGCCACCATGCCTGGCTAATTTTTGTATTTTTAGTAGAGATGGGGTTTCACCATGTTAGCCAGGATGGTCTCGACTTCCTGACCTCGTGATCCGCCCACCTTGGCCTCCCAAAGTGCTGGGATTACAGGCATGAGCCCAGCCCACCCTATGTCTTTTAATTGGAGCATTTAGCTGTTTACATTCAAGGTTTAAATTGATATACATGGATTTGATTCTGTCATCATGTTGTTAGGTGGTTGTTATGCAGACTTGTTTGTATGGTTGCTTTATAGTGTCAATGGTCTTTGTACATAAGTATGCTTTAGTAGTGGCCAGTAGTTGTCTTTCTTTTTCATGTTTAGCACTCCCTTCAGGACCTCTTATAAGGCAAGTCTGTTGGTAAGGAATTCCATTAGCATTTGCTTCCCTGAAAAGGGTGTTATGTCTCCTTCACTTATGAAGCTTAGTTTGGTGGGATATGAAATTCTTGGTTGGAATTTCTTTTCTTTGACAATGCTGAGTACAAGCCCCCAATCTCTTCTGGCCTGTCAGATGTCTGCTGAATGGTCCACTGGTAGCCTAATGGGGTAGCCTTTGTAGGTGACCTGCCTCTTCTCTCCAGCTGACTTTAATATTTTTTCTTTCATTTCAAACTTGGAGAATCTGACAACCAGGTGTCTTGAGATAGTCATCTTGTATAGTACCTGGCAGGGGTTCTCTTCATTTCCTGAATTTGAATGTAACCCTCTCTAGCAAGGTTGGGGAAATTTTCATGGATGATATCCTGAAATATGTTTTCCAAGTTGCTTGCTTTCTCTCTCTCTCTTTCAGGAATATCATATCAATGAGTTACAGATTTGGTCTCTACATAATCCCATATTTCTTGAAGGATTTTTTTCATTCTTCTTTAATCTCTTTTCTTTATTTTTGCCTGATTTATTTGGGAGAACCTATCTTTGAGTTCTGAGATTCTTTCCTCAGCTTGGTTGATTCTGTTGTGGATAATTGCAATTGTTTTTTGAAATTCTTAAAGTGAGTTTTTTAGCTTTATCAGTTCAGTTCAGTTCTTTCTTAAAATGGTCATTTCATCTTTTATATCCTTTATTATTTTATTATTTTTCTTAGAATCCTAGGATTGGGTTTCAACTTTCTCCTGAATCTTGATGACTTTTGTTCCTATCCATATTCTGAATTCTATTACTGTCATTTCAACCATTTCAGCCTGGTTAAGAACCGTTCATTACTGGGGAACTGGTATGATCATTTGGAGGTAAGAAGACACTGGCTTTTTGAGTCACCAGAGTTCTTGCACTGGTTCTTTCTCTTTTGTGTGGGCTGATGTTCCTTCAATCTTTGAAGCTGCTGCCCTTTGGATTTATTTTTTCTTTTATCTTCTTTGATGCTGTTGGGGATTTGATTGTGGTATAAGGTGGGCTTAGTCAACTGGTCATTTCTGAAAGAATTTCGGGGGCTAGGGCTCAACTCAACACTCCAGGGCTGTGTGCTCTAACTCTGGGGGGCTGGTTTCAGACCCCTGGCTTTGTTCTCTGGCCCCTCCAGGTTAGAACCTGCTGCACTAGAGTGGACAAGGTGTTCCCAGAGAGATGACTACATCAATCTGCTGGGTGGTGCTGGACAAAGCAGTTAGTTGGGGTGGTGGCAGTGGGATTGAGGCTTGTTTGTGTATGCCAACAGGAGAGGCAGCAGGCAGGGTACATGTGCATTGGCTGAGGTGGGGTCCTGGTGGGAGCAAGGCTGCTATGTTCCTGTGCATGCTCATGTTGGTGGTGATGATGGCAGTGGCAGAATGCTGGATGGATCAGGGCTTCTAGTCTCTGTGTGTGAGTTTGCAGCCATGATGGTGGCTGCATGGGAGGAGGTTGCCAGCAGATGTGGTGGGGGACAGGGTGTGCTCACCCTGGCAGCAGTGTTGTGGTGGAAGGGATGGTGTTGCAGTGAGCTCACATGGTCTGGCAGGGAAGAGGAGGTAATGAGGTCCACGCATCACAAACTGGCAAGGTGATGAGGGGATGGAGACTAGCCATGGGCAAGTGCACTCTGGTGAAGTAGCGTAGGACAGGCTGTGGCAAGGGAAGGGTGCACATGGACTGGTGATGTAAGCAGGGATGCTCTGCTGGAGTTCTCTGACAGTTAGGTGTGGTTTACCAGCAAATAAGCTGTGATGAGGGCCCCCGGAAAGCACCCTGGTCGGACATCTGAGGCTGCACTGCAAGAAGGCACTGCCAGGCTGTGTACCCAGGGGAGACCTGCGGACAGAGGGGACACTCAGGTTGGACTGGTGCCAACTCATGGGCACACCTGCTCTATCCAGGTCTGACAGTCCCTTAAGGTTTCTGTGTGTGAGAGGAGCATGGTGACTTTTAGGGGATAGGTGTCCCTGGCCATGCTCCAATGCAGAAATTTCCACATCAGACTCTCTGGGTTCCACACAGGCTTGAGTCCTGCCCCTACCATCTCTCCAAGCAGCTCTACCTGCCAGCTCAAGTGTCCATGAAGGTTGTAGGGTCTCCTGCTGCCAGGATTCCAGAGGTTCCTGGTGAGAATAGATCATTTCTCACCCGTTCAAGTCATCTCTTCCCCAGGAATCACAGAGGGTCAGGAACGAGTCCTGTGTGCAATAGCTACATGCAGGGATTCCAGGTTCCATGCCTTTGATCTTAGCATCTGTGTCTTCTCTCCCTTCACTCTCAATGCTTTCCCTCAACAGATCAGCTCAGGGTCCACCAATCTTCTTGATATCCTGCATATATTCCTCCTGGCTGCATTTAGTTGGCTATCTGAGTCCCCTGGATTTCTGTGTTCCATTGATCTCTGTGTTTTTGCTTTTGTCAATATTACACTGTTTTGATGACTGCAGCTGTGTAGTAACTCTTGAAATTGGGCAGTGTGAGTTTTTCCACTGTGTTCTGTTTTCAAAGTGTTTTGCTTATTAGTTCCTCTACCTTTTCATATATCTACCAAAAATCTTGCTAGAATTTTGATTAAAATTGTATTCCATTTATAGAAATCTTTGGGAAACGTTGACATCCTAACATTATTGAGACTTGCATTCCATAAATGTGAACTACATTTCCATTTATTTAAAGCTTTGATTTATTTTATCAGTGTTTTGTAGTTTTCAGCATATAGACATTGCACATACGTTGTTAGATTTATACCTGCATATTCTTTTACTTTATTTCTTTCTTAAATTTCACAAATATTTATTCAACCCTTTCTTTGTGGCAGAAAATTTTCTTAAGAACTAAATAGGACTGAATTTTTCTAAAAGTAACTGACTTCATGGACCATTAATTAGAGACAGACAATAAATACATCAAATCTTTAATATTTTTCAAAGTGATAAATTTTATCAGACAAATGTCTTAGGTGGGACTAATGTAGAGTGTGGTGGTTAATTAAACAGTGTAGCCATAGAAGGCCCTACTTTCAAGGTTAAATGAAGAAAAAAAACACTTGAAGGCATTTCTTAGCAGTAGTTGATGAAAAGATTAACAAAGCAAATGCCCTGAGGAAAGAGTGTCTGTGTATTAGAGAAACTGCAAGGCAAACAGTGTGGCTGAGTGAAGTAATAGACAGGACTAGGAAAACATAGTCAGATAGATAAAAGGGAATGATGTGTATAAGGCATTGTTGGCTATCATAAGAAACTTGGGATTTAGTCTGAATGAAGTAGAAGTCATTCTAGAGTTCTGAGCATAGGGAAGTCATGAATTAACTTATATTTTATGTATTTATTTATTTTACATTAAAACAAAATTTTTTTAATTCTTTTTTTTTAAATTATACTTTAAGTTCTGGAGTACATGTGCAGAACGTGCAGGTTTGTTACATAGGTATACACGTGCCATGGTGGTTTGCTGCACCCATCAACCCATCATCTACATTAGGTATTTCTCCTATTGCTATCCTTCCTTTAGTCCCCCACCCCCCAACAGGCCCCAGTATGTGATGTTTCCCTCCCTATGCTTTTACACTGTCGGTGGGAGTGTAAATTAGTTCAACCATTGTGGAAGACAGTGTGGCAATTCCTCAAGGATCTAGAACCAGAAATACCATTTGACCCAGCAATTCTATTACTAGATATATACCCCTAGGATTATAAATCATTCTACTATAAGAGCACATGGACACACATGTTTATTGTGGCACTGTTCACAATATCAAAGACTTGGAACCAACCCAAATGCCCATCAATGATAAACTGGATAAAGAAAATGTGGCACATATACACTGTGGCATAATGCAGCCATAGAAAAGGATGAGTTCATGTCCTTTGCAGGGACATGGATGAAGCTGGAAACCATCATTCACAGCAAACTAACACAAGAACAGAAAACCAAACACCACATGTTCTCACTCCTAAGTGGGAGTTAAACAATGAAAATTAACTTATATTCTAAAAGAACTTCATTCAGACTAAATCCCAAGGTTCTTATGATGGCCAACAATGCCTCAGATTGCACCACTGCACTCTGGCCTGAGCAACAGAGTGAGACTCTGCTATCATGGCTGTGTTAAGACTAAACAGTAGGGGAATAATACTGAAAGGAGAGAGACCAATTAGGAGACCGCTGCAATAATTAAGACATGAAACTATTAATACAATGCACCAGCAATCATATTTTAACAAGCTCAACATCACTGGTCATTAGAGAAATGCAAATCAAAACCACAATGAGATACCATCTCACACCAGTCAGAATGGCTATTACTAAAAAGTCAAAAAATAATAGATACTGGCAAGGTTGTGGAGAAAAAGGAGAGCTTACAGAGCATTGGTGGGAGTGTAAATTAATTCAACCATTGTGGAAAACAGTGTAGTAATTCTTCAGAAACCTAAAAACAGAAATACCATTTGACTCAGCAATCTCATTACTGGGCATATACCCGAAGGAATATAAGTCATTGTAGTATAAGGACGCATGCACGCATATGTTCATTGCAGCACTATTCACAATAGCAAAGACATAGAATCAACCTAAATGCCCATCAATGATATATTGAATAAAGAAAATATGGTACATATACACCATGAAATACTATGCAGCCATGAAAAAGAATGAGATAATGTCTTTTGCAGGACATGGATGGATCTGGAGGCCACTATCCTAAGCAAACTAAAGTGGGAACAGAAAACCAAATACCACATGTTCTCACTGACAAGTGGGTGCTAAATGACGAGAACACATGAACACAAAGAGGGCAACAAAACACACTGGGGCCTATCAAAGAGTGGAGGGTAGGAGAAGCGGGAAGATCAGGAAAAATAACTAATGGGTACCAGGCTTAATACTTGGGTGATGAAATAATCTGTACAACAAATCCCCGTAACACAAGTTTACCTATATAACAAACCTGCACATGTACTCTTGAACATAAAAGAAAAGTTAAAAAAAAAAAAGAAAGTACAATGGATTGAACTGCAATATTTCTGGAAAATGTGAGATGATTTAGTGTTCTGGTTATATTTTGGTAAAAGAGAGAAGAATTTTCAGATGGATTGTAAGTAGGCTGTTTTAAAAGGAAAGCAGTGAAAAAAAAGGATTCAACGAAGTTCTTCAGGCTAAAGGAAAAAGAAATAGAAAAAATTTGTTATGCACAAAGAACGAAGAGTGTTAGAAACACTAAATATAAGGACAAATAAACAGGCATTTATTAAAACATAATTTAATGTATAAATCAAATTAATGACAATGCATTGTGGGATTTATAAAATATGTAGAAGAAAATAGCCCAGAGAACAGGAAGGGATAAATATAAGCATACAACAAGGTTCTTACATTATGCATGAAGTAAGTATAATATTATGTGAGGTTAGATTGTGATGATTTTAGGATATATTTTACAAACTTTAGAGCACTTGTTCACAAAGTGTAGTCTTCTCCAACCTAATAAAGGATATAATGAACTGTTGTTGCTCACAACATTTGTGACACGAAATGTGCGTGTTTCCTCTCCCCACCACATCAACCAATTCTCCAACTGTCCAGACAATCAATTCTCCAACTATCCAGTGTGTACACCAAAAAAATAGAAAAACTTCAGATAAACAACCAATGTTGCATCTTAAAGAACTAGAAAAGCAAGAGCAAACGAAACCCCAAATTAGCAGAAGAAAAGAAATAATAAAAATCCGAGCAAAAATGAATGAAATTGAAATGAAAAAAATACAAAAGATCAATGAGTGAAAAGTTGGCTTTTTGAAAAGATAAAGAAAATTTACAAACCTTTAGCCAGACTAAGAAAAAAGAGAAGACACAAATAAATAAAATCGAAGATGAGAAAGGAAACATTACAACTGATACTGTAGGAATTTAAAAGATCATTAGTGGTTAATATGAGAAACTGTATGACAATAAATTGTAAAAACCTGAAAGAAATGGGTAAGTTCCTAGACACATATAACCTACCAAGATTGAACCATGAAGAAATCCTAAACCTGAACAGCCCAGTAACAAGTAATGAGATTGAAGCCATAATAAAATGTCTCCTGGCAAAGAAAAGCCCAGGACCAGATGGCTTCACTGCTGAACATTTATTTGATTTGATTTTAAATATTTTTTATCTCAATAGCTTTTGGGGTACAAGTAGTTTATGGTTACATGGATGAATTGTAGAGTGATTAAGTCTGAGATTTTAGTACACCTATAACCTGAGTAGTTTTTATCCCTTTTATACATTGAGGAAAGAACAGTCTCTTCAATAAATGGTGCTGGGAAAACTGGATATCCATATAAAGAAGAATAAAACTAGACCCTTATATCTCACAATATAAAAAAAGTCAAACCAAAGCTGATTAAATTTAAATCTAAGACCTCATACTATAAAATTACTATAATAAAACTTTAGGGAATTAGACTGAGCAAAGATTTCTTGAATAATAGCCCACAAACATGAGCAATAAAAGCAAAACTGGACAAATGCGATCTCATCAACTTAAAATGTTTCTGCACAGCAAAGGAAACAGTCAACAAGGTGAAAAGACAGCCTACAGAATGGGAGAAAATATTTGCAAACTACCCATCTGACAAGGGATTAATAACCAGAATATATAAGGAGCTCAAACAAGTCTGGTAGGAAAAACATCTAATAGAAGTACAAGAAAAAATAGACAAATCCATAAATATGGTCAGTGATTTCAATACCCCTCTCACAATAATTGATAGAGCAAGTAGAAAACCAGTAAAGATGTAGGAAACTTTCATTATCAACCAACTAGAGCTATTTTACATTTCCATAACACATCATCCAACAATAGCAAAATGTACATCCTTTTTGAATGCACATGGAACATTACTGAAATGGACCCTATTCTGAACCACAAAATAAGCCTCAGTAAATGTAAAATATTTCAGTTTATACAAGGTGTGTTCTCTCATCACAATTGACTTAAATTAGAAATCAATTACAGGCCAGGCCAGGTGGCTTACCTGAGGTCAGGAGTTCAACACCAGCCTGAGCAACATGGTGAAACCTCGTCTCTACTAAAAATACAAAAATTAGCTGGCTGTGGTTGCATGTGCCTGTAATCCCAGCTACTTGGGAGCCTGAGGCACAAGAATTGCTTGAACCCCGGAGGTGGAGGTTGCAGTGAGCCAAGACCGCACCACTGCACTCTGGCCTGGGCAACAGAGTGACTCTGTCTCAAAAAGAGAAAAAAAAAGTAACCAGTAACAGAAAGATCTCTAAAAACATCCAAAATATTTGGAAACCAAAGAACATACTTCTAAATCACCATTGGATCAAAGGAAAGAGCATGAGAGAAATTAGAAAGTATTATTTGAACTGAATGAAGATGAAAACAGAATATATAACTTGTGAGATCTGTTAAAATAATACTTAGAAATTTATAGTACTATATGCCTTTCCCAAATCAATGACCTCTTCTTTCTCTTTAAGAAACCAGAAACAAAATAGCAAATTAAAGCCAAAGCACATAGGAGAATGAAAATAATAAAAACCAAATAAAAATCAATGAAATAAAATTCAGAAAAATAATAGTCAGTGAATCTATAAGCTGGTTCTTTGAGAAAATCCATAAAATTGAAAAAGAGATATATTTATCAGGAAAAAAGAGAAGATACAAATTATCAATATAAATAATGAGAGAGGTTACATACAACAAATTCTACACATTCTAGAAAGATAATAGGGGAATATTATGAACAATGTTATGTCAGTAATTTTGACAAGATAGACAAAATGAAAAAAATTCCTTGAAAAATGTAATCTGTAATCTACCAGATCTCAGTCCAAAAGAAATAGCTAACATTAATAGTTCTATGTCTATTAAAGATATTAAAATTATAGTTTAAAACTTCACCAGGACTTCTCTTTTTTGCGAAGATGGAATAGACATACTTTTACCTACTCCCT
The DNA here is from genome assembly GCF_000001405.40 of Homo sapiens. Classification (NCBI taxonomy): domain Eukaryota; kingdom Metazoa; phylum Chordata; class Mammalia; order Primates; family Hominidae; genus Homo; species Homo sapiens. The sequence goes on along the minus strand of NC_000008.11, from coordinate 131,447,552 downwards.
CTTGCTAAGTACAACTAAAAATCTTAGACATTGTGTATTAAGGAAACATAAGAACACTGAGAAATGGAGACAAGAAGACAAAAATGTTAAGGACTGAGGGATTCAAGGAACATGGATGAGTTTCCAGTTTCCTGTGTTTTCTTTTTGACTTGTAGCTGATGAAGGTGACAGTGAAGAAATGCCAATGGGGACAAACCAAAAGCCTGAACAGTCTGCTCTCTATTGTCAAAGGATCAGGAAAGAGGCAGCCTAGTGAGGCAGAACATTTAGACAGTCACTGCTCTGCTATACCAAAGGGTGGAGCCTAGACTTCTACCTTCTTCAGGCTGGATTAAGGCACCCCATTCTGCTGCCAGGCTGGTATGAGAGAATGCTGAGTAGAAAGCTTATAATCTAATTTCCCATGGGAGGTAATGAAGCCCCTGCCCCTCCAAAGTGGCAGTGAAGACCACGTGGAAATCTTGGATTTCCAGGCTGAAATGTCTTGACTCTATCAATGTCAATATTCTGGTTCTAATATTGTAATAGATTTTTCACAAGATGTTACTATGAGGGGAAACTGGGTATGATGCACAATATTTCTGTATTACTTATAACTGTATGTGAATCTACAATTGTCTAAAAATAAAATGTTTAATTAAAATTATGTCCTATTATTAGGTAAAATTAAATACTTCTCAGTTATAATAAAGAAATTCAGTTTCCGTTAATAAACAGAAGCAAAAACATAACTTCACACAAAGAAAACTCAAGGCCTAAATGGCTTCAATAGTGATTTCTACCACATTTTGATAAAGAAGCAATATCCATTCTACACAAACTCTTCCAGAAAACTGAAGAGAAAGGATTAGTTCCCTATTCATTTGATCAGACCAATATTGCCTTGGCACCAAACCAGACAAAGGTATTCCAAGCAAAGAAATCTACAGGCCAATATCCCTCAGGAGTATAGATGTAAAAATTCTAAACAACTTTTAGCAGATAAAATCTAAAAACATATTCAAGGACTAATACATCATCACCAAGTAGGATTTTGCCTGGAATGCAAAGTTGTATCAGGTTAAAAATCAGTATAATTCATTACAGTATCCATCTAAAAAGTAAAACTCTATGGCCATCTCCACAGACACAGAAAGAATCATTTTTAAAAAGCCAACATCTATTCCTAATAATAACTTTAATTGTGCTAGGAATAAAAGAGAACTTTTTCAACCTGATCACAGGCTTCTATAATAACCTAACAGCTAATATCATATTTAATGGTGAAAGACTAAATGCCTTTTCTCTACAATATCAGGAACAAATCAAGGATACTTGCAATCAACACTTCTATTCAATATTGTTCTAGAGATTGTAGCCTGCTTACAGTCTCTGTTTGGTACCTACTTATTAGGAACAAAAAAAGCATTCAGATCAGAAAAGAAGAAGTGAAACTATGTCAACATGGGAATGGATAATTAAACTGTAGTATAGCCATACAATGGTGTAAAAAGCAAGGAAAAAGAAGGCTATTGATACAATTACGTTGATGCTACAATGTGAATGGATTTCAAAATACTTAGGCTGAGTCAAGGACGTCAGACAAAAAAGAGAACTTACTGATTCAATTCATCTGAAAGTTTAAAACATGCAAACTAATCTATAATAATAGAAAGCATCTTTGTTGTTAGGCTGAGATAAAAGATAATGGTGGGGACGAGATGAGTGAGAGAAAGTGACTGCAGAAGTAGGAGAGAAAACTTTGGGGGTTGATGAATATATTCACTATCTTGATTATGATGATAGTTTCACGAGTGTATATGTATGTCAACATTTAAAACTGTATGCTTTATATGTGGATTAGTTTATGCATATTATGCCTGAATAAAAATACTTAACAAAATAGAAACAATAAGGATAGCCAAAGAATGGGGAAAATATTCACAAATGTATACTTGATAGAGCAATTTTGTCCAGGATATCTAAAACCTCTTGCAACTCTATATAAGTTAAAGAATCAGATTAAAAAATGTGCTGGAAGATTTAAATATGCAGTTCCAAAAGAAGATTCATAGATAGTCTCAATAAATAATTGAATGGCACTCAGCATCAATAACGAACAGGGAAATACAATGAAAACAATGAGAATACTACATAGCCACTACAATGGATAACATTAAAAAGCTGATTATACCAATTGTTGAGGATGAGGCAGAATACCCTTCCTGTCTGCAGATGACTGTCACAAGGAGATATTCTGAACCAAAGATCTGATGGTGAGGATTAAAAATAATAGATCTAGGGAAAAAGGAGGGAGAATGTGTGAAAGTGACTTTGTGAATCAAAGGGTACATTAGGCCAAGAAGCACCGGGGGAAAAATGCATACTTAATAGTGTTCAAGGAGAAAGAGTGTTTTCAGAGGAAAGGCAGATTTCTGTTGGAGCAAGAAGGTAAAAAGGACATTCAGAAAATTGAGTGAAAATGTGTAGTGTTTTGTTGATGATGGAGACTTATGTTTGAATGTGCTCATAAAAGGGTCTCTGGGACTGGGGAAGAATGAAAAATGTATCCAAAATGGAAATAGACACTTCTGTATAGATTTGAGGAGTTTAGGGATAGAAGAAATGTTGGCAGTCTTGGTCTTTTGACTGATACAAAGAGTTACAAATTGCATGGTAAGATTCATTCTGATCTTGTCTACATTAACAGTGGATGTTGAAGAAACATGAGGTGAAGACTTTTTCCAGAATCTTGCAGTGCCACCACTGGCCCTGCTCTGTAACTTTTGTAATTCTTTTATGGAAAAGATAAACTCTTATGTTTAAACCTTTGTTATTTGGGGATTTTTCTATTATGTGCAACCAAACTGAATTGCACTTGATATAGTTTGCTTTCTCTGATGCACTCAAGAGTTTAGAAACCAAAATGTATAATCTATTAGGCTATAGTATGTCACTGATGTTTATCTATGACAGTGAGATGAATTAACCTAAAACAATTTGTAGACCCAAAACAAATTTACTTTAGCTTAGTCCCAAGAGCTTAGAATTCTTTTCATAGAGAGATGTGAAAATTTTTCTAAGAAAGTGGTAAATTTGAGCCGTCAGGAATTGACCTGCTACCGCAAGCCACTTGAGAAATTGTTTTGGTTTCCATTTGGCTTAGCAAAATTAAGAGAAGATTCATTCTCTTGTACCTTTAACACCAGTCATTTCACTTTTATTGTCAATGTTCCTAGGAAAAAGATGTATTGTGGTAAGTAGGTAATTAAACCAAAGCCTCTATTCTTCCAGACCTAGCTCCCCAGGTGCTATGTACAGATAAAGTTGCTCCTTAGGAGTAACAAATGCACAAACAATATCAGAGGAGGAGAGCCACCCGGCAGTGCTAGGCAATTGACAAATGAGGCCAACAGTCCCAGTATCTCAGTACATCTGCTGCCTCTGCAAGAGTCATCCATCAATGCATGCCTGAAAAGGGCCAAGCCCCCTTGGCATCCTGCTTCATGTCTTGGCTTCCAGCTGCCTCGCTAAACATGGCTATCATCAGCATGCCTGAGTGGCCAAGCCTCCCACATCTCAGGCTGGTCTGAATGCTTGATGGTTGCTTTAATTTTGGCCCTGGTGAAGGGTAGCATACATTTCAATTAAAATGTGACCAGAAATCCCCCTTGAGCAATGTCATGGAGGCTGAGTATAGAAGAGTTTGAGTTATGAACTTAAGTTCAAATCTTGGTTAATTCGCCTGCTGATTATGTGAGCCTGGATAAGTCACATAACTGTTATGAGTCTCTATTTCTCATGCTACAACTGACCCAGATTCACAGAATAGTTAACAAACACCTAGTAAGAGCTAAACGGTGTGCTAGGGAGAGGTGTAAATAAAACAAGATACAGTTCCTGCCTCAAACCTCAGAGGTTAGTGAAAAAGGTCTAGATTATATGGGTAATACCTTCTCATAGGGTTGTTGAGAAGAGTTACATGAAGTGCTACATATTTAAAAAAAAAACGTAAAAGCCTGATGTCAATAAATGCAAGCTGACACTATAGTTCTTGAAAAGGTACAAATCGGTAGCACATTTAATGGCAAGCTTAACTTCATTTGGGATGCTCTAACACTTGTATGGTAGAGGTTTCTAGAAGACACTCATTCAGGACAGTTCTCTGAGTGCCCTTTCACTGACCCAATTCTCCCTCCCTTTCTTATTTACAATCTCAAGAATAACTGTAGAATGTGCTGGGAATTTAACCACCTGAGATAAGTGGGTACTGGCCAGAAAAGCCTGTGTTATTTTTATCTACCTCCCCTGCTCCTTGAAAAAGATGTTTTTCAATACTTTAGCCAAATGTGTCATGTTACCCCAGGGTATAAAACTCAGATTAGGCTGATTTCTGGGGTTCTCCACCTGTGGTGCAAGTAAGGCATGTGCAGATGAGACACCATCCGCCCCAGCCAGCTTTTCTAAGCCTTGAGGGATTGACTCTCAATGAATCCTAGGCTTCTGTTGTCCCTTGCTGTCTATCTTTAGGTAATAAACCCATCTCATGTAACACCTTGTATGTGTGTGTGTGTGTTCTGTCTCACTGGACCCAGGCAAGTTTGTAACCAGTACACAGTGAACCTGCTTCACAACTCGTGTTGGGTCCTCCCTATCATCCCAGACCATGGGAGAATTACACTTCTTTACTCCCATGTAACTAACTTTGGCCAATAGGCTATGACCAGAGGTGATAATGCATTATTTGGGATGAAAGTATGTAATTGTTGATGAGAAGTCTTCAGTAGTCATGTCTCCTGCCATGAGTGATGAGTATGCCTTAATTTGCAGGTGGTTCAAGTAAAAGATGCTGGAGCCTTTGTGGGCTTAGATTGTTGAATTGCCTCATGGAGGACATTTGCCCTGGAAATTTTCCCAGATTTGCACTTGATTTTTCATGAGTAAGAAATACATTTTGCTGGTTTAATCCATTGAAATGTGGATGTTGTCTTATTACCTCATGATAGGCTCACTTAACCTAACACGTTTGTTAGCTATAAGGTCTTACTTTGGTAAAAGGCTCCACATAACTGATCCTAACTGAAACTAAGCTGCCTTTTTACAGTGGTATAATTAGATTATTTTTATTTACATGAGAGGCTTCAGTTGGCTTTTTTCTGTAGCCCATGGTCAGTGCTACACCTTGGGCTCCAAAACGGCCGCCTTTTCCCTTGGTTCTTGGTAGAGTCAAATTAGCCATGTGTTAAGAGGTCACATTTCTGAAGTTAGATCATCAAAAGCTTCAATCTTGTCATTGCCATTATTAGTTTTGTGACCTTAAACAATTAACCTAACTCTTTGAATCCCAATTTCCTTATCTAAGAGAATGAGATGTCCACAATTTATACCAGTCAGGGTTGATGTGGGGATTCAATGAGATGATCCCGGGGAATCATTTAGCCTGATATGCAGTAAGTGCTTAAAAACTGATGTTTATTATTGCTGATGATTTTATTATTATTTCTCATTCCATGAATACAGGGTATAAATAAAATATAAATCTCTCCTAACCTGTAGTTAACTGCATGCCTACCTCTTCTATCTCTAAGGATGCTGTAAGTTACCCCCAGAAAGGCTACAGCTAGAACTTATTTGGCAATCTCTAGACAAACAATAACCAGATCTCTGATAAACAATACTTGTTCCCTTTTTCTTTATTTGATTCTAAGTGTCTTTGCCCTGGTTTTTCTGAACTAAAGCCTTTCTCACTTTTATAAAATCTGCACAGAGTACTCAGCTTTTTTTGTTTATATGTGCCCCAGAGTAACAAGAAACAACTCAAAGTAACTCCACATAAGCTTTTAAATAATTCTTCTCTTCAATAAATTCAATGATGATAATAAAATCTATCCTGCAAATCTGTTGTATATATTCGGTGAATTACAAAATGTGAAAGTACTTTATAAACTACACAGAGTTGTAGAAATGAGGGGGCTTTATAATAAAGTTGCTATAGATGTTAATCCTAGGATTATAATCTCCTACTTGAGAGAGTTAGAAAAGAGCAGGGAAGTTAGAAAGGAAATTAGCCTAGGTCTGTATTACTGTGGCTCTGGTATGAGGTTTCCTCTAGCTCCTGCCTACTTACCATGGTCATGAGTACAGAACCCCACGAGCCCAGTGCTGCTGCTGAGGAAGTTTCTGTCTCAGAATGTAGAAGTTGCTCATTTATTCACAGGAGAAAGGGAACCCTGAATGAGGAAAAGAGTGAGGTTTTCTGAATAGGGCAGTTATCTTCCTTTAGTTTTCCCTTCTTCAGTCCCGATTAACCCAGCCTTCTGAAAATTGTCTTTACTGAGCTGTAGGCAAGGAACATGTTATATTCTCCTTGCTGTGGCTGGTAAATGGCCCTCAAAACTCAATCTTATTCCACTGAAGTCCTAAAACCTATTAGATACTCACCTCCATCCACCTCTAGTATTTCATATGTGTACAGAATGGCAAGTAAGAAGAAGTGGCTTCAAGTGTGCAGAGGCCTCCTATGGGGAAGAAAAATCAGGCTTATTCCATGCAGCTCAGAAGAGCTGGAAAAGAATCAATGGATAAAAATTTAGTGAAACAGCTTTCAGATATTGGAGGACTGTGGGCTATGAAGATAAAACTACATATTCCATATCCTCAAGGAACACAAAAGAGAGAAGAGGTATACATGTAGGCAGATGCATACCAAATAATATGATGCTTGCAGTACTACACTGCTATAAATAGTTGCTGTGCCCATGTCAGCTGCACTCACACAAAATACCACTTACTCTACCTTCAAAACACTATAGGCATTCTGGATTTCTAGAATCCAACTCTTTTGTTATCTCCTTTGTTATCTCTCTGGTCTAAGACACTATAATATCTCCTGGATTATTGAAGTGACTTGCTGATTCATTGAGTTCTTGCCTAAACAGTCTGTTCTCTACATAGCAGTGAGAGATCCTGTTAAAGCACAAGGCAGAAATTTCATATCTAGGTATGGAAAAAGACCTGATACAGATAGAGATTTCTTGCTGTATGTATGTGCATATACATACACACACAATATAACTATTTTCTGCCATCACTTCTTTGCTCAAACCCTTCCAGTGACTCCCCATTTCAATCCGTGTAAAATAAGAAAAGTTCTTATAATAATCTAAGAGGATTTGCAGATTGGGCTCTTTGCTATTTCTCCTCCCTCCCCTTTTAAATCCTATCTCTTGCTCACTCTAAATAGCTGCAGTGGCTCCTTCACTGTTCCTCAAATACTAAAGGCATTTTCCAACTCAGGACATTTTCAGTTGCTACTCCTTCTGCCCAGGCTGCACTTCCCAAATATATCTACCTCAGATGTTTGTTATCAGTGAAGTCTTCCCTAATTCCTTATTTAAAATTGATTTTTTCTTCTACTGACACTCTATACATTCCTTCTACTTAATTTTTCTCCATAGTGCTTATAATGACATCACACTGTATATAATTTGATTATTGACTTCACTTTTTGTTTCTTCCTATTAAAATGTAAGTGTCATGAGAAATTAGGAAAATTGTCTATGTTTAGCACTTAAAACGGTACCTGGAAAAGAGCAGGTGCTTAGTAATATTTATTCATATATAGCTAAGTGAATGTACTCACTTTAGAAAAACTAGTTTCTCAGTGGTAAATACTATTTATTTATAGTCTTTCTTCAGGCCCAAAGGGAATTAAAGCATCTTTAAAAATACATTTATGATAATATTTAATATCTCTACTTAAATATCACCTCCATAAAGAGGTCATCCCTTAATGTCATTTGTTTTTAACATAATAACTAAAGGAGAGGAAACCCTTTTAAATTAATGGCAGAGTAGTAAACTTATAGCATGAACTCTTCCACAAATGAAAATTTTTAAAACAGTATAATTAGAAAAAAAAACTAGTTTAAGATACTAGAATGATTGTCCAACCTGGTAAAAGTCTCTAAAGAGTATAATTGAAAAAAACACAAATAGAAGGGGTAAAGATTGGTTGTGTGTGTGTGTGTTTTGCATTAGGAAACTGTCCAACCACTTTGACTACAGCTTTAGAAACATAGTTTTACTGGCTTAAGGTGCCAAAAAAATGTCAGGGCTATGAATAAAAAAACCGCTGTAAATTTAAATGGGGAATTTTTGAAGACAAAGAACAGCAAAAAGAATAAGAATTAAAACGATTCCCTATTTAATAAATGGTGCTGGGAAAACTGGCTAGCCATATGTAGAAAGCTGAAACTGGATCCCTTCCTTACACCTTATACAAAAATCAATTCAAGACAGATTAAAGACTTACATGGTAGACCTAAAACCATAAAAACCCTAGAAGAAAACCTAGGCAATACCATTCAGGACATAGGCATGGGCAAGGACTTCATGTCGAAAACACCAAAAGCAATGGCAACAAAAGCCAAAATTGACAAATGGGATCTAATTAAACTAAAGAGCTTCTGCACAGCAAAAGAAACTACCATCAGAGTGAACAGGCAACCTACAGAATGGGAGAAAATTTTTGCAATCTACTCATCTGACGAAGGGCTAATATCCAGAATGTACAATGAACTCAAACAAATTTACAAGAAAAAAACAAACAACCCCATCAAAAAGTGGGTGAAGGATAAGAACAGACACTTCTCAAAAGAAGACATTTATGCAGCCAAAAGACACATGAAAAAATGCTCATCATCACTGGCCATCAGAGAAATGCAAATCAAAACCACAATGAGATACCATCTCACACCAGTTAGAATGGCGATAATTAAAAAGTCAGGAAACAACAGGTGCTGGAGAGGCTGTGGAGAAATAGGAACAGTTTTACACTGTTGGTGGGACTGTAAACTAGTTCAACCATTGTGGAAGTCAGTTTGGTGATTCCTCAGGGATCTAGAATTAGAAATACCATTTGACCCAGCCATCCCATTACTGGGTATACACCTAAAGGATTATACATGATGCTGCTGCAAAGACACATGCACACGTACGTTTATTACGGCACTATTCACAATAGCAAAGACTTGGAACCAAGCCAAATGTCCAACAATGATAGACTGGATTAAGAAAATGTGGCACATATACACCATGGAATACTATGCAGCCATAAAAAAATGATGAGTTCACATCCTTTGTAGGGACATGGATGAAGCCGGAAGCCATCATTCTCAGCAAACTATCGCAAGAACAAAAAACCAAACACCGCATGTTCTCACTCATAGGTGGGAATTGAACAATGAGAACACATGGACACAGGAAGGGGAACATCACACACCGGGGCTGTTGTGGGGTGGGGGGAAGGGGAAGGGATAGCATTAGGAGATATACCTAATGTTAAATGACGAGTTAATGGGTGCAGCACACCAACATGGCACATGTATACATATGTAACAAACCTGCACATTGTGCACATGTACCCTAAAACTTGAAGTATAATAAAAAAAAGAATTAATTCTGATTACGTATTCTGCCGAAATCTCTAGAAGACAGTTAAATTATTATTGCATAAGCAGACTCTGGAGTCCATATAAACTGCAGACAAAATCCAAGAAGAAATCTAATCTAGAAAGAGAGAGCAAAGTGGGTCTAACCTGTGAGCTTGCTGGGTTTTGAACTAATTGGACACATTCGCCAACTTTGAACAGATCAGGTGGCAAAGTCCTGAAGCTTCACAGGCTTGAAGTGTCAGAGGACAAAGTTTTAAACCAGCAGAACCGCTGAAAACTAGGAGGGAGTCCCTACAAGAAGCCCTGAAGAAGGTGAGCTCCAATGCCACCCACATTTTGGGATGAATGCCAAATTCTTCAGGCCTAGGAGAGACCCCTAGTACAGTAAGGAGGCTAAAAGCAAACACACAAACAAAAAACAGAAATGTAAAATACAAAAGCAGAATAGAGATATCAGCTACTATATAATGCTTGAAAAAGAAGGTTACATTTTAAATTCAGGCATGTTAAATTCCCAATAGAACGACAACAAAATAATAACAAAACAATAATTCTGAGGAGAAAACAATAGAATCCAGAGCTGCTATAAAATACTGTATTATTTACAATGTTCATTTCTGAAGCAAAAATTACTAGCTATGCAAAAACAGTAGAAAGGGTACTCAATAGAAATTGAATCCAAGATGTCTCAAATATTTGATTTAGCAGAAAATGACATATATATATGTATACATATATGTGCATCACTAAATAAATAAATAGATTGGGAAAGTCAACAGAGAAATGGAAATTATTAACAGACAAAATATCAACAGATGAAAAGTTGAAAAGCAGAATCACTGAAGTAAATTTTTAAAGTATTTTTGTTGATGTATAATAATTGTACATATTTGGGGGTGCATGTGATATTTGGACTCATTTATACAATGTGGTGTAATTATCAAATCATGGTATTTAGGATATTCATCATATCAAACATTTATCACTTATTAGTGTTGGGAATATTTCAAACCTTTTCTTCTAGCTATTTTGAAATATTCAATAAATTGTTGTTAACTGTATTCACGCTACAGTGCTACACAACCTTAGAACTTAGAATTTATTTCTTCTATCTAGTTGTATGTCTGTGCCCATTAACCAACTTCTATTCATACCCCTCACACCTTCCCAGCCTCTGGTAACCATCATTCCACTCTTTACATTTGTGAGATTAGCTTTCTTTAGTTCCCATCAATGAATGAGAACCTGCAAAATTTGTCTTTCTGTGCCTATTTCACTTAACATAATGACCTCCAGCTCAATCTATGTTGCTGCAAATGATAGGATTTCATTCTTTTTTATGGCTGAATAGTATTGCATTGTGTATACATACCACATTTACTTTGTCCACTCATTGATGGGCACGTAGGTTGATTCCATATCTTGGCCATTGTGAATAGTTCTGCAATAAACAGAGACACAGTTATTCGTTTGATATACTGATTACCTTTCCTTTGGATAAATATCAAGTAGTGGGATTGTTAGATCATATAGTATTACTATTTTTGTGTTTTTGAGAACCTCCATACTACTTTCTATAATGTCGATACTAACTTACATTCCCACCAAGAGTGTATAACAGATTCCTTTCTCTGCATTCTCATCAGCATTTGGTAATTTTTCTGTCTTTTTGATAATAGCCATTTTAACTGATACTTCATTGTGGTCTTGATTTACATTTCCCTAATGCTCAGTGATGTTGAGCATTTTTTCATATACCTTGTGGCCATTTGTGTGACTTCTTTTGAGGAATATCTATTCAGATCCTTTGCCCAATTTTGAATGAGATTAGTTGTGATTTATTGTTGAGTTTCTAGTATATTCTAGATTTTAGTCCTTTGTCAGATAAATAGTTTGCAAATATTTTCTCCCATTCTACAGGATGTTAACTCTGCTGATCATTTACTTTGCTACGAGGTAGCTTTTTAGTTTGGGACTACCATTTGTCTTTTGTTTTTGTTTTTGTTTTCTGTGGTTTTGAGGTCTTATCCTAGACCAATATCCTGAAGTGTTTCCACAATGCTTTTTACTAGTACTTTTATAGTTTCAGGTCTTATGTTTAAGGTTTTAGTTCACTCTGAGTTGACCATTGTATATAATGAGAGATAGGGGTCTAGTTTCATTCTTCTGTATACTGATATCCAGTTTTTCCAGCACCATTTATTGAACAGGGAGTTCTTTCTCTCATGTGTGTTTTTGACACCTTTATTAAGCATCAATTGACTGTAAATATCTGGATTTATTGCTCTATTCTCTTCCATTTATCTATGTGTCTGTTTTTATACCAAAACCATGCCATTTTAATTACAATAGTTTTGTAGTATCATTTGAAGTCAGGTAGTGTAATGCCTCCAGCTTTATTCTTTTTGCTCAGTATTACTTTGGCTTATTAGGGTCTCGTGGTTCCATATGAATTTCAGGACTGTTATTTCTGTTTCTATGAAGAATTTAATTAATATTTTGAGGGGGCTGCACTGAATCTATAAATTTTTTTAGTAGTATGGTCATTTTAGTAATTTCAATTCTTTTGATTCATGAGCATGGGATGTCTTTTAGCTCTGTCAAGCTTTGTTTTATTTATATTAATGGGTTGTTGTTTACTGAATGGACATTTAGAATTGCTGTGTCTCCTGTATCCTGGGTCCCCTTATTATTACATAATCACCCTTTCTATCTTCAGTGACTTTTTTTGCTCTGAAGTCAACCTTAGCTGATGCTAATATAGCCTTGCTTTTAAGAAAAGCCTGTGTGGTATACATTTTTTTTTATCCTTTTACTTTCAGCCTACCTATGTTATTTTATTTGAAATGAGTTACTCGTAGTCACTATATCATATCGTTTGATCATGGTTATTTTTTTACAACCATTCAAATAATGTTTTTTAAATCATGTATTTAGACCACTAATTACCTAAGGTAATTATTTACATGTTAGGCTTAAGTCTTCCATATTATTATTTCTTTTTTAACTTTGTTTTTCTTTTTCTTTATTTTTCTGCTTTGGCCTTTCTTTTGAAACTCCCCTGTGGGTTAATTAAACATATTTTAGAATTTCATTTTTACTTATTTATAGTGTTTTTGAGTATACTGCTTTGTTTAGTTCCTCAGCAGCCATTTTAGGTATTATAATATGTGTATATTATTTACTAAATCCTACTGATATGTTTTATCACTCTAAAGTATGTAAACTTTACTTCCTTTTAGGTCATTTAATTTTCCCACTTTTAAAATATAATTATTTTTATTATTTCTCTATATAAATTGAGCACTAAATCAAAAGATATTATTTTACATAAGCCATCAAATATGATTTAAGACACTCTGGAGAGAAAAATATTTAATTTATTTCTACTTTTGTTGACTTTTATGTTCTATTTTTTCTTTCTGAAGTTCCAAGTTTTTTTTTCCAATTTCTTTCTGTTTAGAGAACTTTCTTTAATCATTTTATAAAAGTAGATTTGCTAGCAACAGTTTTTCTATCTATATATTCAGTGTAATCCCAATCAAAAATCCCAGTGAGATTTTGTGTAGAAATTTAAAAACTCGCTCTAAAAATCATTAGATATGCAAAGAAACTAAAGCAGTCTTAGCAAATGTAAAAAAAACTTAATTTCTGGGGACATATGCTAACTGACTTTAAGAAATTAAAATTAAGACAGTACTTATGTATCTCAATAAAGCTTTTAAACACAACAATAAAAGTGTTCGTTCTTTGAGAGAGATACTATCAATACAATATATAACAAGGCACAGGCTGAAAGAAAGTAACAAAATGCAAATTTCTGACGGGAACTTACATATATAAATAACTTTTAGAATTTAATAATAAGAAGACTATTCAATAAAAATGACAAAAGAGCAAAGTGTTCAAGAAGGCATTCCACATACACACAAAAAAAGATATACACAAATGTCCAATAAGCACAGAAAAACAAATGGTCATCCTCATAAATCATTAGGGAAATGTAAGCTTCCCCAAAGACGTGCCACCACACATCCACTAGTGTAGCCAAAATTACTGTAACCCAAGGTGCCTAGGTTTTCACTGCAAAGAAGTAGCCACTTGTAACTGCTCCATCTTGAGTTCTTGTTGTTTCAGAAAAGTTTCAGAGCAAAGGTGAAAGTAAAGCTCTTACTGGGCTGGTTAGCTGAGTCATTGCATGTAGAGGTAGAATAAAGGCAGCACAGGCGCAGTCATTGATCATGCTGTGCCACTGATTATGACCAGCCCCAGCAAAACAAAAACAAGATGGATCCAGAGATGCCTGAGTTGCAGGTGAATTTGGCAAACTCTCATCATTGCCATACTAAAAACACAGCCCAGGGAGGAGCTTACTCTCCATTTTCCACACATGCGTCTTAGGTAGAAGCATGATCAATGACTGTGCCTGCACTGCCTTTACTCCACCTCCATATGCAATGACTCAGCTAATCAGCCCAGTAAAAGCCTTATTTTCACCTTTGTTCAGGGAGGCACTGCTTTGGGGGACTACCTCTGGTTTCTTCCTTACCTGTTGCAAGTAATAAAATGTCCTTGTTAAATCCTCCTTGGTTGTGGTCATTGGACTGTCACCCACCAAGCAATTGAACCCACCTGTTGTGTCGGTAACATTACTGACAATACCAAATGTTGGTGAGGACAATATCAAGTATTTGTGTTGCTTTCATATGTAGCTTGTAGGAAACATTGTCCATTTCTTTTTTTTTTAATAGTTTAACTTTTATTTTAGCTTCAGGGGAACAAGTGCAGGTTTGTTATATAGGTAAACTCACGACTCAGGGTTTTGGTGTACAGATTATTTCACTTACCATGAGATCCAGAAGTCCCACTCTTGAGTTTTTATTCCGGTGAGATGAAAACTTATGTCCATGTAAATACTTTTATGTGCATTCATAGAGATAATTTATAATATTGCCAAGTTAGAAACAACTCAAATGTCCACTAATAGAAGAGTGAATGGAAAATGTAATGGAGAGCTAGTCAGCAAAAGAAAGGAATGATCTACTCATATATTCAGGAACATGGATCAATCTCAAAAGCATTGTGCTAGCGAAGGAAGACAGACACAAAAGACTATATTGTGTATGTACACAATTAATATTAAATTGTAGAAAAGACAAAACTCTGCCAATATTCTCATTGCTCTGATTTTGTAATAGTCAGGACAGCCTAAACATTTGCTATATTTTTTTAATTTTTAATTTTAATTTTTGTGGGTATAACATTCACTATATTAAGATCATGCATGTGCCCCCAAACCTAATTCTTTTCTTAAGTCTAGTTTTATAAATGCTAATGATGAACGCAGAAAAGAAAAAGGAGATAAAAAAGACAAAGAAAAGGCATAACTTTAGTAATAGAAACAGCTCAATGGTTTCCCAGGGCTGCATTTGGGGGAAGACATTAATTACAAAAGGTCATGAGGAAAGTTTCTGGGGTGATATAAATTTTCTGTATCTCAATTTTGGTGGGTAAGTGGCTATACCAGTTTGTAAAAACATATGAAATATGTACACTTAAACAAATTTTATTTTATCCAAATTATACTTACAAAATGGCCTTTTTAAATGATTGACAGTAGCAAGTACTTCTGGTTAAGCACCTGGCTGAGAGGTGAAAGAGGTTGAACTCCTATACACTTGTTGATGAGAAAGTAAAATGGAACAAACACTTTGGGAAACTGACCACTTCCCTCTCAAAGCTAGATACATTATTCATTAAATATTCCAGGAGTTCCATTCCTAAGTATTTGCCAAAAATAAATGAAAATGTACCTTTATGCAAAGGCTTGTACAGAAATGCTTATTGAAGCTTTATTCACAGTAGCAAAAACAAGAAAATCGTATATACAAGTATTAATCAAGAAGTGAACAATAAATAAAATGAGGTATATCCATATAATAGGATAACAATATAAATGACCATAACAGTAACAATATAAGTGAGCTATAGATATGCAAAAACATGGATGAATCTCAAAGTCGCTATGTAGATTGAAAGATGCCATATACAAAAAGTCCACATTGTACAATTCTACTTACAAAATTTTTTAAAATGCCAACTAATCTACAGTGAAAGAAAACTAATCAGTGGTTGCTTGTCCATAATGTTCACTGCTGATGGTCCAGTGCCTCCCAAAAGCCTTACACATAACAGGAATGACAATGATGATGATGATGATGATGATGATAGTAACTATTTGATATGTATTTATTGAATATATAATGTATTAAGAGACTATTAATAATGACCCTAACTCCTAAAGTGGTATTATGGTGGAGGCCCTTTATAAATCTCAACACCAGAGACCAATAATTAAGGGGTATGTAGTGGGGAGTAGGCAAGTGATATGAGAGCATTGGTTTAAAAAAAATGTATTGAGAAATGTGGAAGCAATTAATCAGTCGTGTGTGGATGGGATGAAGACAGTCTTATGTAACTGGGGACTTCGACTAATTCTTCAGTGAGTTACTGGATTTAAGAAAATAATACCTAAGGGGATAGGGCCTGAGGCCCATTCATGTAGGTGGGAGTGACAACGGGAGCTCTGCAGAGCAGTTACATTTACTGTGATATCAGAAAACCAATGTAAATAATTGTCATGTGTCCTACAAGTAGTCTGTTATTAACAGCAGTACAGATATATGAATGTTGTACTTTGGATTGTATAAGTAAAGTGGATCCAAGGTTAATTCAGTAATAAGTTTGCTCTTACTTACTTGCCTTCTGATACATTTTTTTGAATGGGTCAGAAAAAGTTTAGGTTAATATGAATGTACATCTTAAGTCTACATGTACTAGTAGTATGTTGCACAGATTCATGCCTTCTGTCACGTGTTCTTCCACACAGTAAAGGTAGAGAAGTGCTGCTGTGAGTTATACCTGAGTGTTTAAGAAAATGTGGTACAGATGGAATATGCAGCCACAAAAAAGAATGAGATCATGGTTTTTTTAAGGAACACAAATGGATCTGGAGGCCATTATCCTTAGCAAACTAACACAGGAACAGAAAATCAAATACTGCATGTTCTCACTTGTAAGTGGGAGCTAAATGATGAAAATTTGTGAACACAAAGAAAGGAACAAGAGACAGTGAGGTTGGAGGGTGGGAGGAGGGAAAGGAGTAGGAAAAAATAACCATTGGGTCCTAGGCTTAGTACCTGGGTGATGAAGTAATCTATACAACAAACCCACATGACACAAGTTTACCTATATAATAAACCTACACAAGTACACCTGAACCTAAAATAAAAGTTAAAAAAAGAAAAAAGAAAACTAAGAGGGCTGAGCTTGGAGCCCCTTGAGGCAACAATGGAGTTGGATATTTAGGTCTAGTAAACCTTACACTGGGTGCAACAATAACTAACATGTTCTCTAATAGACTGAACTGTCTCATAGTGATAGGTTTTAGGGATGCAAAAATGAACTAGAGACAGAAATGTGTTCCCAAGAAATCTGAAGTATTGCAGGGGATCAAAAACTCTTCCCTTAGGCTTGATTTTCATGCTTTCTTCTCAGAAAGTGACTCCCTGAAAAAGTTTAAGAACTTCCTCCTCTTTATCCTCCTTCCAACTCTTTCCCCCAATTCAATTTTTATTATTACTTTCAATTTTATTTATATATTTATTTATTTATTTTGGGAAACACAGTCTTTCTTACTCTATCACCCATGCTGGAGAGCAGTGGTACAATCTCAGCTCACTGTAGCCTGGACCTCCAGGGCTGAGGCAATCCTCCCACCTCAGCCTTCTGAGTAGTTGGGACTACAGGTGCATGACATCATGCCCAGCTAATTTTTGTATTATTTTGTGTAGAGATGGGATTTTGTCATATTGTTCATGCTGATCTAATTTTTAATGTTTGTGGATACTTATATTTGTTTGTTTAACATCTTCCCTATCCTATAAGCTCTCTGAGAGCAAGGACCACTTTTTTTTCACAATGTATACACAGGGCTTCATACAATATGTGGCACAAAGAAACACTGTAAATATTTATTGAAGAAATATATTCAAAGATAAATAAATTAAAAGGTGAACAAATGAATAAACATATGTATGTATTTTTCAGTTTTTAACCTCAGGGCAAGCTCTGTTAGGAGGGGGGTTTATTTTTGTTTGTTTGTTTCAAAAGCTGTTCACAGGGGCTTATGAGAAGTGTCGAAAAGTCATTTCTGATTAGCGTGTATGTGTCCAGCAGCACCACCTGTGACTAATTCACTCTTATTTTCCAGAGATGGATTTCAGAGCTTGGTAATGAGTGGCTACATAGCTTTAATGGCAGTGCTACCTGGACATGAGTGCTTAGCAGACAGTTCTTGTGGGAAGCAAGGGGCAAATCCCAGATGGCCAATGTTTCAAAGCCTAGCAACACCTTGCACCCATCCCACCACATGACATTAAACTGCCCATTATTTAGACTGAAATCATCACCTATGTCCTACCAAAGGAGACACTGATTAACAGGATTCCCAACTCTACCAGACTCCCAATTCTGTGTGCATTAGGTCGACCTGAGAAATGTGGTGGTATTGGCTGGTAAGTGAACACTGGGCCAGCTAAGAGGTCCCGGGCAGGAGAAAGAAGGCCAACATATGGTCTTAGTGAGGTATGACTTTGGGAAGCCACTTATCTACCTTGAGCTTCACTTGGCTCATCTATCCAGTGTAGATACACATAATTTTCCAACAAATCATGGTAGGTTACATGAAATTAGGCACACTCCAACTGTTTGGCCTTAACATGTATATGCACATGCAAGGCATGTACTCAAAAACACTTTGTGTCTATTTGTTCTTTAAAAATTACATTTAAATATTTTTAATTTTTCAATTAAAAT
The DNA here is from genome assembly GCF_000001405.40 of Homo sapiens. Taxonomy (NCBI): domain Eukaryota; kingdom Metazoa; phylum Chordata; class Mammalia; order Primates; family Hominidae; genus Homo; species Homo sapiens. The sequence continues at coordinate 131,429,241 of NC_000008.11, read as the reverse complement.
GGTAGATGCTTTTACACATACAAGAAGGTACAAAGGATAATAAAATGAATATTCATGAATTCACTACCCATTTTTATAACATTGAGTCTTCCAACTCATAAATGTACATACTACAATCTCTATTTATATAAATCAACTCCAATGTCTTTCAAGAAAGTTTTTAATGCTCTCCATAAAGGCTTTGCATATTGTTAAATTCTTTTGTAGATTCCTTTATGTTCAGTTACTATTTCAACTGTATCTTGTCTTTTTAAAACTTGCAATTGCTGTGTACTTCTTGTGTTTCATATATTGATCTGATATCTAGCAAACTTAATGAACATCTTTTGTCATCCTAACATTTAATATGTATATTTCTTGGCTTTTCTATATTACATCACCTGTAAATAATCCAGTTTGGATTATTTTTCAGTACTTTTCATTATTTAGTTTTTGATTATATGATACCAGCTAGAATCTCCAGTTAAGTGGTGATAGGGTTTTGCTGTGTCCCCACCCAAATTTCATCTTGAGTTGTAGCTCCCCAAATTCCCTCTTGTTGTGGGAGGGACCTGGTGGGAGATAATTGAATCATGGGGGCAGGTGTTTCCAATGCTGTTCTTGTGATACTGAATAAGTCTCATGAGATCTGATGGTTTTTATAAAGGGGAGTTCCCCTTCACAAACTGTCTTGCCTGTGGTCATGTAAGATGTGCCTTTGCTTCACCTTCCACAATGATTGTGAGGCCTCCCCAGCCATGTGGAACTGTGAGTCCATTAAACCTCTTTTTCTTTATAAATTTCTCAGTCTCAGGTATGTCTTTATTAGCAGCATGAAAACAGACTAATACAGTAAATTGTTACTGGGAGAGGAGCATTGCTGTAAAGGTACCTGAAAATATGGAAGCGCCTTTGGAACTGGCTAACACGCAGAGGTTGGAACAGTTTAGAGGGCTCAGAAGAAGACAGGAAAAAGTGGGAAAGTTTGGACCTTCCTATAGACTTGTTGAATGGCTTTGACCAAAATGCTGATAGTGATATGGAGAATAAAATCCAGGCTGAGGCGGTCTCAGATGAAGATGAGGAACTTGTTGGGAACTGGAGTAATTCACTTTTGCTGTGCAAAAGGACTGGCAGCATTTTGCCCCACCTTAGAGGCTTGTGGAACTTTGAACTTGAGAGAGATGATTTAGGGTACATGGCAGAAGAAATTTCTAAGCACCAAACTATTCAAGCGGAAACAGTATAAAAGTTTGGAAAATTTTCAGGCTGACAACGCAATAGAAAAGAAAAACCCATTTTCTGGGGAGAAATTCAAGCCCTCTGCAGAAATTTGCAAAAGTAACAAGGACCTGAACGTTAATCACCAAAACAATGGAGAAAATGTCTCCAGGGCATGTCAGAGACTGTCACAGCACCCCTTCCATCACAGGCCTGAAGGCCTAGGAGGTCAAAATAGTTTCGTGGGCTGGACCCCGGGTGCCCCTGCTCTGTGCAGCCTAGGGACTTGGTATCCTGTGTCCCAGCTGCTCTAGCCATGGCTAAAAGGGCCCAAGGTATAGCTCAGGCCATGGCTGTAGAGGGCCCAAGCCCCAGGCCTTGGTGGCTTATGCATGGTGTTGGGCCTGTGGGTACACAGAAGTAAATAATTGAGGTTTGGGAACCTCCACCTGGATTTCAGAGGATGTATGGAGACCCCTGGATGACCAGGCAGAAGTTTACTGCAGGGGTGGGGCCCTCATGAAGAACCTCTGCTAGGACAGCATGGAAGGAAAATGTGAGGTGCAAGCCTCCACATAGAGTCCCCTCTGGGGCACTGTCTAGTGGAGTTGTGAGAAGAGGGCCACCATTCTCCAGACCCCAGAAGGGTAAATCCACAAACAGCTTGTACTGTGCACATGGAAAAGCTGCAGACACTCAATGCCAGCCCATGAAAGCAGCCAGGAAGGAGGCTGTACCCAGCAAAGCCACAGGGGTGGAGCCCAAGACCATGGAGATCCACCTCTTGCATCAGCCTGAATGGATGTAAGACATGGAGTCAAAGGAGATCATTTTGGAACTTTGAAATTTGACTGCCCCATTGGATTTTGGACTTGGATGAGGCCTTTAGCCCCTTCTATTTGACCAATTTCTCCCATTTGGAATGGGTGTATTTACCCAATGCCTGTACCCCAGTTGTATCTAGGAAGTAACTAACTTGCTTTTGATTTTTGATTTTACAGGCTCATAGGTGAAACAGACTTGCCTTGTCTCAGATGAGACTGTGGACTTTTGAGTTAATGTTAAAATGAGTTAAGACTCTGGGAGACTGTTGTGAAGGCATGATTGGTTTTAAAATGTGAGGACATGACATTTGAGAGGGGCCAGGGGCAGGATGATACAGTTTGGTTGTGTCCCAAGGCCTCCCTAGCCATTTGGAACTGTGAGTCCATTAAAGCTATTTTTCCTTTATAATTTATCCAGTCTTGGGTACACCTTTATTAGCAGCATGAGAACAGATTAATACAAGTGGTAAATGTAAACATGCAATGAACGCCTTATGCTCCCAAAGTTGGTTTTAGGTGATCATTCTTTTGCAGTTTACCAAAATTTCTATCTATTCCTATTTACTTTTAAATCTCAAGCCTCTAGCTCTGCAACAAAGTAGATATCTAATAATTAGCTGAATGTTGAATGAATATTATAAAGTTGTTTATGCTGAATTACTGAAAAAATGGCACATATAGACAATGTTTTCAGGACTTAGAGGTGAGTTTGTACTGTGGATTCTAATAATTAAGTGACTTTAAACTAATAGATTAAAAATATGAGTTGGACATTAAAACTATTAAGTGCCAAATCTGATTTCTTTATTTTAATGTGGTAAGAATATATAAAATGAGATCTTCATGTTGTTATCTGTAGATAAAATATTGTGCAGCAAATTTTCAGGACTTATTTATTTTGCATAACTGAAATTTTATCCTCATTCATTTGCATCTCCCCATTTCCCCTTCCTTATGGATAAATGGATTTAAAAATTGCAGTATAAACATACAATAGTATATTATTTCACCATAATTTAGAAAGAAATCCCGCTACAGGCAACATCATGGATGAAACTGGAGAACATTATGTTAAGTGAAATAATCCAGTCTCAAGGACAAATATTGCATGAGGTGGCTAAAATCTTCAAATTCATTAAATACAGAGAGTAGAATGGTGATATTCTTATATGGAACTCTTATATCAACTTAAGGATTAAATGTTATCTCTGCTTTTCCATAAAGAAACTATTAAGGGAAAAGTGAGACTTTGAGCATGCTTTCAGGTTCATGATCTCTACATTATGCCCAGGCCCACCTTAGACACCTCTGTCTATGCATGATAATATGAGGCTTGGATAGGCAGGACAGAGAAAAAGAACAAAGTCAGGATGCCTAGGCCATCCCTTAGAGTATATAGCACCTGCAACAGATGCCCTAACACACTGTATAATCTAAAACAAAAAGGAATTGGTCTTTAACATAATTGCCTTGCCTGTCTTCTTAGCTATTGATGAACTAAGGCATCATCTTAAAAAAGAGGTTGTTTCAGATCACTGTGCATCAACATTTTGCATCTGTGACTAGACCTGCTGATCCAGGATGTTTTACATCTCAATCCACAACTATTAACCAATGTTCATGCAGTGCCTGAGCACACATACAGAACTTGTGATCTGCAGCACTGGCTGAGGATGTCAGTCCACTGGTGTATATTGGAAAGCTAATTGGGGATTCTTTAAAGGGAACTATTGTTTGTTGAATAACTTTTATGTTTGCTCTATGTTTTTACCTTGGATTCTGATAGGTTGATAAATAAACTCTCTTGACCTAATTTATTGCTAGAATCATAGACTCATTGTTAAATTCAGCTCCAAGGTAATATTAAGGATCAAGTAGGTGCCAGACACTGTGCTAGTTGCACTCAGAGGCAAGTAAGCAATTGCCCTTGCATTCTAATTGGAATACAGGCCACCATTTTCATGTGCCCTCATTCCCCCTAGTATTAGATAGGACCCTCCCACACATTTTCTTCATATCACATTTTATGATAAGATTTTGTTCCTGTTTAATATTCTTAAATACCTTGAGCAAGAAAGTGGCTAAGAAGGGCTCAGGAATAGGATAAAAGATAATTTTAGCCTTAGCAGATATCAGTAAGAAATGACTCTAGAGAATGGTAATGAGAAGCAGAATAAGTACTGCATTTGCAGGTATTAAAAATGTTGCAAAAATTACCTGTACAAATGAACCTACCTGAGTATAAATATTGAGAAATTGGGATAGGGAAGGTGTCACCAGCATGGTGCACAGGAAGGAAAGGCTAGAATGGTGATCTTGCTTCTGTTGGGGGAAAGGAGACTGGATATCTAGCCAGACTTCTGCTCCTCTGCTCTGAGACTGACTGCACAGGTATGCCAGCTGGCAGTACACATGGAGAAAACCACAATTAATGCAGACAGCTTTCATGTATTTGCATTTGATGTTTGGGGGGATTCCTCTGTGTGTTGAGGTTTTCTCATTTTATTCAGACCTTGGTTCAAATGCCATTTCTATAATAAGGACTTTCTTGACCAACCTATTTAAAATAATACCCCCTATATCCACTCAATCTCTGTTCCTTTTATCTTTTATACTTTTTATCTTGGAATGTATTACCAGCTTTGTCTATTTGTTTGTCTATTTGTTTATTTTTTATTTTCCCCTTCTAGAAAGTAAGTTGTATAAAATGAGAACTTCACCATCTTTGGTTCACTGTTCCATTCCTAGTGTCTATAACAATGCCTCAAAGTGGACTAGCATCTACACTATTTTTCTTTGGACCTAAATTTTCTTAAGGTTGTGTATCTGATTCATTCAGTCTACTATGCTCTTTGAGAAAGATTGGGCTTTTTTCCAAGAGTCTCTAAGGTGGTATGCCATTCCCAGCTGTATTGTAAACTGACTAGTAATTTCCACTCTTCAATAGACAGCAGAATTAAAACAGGCTCTTTTTCAGAGGCCAACTGAGAACTCACCTGGAACTGTTAGCATTACCCATGCAGTAATGACTTTAACTAAAAGTTCTCACAAGATAGCCAAGTGAACCTTACTTGATCATTTGTTTTTCAATAAAGATGCTATATTTTTATTTTTTCTTTGTAATGTGATCCAATTGTGGATCCCTATAGTGCCCTATACTGATGATTCTGAGCATTCCAATCACATAGCCAATATCTGTCCTCCTTGAAGACAGATTATAATATATGAAATACATATGAATATAATGTAATGTTTACATATTACATATAATGATATATAATTATATAATATATGTTATGTAATGTATCATAATATATAATGATTACACACTATTATAATAATATATATTATGTATAATACACGTGCTACTACACTTACTCATTGTATGTTAAACCCATCATAAATTGAAACCCATAAACCCATCATAAATCGAAAATATCACAAATCGACCAGCCTGGGAAACATGGCGAAACCCCATCTCTACTAAAAATACAAAAATTAGCCTGGCGCAGTGGTGTACACCTGCGCACCTCCAGCTACTTGGGAGGCTGGGGCAGGAGAATGGCTTGAACCCGAGAGAGGGAGGTTGCAGTGAGCTGAGATTGCACTCCAGCCCAGATGATGAGAGTGAAACCCTGTTTCAAAAATGAAAAGAAAAGAGAAAAGATCACAAATCTCAAGTGCATTTAATATATCTAATCTACTGAATGTCATAGTTTATCTTATCCTATCTTAAATGTGCTCAGAACACTTACATTAGCCTGCAGTTAAGCAAAAATCAACTACCACAAAGCTTATTTTATAATAAAGTGTTAAATGCTTATAATACAGGGATGTAATTTATTGAATACTGTATCGAAAGTGAAAGCAGAATGGTTGTATGAGTACCCAAAGTATGGTTTCTACTGGATGCATATTGCTTTTGCACCACTTTGAAGTAGAAAAATTGAAAGTCGAACCACTGTACTTTGGAGACATCTTTATCATATTACATTTTATGTTAATATTATATATGTTTATATATGTTAATATATAATATAATATATTGTAATTAATACATTATGTTAATATAATTATATATTAATTATGCATGATTAATATATTTAATTATATTAATTATGCATGATTAATATATTTAATTATATTAATTATGATAGCATTAATGATACAGCTAACAATTATATATTGATATATTCAGTTAATATATAATCCAGCCCTTGGCAGAAAACCTTGCCAAATCTGTTAAATATTCATGACAAAATTATGAAATTTTTCTCTCTACATTTTTTCATTTCTTAAGTAAGGATAATTGCAGTGCATATCCCATAAGGTTAAATAACTTAATAAATATAAATGCTTTGGAACGATATTTGGCATTTTGTACTAACACAATAAATATTACCTATTGTGATGATAAGTAATCACACCCTTCTCCTTTATGGAATCTGAAATAATTGAGAAAGAATTGCTGAAGTGTTTTGTACCTTTAGCTTATATAAATATACCACATAGAACATACCTTGTGTTTAGCACTCTTCCAAGCACTTTACAAATGTTAATTTACTTCATCTTCATAATGACTCTTTGAGGTGGTTACTGTTATTACTGCAGTTTTATAGATGGGGAAACCAAGGCACAGAAAGATTTTTATTGTTGTTGTTGTTGCTTTGGTTGTAACTTGCCTGAGGTCACATAGCTAGTCGGTGAAGGAATCACTATAAACCTCCTGAAGCTTGACTGGGACTCCCCTGAGCATTTGACCATGCTCCTATTGAATTAGTCTAATTTTCCCACTAAGTGGCAGATGAAGAAACCTCATCTGGTGGGCGGAGACTTGGGATCTGCAGAGGGGAACTAAAGATCCTGCAGGAACAGAACCTTTCTCCCAGGCACCACAATCAGGTACCTACTCCCACTCTCCAAGGGCTGAGTGTGTCAGATTGGTGAGAATACAGTGTCAATTCGTATAGTTCTGTCCTGCAGGGAGGAATGGGAGTCCTCTCTCCTCACTCCAAGCTTGAGGCATTTGAGTAAGGGCTTCCCTCTATGGGAAGCAGTACTTGCTTCTAGAGGAGGCTTCCCTGCACTCACTCAGGACATGCTGGAAAAGCTTTATTTCCATAAAGTGGCAGATTCTAGGAATCTCTTGTTTAGGGAGGACTGGTGGTGAGTCACTGCTGATAACTACAGAGAGAGGCAGAACTGCTGTCTTGAATCAGAAAGCAATCAAAGTAACAAGATCTAACATGTATTGAGCAAATGCTACATTACCTCTAACCATCACAATCGCCCTGTGTGGTGGGTGTCTTTATGCCTATTTTACAGATAAGATAATTTAGAGTCACAGAGAGTCACTAATTTCCCCAAAGCCACGAGGTAGATAAATGACAGTGACAGAATTTGAACCAAGATAGGTCTGAATGCAAAACCAACCCTCTTAACACCTGGCCTAGAAGCTAGACAAGGTCTTAAGCTGATTATTACACACAACTCCCAGTGCCTGACAGTGGGAAGGAGTTTATGCCATGACCTCCTGGAGGGATGGGACAGGTCTTATTAATATTGGTGGCCCCAAGCCTATCACAGTACTTACCATATGATAAGTGCTCCCCCCCAGGAGGGCTGACATTTGGACCCTACATTCCCACAATTCAACTTGGAGACTCTGACTATTTGGGAAGGCTATAGGTGCCATAATTAAATGCACAGGACGTACAATGAGCAGATTGTGGTCCAACCCCTAGGACCTCCCCTTACATTTTCCTTACTTAGCAGATGGCCACGTCTCCTGGGTGTGCTGTGAGAATTTCCTGAGCACTGGTAAGTGAAATTCCCACTTCAGAATGCAAGCCCAAATAAGTCATGCCTATTCACCATCACTACTACTACTGCTACTACTACTGGGATCCCAGTGTCTTCTCTTGTAATATGATATGTTTGAGTGAATAGTCTTTAAGGCATCCTTCAACTTTCAGTTTCTAGGATCCCAAGACCCTGCTTATTTACTGAGCAGGACCTCTCAAACTCTCAGAGACTTTAGTAATTCATTTGAAAATGACTACTGACCAAAGCTTTACTCCAGATTTTTTCTTCTATAAGGATTTCTTACATTTGAAGTTTAGAGTTGTCTGCTATAAGGTTCCAACAGTTAACCTAACCTGTCCTGGAGCCTAATATGGCTAATGACTGTTTTGTGTATGTGGTAGCAATTTTCTTCCTTTCTGTCATGACTTGCATTGCCCCTCTCCCTGGAATAATGCCCCCACACTCAAACATACACATGTTTGCATTCTTTCATCATCAGATCAATGCCATATTTTTATGTCCTCCTAGTATTTTTATCTGTACTGTCCATAGCACTCCATATCATTTATGATGATTACTTATAGCTATGTCCTAAACTTATATTCTAAATGAGAGATACTTGAGAGTAGAAGTTATATCCTATTCATTCTTTTCCTCTTTGCGTAATGTCTTGCACTCAGTAATTATAGAGTAATATTTTTGGAATGAAGGAAAAAAAAGAGGAAGGAAGACAGAATTTGTTTGGTCATATTAATTTTCTATTAATAAACTAATAATTGGGTAGTGTTTTAATCCACTGCATTGGTGATGATTGTTGCACAGATTACCACAAATGCAGTGGGTCGAAATATTACCTAATTATTAGTTTACAGTTCTGTAGTTCAGAAGTCCATCATGGGATGACTAGGTCATCTTCACAAACCTGAAATCAAGGTATCAAAACACTGAGTTCTCATCTGGATGCATTGGGGAAAAGTCTGCTTCCAAGCTTCTTTTGTTTGATTGCAAAATTTAGCTCCTTGTGCTTATAGGACTTGAGGTCACTGCTTTCCTGCTGGATGTAAGGTGGGGGCTACTTTCAGCAACTAGAGGCCACCCACATTCCTCTGCATGTGGTCCCCTCCATTTTCCATCTTTAAGCTAGGATCAAGAGGTCTAAATCTCTGATTTTGTCTCTGACCTCTAGACCCAGACTTAAAGGGCTTCTGTGATTAGGTCAGATTCACCCAGATAATCTCCATATCTTAAGGATATGATAATCTCCATATCAACCGATTTGAGACCTTAAATGTGTCTTCAAAATCCCTTTACAATAACACCCACATCAGTGTTTGCTTATATAACTGGGAGATGTATGTACATCAAGAAGTCAAGGATTTGGGAAACAACTTAAAATGTCTGCCTGATACACTGATCAGTTACCTTGTTGAGCTAAATTGTTTTGGACTTTTATTAGTACGAGAACATTTATGAGTAAAAAGTCTGGGATCCACATACATAGTTTACATCTTGGCTTGCTGAACTATGATGATATAATAAAATGGAAATACTTCTAGGTTTGGAGTCACTAGACCCTATTAGGATCCTGTTTTACCACTTACACCATCTGACTTCCACTCAGGTCTCTTAAATGTTGAATGAAGACATTGTAATTAACTCATGGAATTGCTGGGCCATTAACTTCATTTAAGAGCTTCCCAGCACCTAAGAATTGGTGTGTCTGGCAGCTTTTATTTAGGTTCAGACCCAGGTCTTCTGGCCTCACTTGTCTCCAGGGCCCTTGCCACTTGTTCCACATCATGCACCTCTTTGGGCACAGGATCTGCATGTGCTATCAACTCTTACACTCTGTGGCTCTCAAATAGACACTGCAGCATCCGCCTCATCTCACAGGCTGACCTGGCCCACCTGTGGCTATTGCCCCCTGCTCTCTAGTTCTGTGGCATAACTTGAATCAGCTTCACCCAGAGGGTGACCCTTTGGGCTTCCTCAGAATCTGCTGAAGGGGCCAGGTAATAATCTGGAAGTGCAAAAGGATTAATTCCTCTGGGATGAAAGTTGGCCAGTAGCAGCCAGGAGGAAATAATCTGAAAATTTTCCTATCTCTCCCATTCCCTAAAAGCAAGACTGTTCCAATGAGCAGCAGCCTCATTTTCTCTGAGTTTGTCTCAGAAGAATAGTAAGCAGCTTATTAGTAATATGTATCCATCTGTACTATGGTGTAGACAAGCAGGCTAAAAACAAACAATTGATGTTTAATAGGTGTGAAGCAATCAATTTTGTTGCATCTTAAAACTACCTGGGTACTGGAACCCATGGCTTAGAAGGTCTCTCTCTGGCTCTTCTTTAGCTACTTTTTGCCCAGGTAATATGTTTTCAGTGCCAATGGATTTCCCCACCTGGGTCACACCCTAGTTGAAATTTCTGCATGTGACACTCTCTTCCTCTTGCTTTATTTTTCCCTATCTCCCAACCCATATTTGCAAGCAAATTATTCATAAATATATTTGTCTATATTCACTGTCAGATATGAAACTCTCTGAGTTCATGACTGCTCTTTTATATATATAGTTTATTACACATATAATACTTCATATACATTCTCCCAAAAAACTTGAAAGAACATGCTATTTTTATCTCTATTTCATAAGTGAGAAAACTGAGGAGCAGTGTACTAAAGACATTAACTCTCAAGATTCCATAGCTAGGCAATAGTGCAATGAGGATTTTTAACCACTGTATTGTGCAAAAGCAGCATCATAGAGGGTGATGTAAGCCACAGGAGGGAACAAATTAACTGGGAAAGTTCATAAAGTAGGAACTTACCCAATCTGGGACTAAGCCTGAGAAGCCCCAACATTACATAGATGAGTTAGGATAAGGTGGTTGCAGAGGTACCTGAGAAAGAATGACCTCAGAGGCAAGAAGAAAACCAAGTATTTGTGTCACAGATGTCAAGGGAAGACTGTGTTTCCTTTAGCTTTCCCTGGACTGATTCCATGTGTTCTCGTTGTCATTTCTATGGATGATATTAGGTTCTGCTTTTCACAGATGATCCAAGAAGGGTCCAGAGTCACTATCACTGGAAGTCAGTGGCCTCCTCTCCACTCACCTTGGCCTGATCTGCAGTCAGATCCATGCATACCCTACAAGGGTACCTCTCCATAGATTTTCAAAGGATGAATAAATAAATCAGAGAGCTGATTTTCACAAGTCATATGTACCCATGGATTCATTTCCTACGGCTGCCATAACAAAACAAAAAAACAAAAAAAACTGAGTGATCCAAATGACAGAAATTTATTCTGGAGTTTAGAAGTCTGAGAGCAAGGTGTCTTCAGTGCCACGTTCCCTCTGAAGTTTCAAAGGAAGAATCTATCCTAGGCCTCTCTCTTACATTCTGGTAGTTCCTTGGCTTATGGCACCATAACCCTTATATTTACACATCATTCTTTTCATGTATGTGTTTTTCTCCAAATTTCCCCTTTTTATAAGAACACAAGTCATATTGGATTAGGGGCCCATGCTACTCTAGCATGACCTTGTCTTAACTAATTACATTTGCAATGACATCATTTTGAAATAAGGTCACATTCTGAGGTAACTGTGGTTAAAACTTCAACATATTTTTTTTTTGTAGGGGGACACAATTCAACCCATAACAGCATATATACTCTTTCTGTTTCAGCATCCTTATTTCCTTCTGATCACTGATGTCAGCCTTGGAAGCCATACGACATCACAGCTAAGATGATGGGCTCTGGGTTCTGTTTGCTATTCACCAGCTGTGTGATTTTGAGCAAGCTACTTTGCCTCTCTATTCTCAGTTTCCTTATTTGTAAACTTGGAATAACAATGGTTCCTATTCTTCTGAGTTGTCATGAGGAGCCAAAGAATGCATGAAGCATTTATCATGGCACCTGGAATCTAGTATGTACTAGATATATTTACTTGTTTATTACTATAAATCTATGACCTTGCATTTAGGTGGAGTTTGAATTTATAAAGCAGGTTTCCACATCTAACATCATTTGATCAACATAGAACCTTATAGATTATGCCAGAATTTTGATCTTCATTTCCAAGACATGAAGATGTAGAGGTACAGAAGAATGAGTCACTCATTACACAAGGAGGTAATGCAAAACAGAATTAGAACCCAAGGGATGGGATTTCCAGGCTTGTTGTCTTTAATCTATACCAGGCTATGTGGCTGATAAGATTAAATTCAAATATAAAGATTTGAATTTCAAAAATCTTTCAATTGACCATGACATGAAGAAAATGCTTAAGTATGGTCAAACTTTAAGCAGAGAGAATACCATGACAGTATTACGATTTATAGATGTGTGCCATCTCATTTTTTCTTTGGAAATCCAATTTGCTGTTTTAGGTTCTGTGGTAGTTCTACTACATTTGTCTCTAATATGTTATTCCTGAAATCTTTAGAAGGGGAAAGATTGAAAATCATGTAGATTGCTCAGGCCTTCTGAAAATTATGGAAGGAAAGAGTGATGGCATTATGTTAGCCTCTGAAAATCACCCAGAAATGAAATGACACCTTATTTTAAAACCTTTCTAAGGCTTTCAACATGGACCACATGAGTAACTAATTTTGAAATTGCTTTGCATTTACAATTAGAACTCCTGTGGTGTCCGAGGAATCCAATTATGGCTGGGAAGTCATATAATAGTATGGAACCTATTCTGATCAAAATGAGATTTTACTAAGTTCGTTGAAGATTAAGATTGAATAATGCTGAAGTGTGAAATCCTCAATTATACGTTCAGCTCCAAAGAAAGAGGTGCCTTTTTACCAGATATTTGTGATTTTTCTCACCCTAGAAATATTGATTATGAACTCTCTCAGATTTTTTGAAAATGCCATTCTAAACATGAATAAACAAGGCAGAATAAAAAGTGATGTAGGGCAGTGGAGGAGAATGACTGACTCAGGAAACCTGGCTTTAGTCCTTGCTCTGCTTGTCTTTTATTACCATCTTACTCTGAGCATACAACTCCACCTCTCCGTGCCTCAGTTCCTTCTCTGTTAATGGCATGATAGCACTATGAGATCATCAACAGTTCCTTAGCTTCATGATTGAATTGTTCTGTAGTTCTTGGCATGAAATAGTAATATTATTACTCCGGGGTTTTCCATATGGGATTTCTTAATCAATACAAATTAAACAGCAAACATACAAAAAGTCTAACATACAACTTTCAGCTTTTGCTTTTTCAAAGTAAAGTAACTTTTTAAAATAATTTCATCTTTAAAAAAATCCCATAATTATATTATATATATAATTATAAAAGAAACAACAATTTAGCATCAAAACTAAAAAGGGAGGAAAGATCATCTCTAATATAAAAAAGACAAATTTGTAGCAACTATAGGGCATGCACATTCATACACATACACACCCACAATGGTTCAGTTTCTTTTTGCATGGTCTAATGAGAATTTTATTATGCACTAGAATTTGTAAACCTTTGAGGGTAAAATGCATATAAGTAAAATAGACAAAAATGTATTAGGAAGTTCAAATTTTAATAGTATTTCAGAAAAATGTTGACAACAAATTTGTTTTGTACACAAAATAAGAAAAGAACAAAATACATGGGGAGGAATAAATTAGATGAGCAGTTCAACATCTGTGGGTGTCTATATTATAGAACACTAAGTAACACCTGGATATATGCAAAATTTAATTATAGAAAAGTTATAATTTTAGAAAATTTTGGAAGGAAATCAACCAGGAAGGAAAGATAATGCAGATGCAAAATGAAACAATGAGTCTATGATGCTCAGTCTTTGATATGGTTTGGCTGTGTCCCCACCCAAATCTTGAATTGTAGCTCCTATAATTTCCATGTGTCATCAGAAAGACTCAGTGGGAAGTAACTGAACTATGAGCGTGGGTCTTTCCTATGCTGTTCTTGTGATAGTGAATAAGTCTCACGTGATCTGATGGTTTTATAAATGGAAGTTCCCCTGCACATACTCTCTCTTGCCTGCCACCATGTCAGATGTACCTTTGCTCTTCCTTTGCCTTCCACCATGATTGTGAGGCCTCCCCAGCCATGTGGAACTGTGATTCCATTAAGCCTCTTTCCTTTATAAATCACCCAGTCTTGGCTATGTCTTTATTAGCAGTGTGAGAACAAACTAATACAGTCTGCATTCCTCCAATATGATCTTTTATTTGTCAGCAAGGCTGGGCTAAAAAATGCCCAGAGAGCTGGTAAAAAACTATTTTTTGATATGTTTGTGAAAGTGTTTCCAGAAGAAATTAGTATTTGAACTTGTAGCCAGAGTAAAGAAGTTTTCCTTCAGCAATGTGAATGGGTGTCATCCAATAAGTTGAGGCTCTGAATAGGATAAAATGGCAGAGGAAGGGCAAATTTGCTCTCTTTATATGAGCTGGGACATCCATCTTCTTCTGTCCTGGGACATCAGCACTCCTGGTTCTCAGGCCTTTGGACTCAGACTCGGAGTTATGCAAGCAGGCTCCCTGATTCTCAGGCATCTGGGCTTGAATTGGAACACACCACTGGCTTTCCAGGACCTCTAGCTTGTATATGGCAAATTATGGGACTTCTCAGTATCCATGATTGCATGAGCAAATTCCTCCTAATAACTTTCTTTCTATATATCTACATATGTTCTATGAGTTCTGTTTCTCTGGATAACCCTAACAATACATCTGGATATACAAGGAGGTAACTACACACATCTAATTTGGGAAAAATGGAGTGAAAACAGAAAACAATGGAAGGGGAAGTTGTTTTTTTCTCTATCTCCTTTTTTCTTGCAGAGATATATAAGTCCAAGTGTGTTTGAAAACTTCTGGAGATGTTCCAATTTGTGGCTTCTCCTGCTAATTCCAGTTAAGATGAGCATATTTAGTAAATCTTGTACTTGTAAATCTTCATTGCCTCATTTCTCCTGACAATCAATTTCCATCACTGCCTGAAGGAAAAGGTAGAAGTCCATACTTCTGATGCTGAGTTTGAGCCAGAACTCTTCAGGACACCATATGAAAAACGGCTTTCTTTCTCAAGTATGGATTGCATGTTGATGTCCACGATGTGTTTATTTGCCTCAAGTATGTTTTGGATGATGATGTCCAGATAGAGAAATAGAACTGGGAGTCAATAGGAAGAAAATGTCATACCTCATTCAAGAAGCAACTTTTTTTTGCCTTCTTTATTTAGTCAACATCATTTACTTGGCCACTACTGCATGCTGGGCATCATTTCAGGCACTGTAGATACAGCAATAAATAAATCTGTGAATGGGTGTGAGCACAGATTAATTTACAATTAAAATACAAAGTGAAAAGTCATACTGGAAAGGAAACTGACCTTGGTAATGCACAATCTTTACTACATTTTTGCCTGTGATGGTAGTAGTGGAATGGAGGGGTGTTCCAGACAAAGGGATGACTGTATATAGTTCCTGATGCTCAAGTGTGCATGGCATATTCCAAGAATGGCAAGCACTGCGGACTGGCAGGTGCATTAGATATCATTCTATTAGTGGAAGGAGAGAGAGAGTCTAGGAATACTGAGTTTGTAAAACAAGAGATTGCATTTTGTATGAGTTGCTAGGATAGGGTGGTTTAGGAACAGGACAAGTGGATTTCCTGAAAAGTTACTGTACCTTCTTCTACAGGGTCCTCAATATTCACCAGCATAGAACCTTCCTTTTGTGTGCTGTTGGAACACCAATCCTTTTGTGCACCCATTTAGCCAATTCTGAGGCATGCAGAGACAGATTCCTCCCAGGAGGGCCAGCTCCACTTCTCCTGAGCGGTGCCCATCCATTCTAACCGTGGCAGAGGTGTTTTGTGGTTCTCCATTACTCCCTTTTAAAATTCCCGGTAAACTCTAAACCACAAGTAATTTTCTTTTTTTCTTTTTTTTGTATTCATTTTGTTTTTCTCATCAGCTAGATAGAATCCATGATATAAACAGTTCTCAGCACACTTACTTCTATGAGAGTTTGAGCGAGGCTTTAACTTATTACATCCCATCTCCACTGGACCCTGAAAATTCACCTGAAAGATGTACAGAAATAGAAGCCTCCCTACAATTGAACTCTTCAATATGAGTTTAAGAGCCTATGAATGGCCTTCAAAATTCAATATGAGTTTAAGAGCCTATGAATGGCCTTCAAAACCATTCCTCCTGCCTCCTGCTTCCCTTTCTTAGTAGACAGGAATCACCACCATGAAGAGTACACAAGTATTATAATTCAATGTGGAATTTTACAAAGGCTTAGTATGGAAATTCTCTTATACTTGTTTGAATCAAGCTCTTTGATCACAGAATCTGGATTTGTTTTGCTACTTTATATGTCAATTCAATGTATAAATCATTTTTATAACATCCCTGATGGGGTGTCTTGCCTTATTTGAACACCTTTACAAATTATAAGCTCATGACTTCAAAAAGCAGCTTATTCCCCATAAAGTTAGCACTAATTACTAAAAACTATTTTCCTATATTCAACTAAAATCTGCTTTCTGATAACTTCCATCCTAGCTTTTAATTAAGCAACACTAAGAAAATCTCTATCCCCTTCCACATGGTATCACTTTATATATTTGAAATTAACCATGAAGAAGGCAGTCATACTTGGAGAGGTTAAAGAGATGCACAGGACACACAAAATACTCAAACAATCAGATTAGCCTATACCATTATGTTTAAGAAGAGGCAAATTTTTGAAATGTTTACAGTAGAATTCTATAATTATGTACTAAAGCTCTATTGAAGTATATAGGAATCCTTATTTCTACATTAAATGATTTCAGAACGCTACTCTTTTTGAATTGGTCCATCTGTTTCTTTCCCTGTTTGGAATTTCTCTGTTTCCTTATTTTAGTGTGCTTCTTTGGGGGCAATTTCTTCATTTGTTTCCCTTTCTTTAATCTATTAAAGAAATAGTGACCTATTTGCAAAATAAGCAAATAAGAGTCAGTAGGCTCAGAGTGATGCTGGCCAATAGAATAGGAAAGGCAGCTGGTGATGAGCTGCACCTTTGAACTTTTAAAAGCTAGTTTTCAATTCCAACATCTTATTAATTATGCTCTGTCATCACTCACATGGCCTTTATTTCATTAAATGTAATTATGTTTAAAGCAATGTCTTCAATGAAATGGGAAGTTGCAAATGCTTTGGGCATCGCAGAGGCCCTGTTTCAGCAATTAGGTCAAGTAATTGTCCCTCTTGAAGGATTCTGAGTGCCTTTTGGTAGTTTTTTAAATTCCTCCTGCTTGTTTACTGCCTGTAATATTTTATGAGCTCAGTATGTGTAGTGTGACATTTCTAAATATCCCATTGAGTCTGACTCTGTGCCAATCACTTCCTGTTTTAATACATGAAGAATATCATCTAGTTAAAGTATTATACTTGGTTTTACTTATTGGGGGACTAGGAACTCCTTTGAGAATATCATGCTAGTAGTAAACCCTTTCTTTCTCCAGCAAAACTGCTTTTTGTATTGCTATCTATGGGTCCATAGATCTCTGAGACCCAATCATGACATTCTTAACACCTGTGGATTCCAATTAACTATCCTGATTTAAAAGAATCCTTTGTTCCTCATATCAGCAATCTGGTTCCATGCTGGAAAGGGCCATTTTGCTGACACCTGGTTCCCCCAAATGGCCTGAGGCCTCTCTCCCAGCTCTGATCAGGTGCCTTCCCCAAGGACATCCCTCTAGCTGCTATGTGAGGTCCTGCTCCTAGTGCCCTTATTCTTGGAATCAAGAATCCAGGCTGATTCTCAAGGTAATGCTGTGAGACAGAATATTTCATGTGTATTTGAGTGTGTGGAACTTCTGTGCCAGACCTTCCAGAATAACGTATCTATCATAAATAGAGTAACACTAGCTCCTGACCCCTTTAATACTGTTCTCCACAAAGATATAAATTCTGCCATAATGAGGATACTTTCTGTCTTGGTTCAGCCACCATCAAACAGGGTGAGCTAAAATTCTTACTTTGCACAGGAGAAGGAAGAGATGAAAGTGAGAGTAAAGTCAGGCAACAAATAGCAGAGAAAATGCAAGAAAGGACAAATAAGATCTTCACATCCCTAATACCTCTAATAGCCCCCTGGTGTTTCATGTCTCTCTGGATTGGATCAATCTCCCGGTCTCCAGCCAGGAGATTTTTGGAATAAGATTTTTTTGTCCTTCAAGCTCCGGTGGGCCACAGAAGCATAATCACAATAATCCCCTCAACAGTCAAGCTGAAGTAGACCACATCCTGTTGGCCCCAAACTAAATAGAAACACGGAAATAATTGGAGAGCACAGAAGGCCGGGCGGAACTCCTGACTAGCTGTCTGCACAGGCTTGCCTTGATCCTTGCTTTAACATCCCCATAATACAACCATATGTTGTTTAAATTTTGATATCTGTATTTTACCTTGTGATGGGGTTTCCTTATATTACTGCTACCAGTGAATACCCCTTTGACGATGATGATCCCATGGTATTTACAAGACTCTTACCTAGTTCATCCACTTGTTTCAGATTTCACCATCCTCATTTCTTGGTCTGGAATCTAGGTGAATAAGCTGAGACTTTGAAGGTTGTCCAAGGCTACAGAGTCAGGTAGTAGCAAATCTGTGATTTGAACAGAGATTGGTCTTTTTTCCAAACTCCAAAACCCACTGGTCTTTTCTATTCTCAAAATTATGTGCATTTCACCAGCTATAATTTTTTGGTTTTTGTTTTATTTTGTTTTTAAGGCAAGAAATAATCCTTTCTCAGAGTCCTCAGTCCTCACCCTGTAGTATGTACTCAATAAATACTGCTTGAACTAAATTTGAGTTTTAAAATTAGAGCACTAGCTTCTTAAATGGGCTGCAGGCAAAAACCTCACACCTGGAAATAGTAGCTACATACACTTTATTTCTCTCCTTTAATAGATGCTCAGAGAGTTTCCTTCCCAGGGTCTCTAGGAGACTGATCTCAGGAAAAGTCTAGAGCACGGTCACTTTTACAAGAGCTTTGCAGCCTTCAAAATCCTGGAAAAACTGCACAGGGCTAAATTTTGCCATTGAAGGAGGTAATCTTGAGCTCTGAGGGATTAATTACTTATGCAAAAACAAAAGAGCCAGTTTAATAGGATAATTGCCAATGAAAGAAAATTAAATGGAATCAAAAGAAAAATTGAAGCCACAATATTCTTTTGCCTGCTGGAGGAACAAAGCTAATTGTTTTCTATCTGAAGTTCCCTTTTGGATGTTTCCTCCCAGCTAATTTTTCATGTTATTTGTATTGCACTGAAGATTCTCATTTTAACTTGTAGGAAGTGAGGATTCTTTAATTCTAGTTTTTGGAGTTGATTTGTTTAACTTGAGTGCAGTGCTTTGGGTTGTAAAAGTTGACATCGGAAGTTATAAGATAAAATAAAGGGACTATATGAATGATGGTAATGAGCTCAACTCCTTTGTGATAAACCAGTTTGATAGTGCTGCCAGAAACCTTTGTAATCGTAGTTTTATTTAGGGAAATTGTATTTAGAACAAGGAAGGCATAAATCAGTCCTACTCTGCATCAGCCATTTTGCACTTAAAACCATAATTAATTACAAACAGCCAACATTTTGAGAAACGCTAGCAAATTGGAATGGCTCCCCAGGACAAATAGGTGACAGTTGATGCACTGTTTTGAAAGAGAAAATTGTAATACCCAGTGTTAGTGTGGTTGTAGGGGGAAAGTCCTTCTTATGCACTGTTGAAATGAAAATTGACTGCTACAGTATTTCTGGATGTATCTTGGAAGCACACACAAGAACTTTAAAAACTGTATGTGCTGATGTGCTGTGACACAACTCTCACACTCCTAGAAATTTATTCAAAAAAAGAACAAGTGCAGCAAAGATAACATTGCAAAATTGCTGGTTTTTTTTTTTTTTGTTTTTTTTTTTGCATTTTGAGCTATTGGAAATTCAATGAATTCTTAAAATTGTGATTAGTTAAATACATTATAGTGTTCACAACGGTGTAATATGTAGCCATAAAATGAAATCTTAAATTGCTGTTTACTGATGCAGAAAGTTTATAATATAGAGTGTATTGTATAAACTTGAATGAATATTTGTTTAGAAATTATCATATGTATACACCTAAGCATAAGACAAAGTATGGGAGATTATATCATATGTTAATATTGGTTATATATAAAATTGTTTTCTCCAAAAGTTTATCTTCTATGATGTCTATAGTTTTATTTCTATGAGTTTTTAAACTATAAAATAAAAATAAAAGAATAGCTAAAATTCAGGGATGATTTAGCTGGGTTAATAATTGATCTGCAAAGATTTACGCTGCTCTTGAAAAATGAAATAAATGAATAGAATAAAATTGTACATTTATTCACGATAACTTCAAACAGATGCCAGAATGAAGGAGAGGATGCTTTAGAGGGCATCTGGACCATATACAAAGAAAATCTACACAGCAATGGAATGAGTGACCTTAGGGGTAGCAGGCACTCTAGATAGAAATATAGGTGGATGCTGGATAATTACTTATTATGTAAATGCTAACTAAATATATTTTGAGTGAATGAATAATTCATAATATTTTTGTATATTTTGAACCAACACAGAGGTTCTATATAAGAAAATAACATAATAAAATCAAATAATCTATTTATTGAACAATATTCAACTGGCACAGGCAACCAAAACAAAAATGGACACTTGGGATCACATCAAGTTAAAAAGCTTCTGCACAGCAAAGGAAACAATCAACAAAGTGGAGAGACAACCCACAGAATGGGAGAAAATATTTGCCACCTACCCATCTGACAGGGGATTAATAACCAAAATATATAAGGAGCTCAAACAACTTTGTAGAAAAAATCTAATAATCTGATTAAAAAATGGACAAAAGATCAGAATAGACATTTCTCAAAAGAAGACATACAAGTGACAAACAGTTATATGAAAAGGTGCTCAACATCACTGATCATAGAGGAAATGCAAATCAAATCCACAATATCATCTTACACCAATTAAAATGGCTTTTATCCAAAAGACAGGCAATAATGAATGCTGGCAAGCATGCAGAGGAAAGGGAACCCTCATGCAGTGTTGGTGGGAATGTACCTTAGAACAACAACTATGGAGAACAGTTTGAAGATTTCTCAAAAAAAACTAAAAATAGGGCTACTATATGTTCCAGCAATCCCACTACTGGGTATAAACCCAAAAGACAGGGAATCAGTATATTGAAGATACATCTGCACTCTTTGTTGCAGCACTGTTCACAATAGCTAAGATTTGGAAGCAACCTAAGTGTCCATCAACAGATGACCAGATAGAGAAAATATGGTATATATACACAATGGAGTACTATTCAGCCATTAAAAAGAATGAGATCCGTCATTTGCAACAACAGGAATGGAACTGGAGATCATTATGCTCACTGAAATAGTCAGGCACAGAAATACAAACATCACATGATCTCACTTATTTGTGTGATGTAAAAATCAAAACAATTGAACTTATGGACATAGAGAGAAGAAGGATGATTACCAGAGGCTGAAAAGGGTAGTGGGGGAATGGGGAGAGGTGGGGATGGTTAATGATTATAAAAAAATAGAAAGAATGAATAAGACCCACTATTTGATAGCACAACAGGGTGACTATAGTCAATAACTTAATTGTACATTTTTAAATAATGAAAGGAGTGTAATTGGATTGTTTGTAACACAAAGGACAAAGGCTGAGGAGGTGGATACCCCATTCTCCATGACATGAGTATTTCACATTGCAGGCCTGCATCAAAACATCACATGTGCCCCATAAATACATACACTTATGATGAAGCACAAAAATTAAAAATTAAAAAAAATTAGAAATCAAATAATCTTGTCTAGCCTGTCCACTAATGAGAATATGTACTTCTTACTCCAAGCAAAAATAGAATATTGACTCTACATCTCAGAAGTTATATAAGACTTTGCTTGGTTTTGGTAGAAATATTTTTTATAGATGTAATTTAAATTTTTAAAATGTTTTCCCTAGATCTGTAGAAAATCTAGATGAATTAGAACAGGGCACTCAACAGTTCAAAGAATAATTTCTGTTTCTGTTAATCAGTTAACAAATTAGAGAATATTAATGTGAAAATTCTTTTTCTACCCTGAAACTGTAGTTTATTCAGCTCATTAAAAAGACAGGGTGGTGCAGTAAGCTCCAGGAGCAGAGAAACTCTCTGTCTTGTTCACAATCTATGCCAGTTGTAAGTTTGGAGAGTAACATATAGCAGGTAGTCAGTAAAATTATGTTGAGTGAATAAAATGAATTTGAATCAAGCTTAGAAATTAATGGTTGGGCAAATAACTTTTTAAGCTTCCATTTATTCGTTGGTAAAAGAATGCTATCTTTCTGGAGGGCTGCTTGGAGAATTAAACATAATATATACAACTGTCATATTGCAGTGCCTAACACTCAGTAAAAGGTATTTGTTATTATCATAATATTGTTGCTAATTTGTGATTACTATTTTCCCATTTTGGTCTAGGCAAAATAACATGTATGTACTGTTTTCTCTTTCTTAGCTTACCTCAACTGCCAGTGGGCTTTTCACTTTGTATAATAAGGGACTCCAAACCATTGAGTTTATGAAAGTCAATATAGGCACAAACTATTAATATGTTAGGCATCAATATATAAGTGGCTATAGCTGTGGTTAAAATTGTTTTGCCAAAAGTAGCATTTTCTTGTTTTCTCCACAAATCCAAATTCTACTCATTCTTTCTTTTGCTTCAGTCTTCTTTTTCTCATAAAGCCTTCCCTCCTTTCAATGCTTCTGCCTACTGTGCTATATTTTCCTTCATGCAATAGATCCTTTTCTTTGAGAAAGGGTCTAGGTATTTGACCAGACCTATTAGTCCATGGATGAGTGTGTGATGCAAGTTGAGCCAATCAGAATTATCTTGACTGATTTGAGAGAATTTCTCCCTTTATTCAACGTGCTAAGCCGAACTTATTTGTGTCTGGAGTTGCTTTAGGCGATGTTCTCTTCCAGTCATTGGAGGAAAGCCCACATTCAGGAAAGAGGGGACTATAACTGAGAAAGGAAGCTTTGAAAAAATTGGTTCCTATATCTGGCCTGCCAGTAGAATCACCCTTGTATTTCACTGGTTTTCATATGCTTAAAATAGAATGAGTTTGATTTGTCTTGCAACCAAGTGAGTCTGTTACATATTGAAATGTGACTTAAATTCAATTTGTCACTGAAATTTAATGGACTCATTGATGAATTTTCAACCAGAAACAATCTTCTTTCTGATCATCCATTGTGCCAGGGTCTATGTTTCCAAGAAAAAAAGCAACTTCCACTTACAGAGTGCCAAATAATGTGCTCAGCTTTGTGTTCAGTGTGCTATGTCTAGCATCTCAATTACTCTCCCAGTAATCCTATGAGGTAGATGCTATGATCACTCCGATTTTATACATGAGAAAAATTGGCTCCAAGAAGCTAACTGGGCTGACTAGGTGGAAGATTAGCTCTACACTTCACCCTCTGGAGATTATGGCACTACTGCATTATTTCCAGATTTGGTAAGCTTGGCACAAAGGAGTGCTGAAGATATTGTTATTAAGACCAATGCCTGGGCAACTCTTCAGTGACCCACTGGTTATTAATCTCAAGCCTGGTTCACATAAACCAGAAATTATTATGATACCAATACCAGGCAGTGAACATCTGATATATATTGAGACTTCATATGCATTAGCTGTAGTCCTTATAAAATTCTATAGAGAACAGATGACAAGTTCATGTCTGGCATGGATTCTGGTCTGGTTATGGCTACCTTGAGCATGTTTTAAAAAGAAATATTGGGTTTCAATTGGGTTCAGTTAAAAAAAATTATGCCTGTAATGTAAACCAAGAGCAGAAAATGGAAGAAGGCACATGGTAAATTCTCTACTCCTTCTTCAGGATTATCTTAATTATTCACATCTTGTAGATGAATTAACTGAGGTTTGAGAAGTTAACTAACTTGTCCATGGTCATTCTTTTAGGGAACTGCGATTTGAACCTGGGTTTATCTGAATCCAAACCCCCTACTCTTTCTATTTTATGTGATTCTCTCTCACTGTGGCAACTTATGCTGTTAGTTCTTTAGTGACATTCGACTGAAATAAAAGGTAAGTCTTCAGTTTTGTTTCCAAGGATCTATTGTGACACTCAATGTAGATGGTAATTGACATAAAATGTAAATACGTGAAGATGATCTGAAGATTTAATTGTTCCCATATACCTAAAAGCCATGTGTGCATTTCAGCCTAGTATTGAAAATTACATACCCATAAGGCAGATACATTTGCTAGTAGACAGTGATTTGTGTCATAAATTAGATGCATGTAAAGAAGGTAAAATAGGAGTTTATACAAAGAAAATCATGTCTTTTACCCATCAATTTATTCATTTATTCATTCCTCATGAATGCACTCATCAAACAGTAATACTATTCTACAGGCACTGGACTGATTTAGGAACACAAATTTGTAGGGAGTTAACTCAATTCTTGTCTTTATAGAGTTTAAAACCATGTGAGAGATTACTGAGGTATACCATAATAATGTTGAATTTAACCATAACTCTGTGACCCTAGATAAAAGTGACAAATAAATCCACACCCCCACCACTTTGTGTTTCACAGATGACCTTCTGCAAGGCACTGTCCTCTCTCTATGGTTTGAATAAGATTCACCGATGATGCTCGCTTGTTTACTGGTGACAAATCCTATCATGGTCATGGTTTATTTGGAATGTCATGGTTTATTTGGAATATCAGGAAATAAATTTCTTTGTGATGATATGTGATGAGTAAGGATTTTGCACAAAGGGCAAAACCTTGACAAGTATGTTAGAATTTCTTAATGACTCCCTCATAGAGTTATTAAGTTGTGAGAGAAATGAACTTAAGTGGAGATTATGGAAATTTGGCTTATAAAATAAGTGTGCATGCACCTTTTTCTAAATTGTACTTGGGCCACAATGTTGCTTAACTAGTTTTAATGCTGGATACCACGTGCCAAGATATTTCTCTTAGAATTATGTTGGTTGTGATGCAGGCACACACCAAGTTTGGGCTTAGCCCAAAAGCGTTCTTGGCTTCACTTAGGAAAGAATTCAAGGGTAACTGAGCAGTGAAAATAAGCAAGCTTATTAGAGTAACAGTGTACAGCAAAATGTCTGCTCCCACAGCATGGGAGCAGCAGCCACAGCATGGATTGCTGGCTGGCTACAGTTATATCCACTCTTGACTATATGCTAATTAAAGGGAGGATTATTCAGAATTTTCTAGAAAAGAAGCGAGGACTTCCTGGAACCATATGAGGTAACTTCTAGGTGGTTGCCATGGCATTTGTAAACTGTCATAGTACCAGTGGGAGTGTCTTTAATAATGATCTGTGAGGACGGCCTGGTGCGGTAGCTTACTGCGTATAATCCCAGCACTTTGGGAGGCCAAGGAGGGCGGATCACGAGGTCAGGAGATCGAGACCATCCTGGCTAACACGGTGAAACCACATGTCTACTAAAAATACAAAAAATTAGCCAGGCGTGGTGGTGGGCATCTGTAGTCCCAGCTACTTGGGAGGCTGAGGCAGGAGAATGGCATGAACCCGGGAAGCGGAGCGTGTAGTGAGCTGAGATCGCACCACTGAGCTCCAGCCTGGGAGACAGAGCAAGACTCCATCTTAAATAAATAAAGAAATATTTAAAAAAATAAAAAATAAAAAATAATGATCAGTGAGGGCAACCAGAGGTTGCTTTCGTCACCATCTGCTGGTTTCAGCCAATTTCCTTACCGCATCCTGTTTTTGATCAGCAGGCTCCTTACTGGTGCTCCGCTGATCTCCTCCCTCAGCTGGTCTTCAAATTATCCAAGATAATTTCCTGCCCAAAGGGCCCCAACCACTTAGAGAATGTATCATAGTATCAATAACAATTTTTACATGTTTATTTTAGGGGATTGTAGGTTTTCCAAATGAGGTAAAATTCAGAATGCTAAATAAAATTCAAGAGAGAATTTGGGAATTGATAAATAGGTAATAAAATAGAGCTGTGAGTGTGGATGAGATAGCATAAGAAGTACACAGAGTGAGAAAGGGAGAGGGCCTGGAACAGAAGCCCAAGGTCACTTATGTGAAGGGTAGACATTGCAATAACAGCCAGCAAAGTCTACTGAATAGAACACATTTGTGATGTGCAAAGGCACAAAGCTAGAACTAAGAAAAGAGACAGTTCAAGTAGGAAGAGAGGAGCGAACCTCTTGAGAGCTTGAGAATTCAGGTAAGAGGAGGACTAAAAAGCACTTGTTATCCCTAACCACTGAGACTACAGATAATCTAGGTAAGGACATTTCAGGGCAACATGAAGGAGGAGGCCAAATTAAAATGAATTCAGAATAATAATGTCAGGTGATCCAGTTGATGTAGACAAATCTCTCAAGAAGTTGATCCTGCAGAAAAGGGGATAAAGAAGTAGCTGAAGGGAAAAGAGGAGTTGCTGGAGGTTGTTCGCCCCACCCTTTTTTCCTTGTTTAACAAAAGGAGATTTTAAGATGTTTAAATGCTGTTGGAAAAAGCCAGTTTATAACGGGAAAGGGGGATAATGGAGTGTGTCCCTAGCAGTGGGAGGGTATGAACCATGATGCACAACTCAAATGACCACCCTTAGAGGAAAGAAAAGACTTGCTTTCCTCCACATACAAATGGGGGATTCGGAAAGAATGTGCCACTGTAGGGCAGGGCAGAAAGTTTGGTGCTGTGGAAGAAATGAGACAATTGAATTAGGGAAGGACAGTGGCTGAGGGATAATGCCAATGGCACAGGAAAGACTGCACACCATGATTTCTAAAGGTACCAGTCTAAGAGGTTGTATAATTTTCCTGTAATTATTCCGTATCCTAGGTGGAGAGAACAAGAACACAGATTCATTCTCTGCCCAGCGAAGTTAAATAATTAAGCCAGTATCACACAATGAGTTACTTCCATACATTTATTCCCCTGGGTGTGAATATCCAGTTTTCCCAACACCATTTATTGAAGAGACTGTCCTTTCCCCACATGTGTTCTCATATTCTTCAACAAATATTTATCACACATTATGAGTCAGGCAAAGTATTTTAAGCACTTGTGAACAAATAGACTTTTTAGTCTATTAAAGTTTCAGTTATGGAGCTTACATTTTAGTGAACTCAATTTTAGAATCAGATCCGGAGATGTGTAAGTTCAAAATGTTTCCATCTCCTAAAAATGAATCTCTTTGCCTGCCTTTGGAGAAAAATAAAGCCCTAAACTTTCTGAATGAAAACATATAATGTTAGTGGAATTAATGTTTATATTTTGTACTTACAGCATAAATGCCACACTGAGGAGAATATAGTCTTACTTAGACTCTAAGGAGCAAGTCGTACTTTATTTCTTTATTTTTTCAATAATGCATAAAACTTTTGGTACTAGAGTTATTTCCACTAGACTCTATGCTGTTTGAATTTCAGGAATGTTTCTTACTCATGTTTATATTTTCTATACCTAGCATAATACCTCACACATATTATGTCTCAATAAAGAGTTGTTGAACTAATGAGTGAATTAATTCAAACATGACACCATTAAATAAATGGAAACAGTGATTTATAATAAGAAATTGGATATTGCATCAAAGAGAAATATGATGTCTCAGGATTCTTTTCCATCACCTTCAATACCAGGCATACACAGGGCTCGTTAACAATGTCAGATGCATCCCTCATTACCACTCACTAAAAACCAACAACAACAAAAACTCTCTACAGTGGTCATAAAATATGTGGAAAATAGGGAAGACAAATTATAACCCTAATATTAATTTCAGCAATTTTCACTCAAACTGTAAGTTTCAGGGTGTTTTATTGCTAGACTTTTATAACCTTCAAATTCTTGCCATGAACTACAATAAATTTTGAGTAGAAGATCCACTTAGCTGTGAAAAATAGTCATGGCCTTGATGTATTCTGGGTAATTTGGGGCCATAAATCTAGGGGAAACACAAGAAACAACATTGTTTGTGGTAGTTGCTTTCCTGAAAATAAAGAACAAAAATTGGAGTCATGGAAGGGACCTCATCTTCACAGATTTCTTGTTGGGTTACCCATGCAGATAATTTAAATTTGCTAAAGCTCTGTTTGATTACCTATAAAATGGGCATTATAATAACAACTGGAATATAGTAGTTGTTTAATAAATGTGTGTTTGGGCAAATGTTCTGCAAAGAGAACAATTTTTGGAGTACACAGAACTGAGTTCAAATCATAGCTCTGTCACTGACGTGTATGTGTTTGTGTGTGCGTGTGTCTTCTAGTCATGGTCATTATGCTATTTAATACACATAACAAACTGATGAGGCAAGCACTATGATTCTTCCATTTTACAGATAAAAAATACAAGTACAGATGAAGAGATTAAAGAACTTTCCCAAGAGCTAGGAATTTACAAAGCCAATAGTCTATCCCAGAAATTCTGACTCTAAGTCTGTGTTTTAGGATGTATGAGATATAAATGACATCCAGACAAAAAATATTGGCATCAGGAGCAGAAAGAAAAGATGTCAACTAATTAATTTATTCATGCAGAATATTTATTGAGAACCTACTATATGCCCCACACTCTGCTGGTGCTGTGAATATGGTGGTGATTCACAATAGAAACAGACATCGTTCCTGGCCTCATAGAGCTAACAATACACAGAAGGAAGATGAACCATATCGTGCCATAAAGAAATAAATATAGATGGCAAGGCTTTAAAATGAAGATGTGTTTGCATATGTGGTCTTTTTTTCTTTTAGACTGGTCTCAAAAAGCAAAAGGAAAGTGCCAGCTACTGGATAGAGGCTCAATAAGTAAACCTTGAATGAAAATCAAAGACCTAAAGACAGATACCATTTGACTCAGCAACCCATTGCTGGGTATATACCCAAAGGAATAGAAATCACTCTATTATAAATACACATGCATGTATATGTTCATTGCAGTACTATTCACAAGAGCAAAAACATGGAATCAACCTAAATGCCCATCAGTGATAGACTGGATAAAAAAAATGTGGTACATATACACCATGGAACACTATGCAACCATAAAAAAGAACAAGATTGTATCCTTTGTAGGGTCATGGATTGATATGAAGGCCATTTTCCTCAGCAAACTAACACAGAAACAGAAAACCAAATACCGCATGTTCTCACTTATAGGTGGCAGATAAATGATGAGAACACATGGACACATAGAGGGGGACAACACGCTGGGGCCTATTGAAGGATAGAGGGTGGGTGCAGGGTTGGAGGAGAAGGAGAACCAGGATAAATAGCTAATGAGCACTAGGCTTAATACTTGGGTGATGAAATAATCTGTACAACAAACCCCTATGACACAAGTTTATCTACGTAACAAACCTGCACATATACCACTGAACTTAAAAGTTAAAAAAAAAAATCATACAGATGTTAAATCATGTTTAAAAATGCTGTTTTGAGAAAGCAGAAAATATATATTTCAAAATGTTTCAAAATCAATTCGATATAGAATAGATGATATTAGAAGAAAGTTTGTAAACATAAAAAATGCTTAGCTTTAGCTTCTAGTAATGTTAATTTATGTGGATAGTCTTAATTTCTCACAATGTAAGATAATGAAGTATGATGCACGTCGTTCTCCTCTGTCTTAAATATCTCTATGATAAAACATAAAAAATAAATATGGTATTTGGGGCCAAATAATGGAAGAGGTTTCATCAATATAAATGGACAAAGATTCAAAGGTATGAGCCTTGTACTGTGAATAAAGCAAGCATCATAGCCTAATTGTCTTCAGGATAAAGGCCCAGCTGTTTGTTTGTTTTAAAGGATCTCCTCAATCCTTCGTTTGATCACCCCTCTACTCTATACTCCTGGAACTTCTTACATAAATCTTCAATGCTGCAGTCTCTCTTCTCAGTCTGGGCCCCTCTCTCACAATGGTCCATGTGTTTGGCATCGTTACTAACCATGCTTTACTGCCTTACTCATCCATTAAGGCCAAACACAAGCTCTACCTCTTCTTGGCTTACTTCTGTCATGGAACTCAATGACTTCTCCCTTGATGTGTTAGTTTGTTCTGGTTTGTTTTTTTAACATGTTCTGCCCCTGATATCTCATCACATCCCTCTATGTATTTAGGATATACTCCCAATATAGAATGATAAACTTGTAAATGATGGTAATGTCCCTTTGGCTCTATTGTGGAATAAGCCTGTTCCCAACACAGAATCTAAGTTACATGTTAACATGTGTGGCAGAGCACAGCTGAATGTACCAGTCCTGTTTCTTCTTCCTAGCCACATCAAAAAAAGACTATATTCCCCACTTTATCACAAAAAGTTTGGGCGTTGAGATGAAATTGTGGTCAGGGTAAGATAGACAATAACAGCAAAAACTATGCTTTTCCTCCGCTCTTTATTGCAGATGGAAGCAAAGGGTTCCATGACATCAGAACCACATGAAGGAAGGAATCAGAGTCCTTCAGCTGTTGCTCTCCTGGAGGACAGCCACCATGAGAGCCCCAGAACTATATAGAACTGTGACACAGACTGGAAACAAATTTCAATCATGTTGAACCACTAAGATATAAGGACATTGGCTAGTATAAATTATTCAGACTAATTTTAAAAATAAATTAATTAAAAAAAATTCTTGCACAGCTAGGGAAATAATCAATGAAATGAAAAGGCAACCTATGGAATAGAAGAAAACATTTGCAACCCAAATACCTGATAAGGGGTTAATTTCCAAAATATATAAGTAAATCATATAACTCAATAACAAAAACAAAGAAGCAAACACAAAAAACTCAATTAAAAGTTGTGAAAGGACCTCAATAGATATTTTTCCAACGAAAATATACAAATGGCCAGTAGATTCATGAAATGGTGCTCAAAATCACTAACCGTCAGGGAAATACAAACCAAAACCACAAGATATGACCTCACACCTGTTAGAATGGCTATTACCGAAAAGACAAGTGGTAACAAGTGCTGACAAGGATATGGATAAAGGGATTTCTTGTGAGCTGTTGGAGGGAAAGTAAATTGTACTGCCATTATGGAAAACAATAAAGAGGTTTATCAAAAAATTAATCAAGTTAATCAATTCGTTTGTTCCAGTAATCTCACTTCTGGGTATATATTCATAGGAAATGAAATCAACATTTGAAAGAGATATCTGCACTCCCACGTTCATTGCAGCATTATTCACAATAGGCAAGATGTGGAAATAATAGTGTTCATCAACAGATAGATGTATCAATAAGTAAATATGCCACAATTTCTCTCTCTCTCTTTCTCTCTTTCACACACACACACACCACACACACACACACACACACACACACACACACACACATTCATACACGATGGAATATAATTCAACCTTAAAAATGAAGGGGCCAGGCACGGTGGCTCACGCCTGTAACCCCACCACTTTGGGAGGCCGAGGCGGACAGATCACGAGGTCAGGAGATGGAGACCCTCCTGGCTAACATGGTGAAACCCCGTCTCTACTAAAAAATACAAAAAAATTAGACAGGTGTGGTGGCGGGCGCCTGTAGTCCCAGCTACACGGGAGGCTGAGGCAGGAGAATGGCATGAACCCGGGAGGCAGAGCTTGCAGTGAGCTAAGATCCTGCCACTGCACTCCAGCCTGCAGAGCGAGACTCCATTTCAAAAAAAAAAAAAAAAGAAGAAGAAGAAGAAGTAACTTCTGCCTGGGAAATAGCCCCTTCCTTCATCTTCAAAGCTATCAGAATAGCATCTTCAAATCTCTTTTTTCATGTAAGGTAACATATTGAAAGGCCTTGGAAATTTGGAACTGAACATCTTTGGGATACCATTATTCTTTGATCACAAAGAGGATCATTCCATGTCCTTTTTTTTTTTTTAAGATGGAGTTTTGCTCTTGTCGCCCAGGCTGGAGGGCAGTGGCACGATCTCAGCTCACTCAACCTCCGCTTCCTGGAATCAAGCGATTCTCCTGCCTCAGCCTCCCAAGTAGCTGGGATTAGGCACCTGCCACCAGGCCCAGATAACTTTTGTATTTTCAGTAGAGAGGGTTTCACCATGTTGGCCAGGCTGGTCTCGAACTCCTGACCTCAAGTGATCCACACACCTTGGCCTCCCAGATGCTGGGATTACAGGCGCAAGCCACTGCACCCAGCCCATTCCATGTCACTTGACTAAGCCTGACATTCGTAGAATAGGAAAATATAATACCCCCAGCAAAGAGCAGCAACTTCTCTGAATTAATCTATTGCAAATTAATAAAATTTGGTACTCATATTTTGATGCCAGAGAAAACCTCCTAAAATTGGCTATAACAATCCAGTTTAATGCCAGCAGCTCTAACAATAGAAATGCATACCAAGTACAAAGTCAGTAAAAGAAGAAATTGATTGCAGCCTGATAAGGTAGAGGGAGAAATGAAGGTGAAAAAGGGGAGACATAATTAGTAATTTTGTTAATGTAACTAGAATGTTTCTGGCTGCAAGTAACAGAAGGTTCAAACACTGGTGTTTTGAATCATAAAGACAGTTATTATTTACTTAATGAGAAATATGGAAGCAAGCTATCCCAGGGTTCCTTCACAGATCAATGATGCCACAAAGATGCGGACTTTTGGCATCTTTCCCTTCTGTGATGCTTAGCATGTTAGGTTTCTTATTTTCATACTTACTGCCTCAGATACGAGACGGTTATATCATTATATCAGCTCTAGGCATTATATCCTGACATTCACTTCCTCAGCAATAAGAAATGGCAATGTGCAGTCCCAGTTAGTTCCAGAAAGTCAAATATATTTCCCAGAAGCCTCCAGCAGATATCCCCTCACTTTATTTGTCAATTTGTTTACTTATATTTTGGTGAGAACATTGTCTTAGGACTAGACTCCATTAATTGCAATTGGAGCTAGAAATATGGTTGTTGAGTGCAGAGAATCAGGATTGTCATGGATGGCATCGTTGCTCCTGTTATGATTCAGTGCCTGGGCTCATGACAGCCTTGAACAAAACTTGGGTTCTATGGTTGG
This sequence comes from Homo sapiens, assembly GCF_000001405.40. Lineage (NCBI taxonomy): Eukaryota > Metazoa > Chordata > Mammalia > Primates > Hominidae > Homo > Homo sapiens. The sequence continues at coordinate 131,396,265 of NC_000008.11, read as the reverse complement.
AAATGATGGTTTTATAGTCAAATAAGACTACTGGCCATACAGCACACTAGTGGCAAAAAATCAGCCCTGAAAGGAATGTCTCCTGATTTCTATCTCCACAAACTTCACTTCTTGTCATGAATTTACTGCTTCTTTGAATTCTGCTGGGCTAAATGTGTGTTCCCACGACTCCTCTGTGAATGCTGTTGCGTGTGTCCTTCCTGGGAGAAAGTGGACATTACAGTTGCCCTGCTCTTACCCTCGAGAGATACAGTCCAAGATCCCCAGTGGATGCCCCAAACCTAGGATAGTATGGAACCTGATGGTCATCAATTGGAGGGCATTTCTGTGCATGTCTTCCACCCACAAATTTAATGCCTTTTTTCATCTTAAGCCCTTATCATGCACTGTGGCCGTGACTTTGTAGTTTCAGGTGCAACAGCAAAACTAGCACAAATTTCTTTTTCCTTCTTCACAATTTTATAGATAGATGATTCCTTCTTACATAGATCTAAGCAACCCCAGCATAGGATTTTTTTCTTTCCATTGAGTTGAGAACTTTTGCCTTTTCTCTTAAAGGGAGCACTTAAGCCTTCTCTTTGGCTTGAGTTGCCAGTATCACTACTCTTTGTGCTTTTAGGGAAGTGTTACGGAAAATAAAGGTGACTTGAACACAGGCACTGTGATGCCAGGACAGTGGTACCATGGAGGGTTGATAACATGGGGGGCTGATAACCTGGAGGGCTATTAAGTGACTCACTCACTGTCAGGTAACATATACAGCATGGATATGCTGGACAAAGGGATGATTCACATCACAGGCAGAACGGAGAGGGACAGTGCAAGATTTCATCACGCTACTCAGAATGGCATGTCATTTAACATTTATGAATTGTTTATTTCTGGCATTTATCATTGGATATTTTCTGACCACAGCTGACCTTGGGTAACTGAAACCACTGCAAGTAAAACCCTGGTTAAGGAGGGACTACCATTTATTGTACTAAGGAGAAAATCTAAGTCATTTTTTTCCATGCAGCAGATTTACAATAATCATCAAACCAGCCTGAAGGCAGTTAAATGCGACCCTATCTTCTATTGACAGAAAGCAATACTAAATGTTTCTGAGTTGTGAACAAGAGTTTTTGAAAATGCAGAGGTTCCTCATCCAGACACAGGCAAGCACTTGTGAAACGTGTCACTGAATGGGGATGCTATTATAGAGGATAAACACCCAATCACACACTCTGCCTTTTTCAATGGATCAGTTTTCTCTTACTTGAATCTAGGTTAGAGCTTTTAAATTCTCCAATCATATGCATTCAAAGTTCAAAGAATAAAAGACTGGTTCAAATTCTAAACATTACAGTCTTTTATTTTCTTCCATAAATAGCATGTTGCCAACTGAAATCAGGCATTAACTAAACTATGACTCAGTAATGCGCAGTATTCAAATACTGTGAGTAAAAGTAGCAATTATTCTACATGAGGTATCCAGTTTATTAAAAGAGACATAAATGAATTCAATTTTTTCTTGTCGGCCATAAATATTTAGCATTTCTGAGCACAACCCATTTAGACTGGTGAGTAGCAGTAATTCAATTTATTTATCAACAATTTGGTTTATTTATCAAAATAAATTAGTCTTTCATCCTTGAGCTATTGGATTATTCACAAAATGCAATCACTTCAAAGTGGCTATGTGAGTTTGGGCAGGTCCCTTTTTCCCGGACAATACATATAAAATGAGGACAGTTAGTGTAGGTGATGTGTAAAGTCCCTGCAAATCCAAATTGGATTAATTCTTCTACGAAAATGCAGAAAGCATTCAGTTGGAGCATTGGGCCCAAGTTCTAATCTAGTTTTTACCAACTTTAATTAAAGAAAGTATCTTTATTCCCTGTGGTTCAGAGTTTTATCACATGTAAATTAGTGACAATATAATTCCTACCGCTTCAAGTGGAAGTAACAATCAAAATAAACATATGAAAAACTATTTGTTAAGTTGATGGGCTAAGGCAGGTCCCCAAATGTCAGTGGGAACTCAACTTCAGCTGGTATCCAGGTTCTTGACACCATTCCAAGAAGGAATTCAAGGACAAGTCATAAAATAGCAAAAGTATGGAGATTTATTGCAAAATGAAAGTACACACTCAAGAAAGGGGAATGTGAGTATACTCAACAGAGTGAGTTGTGCCCCGTGGGGTTTGGGGCATCTATCTCTATGGGTTTATTTAACCAAGGGGAGTCATATTCATGAAGATTTCTTGAAAAAGATAAAGATTTCATGTAACTATGGTGCCACCCATTTTCATACCAAATATCGGTGTTCCTGAAACTGTCATAGCACTAATGGGTGTGTAATTTAGTATGGTAATGGGAGTATAATGAGGTTTTAGGTGAAATCTAGGTCAAATCTAGCTCCATGTTGGGTCTAGCTGGTCTCAGCCAGCTTGGCCCCCATTCTGTTTTTCAGGGTTTTATCATTCTCTAGTGTATGCAACTATTTCAACTGTTACCTTTTTGCTAGTCATGTGAGACTGCGGCCTGGAATTTTCTATTCTCCTGTGACCACCCTGTATTATTCATATATTAAAGTGAAAAGTTATCTATAAATGAAAGGTTATCTATAAAAGTTACCTATAAATGAAAGGTTTTCTGCGTGTCATGTACTACGGCAATTTCTACAAATACAGCAGTGACAATTAGAGACTCCCACAAATAATGCTCATTGTGGGACAGTAGTTAACAGATAATGCGCTAAGAATAAATAAAGTTTGTTAAGCAGTTGTTGTGTATAGGCTGTGTGCTAACCACTTTCTTTTATTTATTCCTTTAAAAGTATTTACTGGGAACATATTCATAGCAGGCACTGCTTTATCACTTATATTATGTTTTCTTCTTGCATAAATCTTCGCAACTAGGTTATGAGACACGTTATATTACAGTGCTCCTTTCAAGGAGAAGGATACCAAACCTCAGAAAATTTTGACAACTTTAACCAATCTCAAAAGCTAACAATTAGTAAAATTGAGTTAGAGTTAGAGTGTTAAGTTTTTCTGAATTTAACATCTGTATTAAATTTTAACCTAGAATTTAACTGACCTGGCAAGGAGGCCATTAGGGAAGCCCTCAAGGGGTTAAGAGTGGAGAGGAAATCTTGTTATAGGAGATCTCCCAGTAGACAAGGGTTTGGGGAGATATTTTTAAGACAAAGAATTCAGGGCAGGTGCAGTGGCTCACGCCTGTAATTCCAGCACATTGGGAAGCCAAGGTGGGCGGATCACCTGAGGTTGGGAGTTCAAGGCCAGCCTGACCAATATTGAGAAACCCAGTCTCTACTAAAAATACAAAATTAGCTGGGCATGGTGGTGCATGCCTGTAATCCCAGCTACTTGGGAGGCTGAGGCAGGAGAATCCCTTGAACCTGGGAGGCGGAGGTGAGCCAAGATCGCACCATTGCACTCCAGCCTGGGTAATAAGAGCGAGACTCTGTCTCAAAAAAAAAAAAAAAAAAAGACAAAGCATTCAGCAAATGTAAAAACATGGAAGCAGGAAACAGCATGACACCTTGGGGAAACTAAATGGCACTAAATAGCAGGGCTATAAGGAGCCTATTGTGCAGTTATTATTATGCAAAACTGACATAATTGGCCAGGTTCAGGGAATTTTCCATCCTAATTACTTTGTTCAGGTAGTTTCACTTCTTCTTCCATCAACTTATTGTTTAAAATGAGATACTAAAGAAAAATCAGTTGGCCATTCTTAGAGCTGGTTGAAGTGATTTTTCAGAGGATCTGGACAGCAGCCTGCATTGGTTTCAGCTCAGAAAATACATACTACCAAAAATAAACGCATCTCTGTCTACAGTTCTGCAGCTGGAGGAAACAAAGCAGATGGCTGTGAAACCAAGAGCAGCCTCCACAGAACACCTTGAAACAGTACAGCCAGCGAGGGTAGGCTCCAAGAGCCCAAAAGGGAAAGTTTGGGTGGTGTGTGTGTGCGTGTGTGTGTGTGTGTGTGCGTGTGTGTGTGCGCGTGCGTGTGCACACACTCGCAGCCTTCAAACTGTCCGCAAAGAAAGCACATCAGAAACCTTATGCTGGAAGGAACACCCACTCCAACTTTCCACATCTTCCGTACATGTTACGGACGGGAATTACGGAGGTCATATGGTGTGAACAGAGTTCTGGAGTCAGGCTCCCCAATTTTTATCCTAATTCTGCCACTTCTTATCTTTATGACCTTGGGCAAAATACTTTATTACTCAGTGCCACAATTTTATCTTCTTCAAAATGAGGGTGATAATAGAACTTATCTCCTAGGATTATTGTAAGAAATAAATGTGATAGTTTGTGTGTCCAGCCCACGGCAAGTGCTCATGAAATGATAGCCTTTTGTTTGTTGTTTCTGGTGTTGTTGTTGTTATTTTTTTATGGAGCACCATGTATTTCTTATTTCTAATCTTATAAACTACTCCATAATGTGCATAGCATTTTTTTCCTCTTTCTTATTAAGGAATGGGAGGTCCAGACAGTTAGAGTGGTTTGTCCAAGCTCATTCAGCAGGTAAAAGAACTGGAATTTGAATCCAAATTTATCAGATGTTAAAATTCACGCTCTTTCTGCAATATACAATTGTGTTGCACAGAATAAAATGTATATCCATTGATAGTAGGACGAGGACTAGAAGCCCAAGCAGATGGCAGTCCTAGGGTATCAACTGTGATATAATGGGGAATATCAAGTGTAGAACAGTCCTGGCTTTGAATACAAGCTCTGTTGCTTACTGTAGGGGCTCAGAAAATCATTTAACTTCACTGAGCCTGCCTCAGTGTTCTCATTTTTAAAAAGGAGTTTTGTAGGAGTTTAAAATGGACTTCATAGAGATTTTGCTAAGATTATCTCAGCACAATTTTTAATACCCCCAGGAATCCATTGACCCCATGACTAAATCAACTCTGTTGTTATAGACATTTATCACAGTAGGCAACTCTCCCTGTAGTGTCTATTACATTGGCAACTTCCATTCCCCCTTTTGGTCATTATTTTATGTTTTTCTACCATGCCTGAGTGTAAACCTCAATAAGAGCTGAGCTCCTCATTTTAGCACCCAGTTCGGGGCCTTCTGGCACACACAGTATGAGAGAGCTCCATAAAATGTTAATATGCTAATTTTTTCACTTCTTGGCTCCTAGTTCAGTGTTCCATCCACTGCTGCTTAGGGAGAAACCCTGTATCCCAAAAACTCAAGCAGTGAATTTATGAACCAGAACGTGTAGGAAGCAACTAACTGATTTTCAAGGCTGGATTAAGCTATATTTTTCAGCACTGAAAATGAGTGACCAAAAGTTTCCTCTGTTAAGTCAGAGGTTTAGTTGAGATGATGTCCGAAGGCTTTTTTTAGGAGTAAGAAGTGACAATTGCATCTTGGTCAGAAAATCGAAGGCTATGAAACTTAGAAAGACTCTGTGAAGTCATTTAGCCAGATATTCATTTTGTGTGTAAATTGTTCTCCCGCACAACAGGATGAAGCTAACCCATCCTGCTGTTCTCCGAACGTTGTTCTGAAGGATAAAATTCTATTTTGTAAGTACAAACACATTGCTGAAGAGATGATGAAAATTCAATCCCTATTGCATCAGCAATTAAAAGGCAATCTTTAGAGGTGTTTTAAAACACAAGATGGCTCAGCTAATTTGCATATGATAGAGTTTGCAAGTGTGTCAACCACAGTGTGTTTTCCCTTTTCAAGGCAACATATCATGTATTAGCATGGGCTTGAGTTATGGGGATCAGAAATAAGCTCAAATTCTGATCCTTTCATTTATCATTTTTTATTACTGTGAGAGCCTGGTGTCTCCTTTCATCGTCTGTATGAAAGTGATTATACTGCAGAAATGATGGTGATGATGATGATGAACTGTGATTGTCAACTCTTGAAAGTAAAGATGAAAATACGACTAACTTATTAAAAAGATCATGCCTTTCACAGCAACATAGAGGGATCCGGAGGCCATAACTCAGAAACAGAAAGCCAAATACTCCATATTCTCATTTATAAGTGAGAGCTAAATGATGTATAAACATGGACATAGAGAGTGGAGTAATAGAAATTGGAGACTTGGAAAGGCGAGTGGATGGAACTGGGGTGAGAGATGATGGATTACCTAAGGGGCACAGTGTATATATTATTTGAGTGATGGTTACACCCAAGTAAAACTCCAGACTTCACCACTATGCAGGATATTCATGTAATAAAACTACACTTTACCCCCTAAGTCTATAAAAATAATAAAATTAAAAAACAGAGATACGGTTTCAACCTCTTCCTCTATTTTTTTTTTTTAATTTTTTTTACAGACAGGGCCTTGCTAAGTTGGCCAAGCTAATCTTAAACTTCTGGCCTCAAGCAGTCCTCCCAACTCAGCCTCTTAAGCTATTACAGGATTACAGGAGTAACTGCATCTTTCTAGTTGTTTATTTGTTTTGTGTTTTTTTTTGGGTTTTTTTTCCTTTTCAGAAAAAAAAAACAACAGAGTAAGTGTATTTGACAGTTCAAAATTCACAGCAAGTACATATTTTATTTAAATTGTTTCATGACTGTAAATAATTTAAATATATCCCTATAATAGTCAACAAGTTTCAGGAGAGGAAAATTTTGCTGTATTAAATTTGTTACTCTAGGTAATATAAGGTACTAATTGCCAAGATAAAATAAATTATGTTCTATTTCTTCTATTTGAGTTTATACGGAAACAAGCCAAAGAAAGTTAAATGTCATCCCCCCGACCCTATTTCCTGATGTAACTAACATGAGGAGAAAAACCACTGAGCAGCAGAACCAAAAAGAGTCTGCTTTGATGGGAAGGATTGTCAGTGGACATCAAGAAGAACTCAACTTTGGTCACAGACAAGGTCCACCCTTGAGACTCAGCCCTATCCTTCCTGTATGTTAAAAATAGGCTCCCTCATGGAGATGCTGTGGCCCCAGGAAAAGCCTGGGTTTCCAGTGGGTCAGGTTCATCCTGGGGGAGCCTTACAGATGTCTCATCATCTCTACATTAGTCTGCTAGGGCAGTCATAGTAAAGTACAACAAGCTGAATGGCTTAAACAACTGAAATGTATTTCGCTCAGTTGTAGAGGCTGGAAGTCCAAGGTTGAAGTGTTGGCAGAGTTGGTTTCTTCTAAGTCCTCTCTCCTTGGCTTGCAGATGATGGTCTACTCCCTTTGTCTTCACAGGGTCTTCCCCCTGTGCCTGTCTGTGGCCAAATCTTCTCTTTTTATAAGAATGCCAGTCATGTTGGATTAGCACCCATACTAATGACTTTTTTAACTTAGTTATCTCTTTAAAGGCTGTACCTCTAAATATGGTCACATTCTAAGGTACAAATGAGTTTTGTCAGGGATGCAACTGAACCCTTAACAAGCTTCAACCCTCAGTCCACTGTTTGCAGAATGGAATTGTGTGATTGGTGCCGTGTATTTTTTTGTTTTTTCCTTTTGATTCACACAAACCATCATTGGGCTTTTCTAAGTGTCCTGTGTAAATGAGTACTTGATTCAAACAAATAAGATGGATACACTTGAAAGAATTGAAATTGGTTCTAAATTGTGAAAATTAGTTCCTGAAAATATAAATAAATAGCTGGTTTTATTTGAAGCTACCTAAGTTTCAGGCATTCTTTTTTGTACCAGGTTCAAAGAATTAAAAGGAAAGGACATCTCACCCTTGTGGAGTCTAGGGTATAAAGCAGAAAAGAGCAAGCAAAAAACAAGCAACTAAAATTGAGGTCAATGCTATGAAGGAGAAAGAGGTGATGCAGGAGTGTTTTATAATCCTGAACGGTGACTTTGAATTTTTCAGATATAAAGGTTAGGGAGAGAAGGGGTATGCAATTTCAGACAGCAGAAAGTCTTTGAAGAAATAACTAACGTGACTCCTTTGGAAAACCTCACCATGCTAGTGTGGTTGGAGACCCAAGTGGGAAGGGGCCAGGGTGCCGAGAGACCAGGTTTCAAATTGGCAAGAAAAATATCACAGAGAGATTTGCTGAACCAAAACTCAGCTCAGCCTACTTGCCAATTTTGCCATTTTTGTTATTTTATGCTGGTGCTATTTTTATTCACTGTTGTTCTTTTTTCTGACTAGAGATGGAATTAAGTCCAGGATTCATTTCTGTACTCTCTTTATAGTGTTCTGTCTTACGTATTTTTCCCTGAGAAGGACCAGAGGATGTGGTCGCCTTTTCAAAACTTTGCAGTGGGCGTCCTCATCCCCAACATCCTTCCATACCTCCCTCTGTCCCTATCCTCGCAGTACCCTCAGGTTGCTCAGTTTTTGTTTGCCTCCAGAAGAGGAGGGGAGATTGGGAAGAATGAACTGGGCTAGAACTTCCTCCTGACTTTAGAAATGCAAGTTTGTGCAGCTTAAATTTCTGCCACCCGGAAGGGACTAATCCTGGAGCTGCCATAGGCTTTGGGGAACCTCATCAAGGTAGAGAGTAATGGATAGTCTCTGATTCTTTCTACCAGTGGACCAGCACCTTCAACTCAATTCAGAAACATCAGTAAATCTTTTTCCAGGCTAATAACACACAAAGTATGCTTACCCACATGTATTAGGTATGAGACATTACTTAGTACATACAGTATGTAATCATTACCTATTTTCATAAACAAATGCTACTCAGCACCTAAGTATCATTCCAGTTAATACCCCCACTCTCACACTATGCATTTTCCATGAAAGAAGCATCAAACCACCCTCAAGCCCTCAGAACAGCCCCTATTTATAAAATACTGGGTCCACTCTATTTCATTCATTCATTCATTCCTTTGTTTATGTGACAAACAGTTTTTGAGGAGGTATTAATAATGCCAAGCACTATTCTTGGTGATACAGAAGTGAACAAGGAATGGTTATTATTAATGGCTTCTTTCTAGCATTAAATTCTAAGACCACTCATGTACTTTTCTTAATAAGTCAGCACCCTCATTGACCTCATTTTTTTTCCAAGTGATAAAGGATGTTAGATCACAAGGGAACTACCTGCTGAAAGTTAAAACTCAGTGATGATTGGCAACTAGGAAAAGACAGAAAAACTTTCAACCAGAAAAGCATAGATAATCTAACCCATAATCTCTGGAGATATCTCCAAAGTAAATGTAATTTACTGATATGCATAATGACAAGTGATACATTGAGAAAAAAGCTTAGTTTTTCCTCACTCCTTTCCTCAATTAAATTTACGATCAATTCCTATCAATTATACCTCTTTATCATTTTCTATATTAATACCTTCTTCTTCATTTTCTCTGCTACCATCTTGAATCACACCCATATTATCTTTTTCCTGAATTATTGTACTAATTTTCTACCTGTCATATCTCCTTCCAACATCTCATGACTCCAGTATATTCCCTCCAAAGCCAAGCTGATCACTCTGAAGTGGAACTGTTAATGAGCACTGTTCTTAACTAAAATTATGTAGTGACTCTGTATTTCCAATGGCATGTATTTCAAAATGTCATAAAAAGTCCTTCAGGATTTGGCCCCTGCAACCCTGTCCAATCTCCTTCTTGGCATATGGAATGAACTGTGGCTTGGCTCCAGATCTTAACTCCCTCTTTTCACTGCCCAAGATTCCTTCTTTCCAATGTACATCTGGCAAAACCAAATCACTTTTCAAGAATTAGCACAGTTGTTACTTCCTCTTACTGCCCCTCGCCTACTCCAGCTTTGTACCTCTCCTCTCACTGTGTGTGCACTTCTCCAGAGTTATAGCATATGGTATCTCTTTCTGACATCTGCTCTATGTATCCCCAGATGTTCAACCACCTTAGGGCCAGAGCCAGTCTTAATTATTCATTTCTATGTTCCCAAACCTTCAACAGTACCTGTTGTGTAGTATTTGTCTAGTGAATTTGTGTCAATGAATTTAAATACAGAATTAACACATAAATAGTGAATAAATGCAGTGTCCTCAGTGTAATTAGATAGAAAAAATGAGTAATGATTTAAAAAGGTTTCTATCACACAGTTGTTACAGAATTTTTTAAATGTTTTAAATATTTGAACAGAGAATTGTCAATATTCAAGAGGATTCATTGGTTAAGAACACCCCAAATTAGAGCTGTTAGTATTCTGTGCTATTGTTGACCATTTATACATGTATCTCCCCAGAAAGATAGATGATAGTCTTCTTGAAATAATTGGCCACACCTTCTCTATTACTGTATACCCATCGTATACAAAAATACATATGCTTCATAAATATTGAGGTTTTTACATTTGTTTTTTAAATTGTGATAAAATATATATAACATAAAATGTTACAATTTTAACCATTTTTAAGTATACAGTCTGGTGGCATTAAATACATTCTCACTGTTCTGCAACCATCACCACTGTCCATCTCAAAATCTTTTTCACCATCCCAAGCTGAAATTCTGTACCCATGAAGCACTAACTACACATTACTTTATCCCTCTAAGGCTTGTAACATCTATTCCACTTTCTATCTCCATGAATTTGACTATTCTATGTACCTTATATAAGTGGAAACACAATATTTGTCATTTTGCTACAGACTTATCTAATTTATCATAATTTCTTCAAGATTCATCTATGATATAGTTTGTGAAATTGTTTAAACAATTTTATTCCTTTTTGAGGCTGCATAATATTCCATTGTATATATATAGCACATGTTTTTATCTATTCATCTGTCAACGGGCATTTGGGTTGTTTTCATCTTTTGGCTATTGTGAATAACACTGCCATAACCATCTGTGTATAAAGATGTGAGTCCCTGCTTTCATTTCTTGTGCACATATATCCATAAGTACAATTTCTGCATTATATAGTAATTCTATGTCTAAATTTTTGAAAAACTGCTAACTTGCCTTCTGTCATGGCTACACAATTTGACATTCCCATAAGAAATGCACAAGTGTTCTAATTTCTTCATATCTTCACCAACATTTATTCTTTTTTTTTTTTCAGAGTAGTCATCTTAATGGGTGTGGCCTCTTAAATATTTATGCATAAATGAAAAAGCAAACATGATCTACCGAACTTCTTCATAAGGAAGATCCAGCAAGCGGGTTAATAGATAATAAATAAATGTAGGTACAAGGGCAGTGGTCACTTATTTAAAGCACAGTTTTGGGGAGTAAACTTTTGGTTCTTCCATTTACCAGTTTAGTAAACGACGGAGAAATCAGTATTTTCCGGTTTCTCAATCTGTAAAATGGGTTTAATGACATCAAGTGCACAATGTTATTTTGTCAAACAAATAATGCCAATAAAAGCCCTCCTAAAAGCATTATTCCAAAGAGACCCATTAATAGTGTGATTATTACAGTTTCAACAAATCAAGTGCCAGTGGGGCTTGTGAGACATTTCCTTTTACCACCACCCACCCTTCTCCTAAACATTCAAATAACAGTAGCATTGTGTCTTTCCATTTCCTTGGGAATGAGCAGGGACGCTAGCTGAGAGTCAGAAGTCTGCAGTCTGCATCCTGTTCCTCTTATGAGCCAGTGACCTTTCATAAGGTACTTCACATATGTGAGCTTCTGTTTTCCTCACCTGAAAATAGTGAACAAGATAACTATCTCAAAGCATGGTGGTGAGTAGCAAATGAGATAATGTCTAGAAAAAAGTGTCAGAAGACCTGAAATAAATAATAGCCATATTTGAGTCTAAATCTCTGCTCTCTGCAGAATGAAAATAGGCATGAATTGTTCAATCAGAGAAGCTAATCTGGGCTTTCATGCAAACCATCCATGTGTTCCCCATTTCCCTACCTGCCATAGAGGATCAATGAGATAATACATGTGTATAATTCCCTTGAAAGTGCTTTGGAAAGTATAAAGTACTATAAAATGCAGGTTGTCATTACAATTCTTATTAGGGGTTTCATTCAATGCTATTAAAATTCGACAGCAGGTGGAATAGAAAAGTCAGGCAGATTTCCAAACAGATAATAACTTTTATCAGCATCAGACTGAATCCAAAGTATGCACGCACTTTTATTCAGCAATGGAAATAGCTGCAATTAATTTAATAACCAAGCAAAGCAATGAATTAATGGGAAGTCATTTTCTGATGAATTTTTTCCCAATGAGTAAAAAAAATGACTGAAATAATTAAGCAAATATATTGGTCATGCTGATTTGGAAGCTGGTATCAGGGCAAACTTCATTTGTGCATATACCATGGTCACCTCTTTGTATAAATGTAAATGGGAAGATGAAAGTATGACCTGATACAGAGAGAGTAAACATTGTTGGGAGGTCACCAAATAACATGAAGTCAACCAGTTATAGTATATAGGTAGGAAAACTGAAGATCAGAAGTGAAATGACATGCCTTAGTCCACCCATTTAGTAAGAAGAGCCAGGCCTAGAACTCATGTCTCCCAAATGTCATACCAATAAGATTAAATGAATAAGAACCTCAATTCAGAAGATTTTGGTTTGAGTCCAGACTTTGTTACTTTTAAGAGTATGACCTCAGTGAAAGGTTGTTATTTGTTGGCTTCATTCAAGGCTTTTCATTTTAGAAGTGTAAGATGGGCATTCCAGTGCCTTTTTTGTTGTGTTTTGCACATTTGACCTAAAATCGCTTGGTCAAAACCTTAATCGGTTACTAAGTATGGACAATTTCCTCATTAGCCTCATCTAGAATCTACACTGAACGTAGAACAATGTTTGTTAAACTGGAACGTGCAACCCAATCACCTGATTCTGATTCACATTGTTGCGGTTGGTTCCTGAGGTTCTGCATTTCTGACAGGCTCCTATGTGATGTGGATGCTGCCAATGCATGCACCATCCTCTGAGAACCAAAGACAGAAACAATGTGGAGACCACCTCCCACACAGACCCTTGGAATACTTTACCTTAATTATGTCTACCAGTGATACAGTTTGAATATTTGTCCCCACCCAAATCTCATGATGAATTGTAATCCCCAGTGCTGGAAGTGGGGCCTGGTGGGAGCTTTTTGGACTATGGGAGTGGATCCTTCATGGCTTGGTGCTGTTTTCGTCATAGTGAGTTCTCATGAAATCTGGTCATTTTAAAGTGTGTGGCACCTCCCCACTCCTTCTTGTTCCTGCTTTTGCCACGTAACATACCTGTTTCCCCTTTGCCTTCTGCCATTATTGGAAGCTTCCTGAGGGGTCTCCAGAAGCAGATGCCACTATGCTTCCTATACAGCCTGCAGAACCATGAGCCAATTAAATCTCTTTTCTCATAAGTTACCCAGTCTCAGGTATTTCTTTTTAGCAATGCAAAAATGGACTAATACAACCAGTGTCATGGAAATATGATGTGCTATGCTTCAAACCCACATTATAGATGGACAAATGTTGATATAAATTAAGACTATTTCTTCATTACAAGATCTTTCTCATTATAATGCTCTTCAATCTTAGTCATCTTCCTATCACCAGAGCAACTGGCATTACACAATAAACAGCCTGATCTGTTTTGAGGAGAAGTAACCCAGACAAATCTGTGAATTCAACTTTGTTCCTAGTTAGAGGCACTGCTTTAATCATTTTCGGGGAACAGTGTCTCTCCTCATTAGTAGCGGACAATTTCCTAACTCTCCAGGAAATTTCTGATCTTTGAATTTCAAAATATATGTAGATTCATGTATGTCCTCCTTCATAGCTCACTCAATGGCATTTTAGAATCTCCTTCCATCTCAAACTGAAAAGAGAGGAAAGCCATTGAGTTTATAATGCTACTGCTTCTGCTGCTAATGATGATGATGATAGCAATCATTTATCAAGTACTTACAATGCACAAGGTATTGTTTTAGGCATTTTACTATGTGAATTTGTACACTCTTTACAATGACACTAGATAGATACTATTATTAGTTGTTATTATTAGTCAACCTACTCAAGATTGCACATCTAATAAGTGGGAAGTTAAGACTTAAATCTAGCTGATTTGAGTCCTGGGTCAACATATCTGACATTTACATTGTTAATGGAAAAACCAAACTGTAAAATATTTCAGAAAGATTTATTCTGAGCCAATACAGAGAGCTACAGCCAGGGAAATCATAGTCTCAAGGAGTCCTAAGAAATTGCACTCGAGGCAGTCAGATTACAGTTTGGTTTTGCACATTTTTAGGGATGTGGGAGATAACAGGCAAAGACATAAACCAATACAAGGAAGATATATGTTGTTCTGCCCAAAAAGGCAGAATATCCTGAAGCAGGAGCTTACAGGTAATAGGTAGATTCAGAGATGCTTTAATGTACAATTTGTAAAGGAGTAAGATTCTGTCTAAAACTTGGAGTCAGCAGAAAGGAATGTTTTAAGTTAAGATAAGGATGCCTATGTAGCAAGATTGATGCCCTGTGGACATGACTTAACTTTTGCCTTGCACAGCCTTAAGTCTTTTTTATAATTTATTACCTTATTGCCAGAAAGAATCTGTTTTGTCACTCTCATTATCTCTATTTTAACATTAATGCTGGTCAATTGTTGTGGCTAAACTCCAAAAGGGAGGGCATATAAGGAGGCCTGACTAACCTCCCTTCCCATTAAAGCCAGGTACTCTTTGTTTAAGGTTTCTCTGGGGTCCCCTTGGTCAAATGGGGGTCTATTCAGTCACTGGGGACCTTAGGATTTCATTTTTACTTTACAATGTTATAAAAATAAAGTTCAAATTCCTATCATACAAAATCTGTCATGACATTGTCTCCAAAGAACTTTCCCATCATAAATTCAGCCCTCTCTCCCTTGTTCTTCATCCTACCTGTCAAAATGCAACTCATGGCGGGGCATGGTGGCTCACACCTGTAATGTCAGCATTTTGGGAGGCCTAGGTGGGCAGATCACTTGAAGTCAGGAGTTCAAGACCAGCCTGGCCAACATAGTGAAAGCCCGTCACTACTAAAAATACAAAAATTAGCCAGGTGTGGTGGTGGGTGCCTGTAATCCCAGCTACTCAGGAGTCTGAGGCAGGAGAATCACTTGAACCGAGGAGGCAGAGGTTGCAGCAGTGAGCCGAAATCGTGTGATTGCATTCTAGCCTGAGCAACAGAGCGACTCTGTCTCAAAAAAAAAAAAAAAAAAAAAAAAAGAGTAACTCATCTCTTTAACTCTCAACTTAAGTGAAATTTCCAGAAAACTCTCTTTGTAATCCCTAGGTTGGTAGAAATGCTTTTCTTTTGGCCTCAATGAAACCTCAAGCATCTCTGGACATTTTATTTTTCAGAATCACCTTTAAAATATCCTTTACTCAACTCTTATTCTACAGTTCTTACACTTGAATAGGATGTGTTTTATTACTTTGTCAAAATGAAATGATTTTCCTTAAATGCTTCACTCTCATTCTCTAGTACTTAATGCATCTTGTAGAAAGTGTTCTGCTTGCATATTTGTCTCCTCATTGATCTAACAAGGTGTGGATCAGATCTACTTTATCTCAGTATTCCAAAGGCCTACCATTTACTGATGGCTCAACAAATACCTATAGTCTGAACCCTACTGCAGTGTAGAGATGAGAAAACAGAGGCCCTTATCATCCAGTGAGACCACCCAGTGAGGGTCAGATCCAGGTCTTAATCTTTGGTTGCATGACTCAAGAACTGCTGACTATTCCTCTGTATTCTGCATATAACTATGGACAGGTATACAATGCCCACACTTCAAGAAATTTATACTGAGAGAATTGCAGAATATTCATTCAGTGTATCACGAATGAGACTGTTACTATTGAAAGAGACCAAGAGGGAGTATTTGAGAGAAATTACATTTTGACAACATATTAAAAAGCTACCTGACCTTATTCAAGTGGAATGAATAGGAGGAACTGTACCAGAAGATGCTCAGAAAAGCCAGTGCCCATTCTTATCCAAATAGGCCCTCTGAGTCTTCTTTCATTTCCATTCAGAGCCATTATTTGGGACCTAAATTGCTAAAGGGCAATTGCTTCCTTTTCTAATGCTTTTGAATGTGTGAGGCCATTATCTGTGGCTTAAAGTATAGGATATAAAATTCACATATCAAGTATCATTTGAGGCTCACACACACCATGGAATCATCCTTATGAAAAATAATTGGATTTGGTGAACATCTTCTCTTCGCTATAGAATAATATCTTTGGGAAAAAGCACATTTATACATTTATTCATCATTCAATTATCCATTCAAAAAACCAACAAACATCTATTTATTCATTCAACACATTCATTCAAAAAAATGTCTTTTGAGCTTCTTTTATAGAAGGCACTAGAATTTGAGTAGAATATAGAATGATGGTTGAAATAGATGAGATTCCTGTCCTCTCTGTGTTTCTAGTCCAGGGCCTGGGAATATAAGATAATTATTCTTGCTCTTACAAAACTCGTAAATCATTAATTCATTTTAAAATTAATTCTGGGCTGGGTGTGGTGGCTCATGCCTGTAATCCCAGCACTAAGGGAGACCGAGGCAGGTGGATCACCTGAGGTCAGGAGTTCGAGACCAGCCTGGACAATATGGCGAAACCCAGTCTCTACTAAAAATACAAAAATTAGCCAGGTGTGGTGGCACCTGCTACTCAGGAGGCTGAGGCGGGAGAATCGCTTGAACCTGAGAGGCGGAGGTTGCAGTGAGCCAAGATTGTGCCATTGCACTCTAGCCTGGGCAACAGAGCAAGACTCTGTCTCAAATAAATAAATAAAAATTATTTCTGCAAGTGCATATTGAGAAATTACACACATTTCAGTTTCTGCTTGCTTGTGGCTATAATTGGTTTGAAGAACAAAATTGAATTGACATGCACATTTTCTTGTACACATATGGCTCATCACTACATAATTTTTACCAATGTAGAATTTATAAGGAACTCAGGACAGCTTAACTGATGTCTCCAGCATGATACAGCAGAAAAGGAAAGAAAAAATGAATTAGAAATCAGGGCTAGCACCCTACATCTACACTGCACCTTTTCCACTATTTCACCTGAGTAAGGATGTGGCATTTTTCATATATTCAGTACAAAATTAATATGATAGTGACCGTCATCTTTTAAATTACTGGTTGTTTATAAGGTACTTTTGTCCAGTGTTTTCATACATTCTAAGAGCTTGCATTCAGAGGTGATGACTCAAGTACTGTCAGTGAGGAGCTAGCACTTGCACCTATTCTAAAGACATCCCCATGTTTTTTTAATTTCATGTGATTTCTCTATCTGGTCATGGTTCAGTCCTACTAATTAGTTGCCCTCTCTCATAACTTCTGGCCACTACCTCTTGTCTGAGTCCTGATGTCTTTGGACATTTGCTTGTCCTGTTTTGGTTTCAGCAACAGTGATAAGATGAGCTACAATGATATTCTTCTGTATGGCAATTATGTTTTTTTTTCTCCTGGAATAAAATGGAGGTGGGCAAGGAAGAAACCAAGTAAGACAGATTGAGGTCATAGTAAATCCATCTTAATGAGGAATGCTGCGGTAGAGTGGTGCTTGAGCTCGCCCAAGTACCGAGTACCAAATCTGGGATGTAAGGTAGGTTTCTGGCAATGTGACCTACCCAGTCTCCATCAATACACTTATTTTGGGCATATTTTATGCCCTCTATCTCATGCTTTGTCCCAACTCATTGCTCTGGCCCTTGCTATGGCAACCATCTGTATGGAGGTGTATCCTCAGAGACATCACTCCGTTTCAGCCATGTGGGACATCTGTCATGAGCTGCTCAACCATCCTGGACATATACATACTTAAAAATGTCAAAGAATTAACACCCTCTGAAGTTATAGGCCTAAAACTCCTCAGCAAATACTGGCCTCTCTAGTGCTTTGAGGGAAAAGTCTGAGGTGCATTTCATAGGTCCCCAAGAAGTCTTCAGTGGGATTGAACTCTACATGCCCAGAGCAGTAACCAGCCTCAAAAATGCATAGTGAAATTGGTCTCCTTGGCTTTCCTTTTACTCCCTCTAGACCCTCCACTCTCATCCCCTGAGGTCACTACCTAAAGCAAATTACCTGAATAAAATCCTTTCTCTCGGGTTCTATTTTCTATATCAGAGGAATCTTTCAGGAACAAACACAATAGTCTAGAGAACATTCTATTCTAAGAAATTTTCACTGTTTTGATCACATCACAAGCTAAAACACCACGTAAGAGTGTTTTGTAATCTTTTTAAATGCATATGTTTGAATGGTTAATTTTATGTGTCAACGTGACTGGATTAAGAGATACATAGGTAGCTGGTAAAACATTACTTAAGGGTATGTCTATGAGGGTGTTTCCAGAGGACATTAGCCTTTGAATCAGTGGACTGAGTAAAGAAGATGTACCCTCACCAGTGTGAGTGGGTCTCATCCAATCCATTGAGAACCTGCCTGAATAGAATAAAAAGGTAAAGGAAAGGAGAATTCTGTCTCTCTCTCTCCTCAATCAGAACCTTCCATCGTCATCTGCACTACCGCCATTGGAGCTACAGGTTCTCGGGCTTTTGGATTACAGGATTGATGCCGAAGCCCCCTCCCCCAGTTCTCAGGCTTTTGACTTTGGACTGGAAGTTATAGCATAGGCTTTCCTGGTTCTCAGATGCTCATACTTGGGCTGAGTGACACCACTGTCTTTCCTGAGTTTCCAGCTTGTGGACCATATATCATGGGACTTCTCAGCTTCCATAATTGCTGGAGCCAATTCCCATAATAAATCTCTTATCTATCATCTATCATCTATTATCTATCTATCTATCCATCTATCTATCTATCTATCTATCTATCTATCTATCTATCTATCTGTCTATCCACTTATCTATCTATCATCTATCTATCCTATATACCTATATCCTATTGGTTCTGTTTCTCTGGGGAACTCTAACTTAACATGTGACATGGCATAAAGAAAGGAAAAGTATTTATAGGCCAAAACATGTTAAAAAAAAAAAAAAAAAAAACATGCCTTCAGAGAGGTGAGCAAGTACCCAAGACAGGAGCTGCCTTTGGGATATCGACAGAATTTTGGCAGTCTAAAGCTTTGGTTTTAAAGAGATGCACAGGGACAAGAGATAAAATTTAGACTTAATTCAATGGAAAGCATGGATTTGAGACTCCCACATAAAACATAAAATATGGCACCTTCAGAGAGTAGACTAAAAAATAAGTACCCAGATAAAAGAGGTAATATGAACACTTAATCTTTTTTTTTCTTGGCCCATTTAGGGTAAAACAAAGTAAACTTGTCTCCTTGAGGATTTACAATTATATTACACTGATTATGAGATTTTAGAGCTTGAATTAGGTCTCGTTGAAGATTCCTAAGTGAAGATTTTAATTTAAAAGGGTCCTAGATTTGTAGAACCGAGGTCTTTGCATAATTCTAGATCATTCCTTTAATCTGCTCTTCATCTTTAACCTTTCCTTCCACTTTTGCACAGTGATTATTCCAAGCTTTCTTCATTCTACTGAAAACCTGCACTGCATACACATTTTAAAAGCTATATTATGAAAATCAGGTATGACTTTGTAGACTCTGAGAGCCACGAAAGTCTTTACATAATGTGATTAAATCAGTTGAAATTTTATCAGAACATAATACAGAGTATTGTGTTTGTTCCTGAAAGATTCTTCTGATATTTTATGGTGATTTGATTATAGTAGAACAATGTTCCATAGGCTGAAAAAACATTGAATGAATAGCAAGCAATATACTTGAAATTACTGTAAAAGTAGATTCTTACTAGCTCCAAATACAATCTATATTGATTTTGTTTTAAAAAAAAACAATGTCTTACAAAGGAAGGGAATAACCATCTCATTTCAGTGAAAAATTAAATATTTTAGCCTGTTCCCAAAATGATCAGGGGCAAGCCATTCTCTGTAAATATTCTTACAAATAGGGTGCTTCCTTTGGCAGAGCTGGGCAATAAACCAGTGACTTGGTAAGTGTGACTAAAATTTTGGGACAAACATGGAAGATCTATACCATGGTATTGGTGGGTAACAGAATTCCACCTTGGACTTTGTGTTTTACCCTGATGGATCTGTCCCCAAAATTCAGTACTAACAGTTGCTTTAAGATGCTGTCTGAGTGAGATTCAATGTATGCCTTCTGCAAAAGGTATCAGGAGAACCGAGAACATATTATTGTATTTTACTCTTCATTTAAACATTCCAATTCTCCACCTGGCTTCACTTCTGGACTCACAACTTCAAACTCTCTTGCAGAATAGAAGTTTTTGTTCTTTGAAAGAGTAAATTGCCTTGTATAAGCTACTGTCCACCCTAATAAGGCCTCATAGCTTATAAAAAGTCAGAAGACTTTTTTATATTACCTACTCACATTTTTTTGGCCTGACATCTGTTCCATTAGTATGAGTGTTTCATTTATGCTTGAGAGTAATGAATATCCTGATTATAGAGCATAAGGTTCTGAATTTGTTCATTATCTTGAAATTACTAATGCATTGTTCAAATCATCTACAGGCTATGACTGTTTCATTTATTCCTCTATCAATTATTGAGAATACTATCAAATACTGAGAGTATTCAATCTCCCACTGTATTGATGGATTTTTCATTTTCAGCTTCTAATACTTTTGATTTGAAGAATTGTTATGGCTGGGTGCAGTGGCTCATACCTGTAATCCCAGCACTTTGGGAGGCCAAGGCAGGCGGATCACCTGAGGTCAGGAGTTAGAGACCAGCCTGGCCAACTTGGTGAAACTCTGTCTCTACTAAAAATACAAAAATTAACCAAGTGTGGTGGTGGGCACCTGTAATCCTAGTTATTCAGGAGGCTGAGGCAAGAGAATTGCTTGAACCTGGGAGTTAGAGGTTGCAGTGAGCCAAGATGGTACCACTGTACTCTAGCCTGGGTGACAGAGCGAGACTCCATCTCAAAAAAAAAAAAAAAAAAAAAGAAGAAGAAGAATTGTTATATCTGTTGGTAGTTTATTTTGCTGTACAGAAGCTCTTTAGTTTAATTAGCTCCCACCTGTCAATTTTTTGGGTGACAATTGCTTTTGAGGACTCAGTCATAAATTATTTGCAAAGGCTAATGTATAAAAGGTTATTTACCAGGTTATCTTTTAGGATTTTGTTTTTTTTTTTTTGCAATCAGAGGTCTTTTGTTTAAGTGTTCAATTCATCTTGAGTTAATTTTTACAAATGGTGATAGGTAAGGGTTCAGTTTTATTCTTCTGCATATGGCTAACCAGCTTCCCCAGTACCACTTATTGAGTGGGAAGTTTCTCCATTGCTTATTTCTGTTGACTTTGTCAAAGATCATTTGTTTGTAGGTGTGTGATTTTATTTCTAGGTTCTGTTAGGTTCCATTGGTCTATGTGTCTATTTTTGTACCAGTACCATTCTGTTTTGGTTAGTAGCCTTGTAGTATAGTTGGAGATCAGGTAATGTGATGCCTCATGCTTTGTCTTTGTGCTTAGGATTGCTTTGGCTATTCAGACTCCTTTGGTCCCATACGAACATTAGAAAAGTTTTTTCTAATTCTGTGAAAAATGCCATTGGTAGTTTGATAAGAATGGCATTGAATCTACAGATTGCTATTGACATATGGACATTTTAATGATATGGATTCTTCCAATCCATAAGCCTAAAATGTTTTTTCATTTATTTGTGTCATCTATGATCTCTTTCAGCAATGTTTTATAGTTAATCTTACACAGCTCTTTCACTTTCTTGGTTCGATGTATTCTTGGATATTTCATTTTTCTCAGCTATTGTAAATGGAATTGTATTCCTGATTTGGCTCTCAGCATAAACATTATTGGTGTATAAAAATGCTACCAGTTTTTGTACATTGATTTTGTATCCTGAAACATGACTGAAGTAATTTTGTAATTCCACAAGCCTTTTGTTAGGGTCTTCAGGGTTTTCTAGGTATAGAATTGTATCATCAGTGAAGAGGGATAATTTAATTTCCTCTTTCCCTGTTTGTTTGCCTTTTATTTCTTTCTCTTGCCTGACTGATCTGACTAGGACTTCCAGTACTATGTTGAATAGAAGTGGTGAGAGTGGACATCTTTGTATTGTTCCAGTTCTAAAGGGGAATGCTTCCAGCTTTTGCCCATTCAGCATAATCTTGACTGTGGGTTTGTCATAGATGGCTTTCATTATTTTGAGGTATGTTCCTTTGATGCCTAGTTTGTTGAGGTTTTTCATTATGCATGGATGTTGGATTGCATTGAAAGCTTTTTTTGGCATCTAATGAGATGATGATAAGTTTTTTGTTCTTAATTCTGTTCATATGGTAAATCATGTTTATTAATTTGTGTGTGTTGAACCAACCTTGCATCCCAGGAATAAAGCATACTTGATTTTGGTGGATTAACTTTTTAAGGTGCTGGTGGATTTGCAGCAGAGTAAACAGACTATCTACAGAATGGGAGAAGATATTTACAAACTCTGCATCCAAAAAAACCACTATTATCCCGAATCTATAAATACCTTGAACAAAACAAAAAGAAAAAAAATAAACTCCATTAAAACATGGGAAAAGGACATAAACAAGCACTTCTCAAAAGAAGACATACAAAGTGGGGATAAGTAGAAACAAGATGGCCGAATAGGAACAGCTCTGGTCTACAGCTCCCAGCATGAGTGACGCAAAAGACGGGTGATTTCTGCATTTCCATCTGAGGTACTGGGTTCACCTCACTAGGGAGTGCCAGACAGTGGGCTAGAAAACCCCATTGTCTCAGTCCAAAATCTCCTTAAGCTGATAAGCAACTTCAGCAAAGTCTCAAGATACAAAATCAATGTACAAAAATCACAAGCATTCTTATACACTAATAACAGACAAACAGAGAGCCAAATCATGAGTGAACTCCCATTCACAAATGCTTCAAAGAGAATAAAATACCTAGGAATCCAACTTACAAGGGACATGAAGGACCTCTTCAAGGAGAACTACAAACCACTGCTCAATGAAATAAAAGAGGATACAAACAAATGGAAAAACATTCCATGCTCATGGGTAGGAAGAATCAATATTGTGAAAATGGCCATACTGCCCAAGGTAATTTATAGATTCAGTGCCATCCCCATCAAGCTACCAATGACTTTCTTCACAGAACTGGAAAAATTCTTCCTTTCCAATTTGGATGCCTTTTATGTCCTTTTCTTTTCTAATTTCTCTTGCTAGGACTTATAGTACTTTGTTGAATAGAAGTGGTGAGACTGAGAATCTTTGCATTCTATTAGATTTTAGAGATACAGTTTCAGTTTTTCCCCAAAGATTAAGATGTTAGCTATGGGTTTTTCACATGCAGCTTTTCTTGTGTTGAGGTGTTCCTTTTATACCTATTTCTGAGAGTTGTTATCATGAAAGGAACTGTTTTTTCTGCACCTATTGAGATGATAATGTGAATTTTTTTCTTTCAATTAATGTGGTGTTTCACATTGATTGATTTGCATATCTTGAACAGTATTTGCATCACAGGAGTCAATTCCACTTGGCCATGGTGTATGATTATT
This sequence comes from Homo sapiens, assembly GCF_000001405.40. NCBI lineage: Eukaryota > Metazoa > Chordata > Mammalia > Primates > Hominidae > Homo > Homo sapiens. The sequence continues at coordinate 131,372,814 of NC_000008.11, read as the reverse complement.
TAAATGTGCTGTTGAATTCAGCGTACCATTATTTTTATTGAGAATTTAAAAATGTATATTCATCTGATATATTGGTCTATAGTTTTGTTTTCTTGTGGTATCTTTGCATGGCTTTGTTATCGAGGTAATTCTGGCCTCAAAATTACTTCAGAAATGTTTTCTCTTCCATTTTTTTGGGGAGAGTTTAAGAAGAATTGTTATTAATTCTTCTTTCAATGTTTGGTAGAACTCACCTGTAAGGCCATCTGGTCCTAGGCCTTTCTTTGCAGGAGGATTTTTGATGATTGATCAATCTCCGTACCCATTATTGGTCTGTTCATATTTTCTATTTTTTCATGACTCAGTCTTGTTAAATAGATTAAATAAATCTATTTAAAATCTATTTTAAAATAGATAAAATAGATTTATCTATTTTAACATGTTCTTGGCATACAGTTTTCAATTATAGTTCCTTATGATTTTTAAATATCTGAGGTATCTGTTATGATGTCTCCTCTTTCATTTCTAATTTTATTTATTTAAGTTGTCTCTATTTTTTTCTTAGTTATTCTAGCCTGAGTTTATTGATTTTATCTTATCAAAAGTTAATTCTTATTTTTGTTCATTTTTTTCTATTTAAAAAATTCTCAAATTTATTTCTGCCTTTATTTTTAATTATTTTCTTCCTTCTGTTAACTTTGGGCTTAGCTTTTTTCTATTTTTACTTCCTTGAGGTGTAAAGTTTTTTATTTGAGAACTTTCTTCTTTCTTAATCTAGGTGTTTATTGCTATAAACTGTCTTCTTAGTACTGCTTCTGCTGCAGTACTTCAAGAGTGTGTGGTTTAGTTTCCATGTATCTGTACATTTTCCTATTTTCTTTGTCATTGATTTTTTATTTTATTCCCTTGTGGTCAGAAAAGATACTTGGAATGACCACCTTAAATTTTTTAAGACTTGTTTTACAGTGCAACATGTGGTCTATCCAGGTGAATGCTCCATGTGCATTTCAGAAAAATGTATAGTCTTTTGTTGTTAGGTGCTATGAGATAGAAATGGTGTTGCTATTCATTTATTATAAACGAAGAACTGCTCTAAGGTTAATGACTAAAATCCAACTCTGTTGGATTCCTATTTTTTTCATGTATTGTTTTTTCTGATTTTGTTGAGGGTTCAAGCTCTCCTTAAACTTCTTCAAAAAACAATACTTTTGATTTTTTTTTTTCAGGCAGCCTACAATTATGCCTTTTTCAGTGTCAGTTACTGAGAATATACTGGGTTTCTTTGGTGATTTCATCGGGTGCAGGTACTATGTGTGCAGTTCCAAGGGTGGCAGGAAGGGTTGCAGAGAGTCAGGTTACCGAGAGAGGTGCATACAGTGGCAGGTCCAGCCCCTGGGGAGGGAGGAACAGCAGAGGCTCTAGTACCAGAAAGGGAGGTTGCAGCAATGAGGATTCCAGACAGCTCTATCAGCTACAGTCAGTGTCAGCAAAGACTGTAGGGGTCCTAAGTTGCATTGGCCATGGGCATCTGCAGTGGTGGAGAGGGCTGCTGGAGTCCTTGGTGGTGAAGGCTGCTGGGGTTTTCCTGTTCCCCTTTCCCCTGTGGGAAGAAGTGAACCCCGAGAGGATTCTTCTTTGTACAGACTTGTGCCAGCCTGAGTGAGGTGAGATAGATAAAATGTTTCCTACACTTTTCTATGAAGCCATCCTTAATTTTTGTGCTCCATTGGGTTGCAGTAACACACTAATTATACTCCGCAGCTCTTCCAGAGCTAGTTTCTTTCATAGATACTTGTTAAACTATGGTTTTTGGTGGGATAAGAACTAGGACCTCACAATCTGCTGTTTTGCTAATGTCAGTCTCATTGCACATTCTTTTTGTTCTCTTCAAGAGATACTTAACATAGAGGTTAAGAGTAGGGCCTCAGATGCCACATTGCTTGGGTTTGAATCTTATTTCTGTCACCAAACAACTTTTAATTATGGGAAACATTTAATTTCTGCAATCCTCACCCTTCCATCTATATAATGTATTTAATAATTGTATATATCTCAGGGTTATAGCAAGGACAAAGCCAGATAATACATGCAAAGCACTTAGCATAGTACTTTATGCATAAGTTCTCAATAGTTTTTAGTTGCTATATGCTAGTCACAGAAAAACCAGTCAAAAATAGAAAATTAAGCTGGAACCATGGATATAAATGTGTGGTCCAAATTTACTCTTTCAATATATGAATTCAAAACTAAAATTATTTAGTGGAATAACTAGTGTGGAGCTGAAGAAACTTTAAAATGTCTGCTGCAAATATGAGAGCATCGATAGACCTCTATAACTCGCAGCATTATTATCTTTCAAAAGAAAAGAAAAACAAACAAATCACAAGAGGTGATAAAACCATGAACAGTAAGAATAAGTGCCCAGCCCAATCAAAAGGAAAATTAGCAAAGCAAAAATTAGGAGGGTTAAAAAAAAAAACAATTATTTGTCAAGAACAGAAGATATAAAAAGTTTTTTTTTTAAATAAGAATCATATATACAAATTCAATATTCAGTACACAGGTTAAAAAGTAAATTAGAACAGCTTAAGAGAGAATTTATTTAGTAAAAAGATCATCTATATTAGTAGAGAATTCCCCATGAATGTATCATATTTCCACACATCTAACCATTAACAGCTCTTGTGTTCCAGTACTATCTTTTCAGACACGTTTATGTAGTTAGGAAGCCCTTGAATTACAGAGACAAAAACTTCTGGAGCACACTTAACTACATTATGGATAAGTGAAGGTAAACAGAGTTGCTCCTTTTTGAGAGATATTGAGATGTCTCTCCAAGGAGATATTCGAAGATAATAAACCCAGAGATAATTTCCTCCTCTCCCCAGAGATATTTGGCTTCATGCAAGAGTGATAAAAATAATATATATTTTCAGGAGAAGAAAATGGGCAGGTTTGATAAGATGAGAGTTTCTAGAGCTTGGGGTTCCTCTCCTATAATGAATCCCCACTGCATATGTGGTATCACTTACCTCTCACCACGCCACTCTTGGGTTATTGGAGCTCAGGGAGCAAAACTAATATGCGAGTCTGGCTGTTGCTCTTTCTCCTAGTAATAAACTGTCTTGTCTCTGACTCAGAGGTTTCTGTTTTCCTGCCAATATAAATATGAACCTGTGACAGGCTAACTTGATTCCTTGCAAATCAAGTCTTAGATTTTTCACAGTTCTTAAAGTTCTAATTGTATTTAGCCTGGATTCAGAACTTAGTGGAACTGGGGTGGCTCCACAGTTACACAAATTCACCTTTCCCCTTGGCTCTTGGTTACCTACAGAACTCACTTTGCAGATGGCTCTCTCCACATGGAGGAAGTCCTGTTGGACCTCAGAAAATAAAGGAAACCTTGGTACACCTTTGCATTTTTGCACTCTCAGTCTTACGCCATAAGGTAATGTTCACCTTCACTAACATCTCTGCACTTGTGTTTAGTCTTTACTGACAATAAACTCTCTCTAGGCCACATTTTAACCCAGGAAGGAAAGCAGAATCAGTGCCTAGATGTCATTTAAGGGAAATTTTACCTCCAGAATGCTTCCACTTACAGAAGAATGACTCCATTCCTAGATTAATTTAATTCACCTATTCCTAAATGCCCCTGATACTACTTCGATCCAAAGATCTAAATTAATAGAGATAGAGACTATGTTTATGGGTATGAAAAAAAAAAAGCTATCGTAAAGAAATCATTTTGTCCTAAGAACATGAATAAATGTAATAAAATTTCAAACAAAATCCTAGTAGATTTGATGTGTGTGTACATGTGTAACTAAAATAGCTGATTATAAACAAAGTACATATATAAAATAGTCAATAAATTTTGAAAATGGAGAATGAAAAAGGAGGATGATCTATTTAATCAGATATGAAGGCATTTTAAAGAAGCTGAAATTAAATGAGTTCAGTATATTATAGAAATAAGCAAATAATTACATGGAGCATAATTCTATAGGTTCCATAGAAATAAGCAAGTAATTACATGGAGCTTAATTCTCTATGTTCCACGTATCATACAACACTGCAATCCCACTTCCAATCTTGGACTCAAGAACCAAATGAGAAACAAAGAAGCTGTATCTTGGACATACTGCTTAACCTTTCTGAGTCTAATTTCTCATCTCTAACATGGAGTTATGATGCCCACCTATTTGTATTATAGGAAAAATTATATAAGAACATAGCCAGGAGCTTACTAATTAGGTATATCTTTTTTTTTTTTTTTTTTGAGAGAAGTCTTTCTCTTGTCCCCCAGGTTTGAGTGCAATGGCTCGATCTCGGCTCACTGCAACCTCCGCCTCCTGGGTTCAAACGATTCTCCTGTTTCTGCCTCCCAAATAGCTGGGATTAAGGCGCCTGCCACCACATCCAGCTAATTTTTGTATTTTTTAATAGAGACGAGGTTTCACCATGTTGGCCAGGCTGGTCTCAATCTCCTGACCTCAGGTGATCTGCCCACCTCGGCCTTCCAAAATGCTGGGATTACAGACGTGAGCCACTGTGCCCAGCCATAATTAGATATATCTTTAAGTCACCCATCTTCCCCTTCCTCATACTCAGTGAAACATTACCACTAGACCTAGTTATTAGAAAATAAATTAGCTGAGAGTATTGCAAATACATAAAACCCCCATTAGATAAGAAGCAGTAGGGTGTGGAGATCAATCACAATTTATTCACTGAAAATTAATCTAGTCTGAGGTCACAATTATTAAAAATTGAGATAGAACATGAAAGGTTTTAAAAAATAGGTAATTATTAACCCTTTATTTATTTTACCCATATATTTACCATTTCTAGTTCTTTAAATTCTTTTGGTGGATTCTATTTTTTAATAACAATAGAATTTTTTTATTAATTGACAAATAATATATTATATGTACTTACACAATGTGATGTTTTGATATATGATCACAATGTGAATAACTCAAGCTACTTAATAAACCTATGACCTCACATGCCATTTTTTGAGTTGAAAACATTCTACTCTTTTAGCAATTTTCAAGTGTGTAATGTATTATTATTTATTCTGCTCACTGTTCTGTGTAGTAGATACTAAAGCTTATTCCTCTAGTACCTTCTGCTCAGCATCTCCCGTTTTCCCATCCACCCCCACTCACACTCTTGAATTTTTCATCTTACTTCATTTTCCTTCATTTTGAGAAACTTTCATATTTCTTGTAGTAAAGATCTGCTGGTGACAAATTCTTTCAGCCCATGTTTGTCTGTGAATATATTTTGCCTTTGGCTTTGGAGGATCTTTTTTTGACGAATACAATTCTAGGATACACATTTTATTTTTATTTTTGCACTTTAAAAATTCCATTCATGGGCCAGGCATGGTGGCTCATGCCTGTAATCGCAGCACTTCGGGAGGCCGAGGTGGGCAGATCACTAGGTCAGGAGATGGAGACCATCCTGACCAACATGATGAAACACCGTCTCCACTAAAATTACAAAAATTAGGGGGCGTGGCAGCATGCACCTATAATCCTAGCTACTCGGGAGGCTGAGGCAGGAGAATCGCTTGAACCTTGGAGGCGGAGATTGCGGTGAGCTGAGATCGTGCCACTGCACTCCAGCCTGGTGACAAAGCAAGACTTCACCTCAAAAAAAAAAAAAAAAAAAAAAAGTCATTCACTCCGATCATCTTCTGATTTGCATTGTTTCTGATAAGTAAGTGGAATTCTTATTCTTATTTCTCTAGATGCACCATGTCTTTTTTTTCTCCAGCTACTTTAGATTTTTTCTCTCCTGGTTGTTTTTCATCAATTTGATTACATGGTGTGCCATGGCTTGGGAGTATAGTAAAAACCTGAAAATATTATCCATTAAATGCAGAGGGAATGGTGAAATTGCAGATTCTGTGACATTCAGTACTCTCAGAAGTTGACAGGACAATCAAGAGAAAATGGAGCTAATCAAATGTTCTGCTGGACAAAGCACAATAACATAGAGCACGTTCAGATCGTTGTTTTTAAGGAAAAAAAAGACTACTTTTCCCCAAAAATGCTTTTATTTTTCTCTAAGTCATAGTGGTAGAAAGGACCTTAGAGATCATCTAGCAAAAATTTTTGTGTTATATTGATAATAAAACTGAAGCCTAGGGTGACTAATCAGCCAAGTGAATGCAGCTAACTAGCAGCAGAGCTGAATTCAGTTCTGAATTCCTGACTCACTTATTATCAAAGTTTTCAATCTTGATTCATTCTTTTACTTCTTTTATTATTTATCACTCAGGTTAACAATGGAGTAGTGATTAATATTTTTTCTATAAATTTACTTTAAATCAGCTCACTTTTATTTGTATTGTGCTGAGTAATAATGTCCCTAAAATTATATATGTGTGACATATTGGTAACATTTTTCTAATGCCCTTTAAAATAAATGTGTAACTATTAAATAAGTGTGGTTGAGGTCACGCTGTATATTATACTGTGCATGCTACACCACAATGGCCAACACCAGTCTGTCTCCTCTCCAAGGGCCTGAGACCTCCTGAGATGAGGGAGAAAGTTGTTTTGGCCACTCTCTGTTATTTCACCAACCTCAGGTTCCAATGTGGTTTCTAGATGGAGTTACCCTCCAGTTCTTTTTTCAGCACTAGTTTGTTTTTTTTGGCTTTGTTCCATCTTTCTAAACATGATTTTCCTTCTGAACAAATTAAAGGTCATTCTAGCAAAAGTCTTTCAGATGCTATTTGGATCCTACTTTCTGAGAGTAAAATGTACACATTTACATTGTATGCAATGTTGCTAAAGGCAAACATTACTTGTACTACTAATCTGTGTGTCTATTTATTTTAATATTCAGGCTTTAAAAAGAATAGATATAGAAAACATTGTGCCAAAACAGAAACTCATAACTTAATGTCAAATGAGGAAATAAAAAATGCAAACTTGTATCTATGCAATAGTTTCAATTATATAAAACCCTCATATGCAGACAAAAAAGCTTCATGAACAAATATAAATTATTCTTATATTTGAACATTTTGAATGGCACCATTATTTAGATTTTAATAAACATTTGCATTTTTAGATTTTGTTTGTTTTATCAATCTTTATTGTCCCTTAAAGACTGTTATACACTATAGATCTTCAACAAAACATTAGAAAGCCACCAATATACTTGTTCTTCAAAATATTTTTGTAACTTATTAACTTAATCAAGTTCAAGTTAATCAAGTGAAAGGAAAGTCTATCTTGTGGGTATAAAGAGAAAAGCTAGATCTTTCAGGATTGGTGCTAAAAACATTTCTACACATGAAGAAAGACACCTATTCACCTCAGAGCTTCTGTGGTGATCTCTTACTAATTGCTGCTGTCACTGCTATTTTACCTCGGGGATTTAAGTGTAGTAGGAAGAAAAAGCGTCATTATTCCTCTTTTTGTGCTTGTTACTGCCTTTATCCTTCCATAGTATGCTTTGAATCTTAGCTAAAGCAAAATTTGAGCACACAGAATTTCTTTTTCATGTTTTAGTAGATAATAAACAGTAAACCATGTGAAGCTAATTAGTTAGGCTTCCAAGAGAAATTGACCATTGATATTTTGAGATGCTCTCATTTCTTTGCCCCCAACCTGCCACCAGGAGCTGGATATCATTGTAGTATCCTTATCTGGTATTACAGCTTCACCACCCACCCTCCATAATGTCTAGACACAAGCGATTGATACACAGAGGACAGAGGGATATCTCATTTCCCATATCACTAGGATTTGCCTTCTGAGCTCTCATTTTACTTTTCTAAGAACTTGATGGCCCTCAAGTAATTAATGGTGCAAAGTTACAGTCCACTTTTGAATATTCCATATTACCCTAAAAGCCTTCAGAGAAGACATCAGAGTAAGCCCAACATTCACATACACAGTCAGTTATGCGTGAGAGTGCTGTGGGGGTGGTCATAGGCCAACATAGACCATGGTACAATCAGGAGTTAAACCAAGGAAATCTAACTTTCAGGCAGTGGTAGTACTTTATTTTTCTTCCAAGTAGAAATTAGGAGGAGATTCTCACGTCATGAGATTTGACATGGGTGTGGTAGTGTGAGTGTCTTTGGTTTACTGACAGCAAGAAATTGTGCTCACATTTAAGATACTGTGGACTAAGAGACAACAGACTATAGGATTAGCCTTGGGAAAGACCAAGGACATGATCCCAGGGAATTACTCCTTAGTCAGGCATAGGCTGCAGTGCTAGGAATAATCTTTCCTCTGGATGGCATCTGGCATTGTGCTGGAACAGCATCCGGATTTCTGGTGGTTTCTGCAGTCTGAAAAGCAAGGTCATGGCCTTTGTTAAGGCAGGGTCCAGGTAGAGTTGGAGAAGAAATTACCTGCCGAAAGCAAGGGCCGTGACTATGAGAACTTTGGGACCGTTAGCATTATGGTCACTTTCCCATGTCTATGATTCCGTTACTCCATTCTGTGCTCCCACTTGGCTACCAGATGCCAGTGTTGTCTATTTAGAGAGCACTCCACCTTCCAGACTCAGACTCACTCCAGATGGCTGTTGTTGACATGCCATTAACTCAGGTCCCTGTGGTGTCATCCTTTGGCTCTTCTCAAAATTCTTTCCTCCATGTTTATTTTTATTTCCATTTTTGTTTTACCTTTTATGACATTTTATGTCCATTTTTCCAAAGTGCAGACACAAGTGCCTCATAATAAATGATAAGATGTTAATTACTGAAAAACCTGTATTATTCCTACATTTTATTATTTCCAAACTAAAATTTTGAAAAAATACATTATTCTTGGGAGTTTGCAAGCATTACTACTATACAAAAAGCTATTTTTATTTTCTAATAATATGTTGTTTTAAATGAATAAATCATTATCAGTGGATTTATTAACAAGTGCTTGATAAACAAAATCTGCTTGAATATTATTTTACAGCAGAAACTGGTTTGTTAAAATACACAACTGAATTCCTCTGAAGAAAAGTTTGATGGAAAGCTCCACGGTTATATATAAATCACAGCTGAACTTTAAATTCTATTTTTATAGCAGTTGATATTTTTCCTTAAAAATGCCACTTTGTTATTTCTTATGTGATTGTACATTTCAGAGCATTAGAGAATAGAATTTTTCAAAGCGATACATAATAGACACTGTTTTTGCCTTAAAATGCTTCTGTTTCTCACTGTTCTATAGTCTCTCATGATATCAGTAAGCCTCTCTGAGCCTCAATTGCTATATTCATCAAATGGAATGATAGTACTTACCTCATTGTGAAAATGAAGTAGGATAATGGAGTGAAAAGACTTTATCATCAGCAACGATCATACGCCCAGAAGATGACGTTATGAAAATTATCACTATGTTTGCTTTATTGTAACCCTGTTTCTAATCCAGAAGAACTGCAAAAATTATCATAATAGGACTTTAATTTACACACAGTTTTACAAAGATATAAATTATATATCTGCCTAATGTATTCACCATTAAGATAAATGTTGTGGAAATGTTTAAAAAAATGGTTTTACCTCAAATGTTTGTCATCTAGTTATAGAGACAAAAACATAGTAAAATAAAGTGATTCAAAAACACTTTATTGCCGAAGAGGCAACGCTGAAAAAATAATTGACTTTGGAATCAGAATTTGAACGCCTGTCCAGGAGAGCCTAAATTAGAGTCAAATTGTGGTTCTTTCAATATACAAACATATGGCGTAGAAAATGGACCCCTAACAGGGAAAGGGCAAAACATAATATAAGAAAAGGTACCAGAGGGGACTGGGGTAGGTGTTTTGTATAATTAACTAGAAAAATTATTCCAACTGAAACAATAATAAGGGTTAACATACATTCTATTTTCCTGGGATAATCCCATTTGTACATATTGCCCAAGCATAATTTTTAGTAGCTCCGCATTTTATTCTTAGATATATATCAGGGTCACTTTAGAGAAGATACATAACTAAGAAGCGACAGGAATAGAGTTGGATGGGTTGAAAGAGCCAAGTCACGGAATCTCAAAAAATAAATAAATAAATAAAATGTAGAACTTATATTTCTTCTTGAACCAGAAAGTGCTCAGATTATAAAGATAAACCATGGTTTATATTATTTTTCTTTTTTTGTGCAAATTTAAGTGGTACAAGTGCAGTTTTGTTACATGGATATATTGCATGGTGGTGAAGCCTGGACTTTTAGTGCAACCATCACCCAAATAGTGTATGCTGTACCCATTAGATAATTTCTCATCCCTCATCCTGCTCCTACCCACTCACCCTCTGAGTCTCCAATGTTTGTCATTCCATACTCTGTGTCCGTATGTATACATTATTTAGCTTCCACCGATAAGTGAGAAAATGTGGTATTTGACTTTCTCTTTCTGAGTTGTTTCACTTAAGGTAATGGCTTCCAGTTCCAAGCATGTTGCTGCAAAAGACATTTTATTCCCTTTGTGGCAGAATAGTATTCCATTATGTATATATGCTACATTTTCTTTATCCAGTCATCCATTGATGTATACTTAGGTTGATTCAATATCTCTGCAGTTGTGAATAGTGTGCCATGAACACACAAATGCATATATATTTTTTACATAATGACTTTTTCCTTTGGTTAGATACTCAGTAGTGGGGTTTCTGGATCAAATGCTAGTTCTATTTTTAGTTGTTTGAGAAATCTTCCTACTGTTTTCCATAGAGGTTGTGCCAATATATATATTACCACCAACCATGTATAAGCCTTCCCTTTTCTCCACATTCTCACCAACATATGCTACTAATTCATTCAAAAGTACATATTCATTATTGTACCAAAGATAATTACTCCTGCAACTGTGAGCCTAAAAATCATGTAGTAGCACATAGTTAAATATATTAAGTTAGAATAATCTTTGAAGATTTAACTGGTTGCATTACATTTATCATATCACAGGAATCATTCTCTGAAGGGTAAATTATCTCCAAATATTTTAAGAATAACATTGTATTCTCCAATGTACTCCCTGTAGCTTTCCATGGGAACCTGTACAATTTCATTGCATCTAAAATGCCTTTCATGCACATGTGTGGAACCCACTGCCACCACTTCAATGAAGAGCTCTTGCTGCCCACCCTCTGTCCCTGCCAGTCCATGAGAGTGTTGTTGCCAGTGGACTGGGAACACCACATGCTTTCCAGAAGAGGAGGAGCTTAACCTCAAGGGGCCAGAGAACAAAACTGTGGGTCTGGACCCAGCCCCCTAGGAGTAAAGTACACAGTCCAGCAGTGCTGAGCTGGGTCTTCGTCCTCTGAAATTGCCCAGAAAGCAGGCCAGTTGAATGAACCCAACTTATACCACAGTTGAACACTCAAGGGCATCAGAGAATATAAAAGCAAAAAACCCCATCCAAAGGACAGAAACTTCAAACATTAAAAGAACATCAGCCCACACAGATAAGAAAGAACTAGTGCAAGAACGCTGGCAACTCAAAACGCCCGAGTGTCTTCTTACCTCCAAATGACTGCACTAGCTCTCTAGCAATGGTTCTTAACCAATCTGAAATAGCTGAAATGACAGACAAAGAATTCAGCATCTGGATCACAACGAAGATCATTGAGATTCAAAAGAAAGGTGAAATTCAATCCAGGGAATCTAAGGATATAGGAGACGAAAGAGAAAATAGTCATTTTAAGAAAGAACAAACTGATCTCATGAAGCTGAAAAACTCACTATAAAAATTTCATAATACAATTGGAAGTATTAACAGCAGAATATACCAAGCTGAAGGAAGAATCTCAGAGCTCAAAAACTGGTTCTTCAAGTCAATTCAATCAGACAAAAATAAAGAAAGAAGAATTAAAAAATGAATAAAACCTCTCAGAAATATGGGGTTATGTAAAACGACCAAACCTATGACTTATTGGCATCCCTGAAAGAAAGAGTTAGAGAGCAAGCAACTTGGAAATCATATTTGAGGATATTGTCCCTGAAAATTTCCCCAACCTCAGGTCAACATTTAAATTCAGGAAATTCAGAGAACCCCTGTGAGTTATATAAAAAACCTTCCACATAGTCATCAGATTCTCCAAGGTAAACTCAAAAGAAAAAATATTAAAGGCAGCTAGAGAGAAGGGACAGATCACCTACAAAGAGAATCCCATCAGGCTAACAGTGGACATTTCAGCAGAAATCCTACAAGCTAGAAGAGGTTGGGGGCCTATATTCAGCTTTCTTAAAGAAAAGAAATTCTAACTAATAATTTCATATCTATCCAAGCTAAGATTCATAAGTGAAGAAGAAATAAAATCCTTTTCAGACAGGCAAATTCTAGGGGAAAATGTTACTGCCAGACCTGCCTTGCAAGACGTCCTTAAGGGAGTGTTAAACGTGAAAACAAAAGACCACTACTAGCCACCACAAAAACACTCTTAAGTACATAGACCACTGACGCTATGAAGTAACTACAGAATCATGTCTACAGAACAACCAGCAAATACCATGATGACAGGATCAAATCTGTATATATCAATATTAATCTCAAATATAAATAGGCAAAACACCACACTTACAAGGCACAGAGTGGCAAGTTGGATGAAGGTGCAAGAACAAACTATATGCTATATTCAAGAGACCCATTTCACAAGCAATGACACCCATACGCTCAAACTAAAGAGATGGAGGAAAATATACCAAGCAAATAAAAAGCAAAAAAAGAACAGGGATAGCTATTTTAATTTCAGACAAAACAGACTGGAAACAAGCAATGATCAAAAAAAGCCAAAGCATGGCATTACATAATGACAAAGCTTTCAATTCAAGAAAAAGACTTAGCTATCCTAAAAATATATTCACCCAACAATGGAGAGCCCAGATTCATAAAACAAGTTATCAGAGACCTAGGAAGAAATTTAGATCACTACACGATCATACTGGAATATTTCAAAACCACACTGACAATATTAGATAGATCATTGATGCAGAAAATTAACAAAGATATTTGGGACTGAAACTTGACACTTGACCAAATAGACCTAACAGACATCTACAGAACACTCTACCAAATAATAGAATATACATTCTTCTCATCTGCACATGACATATTCTCTTAAATTGACTACCTGCTCAGTCATAAAACAATTCTCAACAAATTCAAAAGCAAAACAAAATCATACCAACCATGCTCTTGGATCACAGAATAATACAAAATAGAGATTAATAATGTGAAGATCTATTGAAGGCAGGGCCCAGAGAGCAGACTAGAAACAGCTCGCATGCACCACCCTCACAGAGAGGAAGCAAAAGGGCCAGTGAACATGGACCCTGCAGGCTGATCATCTATAAAACCATGTTGAGATTTATCAGAGCAGCAGGGCAACACAGAAAATAGAGAGGAGCAAAGCTGGGCCCCAGGCCACCTGGACTCAATATGGAGTCAGGAGTACCTCTTCAACATGGGAAAGGGTGAGTAAGTGAGAGCCCCCAGAAGGATTGTTGCTCTCCACAGAGGCCTGCACAAGACTGGGAATGGGAGAATCACCCTGGATCCTCCTGCACCCTCCCACCATGCTTCTAGACTGAGGCAGAGCCACCTGGATGTTTTATGGGGGCAAATCACAAGTCCAAGGGGAACTCCAGAGGCCTTGGGACTTACAGCAGACCAGCACCAGTGCCACAACCCCAATAGTGCAATAGTGGCCACAGTTGTGGTACCAGAGAGCAGTAATATCACTCCACCACTGTTTGCTGGCCAGGGCTCAGCAACTTCTGGCTCAGTAGTCCTGCTTTGTCCTGAACTTGGCTGGCCACCCCTTAAACCTCTGCCACTGGTAGCAAGAGGCAACACTTGCTAGAGTTTCCAGCCCAGAAGTCATACATTTGTGTGAACTTAGCTGTAGGGTACAGCTTCCTGTTGTCACAGGAAACACCCAGACAGCAGAGCCCAAGACCTCATCCATCCCCACCACTGACAGCCAGGAGGCCAACACCTGCTGGAGCCTCCAGACCAGTGGACCTGCTTCTGTGTGAGCTCAGCTGAAGGGTGCAGCTCCCTGTTGTCATGGTACATACCCAGATGAAACAGTGTTAAGAGGAAAGTTTACAGCATTAAATGGCCACATCAAAAAGTTAGTAAGCTCTCAAATCAAAGACAAACATCACCCCTTCAGGAACTAGAAAAACAAAAGTAAACGAACGCAAAACTAGTAAAAGACAAGAAATAACCAAAATCAGAGCTGAATTGAATGAAATTGAGATGCAAGAAAACGTACAAAAGATCAACAGAACCACAAATTGGTTCTTTGAAGGAATTAATAAAATTAATAGATCACTGGTAGCCAAGTAAAAAAAAAGAGAGAAGATCCAAATAAACACAATCAGAAATAACAAAGGAGACATTACCACTGACACCACAGAAATACCAAAAGCAAAAAAACTTCAGTGATGGTTACAAACACCACTTTGCACACAAACTGAAAACCTAGAAGAAATGAATAAATTCCTGGAAACATAAGACCTCTCAGTATTTATCCAGGAAGAAATTGAAACCCTGAACACACCAGTAATCAGTTCCAAAATTGAATCAGTAATAAAAAGCCTATAAACCAGAAAAAGTCCTGGACCAGATGAATTTACAGTGGAATTTTATCACATATATTAAGGAGAGCTGGTACCAATCCCACTGAAACTATTTCAAAAAATTGAGGGGGAAGGATTCCTTTCTAACTCATTCTATGAGTCCAGCATCATTCTGATACCAAAACGAAGCAGAGACACAAAAGAAAGAAAACCCCAGTCCAATATCGCTGATGAATATAGATGCAGAAATCCTCAATAATAAACTAGTAGGTCAAATCCAGCAGTTCCAAGACCAGCTCGGTTGGGGAGACCCTAACCCAGCAGCACTAGAGGAATTAAAGGCACACACACAGAAATATAGAGGTGTAAAGTGGGAAATCAGGGGTCTCACAGCCTTCAGAGCTGACAGCCCCAGAGATTTGCCCACTTATTTATTAACAGCAAGCCAGTCATTAGCATTGTTTCTATAGATATTAGATTAACTAAAAGTATCCCTTATGGGAAATGGGATTAACTAAAAGTATCCCTTATAGGAAACACAAAGGGATGGGCCAAAATAAAGGGATGGGTTCGGCTAGTTATCTGCAGCAGGAGCATGTCCTTAAGGCACAGATCGCTCATACTATTGTTTGTGGTTTAAGAATGACTTCAGGCAGTTTTCCGACCTGGGTGGGCCGGGTGTTCATTGCCCTCATTCCAGTAAACCCACAACCTTCCAGCATGGGGTCATGGCCATCATGAACATGTCACAGTGCTACAGAGATTTTGTTTATGGCCAGTTTTGGGGCCAGTTTATGGCCAGGTTTTGGGGGGCCTGTTCCCAACACAGTAGCACATCAAAAAGCTAATTCACCATAATCAAGTAGGCTTTCTTCTTGGGATGAAACATTGGTTCAACAGATACAAATCAATAAATGTGATTCATTACATAAACAGAGCTAAAAACCAAAACCACATGATTATCTCAATAGACGCAGGAAAGGTTTTCAATGAAATTTAACATCAGGCTGGGTGTGGTGACTCATGCCTGTAATCCCAGCACTTTGGGAGGCTGAGGCCGGTGGATTACCTGAGCTCAGGAGTTCAAGACCAGCCTGAGCAACATGGTGAAAACCCATCTCTACTAAAAATATACAAAAATTAGCTGGGCGTGGCAGTGCACATCTGTAATCCCAGCTACTCAGCAGGTTGAGGCAGAAGAATCACTTGAACCCAGGAGGTGGAGGTTACAGTGAGCAGATATCATGCCACTGCACTTCAGCCTGGGCCACAGAGTGAGACTCCATCTCAAAAAAAAAAAAAAAAAAAAAAAAAAAAAAAAAAATTTTAACATCTTTTGATGTTAAAAAGCCCTAAACAAACCAGTCATTGAAGGTACATACCTCAAAATAATAAGAGCCCTCTATGACAAACCCACAGCCAACATCATACTAAATGAGCAAAAGCTGGAAGCACTCCCCTTGAGAACCAGAGCAAAACAAGGAGGCCCACTCTCACCACTCCTATTCAACGTGATACTGGAAGTTGTAACTAGAGCACTTAGGTGAGAGAAATACATAAAAGGCATCCAAATAGGAAGTCAAAGTATTCCTCTTCTCAGACAACATCATTTTATACCTACAAAACCCCATAATCTCTGCCCCCAAACTCCTAGATCTGATAAACAATATTAGCAAAGTTTCTGGATACAATATCAATTTATGAAAATCAGTAGCATTTCTGTATATCAACAACATCCAATTAGAGAGCTGAATCAAAAATGCAATCCCATTCAAGCCACACAGACAATCACACAAAAATATTTAGAAATACTGCTAACCAGAGAGGTGAAATTGTTCTACAATGAGAATTATAAAACACTGCTAAAAGAAATTAGAGACAACACAAACAAATCGAGAAACATTCCATGCTCATGGGTGGGAAGAATCAATATTGTTCAAATGGCCATATTGCTCAAAGTAGTTTACAGCTTTAATGCTGTTTCTAACAAATTGCCAATGACATTTTTTTACCGAATTAGAAAAAAAAAAAACTTTTCTAAAATTCACATGGAACCTAGGGAGAGCCCAAATAGCCACAACAATCCTAAGCAAAAAGAACAAAGCTGAAGCATCACACTGCCCAACCTCAAACTAAACTATATCCCTGCACTAACCAAGACTGCATGGTACTGGTACAAAACAGATATATAGACCAATGCTGCAGGCTAGAAAACTCAGAAATAAAGTCACATGCCTACGGGCATCTGATCTTCCACAAAATCAACAGAAACGAGCAATGGGAAAGGACTCCCTATGCAATAAATGGTAGTGAAGTAACTGGCTAACCATATGCTGAATATTGAAACTAAACCCCTTGCTTTCACCATATACAAAAGTCAACTCTAGATAAATTTAAAAATTACATGTAAGGCCTAAAACTATAAAAAGCCTTAGCAGAAAAACTAGGAAATACAATTCTGGACATAGGCCATAGCAAAGATTTCATGATGAAGCTCCAAGATCAATTATAACAAAAACAAAAGTTGACTAGTGATATTTAATTAAACGAAAGGGCTTTTGCACAGCAAAAGAAATTACCAACAGAGTAAAGTGACAACCTACACATTAGGAGAAGATATTTGCAAACTGTGTGTCCAACGAAGGTCTAATATCCAGAATCTGTAAGGAACTTAACTGACTCAACAAACAAAAAACAAACAACCCCATTAAAAAAATAGAAAAAGGACATGAAGAGACACTTCTCAAAAGAAAATATACATGCAGTCAACAAGCATATGAAAAAAA
Source organism: Homo sapiens (assembly GCF_000001405.40). NCBI lineage: Eukaryota > Metazoa > Chordata > Mammalia > Primates > Hominidae > Homo > Homo sapiens. Next base: position 131,355,483 of record NC_000008.11, on the reverse strand, counting down.
TGTTCAACATCACTAATCACTGAGACATGCAAATCAAAACCGTAGTAAGATACCATCTCATACCTCAGAATGGCTATAATTAAAAAGTCAAAAAATAAGAGATGCTGCTGAGGTTGTGGAGAAAAGGGAATGCTTATACACCACTGGTAGGAATGTAAATTAGTTCAGCCACTGTGGAAAGCAATTTGGATATTTCTCAAATAAAACAGAGCTAACGTTCAACTCAGCAATCTCATTACTGAGTATACACTCAAATGAATATAAATTGTTGTACCATAAAGACATATGAAAATGTATTTTCATTGTAGCACATTCACAATGGCAAAGACATGGAATATTTGCCCATCAATGGTAGACTGGATAAAGAAAATGTGGTACCTATACACCATTGAATACTATACAGCAATAAAAATGAGATTATGTCCTTTGCAGCAACATGAATAGAGTTGGAGGTCATTAACCTAAGAGAATTAATGCAGGAACAGAAAACCAATACTGTATATTCTCACTTATAAGTGGTAGCTAAACAGTGAGTACACATGGACACAAAGAATAGAACAGTAGACACCAGGGCCTACTTGGGGTAAAGAGTGGTAGAACTGTGAGGATTCAGAAACTACCTCTCAGGTACAATGCATAGTACCTGGGTGATGAAATAATCTGTACCCCAAACCCCTACAACATACAATTTACCCATGTAACAAACCTGCACATATACTCCCTGAACCTAAAATAAGAGTTAAAAAGAAAAAAAATAAATAAAATGCCATCAATTGTAAGTGACACCATTATGTGTTTAGTAAAGAAAAATGTGCTAATTAAGTGATACAACAATGTTTTCTTACCATTTACATTTTTATTTTATACTTAACAATCACTTTTATACTTAGAAGAAATAGATTTTCATCTACTGTCACTTATGTGCACACATAAAAAGGAAAGACAAAGTGAAATGTATTGGTTAAGTTTCTCCTAAAATTTCTTCATAATACCTGATTTTTCAAAATCACATTTGGACCCAAGTCTTTAAAATATTTTTTGTTCCCTTACAATATCCTCTGTGATTCCTGTGTTGGAAATGCGAAATTTCTCCAAAGATGCTCTATTATTATTCCTGGAATTTGCTTCCAACCTGTTGATGCCCCTTCTGCAAGTTTTGATGCATATACCCAGGCAATAAGATCTAAGTCTTGACTGCTGCCTTACTGTAAGCAATTGTAAAATCCATTCTAATTTCAGAGATGTTAAGACTTAAAAAAAAGTATCTTAAAATTGATGGACAAGAAAAATGATCCAAACCATGCTTTGTTTAGATCTTTTGGCCTTTCACATTACGCCACTACCAGGATATGTGACTTTGTGCTTTGAAGACAATATTAATAATACCAGCTAATGGTTATTGAGTGCTTAACATATACTAGTCATAGTACTAAATGCTTTTTATACAACATCTCCTTTAATCTTTACAAAACTTTCTACAAAGTAATTATTGATTATAATCATTTCTTCAGATAAGAACACTGGAGTATGTCAAGATCTCAATGTTGGTAAGTGTCTAAATTGGATTCAAAACCTGCCAGTCTGGTGTTGGCATGTGCATACTCAATCAAGAAGCTCTTTTGCCTCTTGAGGTTACTCATATTTTGCATATCTGTTGAGATGGTTCTTGTTTCCAGCATAAAGGAGGTAGCAGTCTTTCTAAAGCAATGAAACAGGACTGCACCATGTGTGACCTGAAAGCAAGTACAAAGATCAGATAATGAGAGCAGGCAGAAAAAAATATCCCTTACTACTCTTACCCCAGTTGATTCCAATTTTACTTTCATGTTAAATAATAATATAACTATGATGAACAGTGCTTGCCATTCCCTTTGTGTCTTCAAGACACACAGATTGTTCTTTCCTTCACTTTCAAATATTCTTTAAGTGCTTACTGTGAGTCAGACCCTGGAAAAAGAGCAGTGAGTGAAACAAGTCCCTGCCTTCATGAAACTTATACATTTATGTGTGGGGATACAGACAAAAGACAAATAATTACATAATGTGACTACGAGTGATAAGTGCTATGGGGAAAAATACATAAAAGTAAGGGGCAAAAAGAGACCATTGGAGGCAAAGGTACTCTTTTATATCAGAAGCTCAGGAAGCAGCTTTCTGATACATGACATGTAATTAGTCATCAACCTGAATTATCTGGAGAAGGAAATATGTTACTATCTACCCTCTCCAGGGGACTCTGAGAAGTGGGTGTAACCCAACCTCAAAGAATTGAAGAGCAGGTGATTATGATGGTAGCAAACACGTATTGAGCCCTCACTCCGAAGAAGCCACTCTGCCAACTGTTGTATGTCTATCTACTCCCGTAAGCAACCAGGACCTTGTGTCCTATTTACTATGACTCCCCTTTTACAGATGAGAGAATTGATGTTGGTACAGGATAAATGGCTTGCCCAAGGTCTCTCTGTAATTAACCCATATTCTGTCTTCAGAACCTATTTTCTTAATCTTTGTACCCACCAACTCTTAATAAATAAAGTTTAATTAATAATTTTAGAGAGGAAACATAAAGGACACATTCAGTAAGTAAAAAGATCCTGACCTAGATGACAAAACATTCTTGGTAAAGGGACTATGCTCTTTATTCTTCTCAAAAACTCCTTCCTAAAATCCTGGGCACCGTGCTTTTCTGAAGTGTTTTTTTTAACTTTTTAAATTTTTTTGTAGCACCAACCAAGATTTTCTTTTTTCACTTTCCAACCCATTTTCATAACAGATGAACCAAGTGCTTTCTGTTAAGCATTGTCTCACAGATCAAAGACCCGAGTCATGCACAGGCTTCAACACAGAATGAAAACAGTTGCCTCTGGGTGCCAATGTTGCCCGAGTGCTGGTGTTATATTGCTGCTGTTATATTTCTAAGCCAAACAAACACTAAGAGCAAAATGTTGAGCCTCATGGTATATACACTACAATAGTGAATATATAAGTTTTCAAACTTCAGCATGTAGATTGTGAAAATGGTATAAGTTCTTCTAAGAAGACATTCCCCCAAAAGCAATGCCAACACTGAGCAAGTGGGAGATGGTATGCTGACTCCTGGCTAGTACTGAGATGAGGCATCTGTAAGCAGGTAACAGAACCAGTGATTAGTTTGAGGTTGAGGCCCTGGTTAGGGTCCAAAAACTGGGCCATTGGTTTATGAAGTTCTGTAATGTCAGGCTGTCACTAAGAATAAACTCAGGCACAGAAATAAAAGAAGGCCCCATAAATGGAACAAGGTTTTGAAGGCATGCCATAAATATATTCATCCATTTCTTCTTTGACTTGTCACATATTTGTATGTACCTGCGAGACTCTAGTCACTTGGCCATTTCATGAATATTCTTTCTTTTAATAGATGAACCAATCTTGAGAGATAAGGTCTTAGGCAAAGAAACTTAGGCAAAACTTACGCAAAGAAAATTTAGGCAAAGCAAGTTTGAACAATATTCTAAAGTCTACACAGCTGCAGATCCAGGATTTCCACAAATATCAAAACTATGAAAAGGTGAGACTTTTACTTAAAAAGATTTGATGCCCAGTTAGGGTTAGAGCTGCTTACATCCCTGGAGCAACTTTGTACAACATGTGATCCAAGAATCACCTGTGTTAGCTGTAGGACTTGTCAAGGATGCAGATTCTGGGGACCATGGTCTCAGATACTCCCGTGGGGAGGATGTAGCATGGGTACTGAGAATCTGAATGTTAAACAATTTAATCTCAATATCTGGGGACCAGGATGAGCCTCATTATTGGAGGTTGTGAAGAGAGGTGGCTGAGGACAAGAAAAATTTAGGCTTGAAGAAATTGATTCACACAAGGACATAAAACCACACTAAGCCCATTCTGCTGTCCTGTCCACTTGGCATCAAGGATAAGAGAAAGGTGATGAAGCAGGCACCTCCCCAGTCACTCTATTACAATAGCAGGCATCATTTGTTTGATAGCCTGTATTAGTTGGGGAGATCATCTGGTTGACTGTTTACTTGTTAATAGTGTTTATATTCCTGCCTGGAAATTATCCTCTTGGAAGGCAAGGACTGTCATGGCATCATTTGTCTTGGTGTCACCAGTGCCTGGCACAGAGAAAGCACTCAGTAAACACTGGATAGATAAATAAAAGAATGAAAGAGTGGGCCCAGTGCAGTGGCTCATGCCTGTTTTCCCAGCATTCTGGGAGGCCAAAGTGGGTGGATAACAAGGTCAGGAGATCGAGACTCTTCTGGCCAACATGGTGAAACCTCGTCCCTAATAAAAATATAAAAATTAGTTGGGCATGGTGGCTCATGCCTGTAACCACAGCTACTACGGAGGCTGAGGCAGGAGAATCGCTTGAACCAGGGAGTCAGAGGTTTTAGTGAGCTGAGATTGTGCCATTACACTCCAGCCTGGTGACAGAGCGAGACTCCGTTTCAAAAAAATAAACAAATAAATAAAAAATGAATGAGTGAACAGCATACAGGACTGCCAGGCTTTACTTATTTCTTCCTAAGTATTATATTTCTTATAAAGATTTGGAGCTTTACCGGCTGTAATAGGCTCTACCCTTTTATTTATTTTTCCCCAAAGGAGGCAGAGGGATTTAACTTACTGGTAAATTTGGGAATCATAAATCAAATCGGGCATGATCAGCTCAGCCCGTCCCTTCTTCTCCCTGAAACTGTGCTTTCTGACACCACATTCTACCGCTCCTCCTTCAGGGGCAGACTCTTCCCAGCCTGGGATGCCTGCCCCTATGGAAGGTGACCTATAACCCTGTGGGTAATTTAGTCTAATCCTGATGTTTAGACAGCAGGCCCACTCCAAGATACATGCTCCAGCTCTGTCTTTTTCAGTAATGAAGGGGGAATTTAGTGCTTTTTTGGTCAAGGAATTTTTTTTTCCTTCATCAATCTTTTCAGAACCTGAGTGGAGAAGAGAAATGTTATTCATCAGACAACTTCAGGAACTCACATCATTCTAGGACTATAAAATGATCTAATAGAGTCCAAATGCTCTTTAAAGAGTCGAACAAGTTGGAAAAGTAATTTTCTGGAAGCAGTAGGTGCTAGAGGGGAGAGCTCAGGAGTCAAAACCCAAGACACCAACCCCAGCATTGCTAGTTACCTGCTGTGGCCCAAATATAGCATTTGACCTCTAAAAGTCTCAATTTTGTTTTTGCTAAAAGCAAGATGTTAATTCCTGCTAGCACTTTTGTGGCGATCAAATAAACCTACATTAATGGAAGTTGTTAAATGAATAGCCATATATATGTTCAAGGGAATCATTATTTTTATTGACATAGAAAGATGCTACAGAGTTTGATTGTCATTATTGACTTAAACGCAATGATTACACTCTCTTTCTCTGAGCTGACACACATAAAATATTATGCTGTTTCTCTGATGTACCTCAAGTTCCATGAACAAATTCATTGTAATAAAAAGGTTTTTTCCAGTTTTGGATATAGAGATGTACTTGACCAGAATTGTCTAATATGGTACCATTTTCCTAAATATGGAATGGGTAATTTTTTTCCATGCTTATAACTGAATGTGATTTGACTCTTTTTACATTTCTCTAATATGTTAATTCCTTCTATAAAAAGCTGTCCATTGATAAGGTTGCCCACTTCTAATTTCAGAATGCACAGTTTAAAATGGAGGCCTCATGAGAATTTAAACCCATTACTGCATCATTGCACATTTCACATTTTAGACCAGAAAACATTTTATTGAGGGCAGTATTTTTTTATTTGCAAAGAATACGGGTGTTGAAGCCCTGGTTCCCAGTTACTACATTAAGACTTACTAGCTTATGTTACATCAGGCAAGTCACCTAACCTCTCAGAGCTTTGGTTCCTTTACCTTTAAAAGTTATATGTGAAAATTGAATAAGATACTGTATTTCAAGCTAAAAATATAGTATATATTAGAAACTCTGAAAATATTCACTTAATCCCCAACCCTTGGGCACTGGGTAAAAATCAACTTGTGATAACAGAAATCTGAATTTTATGTCTTAAGCCCATAGAGTGAAAAACAGCAAGAGAAGTCTAAATGCACAGAATTCTGTTGGCAGGGATCTCTGGATTCTTTTCTACAACAGTCAAGAGTTGCATGCATTTGACACCATTGGAGAAGTAGTTTTAAGTTTTAAGACGTATTGAATGATCATTAAGCTTACTAGGTTTATCATCAGTTTCAAGACATATTCAACTAAACCCTCCTAGGAAACCCTCAGAAATCATTTCACCCAGCTGGAAAGTAATTTTAATTCCTTCAGATGATAATGGAATAATTTGGAATCTTTTTATTTTTGATGCCCACTATGTGGCCAAACCTTATTAATTGTGGAAAATTGAGAAAAGGCTCATTGCAAATAAACATCTATGATATGGTTGGCTGAGGAATAGGAAACACCAGCCAAGTCGCTCATTACGGAGTGAATTCTACAAACTCAGGGGTGCTGTATGTAGTTACGCCAAGTCAGAGGGCTGGAGAATGGAATGCTTTGGAAGTGAGATGGTGTGTGCCAGGGAGCCCAGTGCAGAAGGGGAAACACAACAGCACTGGAGATCTCAATTTTTACTTCAATAACATTTTCATTCTTTAAATAAATGAATGAAGAGAAGGCTGAGTGTGGTTGAGAAAGGAAATCTGGACTCAGATTTTGGTGTTTGAAGAAGCTTATGAGGAGTACTCCTCTCTTCCTCACCCAAGTTCCAAATAAAATAACATACAGATACAGGAGTCGGGCAGATGGGGATGGAAATTTTCACCTATTTTAATAAAATTAGGAAACTTATTTTATTTTAATAAACTTAGGAAACTTGGTTTAGGTGTAAGGTTAAGAGGGCTTCTGAATATTTTATTTGAAAATTACATTTCAAATATTTTATTTGAAAATTTCAGTTCCTGAAATGATGGGCCAATTGTATAGCAAAAGAGGAGCCCTGCTAAGTTTGTTGCAGAGCCCAAAGCAGATGAAAATGTGTGCTCAAGGAAGGCATGTTGCAAGTGTGATTGCTTTTTGAGACAGACCTACAAGGCTTCTTTGACTCTTCCTGCTCTATCACCTCCAACCCCACAGTACTTAGTCACCCAACCCTTCCAGCCCTACTTCCTAATGTGTCTCCGATGCCTCCAGTTCCCATTCCTACCACAACTGCTGTTGTTCAGGCCTTTCTGTAGACTATTGCATCAAAGTTGCCTCCTATTTCTCCTCCTGCTGAACTCGAGTCTTTTCAGCCTCCTCTCCTATTACAGCCCCTCTCTTGGCACTTTACCCTGCTGCCAATGAACCACTTTTCATCAGCAAAGTGCCAATCTGCATCATGTCTCTATGTCTTTGCATGTGCTGGTCTCTCTCCTGGTAGTACAATAATAGCCTCTGCCACGTTCGTTTATTCCACCTCATTTTTCAGAATCCATCCCAGGTATTGTTTCTTCCAGCTCTTTCCACTGTAGTTCATCATTCCCTTCTCTGTATAATGCCTGTACTTTCACAGGCCCTTTTCGTTGTACTTGCTATGCTGGACTCTAAGTATGTGTGTACTTGCCTCTCTCCACCACAAAATTTTGAGTTTCACTAGGACTGGAATCACATCTTTTTCATGTTTATATTTGCAGCATCTAAAACAGAGCTCAGTAATGCTGAAGGAATTGAATCAAATGGAATATGCTATCTGAAAACTATGAGGCATGACTTCATTAAGCAAGTATAGGGAGGATTTCCATCACGCCTGAATCATAAAGGAGATAGTTTTTTCTCGCTTCCAAATGCACTAGGGAGATGTAACCCACCGCACTATTGCTATGCATGAAAGTATAGGCTCATGACTTTAAATTCTGCTCTGTGGATGATGCCATATAACTCAAATTAATCTCCATTTTGCACCATCTGTTAATAATCACTCCATGTTCTTATTGCTACAAACAAAAGGAAAGAGACAGGTAATGGTATGGAGAATGTCACAAAGAAGCAAATGTATATGTTTTGGCAAGATTGAGTATTCAGAGGTGAATTCTTCTGGGCAGATTAAATTCACTGTCTTTTCAGTGGGAGTTATGAACCCTCTGTGGCAGGGGAACTAAGCATTTGAGACCCAAAGCACTAATGAATTTTTCATGTAACAATCTTCCTTACTGTGAAGGGAAGAGGATGTATATAGTCAGCTCTGGGTTCTCATGAACTTCTCCTGAAAGGAGGATAATTGGGAAGCCATTTGAAAGTTTCCCTTTAGCTATGAATCTCCCTAATGGGTCTTGGCTAAATTTAAAGTTCTTTGCTCAGGGATGAACCAAGACAACTTTGGGGAAGTGCAAATGGGTGTTGAGGAGGCATTTTCAGTTTATGTGACTGCAAAAAAAATGTATCTGCATTAAACTCAGCACGGCATGCAGTGTTGGACAGGGAAACACCTTGAAAGTTATATAACCAAACCTATTTTCTAGGTAAGGAAATTGAGGCGGCTTAGAAAGAAGTGATATAGTCAGATATCATATTTGAAAACCTCATGATTATTGCAGATGGCTTCTGTAGATGGGAATTTTTTTCTTGTCTTTTTCTTTTTTCACAGATAGTAGACATTTCAACTTCAATTTGGGCTTAAACAAATGTAAAACTTATTAGCTGAAGAAATCTTCTGAATAGTTCTCATGTATGACTTGACAGGCATTGAACAACAGTGCTTATCTCTCTTGGCTCTGCCATATCCATGTTGCTTTGATTCCCAGACTCTGCATGGTGACAAGAAAGCTGCCTACAAGAAGACTGTACCCTCTTAGATTCATGCTCAATAGAAAAAGTGCCTGCCTTACTCAGCAGTCTTGGTAGAAGTCTCATTGCGTCTCATAGACTTCAAATTAGTCCTGTGTCCAAATCTGAAACAATCATTGTTTAGTTAAGAGAGCATAATGCTCTGATTGCCCAAAACAGAGTCACATGCCCACCACTAAAGTTTAATAGGAAAACACTGCCAATGGAAGCACATGGACTGGGAGTAAAAGAGGAGGTGGTTCTTTAGAATACAATTAGAGTAGATTTATCCAAAATAGGGATGAATGGACGCAGGAGAGACATAAATGCTGTCTGTTATGCTTGCTAGCCAGTTTTTCTGTCTCCAGTCTCATCACTTGCGCTCCACTCATCCTTTACACTCCTAAAATCCATTATTCTGAATGCATCATAAATGATCTAACAAAAATCTCAGTTGAAACACATCAAGGGCTAATCATTGCCAAAGATAAAGATGGAGTTAGTGAAGCATTCAATCTCTCCATGACCTTGACCCCTCACATGGCCTCTCTATGACCTGGTCTAGGCTCTTCTTCAAGATTCACATCATCTCCAGCCACTTACTTCCTGCCTCACCCACCTTCCTTTTCTTACTAAATCTCACTGATCCTCCTAGAGTCAGCTAAGGCATCATATGCTCCAGAAAATCTTTCTGGAACTCCAGCTTAAGTTCATATTTCCAAACCACCCTCTTCATTTCCAGGCATTCTACTCACTTCTTTGCATTGAATTGCTGCTTATGTCTGTTGCTCTTTCTATTCCATTCACTTCTCAGGGTCAGGAATCCTAAAAACCTTACACAATGCTTGGCACAAGAGAATGTTTAATCAATATTTGCAATATTGAGCTCTCTTGAACTATTGATAAAGCCAATATAGTGTTCTGGAAAGAATATGGAGTCTGGAAACAGGCATTGAAGTGAACTCTGGCCCCCATCAACTCCCAGTAAGGTATTGGGAAAGTCATTTATCTCTTAGCTTCAATATCTTTACCAGTAAGATGGAAGAGTTTTTCCTTACCTTGAAGGTTTATTATGAGATTATACAGAGCTCTCAGAACAGTTCCAGGCATATAGCAGGTGCTCAGGAACTGTATTATATTGGTAAGCATAGAATTCACAACCCCTGAGGCAACTCACGGCACCCATGGACCTTACAACAAGCTTCTCTCAGTGTCTCCTGATTCTGGTTGTGACAAATCAGATCCTTACCGACCTATTTGTTTGTTATCTTCACTACACAGAAACAGCTCCTAGGAATGTTCTTGGTATAACTTAATAACTCTGAACGGGGGCTTGGCAAGTGGACAAGTGAATTGCTTAATTCTTGGGTATTTTCTCCTCGTCTTCAGGAGATTCACAGGTAATGAAAGCCCAATACGTAATGGTTAATTTAAGATGAATATCATACCCCAATATCAAAGATTCCTGAAATTATATTCAATATCTTTGCTACAAATACCCATTCTACTTTCTGCCTCTTTTTATGTGTTCATCACAATTGTAATTACTTACAGTACATGCAAGTACATGTGACAATAGCATTTGACCCATAGGGAGTATTGAATAAATGTTGGTTATTTTAACTTGTCTTAGCATTTCAAGAACTATCAGCCTAAATTTTGTCTTGGTATCAATAGCTTTCCCCAAGTACTTTAAGAAATGTGGGCTTTGTCCTCAAATAATCACTTTTCCTTAACTCCCTGTGTTTTATCCACCAAAGAATCCTTTCACTTCAACTCCCTGGCTATCTTTATTGCCAGTGGCCTGCGTTGTTTACAGTGACTACTTAACTCATTTATTTACTTCTGTACTTGTCTTCTAAAAATCTTTATTCCTTACCACTTGAGAGATATTTTCAAAATACAAATATGATTATTCATGCATGCACCAGCTAAAAGACTTTCAGTGGCTCTCAGAGCCTATAGAATAAAGACAAACTAGCAGAGCATTACAAAATCTGGGCATTTTTCATCATTTCTGCTATCTTTAAAACCTTATTTCTTACTTTCCTGACTCTTGCCTTAATTATTTTTCAAAAATGCTGTGTTTTTGACCTTTTTAATTTTGTTACATAATTCCTCCTCTGTTTGGAATGCATTTTCTCACCATCTTTGTCAGATTGACAAACTCATTTGTACCTTTTTAAGACAGCTCAAATATCACCTGCTCTTGTTAACTTTCTTCACCTCTCAATAATGACTAGATTCTTGTTTTTGTCCTCTTATAGCTTCTTGTATTTACGATATTGAATTAGTGCATGACTTGTTAATTATTCTCTATCATTAGAGCATATAGAATGTGGCATATGGTAGACGTTCAGTATATATTTGGTGAATTAGTAAACTGAATGAAAGTTGTTCTTTTTTTAAGTCTAGTCCTCAGCATTCAGGATGTTGGAAGGAGGTGTGATGGAAATAGGGGTTTTTATGGGTCTGTGGCTATCAGCCTTGCCAAGCCTAATTCTTTTTAGGATCATGTGAATCAAAAGAAAACCCTAGAAGTATCCTTGCAATTGCATTAAAAAGGGACAAGAAAACACAGCTTCCATGATAGCAATGAAGAAACAAAAACCTTTACCAGGGAGTCAAGACATGAGATAATGTGTTTTTTGTTTTTTGTTTTTTTTGAGATAGTCTCAATTCGTCACCCAGGCTGGAGTGTGGTAGTGTAATCTCAGCTCACTGCAACCTTGCCTCCCAGGTTCAAGTGACTGTCTTGCCTCAGACTCCCAAGTAGCTGGAATTACAGGCACACACCACCATGCCTGGCTAATTTTTTTGTATTTTTAGTGAGTCTGGGTTTCGCCATGTTGGTCAGACTGGTCTCAAACTCCTGGCCTCAAGTAATCTGCCCACCTCAGCCTCCCAAAGTACTGGGATTACAGGCATGAGCCACAATGCCTGGCTGAGAAATGAAATAATTTTGAAGGAAGAAGGCATAGTAGGCTTTCCAGAGAAAACCAAGAGTAATGGTGACCTAGGAGATCCATACAGTCCTAGTGACTGGTGAGAACCGAAGGCTTTGTACACAGATTCATATTGAAAGACAGGACCAGCTGGATTTCCTAGGCTAAGAATTCCTAAGTCTAGCTGGGGAAGGTGACCACACCCACCTTTAAACGTGGGGCTTGTAACTCAGCTCACACCCGAACAATCAGGTAGTAAAGAAAGCTCACTAAAATACCAATTAAGCTAAAAGCAGGAGGTAAAGAAATAGTCAATTATCTATTGCCTGAGAGCACAGGGGGAGGGACAATGATCGGGATATAAACCCAGGCATTCAAGCCTGATCAGGCAACCCCCTTTGGGTCCCCTCCCATTGTATGAGAGCTCTGTTTTGACTCTGTTAAATCTTGCAGCTGCACTCTCTTCTTGTCCGTGTTTGTTCTGGCTTGAGGTGAGCTTTCGCTCACCGTCCACCGCTGCTGATCACCATTGTCACAGACCTGCCACTGACTTCCACCCTTCTGGATCCGGCAGGGTGTCCGCTGTGCTTCTGATCCAAGGAGGCACCCATTGCTGCTCCTGATCGGGCTAGAGGCTCGCTATGGTTCCTACGTGGCTAAGTGCCCGGGTTCATCTTAATCAAGCTGAATACTAGTCGCTGGTTCTGTTCCATGACCCACAGCTTCTAATAGAGCTATAACACTCACCGCATAGCCCAAGGTTCCATTCCTTGGAATCCGTGAGGCCAAGAACCCCAGGTCAGAGAACAAAAGACTTGCCGCATCTTTGGGAGTGGGCCCACCGCCATCTTGGGAGTGGGCCCACCGCCATCTTGGGAGCTCTTAAGAACAAAGACCCGCCGATAAAAATATGACATTGAAGAAAAATCAACCAAGCTTTATTTATCACAAATGTTTGAGGTATGAGACAAAAGTTTGCATCAGAAATCTGTGCATGTACTATTTACCACTGGCTTGAGTCTCACTCTAGGCACTGCATAAAAACAATTACAGGTACAGGAAGCAGACACTAACTGTCAGTTGTTCTGTAGATCTTACCTTTGGGCTATACTTATGCTTACTCAGTTAAGTACCACTCAATCTATGCCCAATTTTGCATGTGTGAGCTTTGATGTATGAATCCAGGCTTTTAACTAGAACCTTCCCTCAAGCATTTGTACCTGAATGTCTTGTAGGAATAATGCATGGCATTAAAATTATTGAACTTTACCTTGGAAACATGTTGAAGAAAACAATAGAGGAAAAAAGTAAGAAAGGAGGGAACAGGGAGAGAAGGAATTAATATTTATTGGGCACTTGTTAAATGTCAGATGTTGTAAACAGTTTGAATTACGTGAAGAGGTATTTTACAATGATGAGATTCAGTTTGAGGGTCAAAAAAGTAAAGTTACTTTTCAGCAGGGGAGAATCTGGGATCCAATTTAGACCTTCTATTTCCCAGTCCAATATCATTTCTATAATTAATCAGAAAAGAAGCAAATGTGAAGAGGGTAGGGAGAGTAGAGGGAGAAGAGAGAGAGAGAGAAAGGGAGAGAGAATGAAAATTCTGTAACTTTGTTGGGGATCCTATAACTGAATTTTCCTTGTCTGGGTGGTTCTAATAATCTTTTCTTTTTTTTTTTTTTCTTTTGAAGGCAGAAGGGAATATTCTGAGTTAAGATGTTTGCATATATATTCTCTGTCACCTTTCATGTACAATGCAGAGGAATAATGGTAACTCTGACAAAACTGCTGCATCTCCTCCATCACCTTGCCTTTCCTCAAAGAATTCAACAAGAACAAAGACTCCTTCCCTAAAATAAGACATGAATCCCTCCATGGTTTTGGAAGATTTGACTGACCTATAAGCTCCTGGAGAATAGGCAATATTTATTCTTCTTTTTTTTAGAGATGGAGTCTTGCTCCGTGGGCCAGGCTGCAGTGCAGTGGTGCGATCTCAGCTCACTGCAACCTCCGCCTCCCTGGTTCAAGTGATTATCCTGCCTCAGCCTCCTGAGTAGCTGGGATTACAGGCACATGCCACCATGCCTGGCTAATTCTTTTGTATTTTTAGTGGAGATGGGGGGGTTCACCATGTTGGCAAGGCTGGTCTTGAACTCCTGGCCTCAAGTGATCTGCCTGCCTCGGCCTCCCAAAGTGTGGGGATTACAGGCATGAGCCACTGGGCCCAGCCAATAGGTAATATTTCTTGTTGATGGTTGTATCTGCAGGGCCTTACATACCGATTTGAGGACAATATGGGACCAAAAATATTGTTTTTTAATGAATGAATGAAAAGGAAGAGCTATATAAGTAACAAGAACATGTTCCTGGATTTCTCCATCTTTTCTGAGCCCTCTCTGTCTCTTTGTTTCTCACCCTCTGTCTCTGTCTCTCTCTCTCTCTGGTTCTTCTGCCTTGTAGGTCTCCAGAAGGCCACTACTCCCCTCTCTAAAATACACAACAAGTTTGCTTCTCTGTTTCTTCTTGATGCAGCCAGGAAGTCCAGCATTCACTAAGAGAACCTCACTAAACACCAACAGATAATGGAATAGGACCAAGATGACTAATAGATTTACATAGTTACGGATCAGACACTCCCTGTCTCTACCCCAGCTATAAGTAAATAGAAAAACTGCTCAGCCACATGGCCCAGCTGCTGGCTTTCCCTAAAACTCAATATGCATGAGCATAACAATATTTGTGAGTGTGTGTGTCTTTTCCTACTGTTCACTCCCTTATATATTTTCAGGTAACTTGGACAATATCCAGGGCAAATCCAGTGAAATCCCTCTACATCTGGAGCCTCACTCCTGTTTTAGCACTGGAATCCAATGGGAAGGAAAGTTGCATTCAGAGTCCATTGGTAAATATCACAGTGAACAAATTATCTCCATGCATTATCTTCTTGTGTGTACATGAACACAAGAATTTGAAGTGGCCTATTAAATGTACCACTCAGATTTTCCTTCAAGAGAACTGCTGTGAGAAATGTAGTTGGTTGACAACCATTTGTTCTACCTTTGAACCTGCCACAGTCTTCACAACAATGCCACAAGATCTCTGAGTGGATCCTAGGTCACAGACAATGACTCAGCAGGACCATTTCTACTCAGCACAGGATTTCTCTAATGTCAGTCTTCACTAGAGATATTTTCATTGGCCTGGCCAAGATTTTCTCAGAATTTCCCAGCAGTTTGAGGCCTCTTCTACCCAATCATCCTCATTTCCCTCTCTCCTTTTACAGATCCCACATCTGCATCACACCCTGAAGTGTCTCTCTTATTCTTTCTTTCTTCACCATTTGTCATGTACTGACATTTCCCCAATACACCTCTTGCACATCGAATTCCATTTTGGTGTTTATTACTCAGAGATCCCAAATGGACACAAAGTGTATCCTCCAAAAATCACAATTGTTATATCAATGCTGGGTAAAATATCTGTTTCTTATGTAACTAGGATATTTGTTTTCATATTCCAAGAGAAGTAAATAAAGTAAAAAAGACCTGACATCAAATTTTATCTTTTCACCTTATGAGCTGTGTGACTTTGGGGAACACAATAAACCTCTGAGCATAAAGTTAATTTTCAAAATGTGAATGAAAGGAAAAAAGATTACCTTAATTTGTGTTCTTAACTCATCTCAATTAGGAGAAGAATTAGGAAAAATGGTAGTATTAGGAAATAATAGAAAGTATAGAAAGTTTCTAGAACATAGTACATGACAAATCAATATTTGTTCTCACCTTAGATATATCACTAAGTCAGAGTCTATGTTCAAAAAAATTTTGAAGAATGCAGAATGCATGAATCACGCCCCTGGATCTGTACCTGGAGCTAGACTGCCTGAGTTGAACTACTGGCCCTAGCACTTTTTAGCTGTGTGATCTTTGGCAAGTTACCTAACATTTTTGTGCCTCAATTTCTTATCTGTAAAATGGGAACAGCAATGGTTGTATTTCACAGTGTCGTTTTGCAGATTAATTGAATTTACATAAGAGCCCTGTGTGGCACATGGTAAGCAGATGTTAGTGTATGCTACTGCAACTTTCTGAGCCTTTTGCCCTTATTTAGTTTCTTCTCTCTTCTTACCCCTACACCTCCTCCCAAACTGCATCCTGACAACAGTAATCTTACTAGTAGGATGTCTGGATGCCAATAGCCCTGTCTCCCTCACACCCAACACACACACACACACACACACACACACACTCTCTCTCTCTCTCTCTCTCTCTCCCCTTAAAAAAAAATTAGCCCCAGTGAATTATAAGTGATAATTTTCATTTTCAAGGTCAGGAGGAAATACAAAGATATTTGGGATCTAATTGAATTAATATGGCCCCAGGGTATTTCTTAGACTTTTGTTTTTAATAAGAGATAGATGTCGGCATATTTTCTTGTGATTTTCTTTTTTCTTTGCAAATTAGAAGCATGTTATCTTGCTAATTAAGGAAACTGGTTAACTTGGTTTCAGTCTATTTAAGATTTTATTAAAC